>NC_000002.12:118739618-119364618 GCF_000001405.40 Homo sapiens | reverse complement strand
GGAGATGGGGTCATTGTGTATCAGTCACTGCTGAATCTCCAAGTGTCTGGCACTTCTTAGGCACTCAACAAATAGTTGTTGAATGAATAAAGTGTTTTTCTCTCTATGAAGATTTATTCTGTCTGATTAACTGAACTTGGAAACCATCTAAATTTGTTAGAACTGAATGTAAAACTATGGGGTTGAGTAAAGTAGATGAACTCTGGTGCAAGGACCATGTAATCTCTTTGTACCACTCCCAGCTTTGGAAGCAGAGCACCTGGAGATGAGAAACCTGACCAGCCAACTTGTCAGCCAAATTGACCCTGCCAATCAATAGAGAGGCCATTGTCATTGTTGTAGTTTGCCTTCACATCTGGGAATACCACTTTTTATTTATTATTTATTTATATTTTTTTCATAGAAACCACTCTTGTCTGCCACAGGCTTCACTCGGTGGGTCTCAGAATAAAGCCAGATGGGCAAGATCTCTCTCTCTTTCTCTCTTCTCTCTCCTCTCTCCTCTCCCTCTCTCTCTGCCCTACCTCTCTCTCCCTCCCCCTTTCTCCTATCTCTGTCTGTCTGTCTGTCTGTCTGTCTCTCTCTCTCTCTCTATTTTTTTGAGACAGGGTCTCACTCCATTACCCAGGCTGGAGTGCAGTGGCACAATCATGGCTCACTGCAGCCTTGACTTCCTGGGCTCAGATGATTCTCCCACCTCAGCCTCCCGAGTAGCTGGGACTACAGGTGTGTGCCACCATGCCTGGCTAATTTTTTGTAGAGATGGGTTTTTGCCATGTTGCCTGGGTTGGTCTTGAACTCCTGAGCTCAAGTGATCCCTCTGCCTCGACCTCCCAGGATGCTGGGATTACAGGCCTAAGCCACTGTGCCTCGCCCTGGCAAGATATATTAATAAGTGAAAGCATTTCTTGCTCATTAGGTGGGAATAGTAGTTTCATATTAAGTTTCTTAGTATAAATGAAACCTCTAATTTCTGAAAGTAACCTAATCACCAGAAAATGAACTACGATTTCAGGAGAGCTTCCTAGTTGCTCTAGTAACTAGAGTTACTATAAGGCGAGGGTTAGGGTATCCACAAATGATGGATTACATTCATTCTGTATTTTCTTTCCGGTTACTTGGAATGTGACTCCTGTGGCAGGGCTTCAGCAGAGCTGGAGGAGACTAGTTTTTTTTTTTTGCCTTTTTTTTTTTTGAGACAGAGTCTTGCTCTGTCGCCCAGGCTGGAGTGTAGTGGTGCGATCTCGGCTCACTGCAAGCTCCGCCTCCCGGGTTCACGCCATTCTCCTGCCTCAGCCTCCCGAGTAGCTGGGACTATGGGTGCCCGCCACCACGCCCGGCTAATTTTTTGTATTTTGGGTAGAGACGGGGTTTCACTGTGTTAGCCAGGTTGGTCTCGATCTCCTGACCTCGTGATCCGCCCGTCTCGGCCTCCCAAAGTGCTGAGATTACAGGCGTGAGCCATGTCGCCTGGCCCAGGAGACTAGTTTTAAAGGGAAGAAGGGACTTTGGAAATGCTTCTGGATAGGATTGGGGAGGTATGGGTGGAGTTTTTTTGTGAAGGCTGAGGGAGGTGAGAGTTGGTGGGGGTGGGGTAAGAATGAAGCCTGGCTTTCCTCATAACTGGTGAGAGGAGGCCTGGCAGCTGGAGGTGTTAGCAAGTCCTGTGCCATTCCTACCCTCTCCTTCCTTTGGGTGTTCGTCTTCAGAGGAATTGTGGCAAGGCGGGCAGGAGAGAAGAGTAAACAGGTGTGGCATGCACATGTTTACCATTTTCTTCTTCCTCTTCTTTTTGCCTAGCCAACTTGGGCTGGGGGTGGTTAGGGCTGAGGTGAGCTGCAGAGATGGCTTGGGAGTGGAAGATTCTGATAGGGAAGTATCCTAGGCTGGCTGGAAGTAAGGAAGACAGGACTTCCTTTAGAATTGCTTCTCCATGAGTTGGTCATACACTGGTCAGGTGCTGCCTGCGCTCTGTTTAGAAGCATTCATGATTATGGGCAGGAATAATGAAAATATCTTGAGTTCAGTACTGAGTTCTTGTTCAACTTCATACTTTAATAAAAATGTGTTATATATTCTCTTCTAAATCTACATTGTCTTCTACATCTTTGCCTATTTAGCTCCTAGCTGCACATGACAAACCACCTGGAAAATGCCTTGAAACTAGATTGTTAGAGGTGAATTTTCTTAGTAAACTCTTCTGCCTGTCAACAAGAAAATTAGAAATACAGCTGACCCTTGAACAACACAGGGGTTAGGGGCACTGACCTTCCACACAGTCAAAAATCTGTGTGTAACTTTTGACTACCCTAAAACTTAACTATTAATAGCCTACTGTTGATTCGAAGTCTTACTGATAACAAACAGTTGATTAACACATTTTATATGTTATATGTATTATTTACTGTATTTTTAAAAGTAAACTAGAAAAGAATGTTACTAGAATCACAAGGAAGAGAAAATTATTTACTGTTCAGTAAGTGGAAGTAGATCATAAAGGTCTTCAGACTTGTCATCTTCACACTGAGTAGGCTGAGGAGGAAGAGGAAGGGTTGGTCTTTCTCAGGGATGGCAGAGGTGGAAAAAAATAGAAGTTGGACTCCTATTGTTCAAAACGCCACTGTATTAAAATCTGGTGACAAGGCTGCAGTGAGGTATAATCCTGCCACTACACTCCAGCCTAGGCAACAGGGAGAGACCCTGCCTCAAAGAAAAAAAGATCTGCTGACATGCTTTGGCTAATAATTCCTTCAAAGGGCAATGTTGTTCAAAAAAACACTATTTTGAGCTAACTATATAGATTGACGTGCGGTTATAAAAAATATAGTAGTCCCTCCTTATCCTCAGAGGCTAAATTCCAAGACCCCCCCAATGGAGGCCTGAACCCTATATATGTTTTTTCCTACATGGTTGTCTGTCAATATCTGTGGGGGATTGGTTCCATGACCTCCTATGGATGCCAAAAATCCATGGATGCTCAAGTCCCTTATATAAAATGATGTATTTGCATGTAACTTATGCACATTCTTCTGTATACTTTAAATAATCTCTAGGTTACTTATAATACTAGATACAATGTAAATGCTATATAAATAGTTGTGATACTGTATTTTACAATTTTTTTGTGTGTGTATCCGTATTTTTTTATCGTTTTCTTCCCAGGATATTTTCACCTGAAGTTGGTTGAGTCTGCAAAGGCAGAACCCACAGATATGGAGGGCTGACTGTACATACATATCTATAATAAAATTTGAGTTTTAAATTAGGCACAGTAAGAGAGTAACAAAATAATAATAAAATTGAACAGTTATCACCATATATTGTAATAAAAGTGTGAGTGTTTACTTCTGGAATTTTTCATTTAATATTTTTGGACAGTGGTTGGCCGTGGGTAACAAACCCACGAAACCCATTTTGGGTTCAAACCATCAAAAGTGGAACTGTAAGTGAGGACTACTGTAGCCTAGAGAGATCTCTTGTACATCTTACCTAGTTTCTCCCAGTGGTAACATCTTGCAAAACCATATAGAATACATAACACAATCAATACATTGACATTGATACATTTAAGTAAGGTAACAATATTTCCATCATCAAAGATTCCTAATACTGCCTTGTGGCCACAACCACTACCTAGCTCCTCCTTAGCCCCTGGCAACCACAACTTTCTTCTCTATTTCTATAATTTTATCATTTCAATAATGTTATATATCATGAAATTGTGGTATATAGCCTTTTTGTATTGTTTTTTCTTCACTCAGAATAATTCTGTGGTGATTCATCTAGCTTGTTGAGTGAATGATAGTTTTGTTCTTTTTTATCCCTGAGTACTATTCCATCATATAGATGAAAGAGTTTAACCATTCACTCTTTGAAGGCTATTGCTATTGTTTCCACTTTTTGGCTATTATGAATTAAGCTGCTGCCAATCACTTGTCTACAGGCATACCTCAGAGATATTGCAGGTTTGGTCACAGACCACTGACATAAAATGATGATCACAGCAAAATGAGTCACAGTTTTTTGGTTTTCCAGTGCATATACAAGTTATGTTTACACTATACGTATAGTCTGTTATAAAGTGTGCAATAGCATTATGTCAAACAGGTGTATATATCTTTTTTTTTTTTTTTTTTTTTTTGAGACAGAGTTTTGCTCTCGTTGCCCAGGCTGGAGTGCAATGGTGCAGTCTCAGCTCACTGCAACTTCTGCCTCCCAGGTTCAAGCGATTCTCCTGCCCCAGCCTCCTGAATAGCTGGGATTGCAGGCATGTGCCACCACACCTGGCTAATTTTATATTTTTAGTAGAGACGGGGTTTCACCATGTTGGCCAGGCTGGTCAAACTCCTGACCTCAGGTGATCACCTGCCTCGGCCTCCCAAAGTGTTGGGATTACAGGCATGAGCCACCGTGCCTGGCCTCAAATGTACATATCTGAATTAAAGATACTTGATTGCTAAAAAATGCTAACTATCACCTGACTTCAACGAGTCATGATCCTTTTGCTGGTCGAGGGTCTTGCCTCAATGTTGATGGCTGCTAACTGATTGGTGCGGTGGTTGCTGAAGGTTGGGGTGGCTGTAGCAATTTGTTAAAATAAGCTAACAATGATGTTTGTTGTATTGATTGACTCTTCCTTTCAAGAAAGACTTCTCTGTAACATGAGATGCTGTTTGACAGCATTTTATCAATAGCAGAACTTTCAAAATTGGAGTCAATTCTCTCAAACCATGCTGCTGCTTTACAAGTTTATGCAATATTCTAAACGCTTTTTTTGTCGTTTCAACACAGCACTCCAGCCTAGGCGACAGGGAGAGCATTTTCACCAGGAGTAGATTCTGTCTCAAGAAACTGCTTTCTTTGCTCATTCATAAGAAGTAACTCCTAATCCGCTGGCATTTTATTATGAGATTGCAGCAGTTCAGTCCCATCTTAAGGCTTCACTTCTAGTTCTAGTTGTCTTGCTATTTCCACCACATTTGCTGTTACTTCCTCCACTGAAGTCTTGAACTCCTCAAAGTCATCCATGAAGGTTGGAGTCCTTCCAAAGTCCTATTAATGTTGCTATTTTGATCTCCTCCTGAATCATGAATATTTTTAATGGCCTTTAGAATGGTGAATCCTTTCCAGAAGGTTTTCGTATTATTTTGCCCATATCCATCTGAGGAATCACTATCTACGGTAGCAGTAGTCTTACAAGATGTATTTTCTTAAATAATAAGACATGAAAGTTGAAATTGCTTCTTGATCCATAAGCTTCAGAATGCATATTGTGGTAGCAGGCATGAAAACATGAATCTCCTTGTCCATGTCCATGAGAGCACTCGGGTGGCCAGGTGCATTGTCAATGAGCAGTAATATTTTGAAAGGAATCTTTTTTTTCCTGAGGATTAGGTCTCAACAGTGGGCTTAAAATATTTAATAAACGATGCTGTAAACAGATGCACTGTCATGCAGACTTTGTTGTTCCGCTTATACAGCACAGGTAGAGTAGATTTAACATAATTCTTAAGGGCCCTAAGATTTTCACAATGATCAGTGAGCGTTGGCTTCAACTGAAAGTCACCAGCTGCCTTAACCCTTACCCACAGTCAGCCTGTCCTTTGAAGCTTTAAAACCAGGCGTTGACTTCTCCCTAGCTATGCAGATCCTAGATGGCTTCATCTTCCAATATAAGGCTGTTTTGTCTGTGTTGAAAATCTGTTGTTTAGTGTAGCCAGCTTCATCAATCTTAGCTAGATCTTCAGGATAACTTGGTGCAGCTTCTACATCAGCACCTGAGGCTTCATTTTGCACTTTTTTTGTTATGGAGACTGCTTCTTTCCTTAAACATCATGAACCAACCTCTGCTAGCTTCACTCTTCTTATATAGCTTTCTCACCTCTCTTAGCCTTCATAGAATTGAAGAGTGTTAGGGCCTTCCTCTGGATTAGGCTTTGGCTTAAGGAAATGTTGTGGGTGGTCTGGCCTTCTATCCAGAGCACTCAGACTTTCTCCATATCAGCGACAGGCTGTTTTGCCTTTTTTTTTTTTTTTTTTTTGAGACAGAGTCTCCCTCTGTCACCCAGGCTGGAGTGCAGTGGTGCAGTTTCGGCTCACTGCAATCTGCACCTCCCGGATTCAAGTGATTCTCCTGCCTCAGCCTTCTGAGTAGCTGGGATTACAGATGCACACCACGACTCCCAGCTAATTTTTGTATTTTTAGTAGGGACAGGGGTTCCTCCATGTTGGTCAGGCTGGTCTTGAACTCCTGACCTCAGGTGATCCACCCACCTAGGCCTCCCAAAATGATGGGATTACAGGCGTGAGCCATCTGTTTTGCCTTCTTACCATTTGTGTGTTCACTGTAATAGCATTTTAATTTCCTCAATAACTTTTCCTTTGTATTCACAACTTGGCTGTTTGGTGCAAGGGGCCTAGCATTCAACCTATCTTGGCTTTTGACATGCCTTCCTCACTAAGCTTAATCATTTCTAACTTTTGATTTAAAATGAGAGACTAACAACTCCTCCTGTCACTTAAAAACTTAGAGGCCATTGCAGTGTTATTAATTGGCCTAATTTCAATATTATTGTGCATGTTTTGTTAGATTTACACCTAAATACTTGTTTTTGAGTGATTGTGAATGTTATTGTATTTTGTATTTGTATTTATATTGTATATTGTGTTCCATGTGTTCATTGCTACTATTTGGAAATATAGTTGGTTTTGTATGTTTATTTTGTATCCTGTGACTTTGCCAAATTCATTAATTCCAGATTTTTTTGTTTTTTGAGAATTCTTGGGATTTTCTGTGTAGATAATCATGTTATCTGCAAATAGGGACAGTTTTATTTCTTCCTTTCTCATCTCTTTGCCTTTTATTTCCTTGTCTTGCATTGTTTCACTGGCTAGAACTTCCAGCAGCATGTTGAATAAGAATGGTGAGAATGGCTATTTTTCCTTGTTCCTGATCTTAGGGGGAAAGCATTCAGTCTTTCATTATGAAGTCTAACGTTAGCTCTAGTTTTTTTTTTTTTTTGGTTTGTTTTTTGTAGATGCTCTTTATCAAATTGAGATGTTCCCCTCTTTTCTTGTTTTTCTGAGAGTCCTTATTGTCAGTGGATGTTGAGTCTCCATTGAAGTTTGTCAGGTGCCTTTTCTGTATCACTTGATGTGATCATGTGATTTTTCTTTAGGTTGTTAATTTGGTGGATTACATTGATTGCTTTTCAAATATTAAACTAACCTTGCTTCTCTGGAAAAAACCACTTGGTCAGGGTGTATAATTATTTTTATGTATTGCTAAATTCTATTTGCTAATGTCTTACTAAGGATTTTCATGTCTATATTCATAAGGGATATTGGTCTGTTGTTGTCTTTTTTTTAGTAATGGCTTTGTCTGGCTTTATTGTGGAAAAACTAGCTGCATAAAGTGAATTAGGAAATGTTCCTTTTCCATTTTCTGAAAGAGGTTGTGTACAATTGATGTTAATTCTTCTTTAAATGTTTTGTAGAGTTCTCTAGTGAAACCTTCTAGGACTGGAGATTTCTTTTCTTTTCTCCTTCCTTCCTTCCTTCCTTTTTTCCAGGCACCTCATCAGGTTCTTATAGAGATTTCTTTCTTGGGAGTTCTTAAATTATGAATTTAATTTCCTTAATAGTTATAGGGCTATTCATATTGTTTATTTCATATTGGTGAGTGGTGGTAGTTTTAGTTTTTTAAGAAATTGGTCCATTTTGTCTGTGCTGTGAAATGTATGTATGTAATTAGTTCATAGTATTCCCTTATTATCCTTTCGCTATTTGCAGAGCCTGTAATGATATCCTCCATTTCATTCCCAATATTGGTTATTTGTGCCTTCTTTTTTTTTTCCCTAGCTGGTCTTGCTCAAGATTCATCAGTGTTTAAAAAATCTTTTCAAAAAACCACCTCTTTTTTCATGGATTTTCTATTGTTTTTCTGTTTTCAATTGTATTGATTTCCACTCATTATTATTTCTTTCCTTCTGCTTGCTTTGGGTTTGTTTTGCTCTTGATTTTCTAGGTTCTTGAGGTGGGAGCTTAGATTATTGACTTGAGACTTTTTCTCATTTAATTTATGCATTTATACATTTTCCTCTTCACAGTGCTATACATTTTCCTCTTCACAGTGCTATACATTTTCCTCTTCACAGTGCTTTAACTGTGTCCCACTTTCATTCAGTTCAGTGTATTTTTAGTTTCCTTTTTTTTTTTTTTTTGAGACAGAGTCTCGCTCTGTCACCCAGGCTGGAGAACAGTGATCTCAGCTCACTGCAACCTCTCCCTCCTGGGTTCAAGCGATTCTCCTGCTTCAGTCTCCTGAGAAGCTGGGATTACAGTGCCTGCCATCAAGCCCAGCTGATTTTTGTATTTTTAGTAGAGTTGGGGTTTCATCATGTTGGCTAGTCTGGTCTGGAACTCCTGACCTCAAGTGATCTGCCCACCTCAGCCTCCCAAAGTGCTGGGATTACAACTGAGAGCCACCGAACCTGGCCTTTGTTTCCTTTGAGACTTCGTCTTTGGTCCAGGGCTTGTTTAGTAGTCTGTTGCTTAGTTTCCAAGTGTTTGAAGACTTTCCTGGTAGGTTCCTGTTTCTGATTTCTAATTTGATTCCACTGTGGTCAGAGAACACATTGTTTAATTTCACTTCTTCAGACTCGTCATGGTTTTTTCCTGTGGTGCAGGATGTGGACGTCTTGGCATCTATGTTGTGGATACTTGAAAAGTATGTGTATTTTGCAGTCATTAGTGGGGTGTTCTATAAATGTCCATTACATCCTGTTCGGTGGATGGTGTTGTAGAGTAGCAGTCCTCAACCTTTTTGGCACCAGGGACCGGTTTCATGGAAGACAGTTTTTTCATGGATGGGGTGGTAGGGGGATGGTTTTGGGTTGAAACTGTCCCATCTGAGATCATCAGGCATTAGATTCTCATAAGGAGCATGCAACCTAGATCCCTCATATGCTCAGTTCACAATAGGGTTCACGCTCCTATGAGAATCTAATGCCACCACTGAGAGGAGGAGTTTATTCCATTCCTCCTCCCTATAGGTCCCACAGGGGCAATCAGAGTAGCTCAGTTGCTACTGCATGTGCAGTGGGTTTATGTCACAGCTGTAGAACCCCAGGTTTAGGTAAATCAAATTCTTTATAAAGGGCTGCAAGCAAACCTGCCCAGCCTTACCCTGGAGTGAGATGTCTTCATGCTACTGGACAGTCTGGTGGGAGATACTGTCTCTGTCTTTCTAAGCTGTTCGCTATGTACATATCCTTGAAAGATAGTTCAGAATGAAAGCAGCCAGCCCCTCTGCTTCTAAGACACGCAGACGTGTGAGAGACCCATGGAGAAATGTCTCCCAACACACAGTACAAGGATTAATATTCTCACTGATGGTTGCAAATCAAGAAAAATAGAATTTATACCCAGTATACCTTGTTTAAGAAAGTGTATGAAATATTCTTTCTAAATGGTTAAGTCTCCAACCCTTGGGAAAACTCAACTGTCCAGAATGGTTTATGGAGAGTCTTGCATATCTTGAGCAGAGAAAACGAATTATGGTTTTGTGTATTTGCTCCAGATTCAAGGTCATAATGGCAGGTCTGAGGAATTGTAGATGTTGATTTGTCAGTGGGTGGTGTATTCTAGATGTGAACAGTAATCAAGGATATATTTATTTGGAACTGATTATGGTTCTTCCTCAGGGAAGGTCAGCTGCTAATGTCATTATGCAGTAAAGCAGTTACAGCATGGAGAAGCATGTGCCAGTCAGCAGATTAGCTAAAATTTATCTTGTACCTATTGTGTTACCTAAACCCCTAGAGGTGGAAGATTTTATTTTTTTGACCTATCTAAAAAATGGCTGAGGTTGAAGACTTTGAAATCATTTATAAATGAATATGTTGAAAATATCTTTCTCAAAAGTTCTGTCAGTGAAAGATGATTTAACCAACTCTTCTAGAATAATGGTGCTTTCATTTGTATTATGCAGCTAAACAACAACAAAAAAATGCCAAGAAGTTTTCAAATGTTATTTAACCCTCATATAGTCCTAGTTTATAAATGTAGGGTTTTTTAAAAAAAATTTTTATATTTTGAGACAGAGCCTCACACTGTCTCCCAGGCTGGAGTGCAGTGGTGCGATCCTGTCTCACTGCAACCTCCACCTCCTGGTTCAGGCGATTCTCGTGCCTCAACCTCCCAGTAGCTGGGCTTACAGGAGCGTGCCACCACGCCCGGCTAATATTTTTCTGTATTTTTAGTAGAGACGGGGTTTCACCATGTTGGCCAGGCTGGTCTCGAACTCCTGACCTCAAGTGATCCGTCAGTGATCTGCCTTCCTCAGCCTCTCAAAGTGCTGGGATTACAAGCGTGAGCTACCGTGCCCTGCCATTAATGTAGTTTATAAATGCTGAGTTTCATATTTTAAAAAAATATGCTTTTGAAAAAATTTAAAGCAGATTCTTTAATTGACACGTAATTGTACATATTTGGGGAGCACAATTTGATGTTTCAATACATATATAAGTTGTAGAATGAGCAAATCAGGGTATTTAGTGTGACCATTGCCTCATGCATTTATCTCTTTGTGGTGAGGATATTTAAAAATCTCTCTTCTAGCTATTTTGTAATGTACTGTTAACCATAGAACGCCAGAACTGATTCCTCCTATTTAATTTCAACTGTACCTTCAACCAGCCTCTCCCAATCCTTTTCCCACCCTTTCTCCAGTCTGTCCTAAAAAGAAAATTCTTGGGGCTGGGCGTGGTGGCTCACAGCTGTAATCCCAGCACTTTGGAAGGTTGAGGCGGGCGGATCACCTAAGATCAGGAGTTCGAGACTAGCCTGCTCAACATGGTGAAACCCCATCTCTACTAAAACTACAAAAATTAGCCAGGCGTGGCAGCGTGTGCCCGTAGTCCCAGCTACTCTGGAGGCTGCGCAGGAGAATCACTTGAACATGGGAGGCAGAGGTTGCAGTGAGCTGAGATCGCATCACTGCACTCCAGCCTGGGTGACAGAGCAAGACTCCAGCGAGACTCTCAAAAAAAAAAAAAAAAAAGAAAATTCTTGTTACCTTTTTTCTTTTTATTATAATGTCCAGCTCTTGATATTTCATTGTTACCGAAATCTATTTTTAGAAGAAAATTTCGTTCTCCATCCAAGAGTTAAAATTATGCTTTTGAAGTAGGCCAGAGTAGATTAAAATGCAATTAACATTTTACTTTTAGTCATAGTCCTAAGTGTGAATTAATTTTAATTTGTCATTCTTCTAAACTTAAACTGAAATTAATATAAAGTTATTAATTTGCCAAGGTTAAATTTTCTGTAAATGGTGAGCATTTATCATTCATCTACTAACAGTATGCTAGGTGTTCCATCTTTTTAAGAAGGATAATAAAAATAATTTAGGCTCCCCCACATCACCCCTGGCCTTAAACAACATTTTTTTTTTGATAAAATGACATATTTGAATGCTATTTAATTGTACTTAAGGATTATTTACTCCAAAATCATTAAGGGCAGTTTCAGAATCATTTGCATATTCAGTGATTTTCTTCTTAACAATTTCCTGCTCTTTCTCCTTTTATATCTGCTCACCTTTGCCAATTTAGTTTCCTCACAGAAAAGAACAGTAACAACTGTATTTCATATATTCTTTTTATTGATTTATTTGTTTTAAAAGGAAGGTGATGGACTCTCTGCCCTGTGATACTGGTTCCTAAATCTTGAGGAGAATTAAGCATTTAGCATGATTACATATACATACATACGTAGGTATGTATATGTAATCACTCTAATACACTCTCTCTATATATATAACCTGTCTATAATGAGAGAGAGAATCTGGTGTTAAAAGGAAAACTTTTGACAAATTCAATTTAGCAGCATTTATTTGAGTAAAGAAACAATGCATGAATTAGGCAGCATCTGAACCAGTAAAGGTTCAGAGAGCTCTAACCAGCAACAGTATTTTCTGTCTATAAATACCCAGCAGGTGGTATTTATAGACAGAAAACAGAAGTGAGAGACTGAAATAGTCTGACTGGCTACAGCTTGGCTTTTGCCTTATTTTGACATGTTTTGGCAGTTTGCAGCCTGTATTGGCTGAAAGTTTGGCTGCTGTGATTGGCTGAGACTCAGTTACTTATTCCAAGAATACACTTGCAGGTTAGGTTGCAGCTTGTTTACATAGTAAGATAGGGTGCAGTTCATTACCTGTGGAGGCAGCTTTAGGCCAAATTTAATTGAACAGTGGTTAGAACCTTCCCTTTTTGAAAGTTGTACCTTTTTCATTTGGATAAGACAAACTTTAAAGCAAAGTTGATATATGACAAGTGTAATTTTACAGTACTTAAATTTAGGGAGTATATATGCTTTATAAAATATTTTGGTTTTTCAAAATGATTCTCTCTAGGAGTTTGTTAAAATTCTGGTCATAAGCATAATTTCTTGGAAACCTGCGTGTGGCATGACGGAAGGTCAGTCAGTGCGCAAGTGGTTATAGGGTCTTCTCCATGTTAACTGCCTTAGTGCCTGAGTGCTTTTCCTACCCTTAAAGCTTCTAATAGCTCATTTTGGATTCCATTCTCTTACAAAAAAGTCAAGAAGATGCTTTCTTCGAATACCATAAGGCATATATACCAGGTTTTTTAGGTAGTACAGTCAATCCTAATTATTTTCAGATTCTGTATTTGCAAATTCACCTACATACTAACATTTATTTGTAACCCCAAAAGCAATATTCATGGCACTTTCTTGGTCATTCTTGGACATGTGCAGAGCAGTGAAAATTTTGAGTCACTCAATACATTCCCAGCTGAAGTCAAACAAGACAACACTATGCTTTTTTTTTTTTGAGACAGGATCTCGCTCTGTTGCCCAGGCTGGGGCTGGAGTATAGTGGTGCAATCTTGGCTCACTGCAACCTCTGCCTCCCAGGCTCAGGGGATCCTCCTACCTCAGCCTCCTGAGTAGCTGGGATTACAGGCACACATTACCACACCCAGCTAATTTTGGTATTTTTTTTTGTAGAGACAGAGTCTTGCTATGTTGCCCAGGCTGATCTCAAACTCCTGGGCTCAAGTGATCCTCCCGCCTGGGCCTCCAAAAGTGCTGGTATTACAGGTGTGAGCCACCGTGCCCAGTCGCTCTGCCTTCTTGTTTCAGCTCTTATATTGTAAACAAGTGACCAGTTTGTGGACTATTTATTGCCATGTTTTTTTCATTTTAATGCTTTTCTGTTGGTGATTCTGCTATTTAAAATGTCCCCCAAGCATAGCGCAGACGTGCAGTCAAGTGTTCCTAGGCGCAGGAAGGCTGTGATGTGCCTTATGGAGAAAATATTAAATATTGTGTTAGATAAGCTTTGTTCAGGCAGGCTGTGAGTGGTGTTGGCTGTGAGTTCAATGCTGATGAATTAGCAACACATAATAAATGTCTCTTTCAACAGAAACATGCATGAAACAAGATTATGTATTGATCATTTGCCAAAATGTGAAGTCGAGCTCACGAGACCCTAATCCTGTAGTTCCCCTAGGAGCAGTGGTTCAGGATTTGCTAATTCAGTGTTCACAGCCAACTTTATAAACCATAACTACTACCAACAACCAGAATCAACTGTAGTGATGTTTTTTTTTGAGCTGACAGAGATCAGTGTAACATCAACAATCAAGTATCTTGTGGGTGTTTTGTGCTTATCTGGATGCTCGGCTCTGAGCTTTTATGTGTGGTGCCTAGTTTTTCATCCAGAAGCCTGCCCCTGCTGGTTTATAACTCTGCAGCTTAGAGCTCTGCCCTGGGGAGACCAGCCAGCTTGGGAAGGGGAACCACTGGGCAAGTTAAGGAGCGTTGCAGTTAGCTTGTTCTGGCTTTGCCTGGTTGCTGAATTTCCACCACAGGCTCCAGGACTGAAGGCTGAAGGCCCATCTCATCTATGGGGTCTCAAAGCTTCCAAGCTATGCTTCCCTCCTCACCATCCTTGCAGCTTGGACCAAAAAAGCAGCTGCAGAGGGGAGGGTGCTGGGCTGCTCTGATGCAGTGGTTACTGGCCATCGAACTGGGACTTCCATGCAAGGCAGTTCCTATGGAAGTTTTGTGTTTGCTTTGTTTGTAAGAGCTTTGTTTTGCTTTGCATATGGGCTTTTCTGCATTGCCCCAAACTAGCTGGGTAAGTTACTAGCTAGAACTACAGGTTTTTTAGGCAGGGAGGCTTAAAGACCTTCCCAAGCCCTAGGCACTCTTACTTTTCAAAGCACCACCTGGGTCTTATGTGTTGAAATATACACGTATCCTACATTAAATCTAACATATATAATTATGAATAGAATCAAGTTGCTGTTGAACTGTTACATATTATAAATATATAATTAATATTAATTTTGATTTTTTTTCCACATCTCAAACATTTTCTTGGGTCCTGTGTCTCTAGTGCAAGATTGCCATGTTCGTGTGTCCTTAGGAAATGGAAGAAATCAGGTTTTTTTTCCTCCCTTTAACTGCTCATTAGTTCTACAAACACTTACGCGGGACGGTGGGGGGGCGGGGGGCGGTGTGGGCGGGGCGTGGTGGCTCACACCTGTAATCCTGTGCTTTGGGAAGCTAATGCAGGAGGATTGCTTGAGCCCAGGAGTTCAATACCCACCTGGACAACATAGACCCTAGCTCTACACAAAATTAACAATTTTAAAAAGAACATTTATGGGGCTTCTGAGGTGCCTCACGCTACACAAGCTGTTGGGTCTACAAAAACGGACCATACAGCATTCTTTCCCTTTAAAGAGCTTGTGGGCCAGACCTCTAAAACAGATGACATCGACATCGAGTGATAGGTGCTACAGCATACAGAGGGGGCCCATGGCTCAGCCTGGGGGAGAGGAGGAGCCCAGCTCAAAGGTGTCCTGCAGAAGATAGCCCCCTGAGCTGGGTCTTGAAGGAGCCTCTGTGGGAAAGCAAAGAGGGTGAGGGGCGGAGGGATTTTGGAGAGAAGCTGGGGCTGGAGAGGTGTGGTAGAGGCTTGGCAACAGCGTGGTGGGTGTGGGGAACTGTGAGCTGTCATTGTAGCTGGAGGGATATGTTAAAAGCAGATTTTGATGTTGACGTATACCACTGAAGAGGCAGCGGGACAAGTTCAGACTCCTCTGGGCGTGTGACCTGCTTCTGGTGCCTCCGAATGCTGTTTGGATTTATTTGGTGTTCCTTGGTACATAGCAGGAGTATAACTAAGTTCCTAGCCTTTCCCTCCTTTCCAGTACTCTGTAAGTTTGGTATTGTTTGCTTTGTTCTGTTGTCTCTTCCTTCTTAAAAACAAATGGAAATAGCTGAGTTTTAAAAATAACTTATTGTTGATGCATACACATATATCAGAAAAGTGAAAATACAAGTATACTGGAAATAGCTTAATTTAAAAACACATGATTGGTAAAACATCAAACAATATTAAAAAGTATATAAAACAAGTAACAGTCTCTTGGATTTCTGCCCCTCAGAGACAGCCACTGTTAATGTTTTGGTAAAGGCTTTTCTGGACATCTCTCCATGCTTATGTTCACATGTAACACACCTACATTACAAACATGCAGTGATACTGTACACAGGCAATTTTCTAATTTTTGTTTTGTTTTGTTTTTTTGAGACCAGGGTCTGGCTTTGTCTCCCAGGCTGGAGTGCAGTGGTGCAATCTTGGCTCTTGGCAACCTCTGCCTCCCAGGCTGAAGCGATCCTCCCACCTCAGCCCCGCAACTACAGGCTTACGCCACCATGCCGGGCTAACTTTTGTATTTTTAGTAGAGATGGGGTTTCACCATGTTGCCCAGGCTGGTCTGTTGAACTCCTGGACTCAAACAACCTGCCCACCTTGGGCTTCCAAAGTGCTGGCATTACAAGTGTGAGCCACGGCACCGAGCCCTTTAACTTCTTTTCTTTTTTTTTTTAAGACAGAGTTCCACTCTTGTCTTCCAGGCTGGAGTACAGTGGCACAATCTTGGCTTACTGCAACCTCTGCCTCCCCGGTTCAAGCGAATCTCCTTCCTCAGCCTCCCGAGTAGCTGGGATTACAGGCGCGCACCACCACGCCTGGCTAATTTTGTACTTTTAGTAGAGACAGGGTTTCACCATGTTGGTCAGGCTGGTCTCTAACTCCTAACCTCAGGTGATCCACCCGCCTTGACCTCCCAAAGTGCTGGGATTACAGGCGTGAGCCACTGTGCCCAGCCTAAGTTGTTTTTTTACTCACTGGTATGTCATGGCCATCTTTCAAAGTTGGTATCCATACATCCATATCACCCTTTAATGGCTGCAGGGTATTTTGTTTTACTGTGTGGCATAATTTACTTAACCATTTCTTTACTGTTGGACATTTAAGTGGATTCTAATTTTGTTAACTGTTAGAAACATTTCAGTGAAAGAAAATCTTTGAATGTACACCTTTGCGCACTTATAGTCTTCTTGCAAAATGTTTTTATTATGAAAAATGTCAAGCATTTACAAATGGAATAGTATATGAGATTTCATACATAACCAACTTCAACAGTTAACAATGGTCTAGTATTTTTTTTTTTTTTTTTTTTTTTTGAGACAGAGCCTTGTCCTGTTTCCCAGGCTGGAGAGTAGTGGTGTGGAGCACAGTACATAGCTCACTGCAGCCTCAAACTTCTGGCTCAAGTGATCTTTCTGCCTCAGCCTCCCAAGTAGCTAGGATTATAGATGTCCATTGCTTGTATCAATGTCAATTTCCTGGCTGTAAAATCGACTATACTCAAGCAAGATGTGGCCAAGTGGGGGAAAGTGGATGAAGGGAAATGGGAGCGCTGTATTATTTCCCAAATCTACATGTGAATCTACAATTATTTCAAGATAAAAAGGTTAATTAGCTGAGGTCATTGCACTCAGCTAATTAAAAAATTATTT
The DNA here is from genome assembly GCF_000001405.40 of Homo sapiens. NCBI lineage: Eukaryota > Metazoa > Chordata > Mammalia > Primates > Hominidae > Homo > Homo sapiens. Next base: position 119,347,710 of record NC_000002.12, on the reverse strand, counting down.
TTGGAGAGATGAGGTCTCGATATGTTGCCCAGGCTGGTCTTGAACTCCTGCGCTTAAGTGATCCTCCTGCCTCGGCCTCCTAAGTGCTGGGATTACAGGCGTGGGCCACCATGCTTGGTCTCTACTATTCTTTTTTTAATCTACGCTTCTATAATTGTTTTTCCTCTGCTAGGGTATTTGAAAGCAAATACAGGTCATCATTTCACCTGTATATTCCTCAGTCTTTTAAGATAAGGACTTAAAAACACAACCATAATATCATATAAACAGAATTAACATTAATTCCTAATATCATCTAATATTATACAAATTAGGATCCATACAAAGACTAAATGTTGCATCCGTTGAGATTAGCTCTTTTAAGTCTCTTTTAATATATAGCCTTCCTCTCTTTTCTTTATTTCTCATGCCATTTGTTGAAGAAATCGAGTCATTTTTCCAGTACAATTTTCCACCATCTGAACTTGGCTGATGGCCTCCTTGTGGTGTCATTTAACATGTTCTTCCATACCCTGTCATAGCTGATAAACTGGGAATGAGATCTGGAGGCTCGATTCATTCACTAATGTTGATTATGAAGTTCAGGTGTTGTCAGCCCCAGATGTACCCATGCTGAAGTTCCCCGTCAGTCTTACCTGATGGTTTTAACACCGCTTTATGATCATCACCTACACTCATTTCATTAGAGTTTTCAGAATGATAATTTTTGGAATTTTTTTATTTTGGGATAATTGTAGATTCACATGTAGATGTAGGAAATAATACAGAGATCCCATTTCCCTTCATCCACTTTCCCCCATTGGCAACACCTTGCTTGAGTATAGTCCAATTTTACAGCCGGGAAATTGAAATTGATACAAGCAATGAACCTCATTTAGATTTCACTAGTTTTATATACACTTGTGTGTGTATATATGTGTATGCCTGTGTGTGTATGCATTTAGTTCTGTGCAGTTATATCACATGTAGATAAAAATGGGTAACACTACAGTCAAGAATCAGAACATTTCCATCACAAGGATCTCTCATTTTACCCTTTAATAGCCACAGACATGACACCTCTTTCCCCCTCTTCCCCTAACCCCTGGCAACACCCTAATGCATTCTTCATTTCTGTAATTTTGTCATCATAAGAATGACATAAAAATGGAATTATACAGTATGCAAGCTTTTGAGACTGCCTTTTTTCATTCAGCTTGATTCCCTTGAGATTCACCCTGATTGTTGCCTGTATCAATAATTTATTTATTTTTATTACTGACTAGTATTTCATGATATGGATATACTGCAGTTTGCCTGACCATTCATATGTTAAAGGGCATTTGGATTATTTCCCAGTTTTGGGGCATTACACATGGATATGCTGTGCACACTCATATACAGGTTTTTGTGTTAACATAACTTTTTGTTTCTCTAGCATGAATGCCCAAGAATGCAATTACTGGGTTATATAATGGGTATGTTTAGTTTTGTGAGAAATTGCCATATTCTTTTTCAGACTGGCTAGTACCATTTTACATTCCTACCAGCAATGTATGTGAATTTCTCCACCCTCACCAACATTTGGGGCTATTGCTGTGTTTTATTTTAGCCATCCTGATAGGTATGTAAATTAGGATTTTAAAATTTTATTCTTTTTTTTTTTTTTTTTTTTTTGAGATGGCGTCTCACTCTGTCGCCCAGGCTGGAGTGCAGTGGCACGATCTCTGCTCACTGCAAGCTCTGCCTCCCAGGTTCACGCCATTCTCCTGCCTCAGTCTCCTGAGTAGCTACAGGCGCCCGCCACCATGCCCGGCTAATTTTTTGTATTTTTAGTAGAGACGGGGTTTCACCGTGTTAGCCAGGATGGTCTCAATCTCCTGACCTTGTGATCCGCGGGCCTCGGCCTCCCAAAGTGCTGGGATTACAGGCGTGAGCCACCGCACCTGGCCAAAATTTTATTCTTTTAGTACTTTTTAGCTGTAATTCTTCTATAAAGAAGAAACTTTTTTTCATCAGCTATTTGATAACGCTGAAATACTGTCTGTACAAGAAAGGAAGGGTAAAATGTTTGACTTCTTATTTCTACCAACCCTCACTTGGAAAGCCACTTTTCAGAAAAACAAATTAGTGCCTTGTTAGCCTCCAGAATGACCAGCTTTTTAAAAAAGTGTCATTATGAACCCATGGGTTTATAAAATAATTGATATGATTCTCTTCTCAGGGTGAATTGTTAGAAAAGAAATTGCCATATCAAAGGGTAGACAAATTTAAAATTTTGGTACAGATTACCCACTCACCTCCAGATAGGCTGTTTCATTTTATGTTCTTGCCAGTTGTTTATAAAAAAATATTTGTTTCTCCATATCCTTGCCAACACTGGTTGGCCAGTTTTCAATTTTTCTTATTATACCAGTCTGATGGCAAAATTGATAACTGTTTCTCTTTCAGTTCTTTAGTTGGAAGTAAAGCTGATCTTTTCACATTATTGGCTTAAGTTTAGCCAGTTGCCTGTTAATTACCTTTATCCTTGTTTCTATTAGGATATTGGTCTCTTTTTACATTTTTATGTTGTTACAACTATCAGTCTTTTCCTTGATGATTGCTGCTTTGTCTTTGCTTAGAGCTTTTCCTATCTTAAGATTATAAAAATATGTACCTATTTTCTTCTGGTGCCTCTTCATGATTTTATAGTTAAATATTTGTTTCATAGACACGTTATTTTGTATAAGGAGTGAGATAAGAATCCATTGTTACTTTTCCCCAAATCCATTATTAGTTTTCTCAATGCCATTTATTAAGGAAACTATCTTTTCCCCACTAATTTGAGATGCCACTTTCATCTTATATTAAATTTTCTATAATCTTAAGTCTGACTTCTCTGTTAGATTTCACAGATTTGTCCATCTATTTCTGCTCCAGTATCCGATTTTATATTACCGTGGCTTGATTTTGCATTTAAAATAGTTGTTATTGGATTTTGTAAAATTATGAAAATCAAACAAGCTTTTTCCTATGTAACAGTTGCTTTATAATGTGTTTTAATAATTGGTGTCACTGGTCTCTTTTCTTTTTTGTTGTTTTATGACTTTGCTGACAAAGCTCACAGATTCTTCTAGATGGATTTTAGAATTGTTTGTGTCAAGATTCCCAAACAGCTCTTTTTTATTTTGATTGGGATTTTATTCAATGGGTCAATTTAGGGAGACTTGATTTCTTTACTACTTTGAACCTTTGTAGTTAAGGACATTGTCTATCATTTCATTTATTTAAATCTTTTATATCCTTGAATATTTTTAATTAATTTATCCTGAAGTTTATTTTTATTGGCTTCTCTGCCTTTTCATTTGAGGAATACTTTTAAAAATTGATCAGATTCACTTTTTTAAAAAACTAGGCCAAACTTTCTGGGAAAAATGTCAGATTTTATTATCTGTAAGGTTAGTCTTCTAAGCTGAGGCAGCTCCTCTAGGCAAACAAGCCTATGTCCCACTGTCCTTAAGGCAAATTAGATAATGGTCCTTCTGATAGTAGCTATTGTTTTGTTACTGAGTATAAATTGAAGCACATAAAAGAAAGATGACAATAGTTGTCCAAAATTAGATATAACACAAATTTTGGGGTTTTAAATGGAAAAGTTCAACTATTTAAGTACAGCATATGGGCAGCTTTTTATTAAGTGAAAATAACAAACCTGTAATTGTGAAAAACAGTTTCATGAGGAATGCAAGTGCCAGCCTGCCCAGCCTTCGCTTCATTACATCTGGGAATTTATCTTTATCTGCTGCTTATATAGGCTGTCTTTATACCCAAACCTATTTTAATCCAAATAGAATAATAATGACAAAAGCAGCTACTACTTATTGAGATCCTGTGTGTGAGGAATTGTGTTTTATGTATGTTAATTTCTTAAATTAATGGAACGACTTGTTTTTTTGTTTGTTTGTTTTTTGAGATGGAGTCTCACTCTGTTGCCCAGGCTGGAGTGCAGTGGCGCAATCTCAGCTCACTGCAACCTCCACCTCCCTGCCTCAGTCTCCCGAGTAGCTGGGACTACAGGCATGTGCCACCACGCCCGGCTAACATGGAACAGCTTTTTAAGGAATTCTTATTTATATATCAGACAGTTGCAGCTAAGAAGCAGAGTTGATCTTTAAGTTAAATCTGTTCAACTCTAGGTTCTTAGGGACACTGGGCTGCATTCCAGCGCTTCCCAGTGTGTGTGTGTGTGTGTGTGTGTGTGTGTGTGTGTGTGTAGGTATAGGTGTGTGCATATGCGTGTGTATGGGAGGGCTTTTTTGTTGTTTTAGGGGGTGAGAAGAGGGAGACGTGGTCATAGCTTTAGCAAACCTGTCAACACTGCTTCTAAAATACAAGAGGCTTCTATATGTCTCTTTCTGAAGAGCTACTCCTTATTGAATACTTCAGTATATTTTAAATTTTAATTTTGTAGGTATTTGCTGAACTGCTATTATGTGGTAGATTCTGGGATACGATTTTCTGAGAAGCATTGTAAGCCAGATTTAATAAGAAATAGTGAAGTAACTAATATTGAAATTGTGAAAAGATTTGTTAAACTCATTAACCACAAAACATGCTTATAAGATTCAGAGAGACTTTCTAGGCCAAATTAATGTGACTTGCTTGTGTATGTTATAAAATATTCCAGACATACTAAAAGGCATAAAGAATGATATACTTTGGGAGGCCGAGCCAGGCGGTTCACCCGAGGTCATGAGTTCAAGACCAGCCTGGCCAACATGGTGAAACCCCATCTCTACTAAAAATACAAAAATTAGCCGGGCCTGGTGGCGCGTACCTGTAGTCCCAGCTACTCACGAGGCTGACGAGGCTGAGGCAGGAGAGTTGCTTGAACCCGGGAGAGGGACGTTGCAGTGAGCCAAGATGGCACCACCGCACTCCAGCCTGGCGACAGAGTGAGACTCCATCTCAAAAACAAACAAACAAACAAACAAACAACCCATATACCTAACATCTGCTTAAGATATAAAATGTTACTAATATAATTGAAGCCCCAATTTATTCCTTCCCAAGTACATAATTCTTCCTACACCTCAGATAATTGTCTCCTTTCTTTTTTTTTTTCTTTTTTGTTTTTTGAGACCGAGTCTTGCTCTGGCACCCAGGCTGGAGTGCAGTGGCACGATCTCTGCTCACTGCAACCTCCGTCTCCTGGGTTCAAGTGATACTCCTGCCTCAGCCTCCAGAGTAGCTGGGATTTCAGGAACCCGCCACCATGCCTGGCTAATTTTTTTTATTTTTATTAGAGGCTGGGTTTCACCACGTTGGCCAGGATGGTCTCGAACTCCTGACCTCAAATGATCCTTCCGCCTCGGCCTCCCAAAGTGCAGGTATTACAGGGGTGAGCCACCGCGCCTGGCCAATTGTCTCCTATCAAACGAAATAAAGACTATGTTTATGAACTTTGTATAAATGATAGTACAGGATGCTCTGATTCTTCTGCAACTTGCTTTTTTCCACTCGTGGTAGTATTTTTGAGATTTATCCATGTTTAATGCTTGTACTTCAATCCATTCATTTCTATTGCTTGTCATATTCTATCGTAGGAGTACACCATCCTTTACTTATCAATTCTGCTGTTGATGGACAGTTGTTTCCAGTTTTTGCAGTTAAAAAATTACACTGCTATTAATGTTATTTTATGGTTCCTCCTTGTATATATATGTGAGATTCCTTAGGGTACCTATGTATGAATGAAATTGTAGGATCAAAAGGTATATGTATCTTCAGTTTTACTAAAGATCGCCTTATTGTCTCCAAAAGTACTGCTCCTTTAAGTCCCTGCCGTCACTGATGAGGTTTTCATTGTTCTCTACCCTTGCCAATAGTAGGTATTGTTAGACTTTGTAATTTATCAGTTAGATGAGTGATATGTCTCACTGTTATTTTGAATTTCCCTGACTACTAGTGATATTGTATATCTTTCCTTACATTTATCAGTATTACAGGTATTTTTTTTCTAGTACTTACTTTTATTGTATATTATGGTTTAAAGTTACATGCAAAGTTGTAAGTAGCACAAAGTAGGTGCTACTAGATAGAACTATGCCCTGCTCGTATCTTTAAAACAAATGCGTTTTTGATACTTCAGAAAGTGAATGTGAGAGTTAGAGTTACATCTTTCAACATAGATAAATGAAAAGCGATGCTGAAAGGCTTGTGGAAGCTACCTATAATACACCATGTATGTAAAGTTAACCATACTGTGTATCTGTGGGCACAGTACTTCAGCCTATTTGTGTTTCACTTTTTCTGTATGAGATGATCTTACCAACCTCACAGGGTGATTGGAGGTGAGTGGGCAGTCGATGATCTAATGAATGCTAAGCACTTAGAGTAGTATCTGGCATGTAAGCATTGCTGATATATAACAGAAAGTGTTGCTGGGCATGGTGGCTCACACCTATAATTCTAGCACTTCCGGAGGCCAAGGCAGGAGGATCACTTGAGCCCAGGAGTTGGAGACCAGCCTGGGTGACAGAGTGAGACCCTGTCTCAAACAAAACAAAACAAGATTAAAAAAAATATAGAAAGTGTTGTTACTGCTGTGCATAATAGTCTATTTTCTGTAGATTCAAATGATATGAATTAGAGTGTAAAATTATGTATTGGAATGGTGTGTGCGAGTCACTGCTCTGTCGTCCCAGGGCAGAAAATGCTGATGGAATTGGGGAGGGTACATGGGGCTTCTGATGTGTTTTCTTCCTAAAAGACTCAGAATGCATCAGAATGTTAAGATTTGACAGGGTAGTGTAGCAAGTTCTTTTTTTTTTTTTAACTGTTTGCTTACAATATTTCAAAACAAAAATATTTTTTAAGCATGAAAAAAACATTGGCAACTGTGCAGACATTTTTTGGAGGAAATAATTTGGGGTGGTTTTCCAATTTGTGTGTGTGTGTGTGTGTGTGTGTGTGTGTGTGTGTGTGTGTGTGTATTAGAAAGCATGAACTTTGCAATTAAATTGATGCTTGAATCCTGACTCCATCATTTACCAGCTTCATGATTTTGGGCAGTTTATGCAATCTCTCCAAGTCAGTCTTCTCATCTTTAAAATGTTATCTCATTTAATTCTCTCACGAAACCATGAGGCAAAATGCTTCATGTTTTGTTTAGAGAATTAAATGAATTAAATGAGATAACATTAAGACCTGGTACATGTGCCTAGTACTTAGTTTTAGGATGAACTATACATACTCAGCTTTAGTAATGTGAAAGACGGTAACACCATCGTATATAATTAAATAAGCCCTGAAATCTGGCAGCATTTATGAAATTGAAATGCTGTCTGTTGATAGTTGATTCTAATGTAAATGTGCTTCCATCTCAGGGCCAGCTGAGGGGCCCACGGACATAGGGCACCCACAATAGGCGTGTGTCTGCTGTGTGTTTGTGTTCGGCCGTCCTGCTTCTCTGTTTCCACACGTACACATGCCCCTGTGTTACTTTGGTTCATCTTCTGTACTCTGTCAGTTTTCTGCTGGTCAGAACATCTGTGACTGTGACAGAGCTGTCCAGGATTGCAGTGGATAGGTGGGTATAATCACTGGGACCCTTCTGGGGACTCTGGAACCTGGCTTCTGTTTGGGAACTCTGTCAGTGATCATGCAGCATGGAAGAGCGGGGCTGGTGCCAGAGAGCTGATAGAGATGCAGGCTAGGTGCTGGTAGACAACTGTGAGCTGGCTTCATTTAGATGGTTCTCATGTCTCTTGCCACAGGAATTTCTTCACATGGCTCCTGGAGAAGTGACCATCACAGTTCGCCTCATCCGTTCCTTTGAACATCGCAATTTCAAACCTGTAGTGTATCACGGAGTGAATTTGGACCAAACTGTAAAGGAATTTATCGTATTTCTAAAGCAAGGTATGAGATGTGAAAGCCATTTTGTTTTACTAGTAGTTTTTAAAAATAGCTGACTATGACATTAATAATAATCTTTAACAAATCCTAAAGTACTTTGAAAGATTAACCTGGGTTCCAAGCCAGGTGCTGGGCGAGCCCCGGTTCTGGGCCCTGGCATCTGCAGAGGGCCTCCCTCAAGGATTCTCACTGAATAGTCTGTGTCCTCATGAGGGATTGTGACCGTCATTTTTGGCTTCTTTTTTTTTTTTTTTAATTAAAAGTAATATCTAGGTTTGTTGTTAATGGGGTTATGTATTTGGAGGTTGATTAGCAAGCGGGTGTAGTGTAGCTGATTGTGGTACCCAGCTGAGCACAGAGGGTGTGGGGTGGTCACATGGGGAAGTGTGGTGGGAGGGGAGCGGAGGCTGTACAGCAGGAAGTCATGAGAGCTGCTGATAATTGTGGTCACAGACACAGAAACGGCGGTGCTAGTTGATTGTTTCAAACTAGAAGTATGCATGAAGTTAGTCTTCATTCTGTTATGTCCTCAATGGGTTTCTCTTCTCCATTTTTAATTATTGAAGTGTTCCAATCATCGAACTTTGAGAAAACATCTAAAATAAGGTTTCATTACTTTAATTGAAGTGTTATTTACATATGGTGCAATCTGCAGATTTCTTGTATAGTTCCATTGCTTTTGACAAAGGTATTGCTTTATATCCAATGTAATTTTTTTACTTTGACATGATTTCAAACTCATAGACAAGTTGCAAGAACAAGACAAAGAATTCCTGGATGTTCTTCACACAGATTCCTTGTGTTAACATTTTGCTATGTTTGTTTTATTCCTGCGGAGGCCAAAGCAACTCCATCTTGGATACTGATCTGCCATATTGACTTCTCATTAGCCCCAGTTTCAAGATACCTCTAAGATTTCCAGGTTATCTACTATTCCCTATGTAAGAACAGGTACTTACTATAAATCCTGACCTTAGGTCAAGCAACCTTGATGTTATTGTACTTTGCTTGCCCTACACATCCCTTCAGATCACCCTTTCCCTATGATATAAGCCCTGGGTCTGGGGGGTAGTGGTGCGTGGATCCCTTGTCTTGTCCTGCCAAAGCCTGAGACACAGACATGGCTTCTGTTTGTAAGTTCCTATTAAATATGTCTTTCTAAGAAACTGAATATGTCAGCCTCTTTCTTCAGCCTCTCAGTTTCCTCGGACTTTCTGGGGCAGGTTCACATAGACCTGCTCACCTTGAAACAATTCCTCACTCTCTCCCCTCTCTCCTCTTCCCCTTTCTCTCTCATTCTCCTCACTCCCCCAGATTAGGTAGCATCCTCAACAAAGAACAGTAAAATTTTAGAGAAGTGACAAGACAAAGGAAATGAACTCTAAATCTCTCAGGGTGACAACTTGTGGGAAACTGAATACTAAGGCTAGTTAGTAAAGCTCGTTAATGTGGATTCTCTTGTGCTGTCTCCAGACTGATAGGGGTCTAAAGTTGTCTTCAGTGATTAACCTTTGTTTTCCTTGGGAGAGAGGTGGGCAGGATACCTTTTCTCTTTGTAAATCTATTATATGTCCTGATTTTAGGCAAACGGAGGGCCGAGAGCTTTCCTCCATCTGCTGCTGCTTAATTGCCTTTAGCTCAAAAAAAATCCTTAGCTAAAGAGGCATATTTTGGGGGGCACTTCCTGGTCTCTGACAGTGTCAATTAGAAAGTGTCCTGCTTTTGAAAGGTCATTACCCAAAGCATAGTCAGAGTTTGAAATAGAAACAAATCCGTACTTTTTTATTTTATAATCTTTGTGTGTATTGTGGATTACAGTGTTTCTTAATGTTGACACAGCAAGTGCTATGATGTTCTTTGTACAGTACAGACTAGGTTCTTGAAGTCCTTGAGAATAAGATGTATTTTCAAGCTGCTGCAATGGCAGGGGAAGATGTCTTTTTTCCAGGGTCACGGTGTTCTTTTCTTTCCAGGTACCACAGATACCTTCCCCAGCAGAGCAGTGGTACTGGTCACAGTGAGATGCTCAGACCCACCTACTCACACCTTTCATCTGCAGTGGGAATAACAGCCACTGCTTGTTTCAATTGTGCACTTAGGGAAATGTGTTCCACTGACTAAAAGGTGAACTTTTGGGGTACAGACTTTTCTGAGTTGTGGGCTCTGTGTCCAAGCCTATCTTTGTCATCTGATTTGAGGTACTATGGAACTCTGAAAGGTTGGTGGGCCACAGATTTGCCTTTTATGAATTGTGTACATAACAAAGACCAAACAGTTTGATAGTGAGGGATTTTTGAAATATGTAATAATAATAATGATAGCAAACATTACTCTGTATCAGGTACTATACTAAGAATTTTACCTAGATTATCTCATTTCATCCTCACAGCATCCCTCTAAAGTTGGAACCATTTTACAGGTGAAGAAACTAAGGAACAGAGGGGTTAAGAAGCTTGCCTGGCCACCTGCAGTGGCTCACATCTGTAATCCCAGCAATTTGGGAGGCTAAGGCGGGAGGATCACTTGAGCCCAGGAGCTTGAGACCAGCCAGGGCAACATAGCAAGACCCTGTCTCTCCAAAAAAAAAACAAAACAAAACCCCAAAAAACTAGCTGGGCATGGTGGCATACATCTGTAGTGCCAGCACTCAGGAGGCTGAGGTGGGAAGATCGCTTGAGCCCATGAAGTTGAGGCTGCAGTGAGCTTTGATTGCACTACTGCACTCTAGTCTGGACCACAGAGCAAGCCTGTGTCTCAAAAAATAAATAAATAAATAAATAAATAAATGAAACTTTCCTGATGTTGCATGGGTAATAAAAGGCAAAGCTGCAAATCAACCCAGGCATGTTAAGTGTCAAACATGTACTCTTACTAAACACTGCACTAAATTGCTTCTTTATTCTTCTCTACTGCCTCACTTGCTTGAGTGGGATCTCTGAAATAAATGGATGGACTCCGTGTCAAAAGGGTCTTTGAATTTAGTTCATCTTGCTCTAGCATTTTGAGTGCTGAGTGCTAAAGAGATTGTCTGACATAGTGGCATAGGGAATTTTGTACAGATACAGAAATGGGCATTGTGAAGAAAGATCTCTTGGAGTTATTTTACACACTTTATTGCCTTTCTTTCTTTCTTTTTAAATTAAATTTTATTTTTCGATCCTCCTCCCTCCCCAAGGCTTTCTAAATGTTCTTTTCTTTCGTAGTCATGTTTTGCCATCCACAGGTTAACCTAGTTACCTGCCATAATTGTTTGTATTTTCTCCTCAGCCAAAAAGTTTTGGTTAAATTTTATTCATTCCCCATTGAGAATCACAGCCCTAGAGCATCATCACGTCATCAAAACCTTAAGTCATATAAATATAATAAATATAAATGTATATATTTACATATAAATATAATAAACCTATTTCTGATGTATGATAAATTTATTTATTTATTTTGAGACAGAGTCTCGCTCTGTTGCCCAGACTGGAGTGCAGTGGCGTGGTCTCGGCTAACAACCTCTGGCTCCTGAATTGAAGCGATTCTCCTGCCTCAGCCTCCTGAGTAGCTGGGATTACAGGTGTGCGCCACTATGCCTGGCTAATTTTATATTTTTAGTAGAGATGGGGTTTCACCATGTTGGTAGGCTGGTCTCAAACTTCTGATCTCAAGAGATCCGCCTGCCTCAGCCTCCCAAAGTGCTGGGATTACAGGTGTGAGTCACTGTACCTGGCCTGGGAAATGGATATTAATCAAATATTATGATCATAGAGGTATCATAATATATTACCATCTATAGATGACTGTATTTTTTAGATTCAGAATACTAGACAAACCAATTATCTAGATAACATAAAATTATTTTAATTATTCTTAATTTGCAAGCATTTCGATTCTTACTAATACTTTAGATCTGGTTTCCAAATGTAAAGTCATCCCAACTATGAAAAAGAACACTGTGGAAGCTCTGTCCAACCTTCCAGTTCAGTCTGATGTTTTTCTCATGGTTAGACTGGGCTTATGGATTTTTGAGAGGAAGGTCACAGAGGCACAGAGTGATTTTATCAGATAGTATCAGAGGTGTATGCTTTCCACATCATTTAGGATTATTGACATTGACGTTGATTAAGTGGCTGAAGTCATGTCAGGTTTCTCTACTGTAAAGTTACTCTTTTTTCCTTCCCTTTTCAAATGGTACTTTTCAGAAGGAATTCATATCACAGTTAAACACTCGGGAGTTATGCTTCCCTTCCTTTAGAATAAACCATGTACAAAAATCCTTTGGAGTTCTGTGTGGCAGACTTGACTTTGTTGCTCAGATTTTGCTAGGTTTGGGAGCTCTTTCAATTGCCTTCTGTGCTCCTCTGACATATGCCCTCAGTGTGCATGGGTGCACGTGTTCAGTACTTTTACTTTCTGGTACTACAGGATGCTCCAGACTCATCTTGTACATGCCCTGTTCTTAGAATCAGCTTTATTTCCAAGGAGTCTCAGTTCTTTTTTAGTGGAAAATTGTGTTAGAAACCAGGATCTAGGTACTAGATGTGTTCATTGCTACTAGAGTGTTCTTTCTTTCTTTCTTTTTTCTATGGTAGATATCTAAAGGCCAAGGAGTGTTATTTTAAACTGTCTCAGCTGATCAGGCAAAGAAATATATGTGTCTGTATTAACCTGTGCGTATGTACATATCTATAAATATTTTTATATGTAATGATCTATATACAAATACATTAAACGTGAGTTCTTACTGATCTTTCCATCTCTGATCCATTACCCTGTGGGTCATTCTAGCTTCCTCTCCTTGCTTATCTGTTAATTCCCATACCAACAGTGAGAAACGTGGTCCCACCATCTGCTATCCATTTATTTAATTGTTTAATTCTAGCATACAGGTATAGCAGTGTATCCCCATGGGAAGCAACTTGATATCAGTTAGATACAGTCCTTTTGTGTCCTTTCGCCATAAGCACTGTAGTCTTACAAAATCTGTTCATTGCCAGAGTTATTTAGGTCAGCACTTTTTCTTCTACTCCCTTCAGTAAGGTTGTTGTAGCATTTGTAGTACAGATAGATTAGATTCTCTTGTCACCACCTGCATTCTTTCCTGGTATCCTCTGACTTCTTAAATATATATATATATATATTTTGTTTTTTTCTGAGAGAGAGTCTCATTCCAGTTGCCCAGGCTAGAGTGCAGTGGCACCATCTCGGCTCACTGCAGCCTTAACCTCCCGGACCCTGGTGATTCTCCCACCATAGCCTCCTGAGTAGCTGGGACTACTGATGCATGCCACCATGCCTGGCTAATTTTTTATTTTTAGTAGAGACGGGGTTTTGCTGTGTTGCCCACCCAGGCTGGTCTCAAAACTCCTGGACTCAGGCAGTCCGCTGCCTCGGCCTCCCAAAGTGCTGGAATTATAGGTGTGAGTCGCTGTGCCCGACCTTTTTTTTTTTTTTTTTTTTTTTTTGCTTTGCATACATTGAGGTTCACTCTTTGTGCTACAAAGTTCTTTGGGTTTTTGACAAATGGGTAATGTCATGTAGCCACCCTTACAGTGCCGTACAGAATAGTTTCACTGCCTAAAATATCCGCTGTGCTTCACTTCTTTATCCTTTCCCTCCCCATGCTGCACCCTTGGCAACTACTGATTTTGTTCTTATCTCTGTATCTTTTCCAGAATGTCACTGAATTGGAATCATACAGTATGTAGACTTTTCAGAATGGCTTCTTTTACTTAGAAATATACATTGAAGGGGTCAGGCACAGTGGCTCATGCCTGTAATCCCAACACTTTGGAAGGTGGAGGTAGGAAAATCACTTGAGCCTCGGAGTTTGAGCCCAGACTGGACAACACAGTATGACCCCATCTGTACAAAAAAAAAGAAAAAAAGAACAGAGAAACATGCATTGAACACGCATTGAAGGGTCCTTCATGTCATTTTGTGACAGGTCATATCTTTCTAATCTCCATTAATCTGGAACAATCCCCCACCTTTTGTTTTTCATTATATTGATTCTTAAAGAAAAATTTAGGCCAGTGTCTTACAGAATGTTACATAATTTACATTTGTCTAGATTGTTTTCTCATGATTAGGTTCGGGTTAAGCAGTTTTGGCAGGATTACCATGTAGGTCAGGGGTTAACAAACAACAGTCTGTGGACCATATATGTACCACTTTTGTGATTTAGTAGTAGAGTTGAATAGTTGTGACAGACTGTCGCAGAGACAGAGACTGGCCCACAAAGCCTAAAATGCTGACTCGCTGGCCTTTACCAAACTAGTTTGCTGGCCTTGATGTAGGTGATTCCTCCTTGTTGCATCACATCAGGAAACACTGAATGTCAGTTTATGCCTTCATTGGTGATACAGATTTAAATCCTTTGGCTAAAGGTGCCATCCACCAGATTTTCCTGATGTTAAAGTGTCTTTCTAATTTATAAGTAGTCTATGGAGTGATCAACATTGAGACCATTTACATATCTTGTTTCTTATGGTTTTAGCATTTATTGATGATCCTTATCTGAATCATTGGTGGTTGAAAAATTGTGATTTTTCTAATTCTATGATTATCTCTACATGTATTATCTGGCACTCTTCTGTAGAGAACCCGTCCCTTGAAGCCTCTCTTTTTTTGAAAGGAATACAATAATGTGGCTGCAGCACAGTCATAATGTATTATTGCCTTATCACGTGAGGCAGTTCCTTCAACATACTGTTAAGGCAATGCTTTGTTGTTTTTACTACTCTACTACAGGATGTGCTGCGCATTCTTTAATTTAAGTACTTTATAATTTTAATACACAAAATAATACTTGGCCTGGCGTGGTGGCTCACACCGTAATCCCAGCACTTTGGGAGGCCAAAGCGGGAGGATCACTTGAATGCAGGAGTTCGAGACCAGCCTGAGCAACATAGCAAGACCCTCATCTGTACTAAAAATGTAAAAACATTGGCCTGGCTTTGTAGTGCATGCCTGTAGCCCAGTTACTTGGGAGGCTGAGATGGGAGGATTGCTTGAGCCTGGGAGGTCGAGGCTGCAGTGAGCCTTGATTGTGCCACTGCACTCCAGTCTGGGCAACAGAGAAAGACCCTGACTCAAACAAAACAAAACAAAACTATTTTTATCATCCCTGGCTATTAGTCTTTGGAACGAGAGTAAAACAACAGAGCGGGTGTGCTAACCTAGGGATGGCAGGTGGTTTCTTCTAGGAAGGGAGTAACAGTGGGACTGGCAAAAGATAGAAAGGCTTTAGCTGCATCCAGATTGTTTTACTTAGTTAAAAAAAATAATAAAGGATCTATAGTAATATGACTACATGTTAACATTTGTAAAATCTGGTTGGTGGGTTAAGTGAATTTTTTGTTCTACTCTGTGCTTTTCTATAATTTAGATTATTTTATAATTAAAGTAAAAAGCATATAGCTTAACCTTTGAATCTTACCATCATATCTGATAAGGATACCTTATCAGGTTTGAATGTTGGTGCATAGTTTTGATTATTAGGTGTTTGGTATTCTTTGTCCATATAGATTAGTCATTGGCTTAGTTTTATTTTTTTTTTCCTTTAGGTGTTTATGCTTTCTCAAAGGTCTTCTAATGTAGATCCAGCATCCAATAATAAGTTACAAATTGTACCACTTCTATTTTTAGAGCCTTTACTGTGAGGCAAAGAATTATTTTATTGCCTCTTGATATTTCAATGGTTTTCTAGACTTTATTGATTTTTGTATTGAAATGTGTGTTTTAACATTTCAGACTCCCCTGGGGCATTGTAATTTTCAGTAGTATATTTGTTAAGTTGCCTAAATTTTTCCACTGATTTTTTTTTTATGGAGACTTAATTGTATGAGAAAAGTTAGTGGTTACCTTCTCGTGACCTTCCTTTCTATTAATGAAATATTAAATTAGTTTTTGCAACATTCTGAAGTCTTAAGTTCAAAGGTGGGAAAACATAAAATGAAAGAAAAACGCAGTGCAAAGTGGGAAATAATTTTCAGAATATAATAGATACGTCATAAACTTTTGCTTTCAGCCAAGATGGAGTGGGACCAGGGTACCAGGCTTGCTCTTCTACATTAAACAACTAAAAAAACTATGTATAATATATAAAACAATCATTTCCCTGGGATTGGGGAAACAGACATGGTGACCCCTATGATTGTGCCACTTTCCAGGCCACAGGGCGGGGAGAGGGAATTCAGGCAAAGCTGGTGGGTTCCATGAGTTTAGGAGTCAGAGCTGGCAGTCTGGAGTGGACCCTGGAGAGTTCACAGGGCAGAGTACAGGGATATAGAGAGCTGCACAGAGAGATGGGGAGCTCTGAAGATTTGCAGAGGATCTTTGAAGATATGCAGAGTGTGAGTCTTCAGTTGTGTATGGATCAGTGCAAGCAAGTAAAGAAACCACTGGAAGCCTGGGAAAGAACCACCTAAAACTAGTAGAATGAGAAATGCTCGGAGCTCCTACAGGGCTGGGAATAGTTTTTATTCCACCTGTTGGAGTGGAAACCTTGTTATTCACAGGTTATCGGGCAGAGTATCCAGAAGGGTGTTGCTGCAGTAGTAGAGCAAAATTAGCTGTAGACTGAATTCTGTCCTGGTCCCACCTAACAAAGTTCAGAAGCACAACTTGAAAGGATCAGATTGTTTCCAAGTAATTTAACTGTGTTGCAGAAGAAAGCTCAAGAAAGCTTACAGGAATACAGAAATATCCAGCACCCAACAAGATAAAATTTACGGTGTCTAGCATCAAATCAGAACTTAACAGGCATGCAAAGAAGCAAAAAAGTATGACCCATAATGAGCAGAAAAAAAAAATCAGTCTATTGAAACCAACCCAGAAATATTGCAGGTGATAAAATTAGTAAACAAAGATGATGGAGATAATTATGACCATATTGCAAAATGTTCGAGAAGCTAGAGGAAAGATTGAGCATGTTAGCAATGGAAGATATTTAAAAATACCTGAATTGAAAATATTGTCTGAGATGGGTATACACTGGACAGGATTAGCCTGCAGATTAGATGCTGCGGAGAAAAAAATTAGTCAACTTGAAAACATAGCAACAAAACAATCTAAAATGAAACACAGGAAAAGACTGGAAAAAATAAAGCAGTGGGGAGGTATGGGACAACTTCTAGTAGCCAAATATACATGTAATTGGAGATAGTGAAGGAGAGAGGGACGGGGGACAGAAGATATATTTGAAGAAATAATGATTGAAAATTTTACAAATATGATGAAAACTAGAGACTCACATTTCCCAGCAGTTCAACAAATCCCAAGCAAAAGAAACATGAAGAAAGCCACACCAAGGCATACCATAATCTAACTGCTTAACTGGTGGTAAAGAAAAAAAATCTTAAAAACAGCAAGAGAAAAAAGAACACATTACATAAAAAGGAACAAAGATGAAATTGACAGCCAACTTCTCATCAGAATCAGTGTGTGCCAGAAAGAAGATACTGGATTAACATTTTTTTTTTTTTTTTGAGATGGAGAGTGCAGTGGCATGATCTTGGCTCACTGCAACCTCTGCCTCCTAGGTTCAAGCGATTCTCCTGCCTCAGCCTCCCAAGTAGCTGGGACTACAGGCATGTGCCACCACGCCCAGCTAATTTTTTTCGTATTTTTAGTAGAGATGGGGTTTCACCATGCTGGCCAGGCTGGTCTCGAAATCCTGACCTCAAGTGGTCTGCCCTCCTCAGCCTCCCAAAGTGCTGAGATTACAGATGTGAGCCACTGTGTCTGGCCTGGAGTAACTTCTTTAAAGCAGTTAAGGAATGAAGCCAACATGAAGATGTTTTCAGACATACCAAAGCTGAAAGAGTTCATCACCTGGAGATCTGCACTGTAAGAAATGTTGGAAGACCTTCTTCAGGCATAAGGAAAATGATACCAGATATAAATCTGGATGCACACAGAGAAATAGAGAGTACTGGAAATGGTAAATATAATAAATATAAAATATTTTTTCTTATTTTGAAAATAATTAAAAAAAATATTTGACCATTTAAAGAAACACAACAACAACGTATTGTGGGTTTTGTGGGAAATTTATGACAGCAGTAGCACAAAGGCCAGCAGAGGAGAAATGGAAGAATCTTTTGCTATTACAAAGTGTTATAGTATCATTTGGAGGTAGACCGATAAAGATGTTTACTGTAAACCTCAAAGCAACTCCTGCCTCCCAACCCCACAATCTAAGGGTTACAGCTAATGAGCTAAAAAAAGAGATAAAATGGAATCATAAAATATTGTCAAATAGACAATCCAAAAGAAGATAGAAAAAGAGGAAATAGAGAACAAATTTAAAAGAATAGCAAACTTTAACCATATCAATAATCACATTGAAAGTAAATGGTCTAAATACCCCAATTAAAAGACAGACATATAATAGGAAGTCCCAATTATATGTTACCTACAAGAAATGTACTTTAAAGATAAAAATCAAGTAAGAATAGAAGGATGAGAAAGTTATACCATGCTGATATGAATCCAAAGAAAAGTGGAGGGACTGTATTAGTATCAGATGAAGTAGATTTTAGAGCAAAATATTACTAGGGATAAAACTATCACTTCATAATGATAAAGGCATCAACTGAGAGGACATAACGATGCACCTAACAACAGAATTTCAAAATAAATGAAGTAAAAACTCATAGAACTGCAGGAAGAAATAGAGGAATGGAACAAATAGAAAATCAGTAAGGATCAAGAGAACTTAAAAACACTAGCAACCCAATCAACTGAATTGACATCTATAGAATCTTGCTTCCAACAATAGTGGAATTTACACATTTCCTTCAAATGCACATGGAGCGTTTATGAATAGTCCAGATTTCATATTATAAAACAAGTCTTAATCGATTTTAAAGGATTCAAATTAGACAGTGTCTATTTTCTGGCCATAATGGAATTAGATTAGAAATCAATAACAGAAAGATCTCTGGAAAAATCTCCAAATATTTGGAAACCAAATAACACACTTCTAAATAGCCTAAGGGTCAAAGCAGAGATCAAAAGGGAAGGTATTTTGAACTGAGTGGAAATGAATATACAACTTTTCAAATTTTGTGGGATGCATGTAAAATAGTATTTAAAAGAAAGTCTATAGTACTAAAACACCTAAATATTAAAAAAGGTTTCAAATCAATGATTTCAGTCTTTATGTTAAGAAACTAGAAACAGAAAAGCAAATGAAACCTAAAATAATCAGAATAAAAGAAATAATAATGATCACAGCAGAAAATAGAAAAACCATAGAGAAAATCCATAACAGTCAAAGTTGATTCTTGGAGATCAATAAAATTGAGTAAACTCTAGCCAGACTGATCAGGAAATAGAGAAGATACAAGTTACCAGTATCAGGAGTGACAGTTGTCATATCACTACAGACTTTCTGCAGATATTAAAAGAATAATAAAGGAATATTCTTAACAATTTAATGCTAATAAGTACAGTATCCTAGATAAAGAGGACAAATTGCTTCAAAGACCCAAACTATCAAAGCTCACTAAAAAAGAAACGGCATGAACAACTCTGTATTTTAAAAGGAATTATGGTTAAAAAATACTTCCACAAAGAAAACTCCAGGCCCAGATGGTTTCACTGGTACATTCTACCATATTTTTAAGAAAGAAATAATCTCAATTCTACAGAGATTCTTCCAGAAGAAGGATGGGAGCCAGGCACGATAGTTCTTGCCTCTAATCCCAGCTATATAGGAGGCTGAGGCAGGAGGTTCTCTTGAGGCCAGAAGTTTGAGAACAACCCAAGCAACATAGCGAGATACTGTCTCTTAAGAAAAAAAAAAGGAGGGGGGCAGAATATTTTTCAACTCATTCTCTGAGGTCATCCTTACCCTGATACCAAACCAGAAAAAGTTGTTGAAAGAAAATAAAGCTACCAGCCAATATCCATCATGAATGGAGATGTAAAAATTCTTGCCCAAACTTTAGTAAATCAAATCCAACAATATTTAAAAAGGATAATACATTATGACTCTGTTAGTCTGTTTGCATTGCTATAAAGGAATACCTGAAGCTGGGTAATTTATAAAGAAAAGAGATTTATTTGACTCTCGGTTCTGTAAGCCATACCCAAAGCTTAGTGCTGGCATGTGCTTCTGGTGAGGGCCTCAAGAAGCTTACTACCATGGTGGAAGGCAAAGGGAAGTCAGCATGCCACATAGCATGCCATATGAGAGAGGAAGCAAGAGAGAGAGAGAGGGAGAAGATATCAGGCTCTTTTTAAACAGCCGGATCTCACGTGAACTAATAGAGGAGGAACGCACCCATTATAGCATGGAGAGCACCAACCCATTTGTGAGGGATCTACCCCCGTGACCCAAACACCTCTCACTAGGCTCATCGCCAACTTTGGAGGTTACATGTCAACATGAGATTTGGAGGGGACAAAACATCCAAACTATATCAATGACCATGTAGGGTTTATCCTAAGAATGCAATGCTGGTTCCACCAAAAAAAAAAAAAAAAAAAAAAAAAATCCATGTAATTCATCATATTAATAGTAAAGAAAAGAAAACTATAAGATTATTTTAATTGAAGACAGAATCCAAAATCCATTCCTGCTAAAAACTCTTTTCAAGCTAGGAATAAAAAGGAACTTCCTCTACCTGATGAAGAGTATGAAAAACTGTTGCCTAACATCATGCTTAATGGTGAAAGACTGAGTGCTTTCCTCCTAAAATAAGGAAGCAGGGACATCTGTTCATCATCACTGCTATTCAACATTGTACTGGAGTTCTAGCCAGTTCATTAAGGCAAGAAAATGAAGTAACAGGCAACCCTGTTTGAAAGGAGGACGTGAAACTGTCATTATTCACAGGCAATATGATTATCTATGCAGAAAATCCTATGAAATCTATACAAATGCTACCAGAACTTACAAACTGAGCTTAGCAAGGTTATAAGATATTAAGATATAAGATCAGTGTACAAGAATTAATTGTATTTCTAGTTACAAGCAATATACAGTGGGAAACTGAAAAAAAAATGATAAAACATCAAAAAACCTGAAATACTTAGGATACATTTGGTAGAAGTGTAAGACTTTTACTCTAAAAACTTTAAATATCACTGAGAGAAATTTAGAGACCTAAGTAAATGGAGAGGTATACTGTGTTCATGGATCAGAAAACTCAAAACTGTTAAGATGTCATGTGTCCTCAAACTGTGGTATTGATTCCAGTTCTAATCAAAATTCTGGCAGGCTTTTTTTTTTCCTTTCAGATAATACCAAACTTATTCTAAAATTTGTAAGGAAAGGCAAAAGACCTAAAATCGTCATAACTCACAAAAAGAAGGAAAAAAGTTGAAGAAATTACACTACCTTATTTCATGACTTACTGCTATAAAACTATAGTAATCAAGTACTGCATATGTGATACTGGTGTGTAGATAAACATATACGTTAATGGAAGCGGAGTCCAGAGACAGACACACAGATGTGTTAAATTGATTTTTGCTCAAGGTATTTTTGAGGAGAGTGTAATTTTCCCAAGCAAGGTATTAGGACAATTGGATAGCCATATGCAAATAAATGAACCTCAATGCTTACCTCCTACCATATACAAAAATAACTCAAAATTGGCCAAGAACTAAATGTAAAAGGTAAAACTATAAAACATCTAGAAGAAAACAGCAACAAACCTTAGAGACTTTGATTTTGGTAAAAGTTTCTTAAATACAGCACAATAAGCATAAACTATAAAAGCAAAAATCAATTGGGCTTTAGCAAAATTAAAAACTTTTCCTTTTCAAAATATACTAAAAAAATGAAAAACCAAACCACAGATGTGGAGAAGATATTTGTAAAACATACATCCAACAAGGAACTATTAGGAACTATTATCTAGAATAATAAGAATTAAAACCAAAACCAAAACCTCTTATAACTCAATAATAAGACACACAACACAATTAAAAGTGGGCAAAATATTTGAACGGACACTTCACTAAAGAAGACGTATGTATGGCAGATAAGCACATTAATTAATACTCATCATTAGTCTTTAGTGAAATGGAAATTAAAACCACAATGAGATTACACAACACATCCATAAGAATGACTGAAATTAAAAGGAGTAACCATAGGAAGTTTTGGCTAGGATGTGGAAGAATTGGAACTCTCATATACCACTAGTGGGAATATTAAAAGGAACAGCCACTCTGGAAAATGATTTATCATTTCTTTCCTTTTTTTGGAGGCAGTGTTGCTCTGTCTCCCCTAGGCTAGAGTGCAGTGGTGCAACCATAGCTCACTGCAGCCTTAACTCATGGGTCAAGTGATTCTCCTGCTTCAGCCTCCTGAGTAGCTGGGACTACAGACATCATCATGTCTTTTTTTTTTTTTTTTTTTTTTTGAGACAGTCTTGCTCTGTCGCCCAGGCTGGAGTACAATGGCAAGATCTCGGCTCACCGCAACCGCTGCCTCCTGGGTTCAAGCGATTCTCATGTCTCAGCCTCCTGAGTAGCTGGGAATACAGGCACCCGCCACCACGCCTGGCTAATTTTTGTATTTTTAGTAGAGATGGGGTTTCACTATGTTGGTCAGGCTGGTCTCGAACTCTTGACCTCAGGTGGCCCAACCGCCTCGGCCTCCCAAAGTGCTGGGATTGCAGGTGTGTCTTTTTTTAATTTTTATTTTTGTAGAGACAGGGTCTCGCTATGTTGTCCAGGCTGGTCTTGAACTCCCGGACTTAAGCGATCCTCCTGCCTTGAACTCCCAAAGTGCTGGGATTCCAGGTGTGAGCCCCTGCACTCGGCCACCAATTTCTTAGAAAGCTAAACATATACCTATTGTATGATCCAGCCATTCCACTTCTAGGTGGAATGACAGTATGTGCCTGTGAGAATGAAAGTAATTTCCTCCATGTGAATGTTCCCAGCTTTATTTGTAATAGCGCAAGATTAAAAATGACCTTTAGCATAAAGAACATGTTTGTTTTTTTCCAGTTCCTTTGCAGGCATCTTTATATGTATTTTGGTTAAAGCTCTTATCTCACTGGAGTGTGTCTAATGTCTAATCTGTCTTTCTGCCACTGTGGAAGGTAACTGCTTTAGTTCCCACCCTTCTCAGTGCTGCAGGAGGGGAGTCGAGAGGGCAGGGTTCTGGTCCCAGCTCTTGACACCTTGGGCTGACCAGGCACTTCTTGAGACCTCAGTGTTCTCCACTGGCAACTGTAGGCATTAAATTATATGTATTCTTTCATGAATATTTTGAGCACATGCTGTGTACCAGGCACTATTTTAGGTTCTGACAACACAATGAAGAAAACAGGCTGTGGTCCCTGCCCTCATGGAAGCAGTTTGTGATAATTTGTTATGGGCCGGACATGGTCCTAGGTTTTGAGAGGACAGCCCACGTTTTCATCCCGAGGAATTTATAAATTCATAGGAAATAGTGACAAAAATAAGTTAAAAGACAAAACTATAATTGTAAAACCTGTTATGAAGGAAACAATATCAGAGAAGACCCCCGCTTTAGAAGGGTTGTCAGAGGAGATGGCACTTCAGTTAAGATGTAAAGGCAGGAAGAGAATAGGTGCTCGCTGTGTCCTGGTCGTTGTCTCTTCTCTCAGAAGTCTGGATTGAACATAAGACTGATTTGATTTCTTCAGTCGTAGACATCTCTAAATGATAATAGCTTCATGGGGCCATCTGTTCTTCACCTCACGGCTTTCTTCAGGGAGTTTCATTGTCTAATTCAGGAAATATAAATGTCAATACATTAAATGGAATTAATTCTCCTTTCTGATGTTGAATGAATACTGCTTTGGCCCATAATTCACAAATAATGGAGACACAAGAAGAATAAAATGAAGTACATATGCTCTGGTAAGCCTAAGCCAGAGGTTTCAAATTGGTATCTGGCAGGCAAATCCTGCCTCCAGAGAGGTTTCTTTTGGCCTATAGTGTTTTAAAAGTCAAGAAATTTCACCTAAAACCCTAGACTTGTAGCATTGCCATTTAAATCTTTAGGTGTGGCCACTCCAGGCTCATGTTCCTACAGCACTGTGATCAGTCAGCACTGACTGGCAGAGCCCCCTTTGATGGGCGCATGCTCTCAGATCTCACTGCCCCTCCTTGTTTGACCTGCTTCACTTACCTGTTGTCACCTGTCTGGCCTCTGGGTGAATTTGAGTACGAATCATCTCAGGGTTTTTTTTGTTTTGTTTTGTTTTGTTTTGTGTTTAAATATCTCTGCCTGGGACCAGCCTACCGTGAGTCAGATCCACTCGTGCCAGGCTGGGTGATCCTGACGTGCAGCCGGGGTGAGGACCACACTCCTAGGACCATAGCACTGGCTGGAAACGTACTTTTGTTACAGCATTCACCACTGGAGCACACGCTGTCATGAGTGGGCAGCTCCTCTTTTACTCTGTTCCTGGAATACCTGGTAGTAGGTGCTTTAAATGCTTGTAACATAAATTAATCAATTATATTTTAATTTGATACGTATTTGATCTTGAAAAAGCATTTTAAAAAAACCCACATTTCCTGACCAGGTGTAGTGGCTCATGCCTGTAATCCCAGCACTTTCGGGGCGAGGTGAGAGGATTGCTTGAGCCCAGGAATTTTAGATCAGCCTGGGCAACCTAGTGAAACCTGTCTATTAAAAAAAAAAAAAATGCCGGGACTATGGGCATGGTGCTGAGCGCCTGTAGTCCCAGCTACTTGGGAGGCTGAGGTGGGAGGATCGCTTGGGCCCAGGAGGTCAAGGCTACTGTGAGTATAATCACATCCCTGCACTCTAGCCTGGGCAACAGAGCAAGACCCTGTCTCAAAAACCTTCACATTTCCTAATTTAGATACGTGGATATTTTTTGTTTGTTTTACTTTTCTTTAGTAGGTAACACATTCATGTGGTTTTAAGATCAAAATGTGGAAAGGAATATAGTGAAAAGTCTCCTTTACCCTTCTGGTCTCTGTCTGACCAGTGCAGCACCCCCCTGCCCTCCCCACCCCCCACTCAGCAAGTACAAGCAAATCCCACCATAAATTCTCATTTTACCCCCTTTTTACTCAAAAGGTAGCTTCCTAAAAATAATGTTCTCTCATATCTCTTTAGCCTTGATGTAACTTGAAGATCTTATCATGTTAGTAGAGAGCTTCCTTCTTTTTCTTTTAACAGTTGAAAAGTATTTTTCATTGTTTGGGCATATTATGATTTACTTAACGAGTACCTAATTGAAGGACATTTGGACTTTTCCTAACATTTGCTGCTGTGAGCAATGCTGCAGTTAATACCCTTCTATGAATGTCATTTTACACACACTCGTGTGTAGTATAGTTCTATGATAATAAATTTCCGGCTGGGCATAGTAGCTCATGCCTGTAATCCCAGCACTTTGGGAGGCCAAGGTGGGCAGATTGCTTAAGTTCAGGAGTTTGAGAC
Source organism: Homo sapiens (assembly GCF_000001405.40). Lineage (NCBI taxonomy): Eukaryota > Metazoa > Chordata > Mammalia > Primates > Hominidae > Homo > Homo sapiens. Next base: position 119,322,422 of record NC_000002.12, on the reverse strand, counting down.
CAGCCTGGGCAACATGACAAAACCCCATCTCCACAAAAAAATACAAAAAATTGCTGGGTGCGGTGGCATGCACCTGTAATCCCAGCTACTTGGGGGGTTGATGCAGGGGGATCACTTGAGTCTGGGAGGTCGAGGCTGCAGTGAGCCATGTTTGTTCCACTACACTCCAGTCTGGGCAGCAAAATGAGACCCTGTGTCAATCAGTTAATCAATAAATTCGTTCATTCACTCATTGATTCTGAAGTGGAATGGCTAGGTCAAGGAGTATGTGCATATGTAATTTTGAGATATATATATATATACACATATATACACACATTTCTCTGTTAGGTGTTGTACCAGCAGATATTAATTAAAATTAGTACTGGCATTTGGAATATGTTTTTAAAAGAATATTTACTGTGTTTTGTTGTCTTTGAGGAGTTAGAGGAGTTATTTTGTTGGTTATATGAATTTTGGTGGAGTAATAAGATTGTTCTAGATCATTGGTTTCCACTAATGGCCAAAGACCCATAAGGGGCTCTCAGATTCATATGCTAAACAAACATCAGCTATATATATATATATATGTCTCACACAAGTGTATTAGTATATATTTTAACTATACATAGATACTGTTGTCTAATGAAATTAAACATTCTTTTAATAGTGTTACTGAAGTCTTAGTTCAGATAGTAACAACTCAACATCTTGTCAATAGCTCTAATATTTTAGATGGTGATATGCTTTGGCCGTATCCCTACCCAAATCTCATCTTGCATTGTAGCTCCCATAATCCCCACCTGTCAGGGGAGGGACCTGGTGGGAGAGAATTGAATCATGGGGGTGGGTTTTTCCCATGCTGTTCTTACGGTAGTGAATAAGTGTCGTGAGATCTGATGGTTTTATAAAGGGCAGTTCCCATGCACAGACCCTCTTGCCTGGCGCCATGTTAGATGTGCCTTTGCTCCTCTTTCACCTGCCATGATTGTGAGGCCTCCCCAGTCCATTAAACATTTTTTTTAATAGATTACCTAGTCTTGGGTATTTCTTTATAGTGGTATGAGAATGGACTAATATAGATGGCCCTTGGATTTCGGTGATGTATTTATTCTGTGTTCTGTCAGGTTTTTCAAGGTAACTTAGTCTGTAGATAGAAAAGAATAGAACCAAAAGACTGTGCATATTCTATGAGTGTCTATTTGCTTATTGTGTAAAAAAATAATCTTTCTCTTGTAGATATCCCTTTAAGGACCAACCTGCCACCACCATTCAGAAATTATAAATATGGTAACCATTTTTTTATTCTTTTAAAATATATATAAATACAATTTTGCATTAGTTTGTTACAAACTTAAATTTTGTTTTCAAAAATGACTATCTGTAAATAAAAACCAATTTGGAAGTTTATTTAGAAATACAGGAATGCTAGTATATTGCTGAAATGAATTGTAATAGTAAGGAAGTGGCGTATTTGCAAAGAGTAGCATGTTTGCCAAAACTGTGTTTAAAACGAGTTTCTCTGCCAGGTAATTAGAAAAGGAAAAATGATTGAAGACTAAGAATTAAAAGAAGGGATTTAACATTTTAAATGCCAATAATTTGAGCATGTTATATAGTAGTTTTATGTGTTACAATTGATGATTTAAAAATGGAGTAATAAGGTAAGAAGCTAGATGTTGTCATTCATTATTTGTTATAAAGATGGCACAGTTATTAACCTTCAGCAGAGTGACACTCACCAAACTTTGAATTTGAGACTTCATTTGAAAGGTATGATGCACCTAATAAATATTTCTCTTAATTGGTGCAGACATTTTAAAGTATAAATTTTTTATTACCTTAGATTTTTTTTTGGAGTGGCTTTTCATTCTGTTCTCATTTGATAGAACAACTTATGACCTAAAATCCTTTGAAATCACAATCTTCGCCGTGTGTATGCATTTTAATATCCAGAAACTAATTGTGAGGTTATAAGGGGTAGTGAAGCAGAAGTTGAAGGCACTGAGTGGAAAGTACTTTGATTTATTGGGCTTAAAGAATTTACATACTCAATATTGAATAAGATAAAGGAATAAAAAGGATGATTAAGGTAAATATGAAACTTCTCAATTGTGGCTTTCAAGGCTTTCAAAGTATAATGTCTTGAAATATAGCCTTAAACTTGAATCAACTTACAGATGCCATTTTAAATTAGAATAGTTACATATGGTTTCCTTTTTTCATGGTGTGTGTGTATGTGTGTATCTATATGTCTATGTGCAAAGCTGTGTTCCATGTAAGTTCTTTTGAAAGAAATTTTAGATAATGAAAGCGTTAGAATATCCAAGTTGCTAAGCATTATTGTGGTAGATAATGTACCTTTTAGACTATTCTATCTTATTAACTTCCTTCTGCCCTAGTATTTCTATACTATTCAGATGAATTGGCAGAAAAAATGAATACATTTATTTGTGAAGAAATTATAGAACCACTCGAGTTTTGATAGACTTCAAGTGGCTTTGTCTGAACTTGGCTGTTTAACAATCTTCTGCTTTCTGTTGAACAAGAAAGGCTGCAGTGTTATTTTCACCTGTCATTGTCATCCGGGACTGCCACCTCACGGTCTGCGGGACAGGGCACTTTGTTAGGTATTCGGGAGTGGAAAGAGTGTGGAGTCAGATTTCAGTTTTGCCAGTCACTGTCTCCCTACCCTTTGGCAAAGGGCTGATTCTCTCTGCCACCAAGAGCCTGAGATATCTCAGAGCCCTCCTCCCATTTAATTGGCATCCACATCTATTATTGATTTACCACGCATGCTACTTATCTTAAATCCCTATCGCCTAGACATGACCCATGAGGGCACACAAGAATGTAGTTGTTGTACAGTGTGGGCTGCTCATCCCTCTCTGTTTCATAAAGCTGTGTGTGATGCTCCACAAATACAAGATGATATTTTTATGAGGTTGCTTTCCTCAAGGAATTTGTATTAAGAAAACAATGCCCACAGGTATTGTTTGTGATAATTATGAGGATTATTTGAAAGAAGCAAGAACAAGGGAAGCAGCTTATTCAACACAGAAAGGGACAGTAATACATCTCTCTGCTGGTTTGTCATTTCTCCTTTCTTACCCACTCCTCAGGTCACACCCCTTTCTGTTGGAGAGAAAAATCTGGCAAAAACTTCTCTTCAAAACATTTCTTTTTCTGCTAAAATATGTAGCCGTTTAATTGTGTGTTTGCCAAACCTATTAGAGCAGCAGGATTTCTAGTTTAAAGGCTCATTAGCAAAATATATAGAACAGGATTAATATTTAGTAAGGTCAGACTATAGTTTTGCAGGTTGATTGCAACAGACTTTGAGCTCCTGTTATTTTAAAAATACTATTGGCTTCTCTCACTTGTCTCAAATAATAAACATATCTATAGTAAGAAAAAGGACATGATAGGTAATTTGGAATACTAGATAAGCTGAAAGTCAACTTTGTTTATTTTCTTACACACATTTTAAGCTTATTTTTAGCAATTATGGTTTATTTACATCCCTAATATGCATATTTTACTTAGGTTAGATTTATTTTTATTTCTTAGGAATACAGAGTTACTGAGGATTATGTTGACCTTGTATAAAAAATTACAAGGCCAGATGCAGTGGATCATGCCTGTAATCCCAGCACTTTGGAAGCTGAGGAGGGCAGATCACCTGAGGTCAGGAGTTCGAGACCTAGCCAACATGGTGAAACCCTGTCTTTACTAAAAATGCAAAAATTAGCTAGGTGTGGTGGTGGGAGCCTGTAATCCCAGCTGCTCGGGAGGCTGAGGCAGGCGAATTGCTTGAACTTGGGAGGTGGAGCTTGTAGTGAGCTGAGATCATGCTGCTGTACTGCAGCCAAGGCGACAGAGCAAGACTCCGTCTCAAAAAAAAAAAAAAATTGCAATAGATAACTGAAAGTTGACTATTTAAAATAATGGGCAAATTCAGAGTGCTAGTTCTTATCTAGATAGCCACCTTATTGTGTATTATGAGAACATAGTTAAATAAGGTCTGTTTTAAAAATAGATCCTTTCATTTCCTGTCACTGTTGGAATTCCTTGTTACAACGTGATTGATAGGAATGAGTTTTAGTTTAAGTTTGGGAGTTTATTCAATAATACACTGTAATCATAATGCATTCATTAAATGTTTAAATAAAAACGAGTGAAGAATCGGAAACTTTCTGAATTTCAACCTGTTGAATGGCTGTGTAGATTATGTAATTAAGGGCTGATTGTTGCTGAGTTCGAATTTTACCCAAGTGTGGAGAAATTACTTACTGGAAGTGCACAGTGTAGCCTGACTTCAAGATAAACAAATTAAGGAGTGAAGTTGGGTTTGAATAGAGCAGATGAAATGGTGTGAGCCTGTGCAGTATTTGCAAACCAAGAGACAGATAGTGATATTCCTGGGGCATTAGCAGCCTTGCTCAGATTCCCGGTGGTCCTAGATACAGTGTTTGAATACTGAGAGTGGCAACACCTGTATCATCATTTGCTCTCTTGTCATTATATCTCATCTGAATAGATTTTTTTGAACTGCATTTGCTAATGTCTATTTTAAGACTTTTTTTTTTACATTATTTGCTAATCCTGTTCTGTATTGACTCCAAAAAAACAAGGTACAGTAATCTGATTTGCTTGTCTTCCATTCTAAGAAAAAATGTGCTGAGTTGACAAAAAGTTCTGACACACACACTGCTGTGTGTCAAAGACCAAGGCTTTAAAAGATAAAGATCTTTTACTTCAGTTTTAATGATCTACAGAAGTAATTTTTCTTTTGCTGTATAGTATATTTCTAAATGAGTCTGGTTATAAAACAAGGACTTACATTTCTCAATTTCGTAGCCACCCTCCACCCATTTTAATAATTTGAAAAGAAGTTTAGAATAAACTGTGTAAAAAGATAACTTGCTTTTTTCTTTCAGATGCACTAAAGATTATTCATCAAGCACATAAATCAAAGGTATGTTCCACAGGTACAGTATCTGGCACATAGCAAGTAATCAATGTTGGTTGAATTTGTGAATAAGTGAATGAATACATGTACATCTAAAATATTTCCCATTATAATAGCGCTTTTTATTTTGTAGGTACCCTTTTTACTGCCTTAGCTTTTTCATTGAAGAAAAATAAGCTATTTCCCTGTTAGTAGTAGGTCCTTTTTAAAAAAGTGTTAATTAAAAAAAGTATACCATATTTTGTTTATCAAGCACATATTTAACATAAAATAAGCATAAAACTTGGAAAAGTAAATTCAATTTACAGATAAAAGAAACTGCTTATTATCTGGCAATCCAGTGTCTTTGATTTTCTTAATTCTGTACCAGAACAAAAGGGCCAGATGCAGACACAAATAATTCACTTGTTCTAATTTGATTCTTGCTGTGTATAAGAGAAGGCACAGAACTGTGGCTCTGGGAACACACCTTTTAGCTCCACCAAGGCCATGGCCTGCAATCCTGAAGTTGTCTTACCTTTCCCAAAGAGAGCTGTTTATTTATGGGTTTGTTGTGTGTTTATATTTCTGTTTTTTTACTTTTTTAGAGTAACGTTTTTATGAAGCCACAGTCAAAGATTTGTTTATCATACAGACAGAGCAGAGTGATCTTTTTTTCTTTAATCTCTGGCCTTCCATAGAGTCCTCATTAAAGCAGTAATCTTCCTGTATTATATAAACTACTCAAGAATAAGATATTATTTGTCATATCCCAATACCTAGCACAGTGCCTGGCTCATAGGAGTTTTTCCATAACAATTTTTGAATGAAGTATTTATTAATTCATTTTATTTCATTGTCTTCTGTAGTCGTAGATGCACTCCATACACTCAATCACCTTTCAGATAAATGCGTATCACAGATCACAAGAAAATGGCATGAGGCTATGTCTGTTGACCATTGATTAGTAACTGTGTTTTAAAATTTATGTTATTTAAAAAATATTTTTGTGGCTTAAAACAACACACATTTATTCTCCTACAATTCTGGAGGTCAGAAGTCCAAAATCAGTTTCACTGAGCAAAAGTCAAGGGTTTAGTAGGCTTGGTTCCTTCTAGTAACTTTATTTTTTATACCAAGGATTGTATATGCCAGTTTTACAATATCCATTGTGAAATGCCTCAAAATGTCATGCTCACACGTGTCTGGGGCTGTGGTATGGAATCTGCCCTTTTGATTGGTACTAGAATGTGTGGCCACCATATTTGGACTTCGTCCAATTTCTCTCCTCTGGGACAGGAATGTTTTCAACCTCATTCCTAAAATGTAGAGAATAGGTAATGTTCTATATTTTTGTGTATTATATACATCTAAAATACAAATACAAATATAAAATAAAGTTAAAATAAAACAATACGCTCTTCAAAAAGGTTGTAAAGCAAAGCAAGTCCCCATTCTCCATTCATTGCTGCATGTTCTACATCATTTGGCTTTTCATATGCTCATGTTGCCAAAAAGGAGTAAGTAGTAAATTATTCCTTTATCTTAGTGGAGACATAGTTCATCATGTTCAAATTATCAGTATTATAACATTTAAAAAATCTGGAAATTATCCTGTCATCGGAAGACAAAACAATCTTAGAATTGTTACTTATATTTAAGACATATGTTTCACACTGGCAGGTTCTAGTTATAAAATTAGGGCTTGTTTTTCCAGTTGAACAATGTATTTGTTTAAGGGAGGACTCCCAAAACAATTAAGTCACTCAGAGTGCTTCTGGAATCTGGCTTTATGAACTTTGATCCAAATCATAACAATGCTAGTTAAGATGCCCTGGGGATGGTTCTGCAAGTTTCTGCTTCAACTTTTCTAAGGGAAGAGTTCAATATATTTTCACAGATACGGTTTTAAAACTTCAGAGAAACTTCATCCACATGTCCTCATTTGTGCCTTATCCAGTTCACAGTCATTTTTCTCATTTCCAAGTTATTGTTGTCCTTTCATTTTCTATTCCCCATCTGCGGGGCCTGTGGCATTGCTGGCTTGGCCTGTTAGTGTTCCAACTCAGCTGTAATTTTAATCTCCTTCGTCAGCTGAAAGGAGAGACTTCTAAATAATTCCTTTGTCTTAATGAACTCATTCATAAAAGGCATTTTCCCCATTTCCCTAATTTTCTGGGCTTAGAGACTTTCCTAATTGCAGTTACTACATATCCTCAGAAATTTCTTCCCATTCCCACAATAAAAAGACTGACTGGATACCTTCCCACCCGAGCCTCCTCTGTGTGTGTGTGTGTGTATGTGTGTGTGTATTATGGATGGTAATCAGTGGTGTGTTTATAAAGTCGGAATAATTTCTATTAAGATTGAAATAAAAACTTTAATTTCCATTTTATGTGTGGAAGTCATATCCTGGAACAAACTTTATAAGAAATGTGCAAGGTCTTTAAAAAGAAAACTTAAAATGCTGCTGTCCTTCCTCACCCCTCACCACACACACACTTGAAAATACGCATCTAAACTCTGCGATTAATTTTTCAGACCCATTAAAGTGAACTCCTCTCAAGATCTGTGCGTTTCATTGTGTGAAACTGTACTTCAACTTAACAACAAAACAAAACCTGCTATGAGAGTTCCAAAATAAGACTTAAATAGAAATGCTTAGGATATTTTGGATAGGAAGATACAACAGCGTAAAATCAGTTCTCTCTTAATTTACATATTTAATGCTGCCCCAATAAAATACAATACTTGTGTTTATATGTAAACTAAATAAGCTGATTTTAAAATCAGTATGTAAAAAATAAGAATAATCAGGAGAATTTTGAAAAAGAGAAATGAGAGTAATTAGCTCTAACATATAAGACATGTTATAAAACGATAGTAATTAGAACAGTATGGCACTGTCACATGAACTGGTAGTTTAAGGGCACAGAATTAAAAGTTCCAAAATAGACCCCAATATTTCCAAATATGGAAATTGAATGTATAGTAAATATGGCATTTCAAGTTTGTAAAGAAAAGATGGAGGACTCAATAAATAGTATTTGAATAACTGCATAAACATCTAAAAAACAGCTAAGTTGAATCCATGTATTTTTCTTTATGCCAAAATAAATACCCCTTGGATTAAAAAATTAAACCCATAGATGAGGATAGAGATGAAACAGATGGAACATGACTTGATAATTTGTTCAAGTTGGGTCCTGGGTACAGGGCAGGGGGTTTATTACACTATTCTGTATCTATTGTATATTTGAAATTCTCCACGATGAAAAATTCAAAAAATGAAATTCTTAAAAATATTTGAAGAGAACAGGGAATTTAAAAAATCTTGGCGTGAAGAAGGGCTTTCTAAATATGACAGAAAACTGAGAAACGATATGAGATTGATACATTTTACTTCATTCACTAACTTATTTATTCCACGAAAATTCATTTAACACCTTCTATGTAAAAAAAAAAAAAAAAAAAAAAACCACTGAGAAAAGCAAGGAACAAATGAAAAGTGGGGGAAATTTTTCTAACTTACAGAAAAGGCCGAATTTCCTTAGCATGTGAAGATGCTCTAGACTCTACAATTCTATTGGAAAAATTAGCCTACAATTCCATTAAAAAATAGAAAATATTCAGAACTTTAAGCATAATAAAATACAAATTAAGACTATACTTAATCCACACCTGTCAGATTGGCAAGGATCAGAAGGCTTTGCTAATATACTGTGTTGGGAGGGTGTGGGAAACAGGTCCTCTCAGTGGTCCCAGTCCTCTCTGGAGAACTAGATAGCTGGTGGATGGGGATTGGAAGGAGACTGACTTTTCACTTTCTATTCATATATGCTTGGAGAACTTTGTATAATGAGTAGATATTACTTATTCTTTGTTTTTTGTTTTTTTGAGACACAATCTCACTCTGTTGCTCAGGCTGGAGTGCAGTGGCATGAACACAGCTCACTGCAACCTCTACCTCCCAGGATCAAGATATCCTCCTGCTTCAGCCTCCTGAGTATCTAGTAGTATAGATGTGTGCCACCACACCCAGCTAATTAAATAAAACTTTTTTTTTTTGTAGAGATCGGGTCTTGCTATCTTGCTCAGGCTGGTCTCAAACTCCTGGGCTCAAACAGTCCTCTTGCCTTGGCCTCCCAAAGTGCTGGGATTACAGACTGTATTACCTATTCTAAAATGATTTTTTGAGTAAAGTATTTTTTCTTTTAATCTGTATGCTCTGGAGTTTTAAGCCCCTGTGCTCTGCAGTGAATGAGGTCCATAAACCCTGCGTGGCTTGGGCTTCTGATTTGGCTGCTGAGAGGCCTTTCTGTTGACTCTCTGTCTCAGCTGTATTCTACAAATAGAATATGTTGCTAAACAGGTGTGTTCTGGTTGACAAGTAGTGCTGTGTGCCACTAGTGGTTATCTCTTTGTGCTATTTAGGGGCAGATAGCAACTTTTTTTTTTTTTTTTTTGAATGGAGTCTTGCTCTGTCGCCCAGGCTGGAGCGCAGTAGTGCAATATCAGCTCACTGTAAGCTCTGCCTCCCAGGTTCATGCCATTCTCCTGCCTCAGCCTCCTGAGTAGCTGGGACTACAGGCACCTGCCACCGCTCCCGGCTAATTTTTTTGTATTTTTAATAGAGACGGGGTTTTACCATGTTAGCCAGGATGGTCTCGATCTCCTGACCTTGTGATCTGCCTGCCTCGGCCTGCCAAAGTGCTGGGATTACAGGCATGAGCCACCGCACCCAGTCAATAGCAAGTTTAAATTTTCACTTGTATTTATGAGTCTCACTGGATTTGTAAATATCACTGGAGAGCACTCTCATTTACCCCCACCCCAAATCACATAGAGAAATATTCCAATTAATGTGACATGGAACCAGATGTTTTTTAGCTTGGGCAAGGTTTTTAGATATGTGGACTTCTGGCCGTTTGAAGTATACTTGTGGCCAGGTGTGGTGGCTCATGCCTGTAATACCAGTATTTTGGGAGGCCAAGGTCAGAGGATCACTTGACCTCAGGAGTTTGAGACGAGCCTGGGCAAGATAGTGAGACCCCGTCTCTACTAAAAATAAAAAAAATTAGCCAGGCTTGGCGGCACATGTATGCAGTCCCAGCTACTCAGGAGGCTGGAGATGGGAGGATTGCTTGAGCCTTGGAGACTGAGGTTGTAGTGAGCCATAATCACGCCACTGCACTCCAGCCTAGGTGACAGAGTGAGACCCTGTCTCGAAAAACAAAACGAAAAAAGGAAGTATACTTGCTTCTCTCAGAAGTCGGACTGGCCAGAGCTGGAAGCTCAGCTCTGTCGCTGACCAGGTGAGGATGGCAGAAGATGATGATGATGATGCAGCAAAAGAACAGTGACAGCTAAGAGAGAGTGCTCACCCTGCGGCCGGCACTGCTGAGGGTTTATATGCCCCATCCTGTCACCCTTACCACAGGTGATGAGGAAGGGGCCTCTCCTCCCCTTTTCTACCAATGAGGAAATCGAGTCCTAGAGAGGTTGTGTAGCTTGTTGAGAACACACAGCTGGGTGCTGGTGGAGTCTGGATTTGCATCCTGATCTGACTTCACGCCCATGCCACAGAACTGTCCCCACTGCTTTATGTGGTGCGTGAGCTCGGCAGGACCTCACTGTGCCTCTGTTCACTGCCCTCATTACGGCCAGGGCAGTGGAATCTACTTAGATTATTGCTGTGCTCAGAGTTACAACTCTGTGTCTTTGAGAAGTCTCACCAAACAAACCCATGTAAGTACTGATAAAATGCAGATTTTCTTTTTTTTTTTTAGACAAATGAACTTGTGTTGAGTTTGGAAGATGACGAAAGACTCCTGCTGAAAGAAGACAGCACTCTGAAAGCAGCTGGAATCGGTGAGGAAGGGGGCCTTGTGTTGCTGGAGGGGGACCTCTGCCGGCCTATCCTGAGGCCTGGCTGATGGTATTTGGATAACTCACTGGAAAGTAAATGCTGTCCTTGGTCCCCCTGACACTGCCCGGTAACTGTTCAGAGGAGGAGGATGAGAATGATGTGCATTCCGATCTCTTGGCTGAGGACAGTAGGTGTCTGCTCTCCAAATATGCAGAATGCAAATGGCTGTTTTCAGAAGGTATGCTCAGAATTCTCCTGAGGGTCATTTTAAGTGACGGGTTGTAAGTACCACGTCTACTTACTCTTATCATTGTCACTTGAGCCGATGGTTGGAGAGAAATGGACATAGTAAGAACTAATGAGGAATAATGAAACGCATTGTTGGTATCACATGCAGTGTGGTTTTTGATAGTCTTCCGAATCACTCAGGGCCCACCAAGGCATGGAATTTAAAATAGGAACCTGGTGTGTGCAGCTGAAAAGTACCTGATTGGGCCTTCCAGCCTAGAATGTGCATGTGGTTTTATTCTAAATAAATGTTATGTGACATGTTTTGTGACCATTAGATGTCACTGTTATTCTACGTATATGTACACCTAAAGCTGATCTGGCAGGAGAGGGAGTGGAGATTGTCAGGGAGGTCTGAGTGGTTAAAGGCAGTGTGCCCCTCACACACCTCTGCGGTTGGTGACGGATGCAGTGTCACAAGCCATGCTTCTTCTTAATTATTTATTAATTTATTTATTTTTTGAGACAGAGTCTCACTCTGTCGCCCAGGCTGTAGTGCAGTGGTGCAGTCTCGGCTCACTGCAACCTCCATCTCCCGGGTTCAAGCGATTCTCCTGCCTCAGCTTCCTGAGTAGGTGGGACCACAGGTGTGCACCAGCACGCTTGGCTAATTTTTGTATTTTTTTAGTAGAGACAGGGTTTCACTATATTGGCCAGACTGGTCTCGAATTTCTAACCTCAGGCGATCTGCCTGCCTCGGCCTCACATTGTTCATAATTATTTATATGCACTTGTTAAGGAACACGGTTAGTGAGGTGCACATTGGGAGCCTGAATTTTTTTTTTGACAAGTATTATTTTGAGTTACTTTAATCACTTGTATCAGGAATTTACTTCTGATTGATTCACGTGATGAGCATGAATTCCTGACATAGATCTTCTGAGTTAAATAGGATCTTAAATACCATGTTGTGAAATCTTAGACTTGATTTCTGTGTTGATGTCTACAATATTTGCTAGAATATTCTTGTCTTTCCATGTTATGAATATGTAAGGTTGTTATTTTGAAGAATGATTTTAAATTTGGCATTTGTTTCTTTAAATGCTATTATATTATTGTAGCAGGTGGCACCTTTGTGATTGGGGCATGTAGCACCCATAAGGTAGCCCTGCTTGTTGTTAAAGCATAAAGCATAATGAATATTACAGACTGATATTAATGGGGGTGTTGACAGACAGCTCCATGGAAAACACTGGAGAATCCAAAAATGAAAAAAAGGGTAATATTTCACAGGATGATAAAGTTGACATTTCAAATAAGTGAGGAAAGAATGATTTAGCCAGAAAATTATGTCAAGCCCATTGCCAAAGCATTCAGGAAAATAAAATTCAAACTCGTATCTCATCTCTGTTTTTATTACAAAATAAATTGTAGATGGGTTAAATGTTATAATGTAAAAAAATTTTTTAAAAAGAAAGTGTAGTTCAATAATTTCATAATCTTGGGAAGGAGAAGAGTTTTCCAAGCATGAGCTCAAAGACAGAAGCCATAAAGGGGGAGAAGTGATAAATTTGACTACCTATAAACTAAAAACTGTAAACACAGTTAAAGGAGAAACAATAAACTTTGAAAAATATCTGCAGCATATACAACAGATAAAAAGTTATTAGCCTGGGGTCGGGCATGGTGGCTCATGCCTATAATCCCAGCACTTTGGGAGGCTAAGGCGGGGAGGATCACTTGAGGTCAGGAATTCGAGACCAGCTTGGCCAATATGGTGAAATCCCATCTTCACTAAAAATACAAAAATTAGCCAGGTGTGGTGGCACACGCCTGTAATCCCAGCTACTTGGGAGGCTAAGGCACGAGAACGGCTTGAACCTGGAAGGTAGAGGGTGCAGTGAGCTGAGATCATACCACTGCACTCCAGCACAGCACTCCAGCCTGGGCAACAGAGTGAGACTCTATCTCAAAAAAAAAAAAAAAAAAAAAAAAAAGAAAAAGAGAAAAAAAGAAAAGTTACTAGCCTGACTTTATAAAGAGCCCTTGTAATTACTATGAAAAAGAAAAATTCTATTGATAGAAGAAATAACTCACACATAAAAAATAGCTCCACCTTATTAGGAGAGAATGAGTACTTATTAGAAATGAGTACATAGATACTGTTTTATGTAGTAGAGTCTAGTGTTAAGACTCTAGTCTGGGGCCAGGTGCAGTGGCTCATGCTTGTAATCCTAGCAGTTTGGGATGCCAGGCTAGTGGATCGCCTGAGGCCAGGAGCTCTAGATTAGCCTGCACAACAATTAGCATGCTCATCTCTATGAAAATAACAGAGTCCAGAGCCAGAGTGCTTGGGTCCAAAACCTGATTCTGTCTTTTACTGTCTGGGTGACCTTGGACAGCAGCAATTGTTATAAGATTAGCAGACATGAAAAAGTGGCATTGTCCAAGGGAGTTCAAGGTGTAGGAAAATGGATACTCTTATACCACCGTCGGGAATGAATATGACCTTGAATTTTCTGTGGGTCGGTTTGACCAATAAGACTTTCTCAAGTTTGAATTTCAATGGTACTTGTTTCTAAGCCAACAGGGACAAGCTGTGAGGTTGTGCTAAGTCTTCAGAAGGGTGGTGGGGTTAGCCCTGACCTTCCCTGTATGTGAAGCACTGATGTAGAGCTTGATTTATTGAATAGAAATAGAACATACTGTGTGATACCATTATTGTTTGGGTTTTTTTGTTTTTGTTTTTGTTTTGAGACCAGAGTCTTGCTCTGTCGCCCAGGCTGGAGTGCAGTGGCACAATCTCAGCTCACTGCAGCCTCCACCTCCTGGGTTTAAGCAAGTCTCCTGCCTCAGCCTCCTGAGTAGCTGGGATTATGGGTGTGCACCACCATGCCCAGCTAATTTTTGTATTTTTTAGTAGAGACCGGGTTTTGCCATATTGGCCAGGCTGGTCTCGAACTCCTGACCTCGGTTTTCCACCTGCCTTGGCCTCCCAAAGTGCTGGGATTACAGGCATGAGCCACTGTGCCCGACCCCATTATTGTTTTAAAATGTTTAAAGTATACATGTAAGATTATTGTTTATGCGTATATGGAGAAAAGATCATACGCCAAAATTATAGAAATGGTTTCTTGAGGTGCTGGCATTGCCAGTAATTGATATTCTTCTTTCTTTTCTGTATTATCTAATTGCTTTTATGGTGATTTAAAAATTTTTCTACAGTTTACATGTATTCCTTGTAATTAAAGGACGAATTTTTTTTAAAAGTATAAACCCATGAAGTTGGGGAAAATCGGTTAGAATGAAGGCTGTGTGCTTTGCTTGCTTTCTGTAAGCCTCTTATCCTCTCTGAAACTCTATTTTGTTTTCTGTAAAAACAGAATAATGAAACCTATTCTAGAAGGTTGTCATAAAGGTTGTGTAAAACAATGAAGGCATCCGGAGTGATGTGTGTAAAAGGCCCTCAGGAACAACTGCTTTGTTTGGAAACTGTCCTGGAGAAGGCAGTTGGCAAGTTTTGACTTTACTAAAATATTGAGTTGTTGGTCTTGTTGTGATTAATTTCAAACTGACTTATGTAATGAACCATCTGTAAAGGTGAGAAGCAAATCCCTCTTTTTGTCCTCTTACTTTAAGGCTATTGGTCCTGGATCAGAGTCAGATTATTTTCCCAGATTCTCCACTCATTTCAGGGTGTTGTGAGGACTCCAAACTGCCCTCCGAACTCCTAACTCCGAACTCCGGCAAGCCAGCAACCCTGGGCTCGGGGTGATTTGGGTCCCTGCAGGGAGCGATTTTCTCTTTGTTATCTAGAGTGGTGTTGCTATGCTCTTGGGGACAAGCTGAGGTTATACCTGGGGAAGGAGATGAGGGTACCTGGAGAGCAACAAAAAATTCTAGTGAGAATTGAGTTGTGAAAATGATACTTGAAATGTGATTTTTTTTTTTTTTTTTAAGACAGAGTCTCTCTCTGTCGCCCAGGCTAGAGTGCAGTGGCACGATCTCGGCTCACTGCAACCTCCGCCTCCCAGGTTCAAGTGATTCTCCTGCCTCAGCCTCTGAGTAGCTGGGATTACAGGCATGTGCCACCACGCCCAGCTAATTTTTGTATTTTTAGTAGAGACGGGGTTTCACCACGTTGGCCAGGCTGGTCTTGAACTCCTGACTTCAAGTGATCTGCCCACCTCAGCCTCCCAAAGTGCTGGGATTATAGGCGTGAGTCATTGTGCCTGGCCTGAAATATGTGATTTTTCTAGGGAATTTTCCCTCCCTCAGTGCCGTGTCTGGTTAGATTTTTAAGAGGTTTAAGAGAAAAATTCGAAGTCATCTCTGTCTCCCTTTTCACTGCTTGATCTTGCTGTAGAGCTGTCACTGCTATCACAGCCAGTTGCCATGGGAATAATGCCAGGGTAACAAATTTATCGTTAGGACTTTTCTGCAGTAGTCATGAAAGGAAAAGAAAGGCTGCAAGTGGGGAAATTAGGGGAAAAAAAGGTGTTTGAAGATTTCTTTTCTCAGGGAGAAATTCTCTAGTTCATCCTTTGGCTTTTTATCTGCACTGCAGATCCCCGTGGAACATTCTACACCTGACGTCAGTGGAGTTTTTGCTTGTGGACCCAGTACGAAAATACGTACTTCAAAAAGATTTGATCAGTAGAAGCAAGAAGAGACTTTTACCTAGAAATGTTACTTATAATTTTTTGTCAGCAATTGTAGTTTTATGGGCTAATTCCCCTAAGTAATAAATTTACATGTAAGCTTTTTTTTTTAAGTGTTATTTTCTCTCTTTCATTTTGCTACATTCTACTACTGTTGTCTTTCGAATCTGGTCTGGTTTAAGAGAGAAATTGTGGCTGGGTAACTCTTCCAAAGCCAGTTGTGTTTCATTGGAAACATTTTAAAACAAGATACAGCGGCCAAACTCTAAGTGTTTATCTGAGGGAAGCATTCTCGGCAAGCCAGGTCCTGTAATAATTCCAGAACTCCCTCGTGGTTCGTTTTCATTTTGCGTGTCACTTCTGTCATCTGCCCCCAACTGGAACCCTGTCGTTCACGCCTCGCCCCTTTGGGTGATCTTGTCTGTACAGCTAATATTGTGGGATTCTGTGGCTCCCCCTTCTCTTTCGGGATGATGTTTGATTTGTGTTTCCTTAAGGTGTGAGTCCCATTCCCTTTCTTTTTCTGGGTAGCAATATTTTAGGTCATGCGTGTTTTCTTCCTTCGACAGTATGTTATGGTGGCCGTTCTTCACTCTTACATAGAAACAGTGATAATCTGGTTACTCGGTAATGTGGGTGTCGGACCCAGGAAACTGGGGGATTCCAGAAGCAGGACTCAGAGTGAACCTCTGTAGAGTGTTTCCCGTTTTACCTTCCCACACCATGGTGGAAATTACAGGCATGTACCCAGTCTATCAAAGACCGAGGTTTTTTTTGTTTTTTTTTTTTTTTGTTGTTGTTTTTTTTTTTGGCTAGTTGTTTTCTTCAAACTGTAGTTTGAAATCTTCTCTGCCAGCAGATCCAAAACAAATATTTGAAGCAAGTCATGAAATAAAAGGCACAGCACTTGGGACGTCTGTTGGTGATGAAAACTTAGAAATATAACTCAGCTGTGAGCACAGCTTTGAATGATTTATAGATTAGGATTTTATGACATTTGGGAGGCTAGGCTATACTCCTAGAGCGGGAGAGAGGGTGAAACTTTGTCCTTTTGGTCTCAGATTGCCACAGAAGCCACACCTCGCCCTTCCTGTATTTTTTTTTGTCAACAGTGTGCAGTTATTGTCACATGTCAGCTTCCAAGATTGTGGATTTTCTGTACCACAAAATCAGTGCGTGTGTCTCAGGCTCCTTTTTCCAGACAACAGGGGCTGTGCCTCATACTACGTTGGTGCTGACTAGCATGAGGCTAGGGACTCAGACATATGGGTAAATCCTTGTTGATAGATGAGTTTATTGAGATAAATTAGTTTAAGAGTTTAAATACATTGCATTTAATTTTTCTTGGGATTTTATACTTAAAATCGATTGTTCTTATATTCTTTCATTTAAAGTCATTATCATTATGTTCCTGTTAAAGTTGTGTGTGTGTGTGTGTCTTGTCTGTCTGTCTGGAAGCATTATAAAATGATTAATTTTATATCCAAAGTTTGAAAGCCCTAGCTTGTGTTTATTTCATTAAACTTGAACATCAGTATTAAAAGGATCCTGCAAATGTATTTGGAGGGTTCTTGGTTTCATTTGATAGTAAGACGAAGGGATGAAGTGGCAGTGTATTTATTGGATTTTAGATTGCACATTCATTTCAGATTCCCATGCCAAGGCACTCTGCACCTGACTGCACTGCCGCCTGCAGCACATTTAATTTAAAATCAGGTGCCCTGGGGGACCAGCACAAGGTAGACTTCCTGAGGGTTCATCCCCAGCCAGTTTTAAAGGAGCCATTTTAAATAGTATTTGGGAAGCAGGAATTTAAGGGATAATGGTGGAAAGTGATGATGTAGAAACCTTAAAAATCATTTATAATTGGTTTTCACATAAATTGGCAAATAAATTTGCAGCATAAGTCCCTGAAATCATTCTCTGAAACATTTTCCACAGAGTCTTACAGATGTAAGAAAACATTATATTCTACTTCTTCTTAAGGACCACATTACTAAAATTTAAAACCCATTTAATGTTTTACTTTTGAATGTTTGGAGTAAATTTTAATTTGTGTGTTTTCCAATTTGTTAAGGGTGAAAAATTTTTTAAATCAGCCTGAAGTATTATAGTTTAACCCATTTGTTTACCTAGATTTCCTGAAAACAAGTGCAGTCATCTGAAAATAAAATCTTTACACTGCAGACTCTCATTTTGAGAGCTAGCATAAATGCCTTATGTAAATAATGGATTGATGTTTCAGTTAACTGGATCCAAAAGAACCTATGTGTCAAAACAGAACTCCTTGCTTTCCAGCAGCTTCTCTGAACCTACTATTGCTGAAGAGCCACACAACATATTAGTTTCTCAAAAGGGGTTCAGATAAATGTCAACTGCAGTAAGTGAAAATTGTAATTACAGTTAGCGTGGACTGAGCGAAGTGCTGTGTGGGCAAAGCACTGTGTAAAGTTCTGTATGTAAATAGCACATCACAGATAAAACCTTGCTCTGTGATTATTAAGAACAGGGTGTCTTTTGCTCATTCTTCATTAGAAGGTTGATTAGAATCACTTGCAAATTATATACATCTACCTCTGGGCATGCTTTGCTTCAAAAAAGGAAACCCCAGGAGCTTTTTCTATAAGGGATAGATTTCCAAATATCTTTGAATATTGAAGTTTTTGAAGCTCTCTTTCTTGATTTTCTTTTTCCCACTGATTCCAAGTGTGGAGGAGTCTTTTACCCATTCTTTTAGATGCCACTTTCTTGTAAAATTTAACTGTACCTTAACTTACTGTTTGCACAGGGTGCATCTTTTTACAGCTCCTCCTTATTGATCTCCAGTTTCTCTGTGCTGTATCCCCCACAGGCTCCTTGTCATGCGAGGTTGCAGTCTGATTTTCATCTACTCAGATTAAATTTAATCTTGAAGATATAGTAGAGGACTGGAATGAGGATCTGTGACTATGGGTGGCTTTATTTTCTTCTTTTGACACTTGTTTATTTTCTGTAATGAGCATGGGTAGCTTATGATTAACAAACATTAAATTGGATATTCTTGAAAACAGCAAAAACATTTTTAATGAAATGGCATGCTAATCTCATTAATTTCATTATTTTGTGATAAAGTCTAATGATGAGATGAGAGTTGTAAACTAAGAGACGAGTGGTAATCCTTGGCACCCTTTCTTATTATGCTATTTATTTGACTTGGAGAGTTTTACTTGTCTGTTTTTAGAGAGTATGTTAATTGAGTGCTCAGTATGCATTACGAATAATCTTGTCTGTTTTCTTGTGGAGATTCTGAAGGCCCTTTTGCTCTTTCTGTAAAAGCCAAGCAGACTGTATTAACTTCTGGTTTAATTTGAAAAATGAATGTGGAACTTGTTGGCACAACACCTTAAAGAATTGCATGTTTAATAACTGGAAGGCTTTCCATCAGATTTGTCTCTAGCCTGAATTAATAATGTTGCTGACTTATTGTTATAGAAGACGCAGTCCTTGACCTGCTAGGTTGAAAGAATTGTGACTGCTCTGAACCTTCATGGGTCCTTTAGCTGTGCCATCTCCCTTGTGAATAATTAGAGGTATTTGAAGGTATTGAGGTAGAAGCCAATTTGTGTCTTTCACTTTGCATATTGTTGAAGCCGCATGAATTAATCATAAGCAGGGCAAAAAATTAACTTCTTCAGACACATATTTTGATGGGTCATGAGGGAGAATGTAAAGTGATCTGTAAAATATTCTACTGATCCTCTAAGTATTAAATTATTATACCTACAGGCTAATTTCAGGGGGGGAAAAGAGTTTTCCCTCCCCTTCCTTCAGTACCTGAGTAGCATATTTGAGAAAAAAATCAAGGTTTTTTATTTCCTAGCACTGTAAAAAAGACTGTAAATGAGCAATTTTATGATTTCCTGAAAACCAGATTCTTGTATTAACTCTTGATTTTAATTTTTGGTTTTTTATTTTTTGTTCTTTTTTACTTTTAAATCATTTGAGGTTTTGATTCTTAAAACTTCACCTGAAACTTCTTGTTGATTTGGTAAAATGCATTGTGCGACCCAACAAATAACTCATCTTTTTCACTTTGGGCATCTGAAGCTATTCTGAAATACCGAATCAAAGTCATATGGATTTCCATACTTGTTTAAAATTTAGATTTACATTAAAATCTTTTTTTCCATTTTCTGTTTTTTTTCAGCCAGTGAAACTGAAATTGCATTCTTCTGTGAAGAAGATTATAAGAACTACAAAGCTAATCCCATTTCATCCTGGTGAAAACATCTCGAGGGCTTCCTTTTTGCATACCTGTATTAAGCTCTTTATTCCACTGCTGAATTTTTGAAATTGACAAACAAATCTTAAAAAATTAATCCCAGGCTATACTCTTTGAGCTAAAATCTGGTTATTTCTTTCTCTTCAGGTCTTTCCTTCTCTCTTTCTTTTTCTTTGTTGTTGTAAAATAATATATTATGAGAAAAACATTTGATCTTTTTAAAGGGAAATAAATTGTTATTAAAAATTATTGTGGAATATTGATTCTTAAATTATAATTTGTTTTCTAAAATTAGGAATTATTTTTGTGACTTGCATGTAGAGCTCCTTAAAAAGATTCTAAGACTAAGATCATACTGTTTATTGTATATTTTTTCTGTAGTTTCTAATTAGAGCAACTGTTTCTGTCTGTGGCTACCAGAAATTCTGAGTTTCTTGACCTTCATGGCTACCTTTTAGTTCAGGGTGTGTGATACATACCACCATATGTGCAATTGAATTGTGTATATTTTAGGGAGGTTTTATGATGTAGGAAGGTTACTTTTTTTTTTTTTTTAAAGTATTGCAGCCTATACAAATAATGTTGCTGATTTTTTTTTTTCTTTTCTTTCTTGAGCTGTGTTTTCCATCTTCAGGAAGAAACTATCATAGAATCAAACTCATTTATTTGGAGAGAGGAAGCGGCAGGATGCTTGCACTTCTGGAAGAAAATTGTTCATTGAGAACAAGTCTATGTCCTGGAAGATACATTCCTTCTAAATAATATAATACTTGTGGTTCCTGATTATGGCTGACCGCCAGCACCTGTGGAGTCCTTATTTCAGAGGCCTTTCAGTCAGGCTGCATTTAATCAGAACTCCTGGAGAGCTTAGCTAGCTCTGCCATTGCTCCCTGAGTCCTGGAGAGCTTAGCCAGCTCTGCCATTGCTCCCTGAGTGCCGGAGAGCTTAGCCAGCTCTGCCATTGCTCCCTGAGTGCCGGAGGGCTTAGCCGGCTCTGCCATTGCTCCTTGAGTCCTCAGAGTTGCCAGGAGGGCAAATTGGTTTCATTATGGTCACGTCTAACTTAAGAAAACCTATGATTTCTTAACAAATCAACTTTGAAACTCTGATTAACATGATTAGAAGATGCCTTGCTTTGTTGAAAAAGTTAATAGGGTCTTCTTTAAGATAAATTCTACTTATTTTATTCATTGTTTCATTCAGGAGCAAAGTGTTGAATACACAGATGATGTAGTTTTGGGGGAGTTAATAAAGAGGAAAATAAGACCCAGTTTTTGCCTCAGTGAATGGAGAAAGACATAGTACAAGCAAATGATTTTAAGAATAGCAGAAAAAGCTGCCATCAGAGCATTGTTGACAGAAATTAGTTGTGTGTGTGTGTGTGTGTGTGTGTGTGTTTTTAAGAAGTACCAGTTGAGCTGTGTCTTAGAAGATTGAATGGGAATTTTTGCTTAGAAGAAAAGAAGGGAAAGGCTTTCTGGAAGAGGGAATAGCATACACAAAGGCAAAGGACTGTGAAAGAGCTTGAGGTTTCAGGAGAAAGCGCAAATTTTAGTGTCCCTGACTTTTATAGATGGTGCAACTTAATGATGTTTCGACCTTATAGTGGTATGAAAGCAGTAGGCATTCAGTAGAAACACTGAGTACCCATACAGCCATTATGTTTTCCACTTTCAGTGCAGTATTCAATAAATTACATGAAATATTTAATACTTTACAATAAAATCAGCTTTGTGGTAGATGATTTTGCCCAACTCTAGGCTAATGTAAATGTTCTGAGCATATGTAAGGTAGATTAAGCTAATGCAATGTTTGATAGGTTAGGTGTATTAAATGCATTTTTCACTTAGATAATATTTTCAACCAACAATGAGTTTATTGGGACTAACCCCATTGTAAGTTGAGGAGCATCTATACAGGAGTGTAAAGTACATGGAACAGAGTAGAGGAAGATAAGGCCAGAAAGGTAGGTTGAGGTAGGCCTTACAAGTCATGCTAAGGAGTTAGAACGGTATCTAGTAGGTAGATGGGAGCCAGTAGCATGATTTAAACAGGTATTTGATTCCATTTATATTTTAGAAAGTGAGCTTTGTCAGCAATGTCCAGGTGGCAGAAAGACTAGAAGACATCATTGAGCAGGTGAAGTTTGGAAGGCCTGGCCTAGGGCAGGGGCCGAGGGGAAGAGGAGGATTGGGGAGGTTCTTGGTGTTACCATGTGATCGTGCGTTCCGTGGCAAATATGGTGTGGTAGTTAATTTACATATGTTATCTCATTTGACTTTTACCACAGTTCTTCAATGGTAGCATGTATATTTATAGATGAAGAAATTGGGGCCCAGAGAGGTAAAGTTATTTGCTCAAGAGAATGCAGTCATGTGCAATGGGATTGGAACCAAATCTGTCTTAAAATCCTGACTTCCCCCATTCCATCCTGCAGCCTCCCAGTGGAGACCTGAGGTAGAATGACCTTAGAATGTTTGGGACCTGGTGAATGCCTGGACGGGGATAGTGTGGGGAGGAAGGAATGGAGACTTCAGTGATTCTTGCTGGAGTTGAGTGGCTGGATTAATGATGGCAGCAGTAATCCAAATAGGGAACTCAATAAGTAGAGGTTAAAACATATTCCATTTGTTTGCTTTGCACGCATTCAATTTGCATACCAGGCTTTTTTAAAATATAAAATTAAGCATATCTTTACCTGTGCATTTTTAAGTAGATAATGCAAAAATATGTATGTATAGTACCTTTTTTGGTATGTATTTTTCTTATAAAAGGTACATATAGAGTATTTTCACTTATAAATACAGAAAAAAAATCAAAAATAAATGTATCAACAGCAACCACCAGAAACTAGAAGAGGCAAAGAAGGATTGTTCCCTAGAGCCTGCAGAGGGAGCAGAGCCCTGCTGACACCTGGATTTCAGACTTGTAGCCTCCACAGCTATGAGAAAAGACATTTCTGTTGTGTTTACAATAAATAAAAATGTATTGTGACTAAAAAGGACTTTTACCAGGAATGGAAGATTGATTCAAAATTAGAAAATCTCTCAATATACTTTTCAAAATCTATATAGGAGAAAAAATATTATGTTTATCTCAATAGATGCCAAAAGGCATTTGATGATATTCTTGCTCATGCATATATAAAAATTAGCAAGGGAAAGAAATACCCTTAACTTGATGAAGTTTGCTCATAGAAAACCTACTTAATGGAGAAGTGTTTCAGCAAATCTATTAGATATGAATAAGAGGCTGCGGCTGGGTGCATTGGCTTAGGCCTGTAATCTCAGCCCTTTGGGAGGCTGAGGCGGGAAGATTGCTTGAGCTCAGGAGTTCGAGACCAGCCTGGGCAACAGGATGAAACCCCGTCTCTACAAGAAAAAAAAAAAAATTAGCTGGGTGTGGTAATTTGCCCCTGTAGTTCCAGTTACTTGGGAGGCGGAGGTGGGAGGATCCCTTGGGTCCAGGAGGTCAAGGCTGCAGTGAGCTGTGATTGCACCACTGCACTCCAGCACAAAAAATATGAATTAGACAAGAATGAACACTATTGCCAGTACTATTCAGTATGTTTCTGCAAGTCTTATTGTAGCCAGTAGGAAAAATAGTAAGATTCTCAGATATTGGAAAGGAGTAGGCAAAACATTCATTTGTAGACAATATGATTGCAAGAAGATTAAGTTTTTTTTGAACTAAGAGACTTGAGTGCTGAACCTAAAATGTATTGTTCACAAAAGCTATAAAATAGTGTTATTAGATGAGTATAAAAGACCTGAATAGAGATAGATTACATGTTTATAGATGGAAGATACCTACCTAATCCATAAATAAATGCAGTCTCAATCAAAATCCCAAAGGATTTATCATGGAACTTGACAAATTGATTTTTAAATTCATTTGGAAGAAGAATATGCAAGAATAGCCAAGATCAATTTGGAAAAACAAAACGTAGGCTAGAAGAAAGGGTGGTTGCCTACTAGATGTCAAAATAGATTCAGTGATCAAAACAAGTTGGTAATGATACAGAACTAGATAAAATGATCAATGGAATAGAATATGGAAACTAATAAAATTTACATGGAAACAATAGCTAATAAAGGTAGTATTTGTAATTATGAGGAAAAGGAAGATTATTTAGCACATGGCCAAGTATTTAAAAAAAACAGTTAAGGGTCCTACTTCATACCATTCACTAAAATTTCAGATGGGTTAAATAACTAAACATGAAAAACAAGATGATGAGTTTATTAGAAGAAAAAATGGATTATATTTGTGACCTTGGGGTAGAGAAGGCCTTCTGAAAACACAAAAGGCGTATGCCATAATTTCATAAGGAGAATGTATTTGTGTTAAGAATGACTAAAAGCAAGCCAGGTGTGGTGATGCATGCCTATAGTTTCAGCTACTCAGGAGGCTGAGGGGGGCGGATTGCTTGAGCCTAGGAGTTTGACACCAGCCTGGGCAACATAGTGAGACCCTGTCTCATAAAAAATGAATTAGTAAAAACAAAACCAAAACATGTATAGAAATCAAAAGAAGCAGAAAAAATCCATCAGGCAATTGCCATGAACATTTTGACATATTTCCATCTAGGTTATTTTTTCTATGTCTATTTTTTAGAGTTTCTGAGCTTTTTCATGTGTTTTAAGTCACATTTGCTTGTTAAAACAACCAATTCTGGTCCAGGCATGGTGGCTCACACCTGTAATCCCAGCACTTTGGGAGGCCGAGGCCAGTGATCATTTGAGCTCACGAGTTTGAGTCCAGCCTGGGCAACATGGTGAAACCACATCTCTACAAAAATTAGCTGGGCATGGTAGTGCATGCCTGTAGCCCCAGCTACTGAGGAGGCTGAGGAGGGAGGATGGCTTGAACCTGGGAGGCAGAGGTTACAGTGAGCTGAGATCACACCACTGCACTCCAGCCTGGGCTATAGAGCCAGACCTTGTCTCAAAACAACAACAACAAAATTCTGAAGATTAAAAAAAAGTAAAAATCCTCTTCTTGCAAGGTCACTCCTTTGCATAGCTTGGTGAGCATACTTTCAGACCTTTTTTTCTTTTTTTGCACATATGTTATTTAAACATATAGGTATGCATTTTAAAGCATTGTCATGTTATGCATTTCAAAGCATGATCACTCTCTTAAAGATGGTTGAGAAGTCTCATTTTTTAAAAAATCACCATTGTGTGTCAGACACTGTATGTATTTTATATTATCTCATTTAATCCACACAGTAGACTGTGCTAGAGCTCTGAGGAGTCCTGGTTTCCCCATCTGTGAGATGGAGGAGATAATAAGGGCCACTTTGCAGAGTTTTGTGATCAAGTGGGACATTGCCTACAAGGCACTTACGGACAGAGCCTAGCAGGAAGTGAGCACTTATTACATGTCTTCGGGTACTTATTGTGAGAGTGAGTGCAGCAGCAGCAACTTCATTTTGGAGCAAGGAACCCTCACCCTCAGAGATTAAGCCACTTGTCCAAGGCCTAAGATCTGATAAGTCAAAGAGCAGGTCTCTTCTGGCTTCAAATCCTACTTTCTGCCACTCTTTGAAAACAAAGGGAGTTGGGCACTAGGAGAAACATGGTAGAAAGGTGGTCAACCACAGCCAAGAGACAGTTCCCCATCTGCATTGTTGGCGCCCCTTTACAGGCATTTTTCTATTCTCCTTTGAAGAGAACTTGCCTTTGCCAAAGGAACACTTGGGCCCTGGTCCCACGAGTTGGGCCAGGTTTCATGTGACTTTGAGGAACTTCTTTGCCGTAGCAAACGGGTTTTCTTTTCCTTCTTTTTCTGCCTGCCCCAGACACAGGCAGGAGAGATGGTGAAGTTCCTGCCTATTTGGACACCCAGAGAACTGGCCTGGCCTGAGCCCCTTTGGAAACCTTCTGCTGATTGCTGGGGACAAGGGGGAAGAGCAGGGGCTTCCCCATTTCTGCTAATGCATATTGGGGCATCGTGGGCCTGAGTGTCCAAGGATCTGTACTTGGGACCCCTCTGCCCACTAGAGAAGTTGTCCAGCAATCTTGTCATCTTTTTCTCACTGTACGTGTACACATGCATACATGTATGCATGCATGTGTGTTGGGAGAAGGGCTCTGATTATTGGTTCTGGGCAGTTTCACCTCATTTTGCTTTCAGAAACTCTCATGATTGCTCAGAGTAGCAAAGCTAATTGAAGTGGAATATTGACTTGATTGGTCTGAGGTTAATATTTTGAACTCCACCATCAAGACAGTGGGCCTTTCTGTCTGCAGGCCTGGAAAGAACCCATCTCTCACGTGAAGCCACAGTATGCATCTCATGGCCACTCTGTACCTTTCACTCTGCACTTCTAGCATTTATAGGAGTGGAAGAGGAAGGCACGACATTTGTCATTTCTTTCCATCAAAGGAGATATATTTATTCAATGAATCAGACCTGAGACCACTTTCCCCATCCCCAAATGTGCATTTTGGGCTAGAATATGAGCATAAGAGTTTCGATAATGGCCTTTGGAGGCTCATTTGTTGATCATTAGTCAGCGAGAGGGTCATATAGTTGTCATGACTTAAACATACAGGATGTGTGTTGTGCTGCTCGACGGTGTGATTTGTTAGGGAGCAGTGACCCTCCTCCATTCCGTGCTGCTGCCACTTTGGATGAGTGTTCAGTGAATAATGTCATTCGTAGGCCATGAGATTTTAAGATGGAGAAAATCCATTTCAGGTCCCGGATGAAGTCATGTGACTCTTTCAAAATAGGTAAGGGCAGACCGTTTTGGGAATGCTGCCTTAGAGACTCAAGCTTTTGGTTTTAACTTCATTTCTATTATGTCCAATACACAGGAAAAAAACTGTCGTCCATAATGGCATTCTTGTGATCTATCAAATCTGGTCGATCAAAGCAGTCACCAGAGCACTCTTAAGGCTGTGACTCCTTCACAGGACTAAGGCAAGTGGCAGGGATGGAGGGTGGTGAGGGCTTCTTCCCCTCCATCTCTGATTTGGTGGGGAATGAGAGCAGTAAGATCGGGAGCTGTCATCTTCAATCCACTCAGTGTTAATTCTGTTTAGCAAAGCACAACAACCTCATTTAATTTCCTGATCAGTGCCCCTTCCTCCTCCCTCCATCCTGTGACCTTGAGGCTTATGCCATCGGACTATACATTATTGCCGTCCCCTAACCTTGTTGCCGACACCTGCAGGCCCTGTGCCACTCTCCCTTATTACCTGATGATTTTAGCTCCTGGCTGACCGCAGCTATCTCTCGTAATTCAGGATAGACATAGACAAACCTTCCTGTACCCTGGGGCCTCTTAGGTCATTGAAGAACTCACTGCAACTTTCTTGTCGTCTCTGTCTCAGCCACCTCCTCCTGGAGGCACACCTTTGCCGTAGTCATTAATAACTGCACCCTAGTCCACAACACCGTCTCAATATCCACCTCCCGTTCTCTGACTGCTGTCTCCTGACTTTCCATTTCTCTGCCTCTGGTGCCCCCTCCAAGGCTCTTCAACCCCCACCTTCACTGATCCTGCTGTCTTCTCACTATCCCACTCCCTGACTTGAGATCCTCTATGCCTTCTCATCAATCTCTGCCTAGACCCTTGCTGCCCGGACCCCTCTGGCCCCAGGCCTAACCCTGCCGCGCTCCGCCTTCTACACCTGCACCTGAACAGCTAGCTGTACTGCGCGTGGTGGGGTGGAGGGCGAGTGCTGACTGGCCACGCTGTCGGTCATGGCTGCTGAGCTGCAGTCAGGTCCTCACGCTGCCCTGCAGTTCCGCTCGCTCTCCAGGTTCCTTTAGACCCTCAACTCTGAGACCCCTCCTCTCACTCCCAGCTGCTGTCTTCACTTCGGGCCATCCTAGACAACATGCTCCTGCTCCCGGACATGTCCCTCACCTGCCTTCCTGTGTGGGTGGGCGAGCGAGTAGTGCTATCTGTCCTC
This sequence comes from Homo sapiens, assembly GCF_000001405.40. NCBI lineage: Eukaryota > Metazoa > Chordata > Mammalia > Primates > Hominidae > Homo > Homo sapiens. Next base: position 119,294,542 of record NC_000002.12, on the reverse strand, counting down.
CCTCGTGCCTGGGCTCCCCACCTCTGGAACACCAATGAGCACACTTCAGCGTTGTCCTCCCTCTTCCACACCATCAAGTTCTGCACCCCACCAGCATACGGACAGCTCTCCCTTCCGAACCCTACCACAAGAGCCGCCCCATCTTCCCTTCACAGCCAAATTCCTGAACCGAGTTCTCCATACCCTCTTTCCTCCATGAGGGCTTCCGTCCAGCACTCTGCTGAGACAGCTTTTGCCAAGGTCACCAAAGGTTCCTGTTGCCACAGGAATAGGATTCTGTCTTGGAATTGCTTCACCTCTCAGCAGTGCTGGACACATGGAATCAACTGACACCCTTCTTGCCAACACTTGCTTCGCTTGGCTTCACTGGTCACTCCTCCCCATCTCGTTTGCTGGTTCTTCCTCATCCCTTATCCTTTACGATGTAGAAGGCCCCAGGGCTCGGTCCTCTGACTTCTCTAATTATATCTTCTCCCTAGATGACCTCATGCGTGCTCCCAGCTTTAAATAACAACTAAATGCTGCAGACTCCGGATTTCAGTCCACAGCCCAGCTGCCCGCTGGAGTCCCTGCTGGGTGCTCCCCATCCCTGGTGAGGTGGCTGATAGGTATCCTCTGATAGATGCCTCAGATGATAACACACTCCAGCTGAGCCTCTGAGCTTTCTCCCTGAGGGTGGACCATGCTCAGTCTTCTCCACTGAAGGACATGACCTCCAGTCCTCCATTTGTTTAGGCCAGAAACCTTGGATATATATCTCTTTTTTCTTTTACCCCCACAGCCAGGCCATCAGCCAGTTCTGTCTGCTCCACGGGCGTTCAGAGTATATCCAGGGCCCAGGCGCCTCTCACCTTTTTCACTGCTACCACTGGGTCCAAGGCACCACCATTCTTACCTGGACTATTGCAGTCACCTTCCTTCCAACTGGGTTTCACTTCTCTCTCACTTCTACCCCACTACAATTCTTCCTGTTCTCATTCCTGCCCCGCTGCAATTCTTCACCCAGCCATCACAGTGATTCTTCTAGAACATGAGTCAGATCCTGTCATGCCTCAGTTCAAAACCCTTACTCAGAGAAAGAACCTTGGCCTTGGTCCTCTTCCTGGTGCACACCAAACATATGCACGCCCCAGGGCCAGCTGGTAAACATACACATGCCCCAGGGCCTTTGCACTTGCTCTTCCCTCTGTTTGCAGTGACTTTTCTACATTTTTTGCATGGTTTTCTCCCTTTCTGTCAGCTGTCTGCTCAAATGCCATAAAAGAGGCCTTCTCTGCTTATCCTAGATAAAATAGCAAATGCTTGCCCTTGCAAAACTCATTTGTCTATCTCTGTTTTACTTTTTTAAAAATCCTTTTCTGTTCCGTCTTCTGCTATTAGAATGTCTCCAATGTATAGAACAGTGGCTGGCACTTCATAGGCCAGCAGGGATGTTTCTGGGATGAGAGAATGACTTTAAAATTATATTTGTTTTTTGTTCGTTTGTTTGTTTTGTTTTGTTTTGTTTTGAGACAGAGTCTCATTGTGTCGCCCAGGCTGGAGTTCAGTGGCACAATCTCGGCTCACTGTAAGCTCTGCCTCCTGAGTTCAAGCGATTCTCCTGCCTCAGCCTCCTGAGTAGCTGGGACTACAGGCGCATGCCACCACACCCAGCTAATTTTTGTATTTTTAGTAGAGGCAGAGTTTCACTATGTTGGCCAGGCTGGTCTCAAACTCCTGACTTCAGGTGATCCGCCTGCCTTAGCCTCCCAAAGTGCTGGGATGACAGGCATGAGCCACCGCACCTGGCCTAAGATTGTATTTGAATGTTAAAGCGAAACTTTACAGCTTGTTGAAGCTCATCCCATAGCAATGTATTAACAGATCTGTGTAGACTGAATACACTCTCTAGGAGTTTCTTTAGTTGAAATTAGTCATCCAGATGTGTAAAGTGGTATAGACTGAGCTCTGGAATAATTGGTCAGCAGTCCTGTGTGCATATGTGTTTCAAATGGAGTTGAGGAAATGAGATGAAAACCTGTGTTGAAAGTTAGTTTGTTTTTGTCGGTCTGACTCGGGTCACTGCTGCACTTGCATTTTCATGCGGCTGACAGTTCTTTTCTGCCGCTAGGGCTCTGCGTATGCCCGGAGGCGGTCCTGAGCCTCCTGTGAGGGCTTTTTTACCAGCTGGAAAAAAAACAAAACAAAACTCAAACGCTGTGGTGGTTAGTCACAATAGGCAAGATAAGTGTCCTAGATTGTCATTTGTTTCTGTTTGAACTGTTCCCTGGAAAACTAAGTAGAAAACTGAACAGTGGATTGTACAACTGTACAAATTAAGGCAGAATTTTTTTCCCCACTTGCCTTAAAGCAAAGTTGCTTGTTTTAAAAGTGACCTAGAAGTGAACTTGTGGTGACATTTAAAATTATACAAATTGGAAAAGGCAAATGGTGCACTTTTGCATATATTGGAATCATTTGTCTTTCTGTGTTTGCTTTAGGCAAGCATGAGTGGGAAGAGAGAGCTCCGCTTGGACATAGGCAGCCCGGGGTTGGAAGAACACAGGCATTGTTGCTAGCTTGGAGGTGTGACCTTGGGTGAGCTGCTTGGCCTCTCCAGGTCTCAGTTTCTGGCTCTGTTAAGTGGGGATGATAACACTGACCTTCCAGAATTTCTCTGTGACTTTGTTAAGGTGACCTAGCTCGGTGCCTGACTAAACATATTGTTTTGGGGAATAATTTCTGTTACACTGCTATTTTACAAAGAAATACTACTAATCCCATCGCGCAGAGAGAACATTTAGACACTGAATAGGAGGTTGTCCCCCATGAGTGCTAGGCAGTGGAGCCAGGCCTCTTCCTACAAGGCAGGGGTGTCCGGCTGCTGCCCGTTCTCCCCCTCCACCTGTCAGCTCCAACCACACCACCCAGCAGTGTTCTTGGACCCAGGGAAGGACTCGTTTTTTATTTTCCAAGAACCTTCTCTTCCCATTTCATTTCCCGAGGTGCCTTGCCCTTGGATTCAGCCAGCCCTGAGCACATTACCTGTCACATGTTTCCCTGACATATCCCCTTTCTTCTGGTTGCAATTTTCCCCAATTAGGAGTAATGGGCTCATTAACAACAGCCGGCACTTTAAATTTCCTTTCTATAAGGATAAAGCCGTCCCTTTCACTATTCTCTGGCTGTAACTTGCTTCAGGTGGGATGGGGTGGAGTGAGGTGGTAGAATGAATGGATACACAGCTTGTTCAAGGAAATAGAATCTCTGGGAAGAAAAATCTTGCAAAGGCAGGTTTTGTAGTTAGAATATTCTAGATACCTGCCAGGCACCAGCCGATTAATGCCCAGCCGTTCATCTTTACATCTTGCCGAGCAGCTTCTCCTCGGTATGACACCTTTCCTGCCATATTAGCAGAGCCTCGTTACGCGGAGAAGTCCAGGCTGCAGGTCAGGTGGAGTGGCTCTGCACTTGTCCGCCTTTGCCTACCCTTCAGCCACCAGGTGGCAGCAGAGTCTGTCTGGGCCTGGGAACTGATGAGGCCGAGCCGGTGTCAGTCATTTGTTAAGGACTGTGTTCAATAGGTTTGTCCCCCTGTAAGTCAGCCTTGGCGTCTGATAGCTGAAAGTCAAAGCCATCAGCTTGTAGATGGGGTGGCATGTTGTACTAGTGCTCAACAGCGACCATGCAATTGCTACTGCCTAAAATTTTATTTTTATTTTTATTATTTTTTTGAGGCGGAGTCTCACTCTGTCGCCCAGGCTGGAGTGCAGTGGCACGATCTCGGCTCACCGCAACCTCCGCCTCCCAGGTTCAAGCGAGTCTCCTGTCTCAGCCTCCTGAGTAGCTGGGATTACAAGCGTGCAATGCCACGCCAGGCTAATTTTTGTATTTTTAGTAGAGACAGGGTTTTGCCATGTTGGCCGGGTTGGTCTCGAACTCCTTACCTCAGGTGATCCACCCGCCTTCGCCTCCCAAAGTGCTGGCATTACAGGCATGAGCCACCACTCCCAGCCTAAAATTTTATTTTAAAAGTCAATGCTTAATTATTTCAAAGCCAATACCTAACTTTAGTCAGTTTTACCTCTATAGTCTTATTTCCTTCTTTTTCTTTTATACCACTCTATTTAATGATGGGCCATTTCTAAAAAGAAGACTAATAATGTGTCAACGCTTTGGAAAACGTCCCTGTATATTTGTTGAGGATTCCTTAAAGCTGAAGGTTGAAAGGTCGTGAGCCGGTTTCTATGGCTTCTGTGTTAAATGCTTCCTAGTACAACAATTGATAGGCAGCCTCCTCCATTTGGCCCAGGTGAGGTGCTTAAAAAATTCCTTCTCAAACCAATTGCAGGGAGACGTTCTTCTGCTTGGTGGAGGGGCTTGGAAGCTGTCCTTTAGCTTGGGCATATGTGAGCCTGTAAGCAGTGCCCAGAGCTTTGGGGTCAAATGGTGACTCCCATGCAGGGGCAGGGACGCAGGAATTACTTTGCAGAGGGAATGTCCCTCTTCCCTTCTGAAGACTGAATGTTCTCACACATAATTAGGCAATGCCAGTAACTCTTTGGATAGTGTACAAAACCCTATGTTTGTTTCTAGGTTATTTTAAAAATTAAGAAATCTCACTTTAAGGCAGCAGACAGAATAAAAACCAGTCTGCCCTGGTGCAGAGCGGTGCCTCTGTGGTCTCTCTTCCTGGCTTAGCTGGGTGTGGCTGACAGCAGAGAACTACTACCGGCAGAGGGCTGAGTTGGGGCTACGAGCGGGGCCTGAGACAAGGTCTAAAGTGGCAGGGTCTCTTTATAGCTCTGTGGACCCCCTTGGTGTCTAATTCCAGTCCCCAGTCCTGTCAAAGCCACCCTGCACTTTTTTTTTTTTTCTTGAGACGGAGTCTCACTCTGTCGCCAGGCTGGAGTGCAGTGGTACGATCTCGGCTCACTGCAACCTCCGCCTCCTGGGTTCAATCGATTCTCCTGCCTCAGCCTCCCAAGTAGCTGGGACTATAGGCGCGTGCCACCACGCCCAGCTAATTTTTGTATTTTTAGTAGAGATGAGGTTTCACCGTGTTGGCCAGGATGGTCTCGATCACTTGACCTCCTGATCTGCCCACGTCAGCCTCCCAAAGTGCTAGGATTACAGGCGTGAGCCACTGCGCCCGGCCACCCTGCGCTTTAATGCAGACACCACAGCTGGTAGACGCTTCCAGACTAAGATGTCAAGGAGACTTGGTTAAGTGCAAGATGGAACACAGAAGCTAAACCACAGGAGAGTAGAATCTTAAGAAGGCTGATTTGAGGCAGAGTACAGTATGTCCCTACCTTCTGGCTGCATGAGACCTCCTGACATAGCGCACATTCTGCAGCCTTAAGGCCCCCGTGTTTGCTAGAAATGCGTTGGGACCTGCCTGCAAAGGTCCTGGTAACTGGCCTTCCTCGGGCTCCAAGTCAAAGGGACAGAGTAGTTTCTAGAGCCAGCAATTCTCTCTGTATTCTCTCTTCCTCTCTTTCCAACATGTTGGCTTTTTCAGTGTCTTGGCCCAGGGTTGCTTATACACTTGAAAGTAGAGCAGCTTGAAGACAGATTATTTCGGTTTTCCCTGAAAGCCTTCGAGAGTCAGGGAAATTTTGCTAGAAGGCTTGAGGTGTAAGAGAGGGAGAGGAGGCTGGGGGCTGGAGTGACTCACCAAGGCTGAGGGGATGGAGCTTGTGGGTTCTACCATTGCCACGTGTCTTGTTCTGGGGAGGTGACTTGTCCTCAGAGGGGAATAGCTGACCCTAAGCAGGTGAGTGCCTCCTCTCCAGTCTCTGGCCTGAGCAAGGCCTGCGGCTTCCAGGTTCTGAGGGTGAGTGTCTAGCTTCTGGTGGATGGTGCTTTCTGCCAGTGTCGGGGTTGGAGCTTTCTCTGCTCTTACAATTCCACCCTTCCATCCACTTCCCGCCTTCAAAACTTGGATCAACTCTCTTGTCCTCGATGTCCTCTCTCTGGGTCTCTTTGTCTTCATGAGTTTATGTTTGTATTATCCCCTTACTCCCATCTTAATGGGGTTTTCAGAGGAGATGATGTAAATGAATAATCAGCCTCTCATGTTTAACTTTGGAAATCTGCTTGCTTGCTCTCTCCCTTACTTTTTTAAAATTGAAGTATACTGTAATCCCAGCACTTTGGGAGGCTGAGGTGGGTGGATCACGAGGTCAGGAGATAGAGACCACGGTGAAACCCCGTCTCTACTAAAAATACAAAAAATTAGCTGGGCGCAGTGGCAGGCGCCTGTAGTCCGAGCTACTCGGGAGGCTGAGGCAGGAGAATGGCGGGAACCCGGAAGGCGGAGCTTGCAGTGAGCCGAGATGGCGTCACTGCACTCCAGCCTGGGCGACAGAGTGAGACTCTGTCTCAAAAAAAAAAAAAAAATTGAAGTATAATTTACAGATGGTGAAATGCAAAGATCTTAGATATGCAGTTCTTTGGGTTTTGACAAGTGCACGACCCACATCTAAGTCAAGATGCAGAACATGCCCACCACCCCCAAAACCTCCTTTGTGCCATCACAGTCCCCTCTCTGCCCCTCTGTCATCACCCACCACTGCCCTCTGTCATCAGCCACTACTGCTGTGATTTCTGTCACCATAGGTAAATTTGGGCCTTCATTTTTGAATATTTGAGGGTAATGTATATGGTCCAAATCACTCTCCCAACACAACCAACTAACTGAAGACCAACTCTAATATTATAAGAAATTGGAATTTAAGTAAGAACAATGCCATTTTATTTTAAACACACACAGTTGCGTCCAAATCTAACCTCTTCCTTCAGGAGTAAGGAGAGAAGATGTGTTGTCTTCTAGAATTTCCTTCATAACCAGAACTTCATGTCAGTTAAAAATTTCTGCCATGAAAAAAAACTCAAGGAATCAAGAAAGAGCCTCAATGTCTTCGAACAAATATCACGTCTCCTCAGATCTTCCATGTCATATTCCCCTTTGTTGTTCTCAACAAAAACAGAGACTTCCCATCTTAAAAATGTATATGTGATGTCTTATTAAAAAAAAAAACATGTTATTAGCCCTGCTTTCAAATAACCCTCTAAAGTTGTATACTTGAGGGCAGAGGCCCTTGTGGTGGGGTTGTGGGAGAGGGTCTCGGGCGGTGTGTATGTATGTACATGGGAACCTGTGATGGTGAGCTGGTGGGGACTGAGGTGTGATAGTTGCCTGGTTTCTGGCTGGTAGGCACTTCCATTATGTGGATATTGCATATGTGACAAAAGCCATATTTCAAAATTTCAAGTATTTTTCCAGCAAGGTCCAGCAAGCTCTGCAGGACAAGCCATCAGAAGCGAGACTGAGCCAGGCATAAAACAGCCAGCATTTATCAAGTGCTTGCCCTGTCAGGCCTCACTAAAGCACTTTGCAGATATTTACTCACTACTGCTCACAACCCCTGTGAGGTAGGTACTAGTTATCTGCATCTTACAGATGGGGAAGGGGCACTTGGAGGTAAAGTGACCTGCCCGAGGTTTCCCAGCTCCTAAGTGATGGAGCCTGCCAGAACCAACCATCAGGAGGGACTTCGCAGGTGAAAGAAGGTTCTTCTGCTCACTGGGGGTACTAAGAAGAAATTCCTAGTCCATAGCTGGAGCAAGTGAAACCCTTCTTTGCCTTTCACTACTTGCTGATACCTCCTCAACAGAAGTCAGCTCAGAATTGCTGGAATGAACATCTCATGAGAACGGCCTCCCCTTCCCTTCCCACCGCCATTGCCCTGCTTTGGGCCTCATCATTTCTCATCCTGACCGCAGAGACACTCTCCCGTCTGGTGTCCTTCCCTGCAGACTCTCATCCACCGAGTCCAGCCTTCATGCCGCTGCCAGAGTGATCTTTTAAAAATGCAAGTCTGACTGCTGTATCCCTCCCTGTTCAGAACCATCGGATGGGTCCTTGTTTCCTTCCGAATCACGAGCACACTCTGGCATGGTGTAGTGGGGCTTCTTTGGTTTGATCTCTGGCTACATCTCCAGCTTCTCCTCCAGCTATGGAATTTGGCACCTCCTCCTGTCTCCCCCAGCTCTCCCCTGTCCCCTTACCCTGTTCTCTCTGGGCACACCATGCTGCCACTTTCTCAGACTTCCCACTCTGGTCTCTGAATGTTCCACCAGACTAGCATTCATCCTGGGAGGCACAACCAAGGACCATCTTGTCCTTAAGGTCCTTTCCATCCCACCTTCCCAGCACTTCACAGCCAGGAGACTGGTCCCTGCTCTCCTTTTCATCCTGCTGTGTGCTGGCCAGTCCTCTGGAGCACTGATCACACACTGTGGCCTTGCTTTTTTTTTTTTTTTTTTTTTTTGAGATGGAGTCCTGCTCTGTCACCAGGCTGGAGTGCGGCGGCATGATCTTGGCTCACTGCAGCCTCTGCCTCCTGGGTTCAAGCAATTCTCCTGTCTTAGCCTCCCAAGTAGCTGGGACTACAGGTGCCCACCACTATGCCCAGCTAATTTTTGTATTTTTAGTAGAGATGGGGTTTCACCATGTTGGCCAGGATGGTCTCGATCTCTTGACCTCGTGATCCGCCCGCCTTGGCCTCCCAAAGTGCTGGGATTACAGGCGTGAGCCACTGTGCCTGGCCGGCCTTGCTTTTTTATATACTGACCTTCCCCAAACGATGTGGCTCTCCCTGAGGTTGAAGATCAGGCTTACTCTTGCATCTCCATGGCCTGCACACACTGGGAGTTGATAAATGCAAGGGTCTGTTATTTCTGCATGAATGAATGGATTCACTTTCCTTGCTATACCATATACTCTTCTAAAAGTTACCAGGCTTTCTGGAACTTATATTAAGAAATTCAGATACCAGCAATAATATCCAGGTAACTCAGCCTCTGCCCAAATTGCTTGATGAGATTACCTGTGTCTCAGCACTAGGACCACAATTTTGGTTTCTTTTCCATTTTCTCCATGCCCTGACACAGTGTTGGATATCCACTACCTGTTTAAAATATATGTGCTGATTTGAGTTGGTCAGGTGTTGGGGGTGGGATACGACAGAGAAAATGGGGTCCCAGCTACTGAGGACGCAACACATGAACAGGGAAACGGGACAGATCCTCTTGGGAAAAAGCCCCACTGGGGCCAATTCCGGGGCCTTTTCCTCCACAGCCCGCAGAGATGCCTGTGCACTTCCCCCAAGAAGCTCCTCCAAGTTACGTGACCCTGATGAAGGTCTTCCTTCACCATATGATTTGTTACAGGAAAAATAAGGAAGGAATTTGGAAGCAGTTAAGGTCACTTTGTGCCGAGACTATCGCACTATATCATGTTAAATAAAATGTCAGGTGATAGTTATTGAGTCATTCTTTTCTAATGGTTTTATGCACAGTAGATAATTTTATTATCTACATATGATTTGGATTTGAATAAATTATCAGATTGTTAAGAATTTAATAAGAATATGTAAATACATTTGTATTCCCTATTTAAGTCAACCTAAGAATGAAATGATGAGAATAATGGTATTTTGTGAGGATGGTGGGGGCTTTTTGGTAGATGACCTCCTCTGATCTCCGCCACAATCCTGGAACACAGATATTACATCCCCTTCTTACAAATGAGAAAACTGAAGCTCAGACAGGTTAATTTGCCTAAGGTCTCCCATCCCAGAATACGGGTTCAAATTTTAGAGGTTTTTCACCTTATGCTACCTATAGATATTCAAATCTTAATTTATTCACATGAAATGATGGGTTAAATCGTTTACAAAATTATCAACCATAAGATTCTGTTGACAAATACCCATGAAATATTTACTTTTAAAAATGTCCTGTCCATGCATATGAATTTCAGTTTTAAACATGAAAAGTATTTTAGCTTTTAGGTTGCAAAAAAAAAAAAAACCAAAATCCCAAAACAACCCACCCACTATATGGAGAGTATACAAAATGAACACAGGCTGATGATGTACATCAGTGTTTCCGTATAGTAACAGGAAACCTGGAACGGTATTTTTGGGGTGGAGGTAATTTGGTAATGTATGCCCAGATAAAAATTATGCAAGCCCGGTGATCCACTGAGGCCTCTTGGGGGCTCTATGGGTGCAGTGACAGGGACGCAGGAGTGCAGGGAGGGGCTCTGGGTTGCCAGAGACCTGCTGTGGAGAAGTTTTCTGCCCTCAATAAGCCCTACAACTGTACACAGTTTGGTTTGAGTCCTATTTTCATCATCCGCAAAATTAGCCTACTTATGCCTTTGTGGTGTGTCAGCATTGAATATTGGGGTGTCGGCCAAGTGCTTAGCCAGGAGCCTGTCTGCGGCATGGCTCAGCCAGGCGGGATGTGACATTCCCTCGTGGTCAGTGAGGCATGCTGTCCTGGCTATGACGATTGGGAGGATGTGAAACTGAAGCTGGGTGCTGGCGAATCATGGAGGCAGCTGGGAACCTCAGTGTCTCAGGCTCAGTTCCTCAGCTGGGAATGAGAAAAGGGTGTGGCTTAGGAGAGGGGTAAGCCTGATGTCTAAAACCGCTTTCCTCTCATGGGTGAGCAAGTTGAAAAGCCAGATTCTACCAGGGAGGTGGCACAGGACGCCTTGGCTGTGCTCCCGGATGTGTGGGGCTGTTTCATCACACAGTTGCATGGGACTTGCTTGTGTGCTCAACTTTCCGGGATGTCCTGAGACTGGACTTTCCAGTTTCCAAGATTCAGTCCCATTGTCAAAGCCTAATATCTGATTTTTTGATTTGATTATATGGTGTAGAGAAGTGGAAAAATCCTCAAGTTTGGGTCATTAAACATTGTAAAATAGGGCCAGGTGCAGTGGCTCACACCTGTAATCCAAGCACTTTGGGAGGCTGAGGCGGTTGGATCATTTGAGGTCAGGAGTTCAAGACCAGGCTGGCCAACATGGTGAAACCCCATCTCTACTAAAAATACAAAAATTAGCTGGGCGTGGTGGTGGGCGCCTGTAATCTCAGCTACTCCAGAGGCTGGGGCAGGAGAATCGCTTGAACTCAGGAGGCAGAGGCTGCAGTGAGCCAAGATGGCGCCACTGCACTCCAGCCTGGGCAACAGGGCCAGACTCCCTCTCAAGAAAAAAACAAAAACAAAAACAAAAAAACCAAAAGAACCATTGTAAAATAGAAATGGATATGGGGAAGAGAGAGGGGGAGAAGGCAAAGCAGGAAGGAGGAGGCAGGAAGGGCAGAGCTGGCACCAAGGCAGGCCCTGGGCTGGATGCCCAGGAGTGTGGGCAGAGGGGGTGCAGCACTGAGAGGCGGACTGGAAGCTTCCATTGCCAAGCTCATGACAAAGAATGGGAGGCAGGGAGGAGGCCCACAGATCTTGCTGAGTGCTAAGCGCCTGCACCCCTGCCCCGAGCTACACCTTGGTGCCACTGTTGACAGTCAGCCCAAAGCCTCCAGGGAGATGTTCACCAGTGTCTCTCAGGGACTTGGGCTTCCTTCCCACCAAGGAAGAGGGAGAGAGACTAGGGCTGCCCTCCACTGTGAAGGACCCTGCTAATTATTCATGACATCCCCGCAGAGTGGCTGGACTGCCACAGCTTCCCCTGTGCCCATCCTCAAAGACAGCCTCAGAAGTGGACATCCGTCTTTCAGGAGGGGCTTAGAGGAGCTCTCCCAAGGACGAGCATGTTGTTTCCCCCCGCAGCCTTGAGTTTTGAAGAGTGAAGCGGGGGTGGTTAGTGATTCTAGGTTTAATGCTTCCACCCGATTGCCCATTTCATCACACTCCTCAGTATTATGACATTTGGATTATTTTTTAATCTTCTCTTCCCCTTTTTGTTGTTCTGCTGTTGAACCGATTATGCAGAACTGTGTGTTGATGTCTCTGTGGCACCTTCCCTCCAGGGATGCAGCTCTGTTTTCCAAACACCCCGCTTAATCCTCTTAGGAGGGAGGATGCACCGGGGTGCTCACCCTGTCCGTCAGGGCCGGCAGAGACGGACGCTTTACAGGTGTTTGTTAACCTGGACCATGCTGGACGGGAGGCTTGGAGGCACCAAGATGCCAAATCTCTTACCCATCCCTCCAGCCAGGCGTCTCAAGTGGCTAAAGAATAAATGCATGAAAATTAAGAGCCAGCTCTGCCTGCGAAAGAGAACAGGAGCAAGCTGGCTGTTGGCTGTCATCTGGAGTCACCTACTGGGAAGTGCCGAATCACCCCAGACCAAGGACAGGAAGGAGGCTTGGTGAGTGACAGTCCCACCCTGGCAGCGCCATGAACAGCAGTTCAAAGTGAAAACAGACTCCCTGCATCAGAGCCGACCTATTGGTATAAGAGATTTCACTTGCAGCCCAGCGGCGTTTGTGATAAATAGATCCACATAGGATTGCCTGGTTTCATTTTTCATGTATGTGGGCTTCTCGGGACACCTCTCACTTTCCCAACTTTTTATATCTTTTTTTTTTTCTTTGAGACGGAGTCTGGCTCTGTTGCCCAGGCTGGAGTGCAATGGCATGATCTCGGCTCCCTGCAACCTCCACCTCCTGGATTCAAGTGATTCTCCTGCCTCAGCCTCCCGAGTAGCTGGGATTGCAGGCGTCCACCACCACACCTGGCTACCAATTTTTATATCTTAATGGCCTTTCCAGAACTTTCCAGAACATGTACAACATGCTCCTAGTGGGCCTGGGGATGGTTGAGGGTGGGTAGCGCAGTAAGACAGTTACTGTTACTTCAGTTTTCTTTCAGGTCTTCTGGTTGAGTGAGGAAGAGGTTTCAGTTTGGTGATGGCAACGTCCTTAAGACTTCACTTGCTTCCCTCTCTCTGTTCTTTTGAGAGCGGGTCTCCACCAAGCATTTTAGCAGGTAAAAAATCTAGCTAGAATTTAATCATATTATTTTGTTTTTATTTATTTTGAGGTTGTAACTGCTTTAAGGTCTTATAGCCAGTAATAACGGTTTCCTATTCATGTTAGGATGTTTATTTAGCAAACGCTTATATAGCACTTACTCTGTGGAAGATCTGTTTTAAATACCTTAAAAAGAGAAACTGTTTTTTCTCTCTCTGTCATTCTCATTCTCTCTCTCTCTCTCTTTTTATTTTCTTTGTGGTAGGGTCTCACTCTGTCACCCCAGGCTGGAGTGCAGTGGCAGGATGGCAGCTCACTGCAGCCTCGACCACCCTGGCTCAAGCTATCCTCCCACCTCAGCCTAAGAGAAACTCTTGGAACGGAAAACCAAATACCACATATCCTCAGTTATAAGTGGGAGCTAAATGATGAGAACACGTGGACACAAAGAGGGGAACAGCAGACACCGAGGCCTACTTGAGGGTGGAAGTTGGGAGGAGGGAGAGGAGCAGAAAAGATAACTTTTGGGTACTGGGCTTAATACCCGGGTGATGAAATAATCTGTACAACAAACCCCCATGAGATGAGTTTTCCTGTGTAACACCGAACCTAAAATAAAAGCTAAAAATAAAATTAAGTTAAAAGAGAAGCTGTCATTTTTCTCATAACCTAATTACAAACCTATGTGGTAAGAACTATAATCACCCTCATTTTATAGCTGGGGAAACTGAGGCAAGAGGAGGTTAAATCGGGTTAGGAAGTAGTAGAAGTGGTGCTGAAACCCTGGCAGTGTGGCTCCAGATTTTGTGTTCCTTTTTTTTTTTTTACCATTTTTTTTTAGAGATAGCGTCTTGCTGTCAGCCAGGCCGGAGTGCTGTGGTGCAATCATGGCTCACTGCAGCCTTGACCTCCTGGACTCAAGTGATCCTCTCAACTCAGCCTCCTGAGAAGCTGGAACTACAGTTGTGCACTACCAGCTTGAGTAATATTTTAAAAAAATTTTTTGTAGAGATGGGGTCTCACTATGTTGCCCAAGCTGGTCTTGAACCCCTGGACTCCAGTGATCCTCCTGCCTCCCGGATTCCTGTGATTACAGGCCTGAGTCCCCATGTCTGGCCTGGATTTTGTGTTTTTAACCTCTGTGCTATGCTGCCTCTCCATAGGGAACATTAAAAATTAATGTTTTCAGGCCGGGCGCCGTGGCTCACGCATGTAATCCTAGCACTTTGGGAGGCCAAGGCAGGTGGATCACCTGAGGTCTGGAGTTCGAGATCAGTCTGGCCAACATGGTGAAACCCCATCTCTACTAAAAATACAAAAATTAGCCAGGTGTGGTGGTGGGCGCCTGTAATTCCAGCTACTCCAGAGGCTGAGGCAGGAGAATCGCTTGAACCCGGGAGGTGGAGTTTGCAGTGAGCTGAGATCGCACCATTGCACTCCAGCTTGGGAGACAGAGCGAGACTCCGTCTCCAAACAAACAAACAAACAAACAAACAAACAAACATTTTCAGGGAAAACAAGTGAGTAGATTTGAAGGAAACGTTGATATAAAGAAATGAGGTCCAAGCCTGGGTGGAAATGGCAGATATGGTGGAGGTGAACGGAAATGGATGCAGCGGCTGGCCACACTGGCAGATACAAGGAAGAAGGAGCTAGTGGATTAAGCACTTACTTGACCTCAGACACGGCACACTCCTCAACAGGGTCTCTGGAGCCTCAGCTAAACATTCCCGCGGGTTGATTCTGTAGTAGAGATACCTTGCCGGAACAGATGTATTTGTAGTAATACACACATGCACACACATATACTGCTGCTTTTGCTATTAGGTACCAGTCCTTTCCTTTCACCTTGGTGTCAGCCATAGGGTGGTTTTCAGCTCTGCTCAGAGATAAGCTGAGGAACTCCTCCAGGCCCTACGGATGGGGGTGGTGCTGGGCAGGGAGTCAAGGCCAGGCTACTCCTGAGGCCAAGCAAGGTCTTAACCAAGTATTGAAAAGTGACCTCAGGCCAGGTGCAGTGGCGCAGGCCTGTAATCCCAGCACTTTGGGAGGCCCAGGCAGGCGGATCACCTGAGGTCAGGAATTTGAGACCAGCCTGGCTAACATGGAGAAACCCCGTCTCTACTAAAAATACAAAAATCAGCCAGGCATGGTGGTGGGCACCTATAATCCCAGCTACTCAGGAGGCTGAGGCAGGAGAATCACTTGGACCTGGGAGGTGGAGGTTGCAGTGAGCTGAGATTGTGCCACTGCACTCCAGCCTGGGTGACAAGAGTGAGACTTTGTCTCAAAAAAAAAAAAAAAAAAAAAAAAGAGAAAAGTGACCTCAGTCTTCCTACTCAAAAAGGAAAGTGCTAGGTTCAAACATGACTGGACCATGATTCTCAAACTTCAGGGTTTACATAATGAAGAATTTAAATCTTAGAGATTGATTTGGATTTGGCAGCTCTTTATTTTACTAAGTATGGACATTAAAAACCAAACCACAGTTCCCTAAACAAAGTCCGACCACTGTCTATCATCACTATCAATACGTAAATGAAAGGAGATCCTAACACAGAAACATAGGGAGGAAATAAACTCCGAATAACCCGTGTGCGTGTGCATGTTTGCATGCATGTGCATATCACATTGCTTAAGATGATGAAAACTTCTCTGGGGAACAACATTGGCAGTATTGGGAACCACCGGCCTGGAGTGCCTGTCTGCTGTTTTTGCTGTCTCCTGTTGGCTGCCTTAACTATCTTAATTTAAAAATTACCTCCCTCAAGTCATACCAACAAGGTATTTCCTGGTTATCCTGAAATGGAAGGTCCTGATTATGGATTGTCCTGGCTCTTACTCTCTGCAGATTTTTTTTTTTTTACTTTAAATTCTGGGATACATGTGTAGAATGTGCAGGTTTATAGGTATACATGTGCCATGGTGGTTTGCCGCATCTATCAACCTGTCATCTGGGTTTTAAGCCCTGCATTCACTAGGTATTCATCCTAATGCTCTCCCTCCCCTTGCCCCCAACTCCTGACAGGCCCCAGTGTGTGATGTTCCCCTCCCTGTGTCCATGTGTTCTCATTGTTCAGCTCCCACTTATGAGTGAGAACATGTGGTGTTTGGTTTTCTGCTTTTGCGTTAGTTTACTGAGGATAATGGCTTCCAGCTTCATCCATGTCCCTGCAAAGGACATGGACTCATTCTTTTTCATGGCTGCATAGTATCCCATGGTGTATATGTGCCACATTTTCTTTATCCAGTGTATCATTGATGGACCTTTGGGTTGGTTCCAAGTCTTTGCTATTGTAAATAGTGCTCTCTGCAGATTTGTAAAAAGCCATTTCCCACTTGGCCCCATCACCAGTGGCGTAGAAAGTCCCAGGAGGCTGTGAACTTTGAGAGGACAGCCATGGTGTCTGCTCACTGCCCTATCCTAGGACCTAGCACAGGGCCTGGCGTAGGGCGGGCACACAATACCTATTTGTTGCATAACTGAATGAATGAACAGATGAATTGCTGATGAAAAAGAGAATTCAATTTTTAATTTGTATTCTTAGTGTGCAGATCTGATAAAGTCTTCATATAAAACACATTTGTGAATCATGAAACATGATAATCAAAAGTATACTGTGAACCTACCACACGACCTAGGAAGAAAACTTGGGTCTAGCTCCCCTATCCCATGCTCCTTGCTTCCCTAGAAATAAAAACCAGCTTGAATTTTGGGTTTATCATTCCCCTGCTTTTTTAAAGAATAGTTTTAAAAATCACGGGTCTACTTATTCCTAAACAATATTGTTTAATTTTTGCTGATTTCTGAGCATTATAAAAATGTTATCGTGGTATACAGTCTATCCTAAATTTTGCGTTTGCCAGCCTTGCTTCCTTAAAATATAGTTTCAAAAATCACATATGTATGTATTCCTAAATAATACACTGTTTCATTTTTGCTTGGTTTCTAAGGCTTATAAAAATGGTATCATATAGCATGTAGGTTTTTGATACTTGTTTTTTTCCCTGTCCATAATCATGTCTCTAAGTTTCACTGGAAGAATAGGTAATTTATTTTCATTGCTGAATAACAGGCCATCATCTGAATAGCACAATTTATTCATGCCCTCCTGTCAATGGAGTTTGGGGCAATTATGAACAATACTGAAATCAACACTCTTTTAAACAAATTTAGTTGCTAAAAAAGAAACCATTATGGCCAGGCGCGGTGGCTTATGCCTGTAATCCTAGCATTTTGGGAGGCCAAGGCAGGCTGATCACTTGAGGTCAGGAGTTTGAGACCAGCCTGGCTGACATGGTGAAACCCCATCTCTACTAAGAATACCAAAATCATCCAGGTATGGTAGTGGGCGCCTGTAGTCCCAGCTACTCCGAAGGCTGAGGCAGGAGAATCGCTTGAACCTAGGAGGTTCAGTGAGCCGAGATCGCGCCATTGCACTCTAGCCTGGGCGACAGAGTGACACTCCATCTCAAAAACAAAAACAAAAAACAAGCCAAAACCAAAACCAAAAAACACCGTTATACATATACGTGTATATATAGCATAAGACAAAATGAGAGGTTAACGAAATTACAAGATAAACACCTTTAAACATCCCCACATAAAGGAAGCTGACTCTGACCCCATAAGCCTGCCAGGCTCACTTTCCCAAATGCAATGCCACGCCCCTCCTCCAAGAGTAAACGCCAGCCTGGCTTTTGTGCTCATTGCCTCTTTTCTTTGCAGTTGTGCTCCCCATTACTGAATACCACAGATGAGCTGTGCCTTCCTCCCCTCCCCTCCCTTCCCTTTGCTTTTATGTCAAAATATTAGGCTGTCGTTTTCACCCGTGTGTTTCTCTGGCATGCTTTTATCGTCTGCAGGGATGTTATTCTACTTTTTATTTTTTCTTTGAATAACCGTGTGGGATTTGACTTCAATCCTTTTCTGCTACTTATGTTTACATAATATTAGATTTCCTGAACTTTTTGAAAGGAGGTATAATTTAAGGGTTTTTCTCATTTCACAATGGTAGAGCACTCTCTTCTGTTGTTTTTGTTCAGTATTTTAAAAATAGGGCACCTCACTTCCTGAGAACTTCCATTCCGTTCTCCCCTACTGTAGTCTGGGTTCTCTTTTTTGCTTTTCTCTATTTTCCTGAAGTGCTCAATTTGGAGTCTGTTCCCAGCTGGGGTTCTATTCTGGATAGGGGCTTGGGCTGGTTAGTTTGGAGTGTTTATTAGGCCCAGTCTTCCCTGGCCTCTTCTGACTTTACCTTTGGAACTCACATGCTTTTACTGAAGGATACAAATACCTCCCTGGGTCAGGTGCTGTCCTCCACCTGCCTGGTGGCTTTACAATAGTTGTTTCTTGATTATTTTAAAGTTCTTGTTGCAGGTGATCAGTGACTATCTGGGCCAGTAGCATGGGCAGTAAGAAGAATTTGCCAAGACAGTTGTAGGTTTAAAATAGGCAGATTTATTAGAGAAAGTAGGCAAATAGGTTGCAAGGATGCAACAGGCAGGTTAGCAAGAGAGGAACTGACTGCAAGGAAACATAGGCTTCCTGGGGATTTTATAGGATGGTGCTTGTGCTATGTGCTGAAGAGGGCTTTGCGCAGTACTGATAATGCCAAGGTTGCAGGGAACTAAATTGCATTATTTTATTAGTTGAGGGTTGGCACAGGAAGGCACAGTTGAGAACAGGAAGATTGTGAGTTATTTGTACAGGAGGGCTATGTGTTTTGGACCTTATAAAATCCCTTATACCTTATCTGCTTTCTGTTTTTTGCTTCCTCTGCTCCTGCCAGCCTGACTTCTTTCCCCTTGTTAGGACCTCACAGTTCTGAGGCCTACCAGGTGCTCTGTTGCTTCCTTCTGTGTCCTCCAACACAGCTGCTGATACCATGCAGATCTTGTAGGTGTGTCTCCACCCATTTATGTTTTAGGGTTTGTAGGGATTCAGTGTCATCTGGTTTGTTGTAGGGATTTTCCATGGGTTTTTAGTTTTGCAATCCTGGCTGCTTTGTGTATCTTTATGGGGGATTTGAAGAGATTAAATAATTATACCATCAAGGCTGCCACCTTCTCAGAATCTTCATGTTGTTTTCATATACATTGAATTTTTTTTTTTTTTTTGAGATGGAATCTTGCTCTGTCGCCCAGGCTGGAGTGCAATGGCACGATCTCGGCTCACTGCAACCTCTGCCTCCTGGGTTCAAGTGATTCTCCTGCTTCAGCCTCCCAAGTAGCTGGGATCACTGGTGTGCACCACTATGCCTGGCTAATTTTTGTATTTTTAGTAGAGACGGGGTTTCACCATGTTGGTCACGCTGGTCTCAAACTCCTGACCTCAGGTGATCTAGCCTTGGCCTCCCAAAGTGCTGGGATTATAGGCGTGAGCTACCGCATCCAGCCTACATTGAATATTTTTATATACATTCACTATTGCCCACCTACAAGAATTTTTCTAAATATACTTTGGGGAGAAATTACAGGCTGTTAGGGTATGTAAAGGCTCAACATTATAATGCTAAATTGTTTTCTCAAGTTTCTGTATCAATTTATGTTGCTACCTTCCTTCTGGTTTCTTTAGATTTGGTTTTCTCCGCTTTTCTAGTTTCTTAAGATGATAGTTTAAGTAGTTGATTTGAGATTTTTCTTCTTTTTAAATACAGTTATTTACAGCTATAAATTTCCCTCCAAGTACCTACCGCTTTAGCTGTACCCCAGAAACTTTGGTATGCTATTTTGTTTCCTTCATCTCAAATTTTTTTCTAAGTTCTCTTATTTGTTCTTTGACTTCTTGGTTAAGAAGAGTGTTTTTTAATTTCCACATATTTGTGAATTTCCCAAATTAATTTTTGTTATTGTTTTCAAATTTTATTCTATGGCGAACATACTTTTTATAATTCTAATCTTTTAAAATTTATTGGGACTTATTTTGTGGTCTAATGGATTGTCTCTCCTGGAGAATGTTCCATATGTACTTAAGAATGTGTATTCTCCCTCAAAGGTCTAGAACTAGAAATACAGATTGACCCAGCAATCCCATTACTGGGTATATACCCAAAGGATTATAAATTATTCTTCTATAAAGACACATGCACACATATGTTTATTGCGGCACTAATCACAGTAGCAAAGACTTGGAACCAACCCAAATGTCCATCAATGATAGACATATGCACCATGGAAAACTATGCAGCCATAAAAAAGGATGAGTTCATGTCCTTTGTAGGGACATGGATGAAGCTGGAAACCATCATTCTCAGCAAACTATCACAAGGACAGAAAATCAAACACCGCATGTTCTCACTCATAGGTGGGAACTGAACAATGAGATCGCTTGGCCACAGGGCATGGAATGTCACATACCGGGGCCTGTCAGGGGGTGGGGGGCTGGGGGAGGGATAGCATGATAGATGCAGCACACCAACATGGCACATGTATACCTATGTATCAAACCTGCACATTGTGCACATGTACCCTAGAACTTAAAGTATAATAATAAAAAAAAAAAAAAGAATGTGTATTCTTTGCTGAGTATGGTGGCTCATGCCTGTAATCTAGCACTTTGGGAGGCCGAGGCAGGAGGATCACTTGAAGTCAGGAGTTCAAGACCAGCCTGGGCAAAATAGCAAGATCCTGTCTCTACGAAATGAGCAACTTAGCAAGACCCTGGCCAACATAGCAAGACCCTGTCTCTACAAAAATTAATAATTAGCTGAGTGTGGTGGTGCACACCTGTGGTCCCAGCTACTCGGGAGTCTGAGGTGGGAGGATTACTTGAGCCCAGGAGGTAGAAGCTGCAGTAAGCCATGATCGTGCCACTGGATGCCAGCCTGGGCAACAGGGCGAGACTCTATCTCAAAAAAGAATAATAAAAGAATGCATATTCTGCTGTTGTTGAGTAGAGTGTTCTATAGATGTGTGTTAAGTATAGTTGTATACAGTATTGTTCAAATCTTCTATTTCCTTGGTAGTCTTTTGTCTAGTTGTTCTACCCATTACTGAAAATGAGGTATTTTCAGTAATGGGTAGACTTGAGCCCATGAGTTCAAGTCCAGCCTGGGCAACATAGTAAAACCTCATCTCTTGACAAAACAAAACAAAAACAAAAAACCCAAAGATTTGAAAGTAAGAGGATGGGCCAGGCACAGTGGCTCACACCTACAATCCCAGCACTTTGGGAGGCTGAGGTGGGTGGATCACAAGGTCAGGAGATGGAGACCGTCCTGGCTAACGGGGTGAAATCCCATCTCTACTAAAAATACAAAAAACTATCATTGTTGAATAGTTTATTTTCCCTTGAATTCTGACAGCTTTTACTTCATATCTGAGGCTCTATTGTTAGTTGCATGTATGTTTATAATTTATATAGTCTTAATGGATTGACACTTTTACTATTATAAAATGTTCATTATTATGTAGTCATCCCGTTCTCTTTTGGTTACTGTTTGCCTATCTTTTTTCCTTCCTTTTACTTTTTTCTTTTTCTTTTTGAAATGCCATTTTGCTCTTGTTGCCCAGGCTGGAGTGCAATGGCATGATCTCAGCTCACCACAGCCTTCACCTCCTGGGTTCAAGCAATTCTTCTGCCTCAGCCTCCTGAGTAGCTGGGACTACAGGTGTGTGCCACCACGCCTGGCTAATTTTTTGTATTTTTAGTAGAGATGGGATTTCACCCTGTTAGCTAGGATGGTCTCCATCTCCTGACCTCGTGATCCGCCCACCTCAGCCTCCCAAAGTGCTGGGATTGTAGGTGTGAGCCACTGTGCCTGGCCCATCCTCTTACTTTCAAATCTTTGGGTTTTTTGTTTTTGTTTTGTTTTGTCGAGCGATGAGGTTTTACTATGTTGCCCAGGCTGGACTTGAACTCTTGGGCTCAAGTAATCCTCCTACCTCAGCCTCCTGAGTAACTGGGACTCCAGGCACATGCCACTGTGCCTGGATGGGTCATTTAAAAGAATTATTTGTTCTGCCAATCTCTGCCTTTTCTTGCAGTGTTAAATCCTTTCACATTTAATGTAATTACTGCTAAGTTAGACCGTATTACATCATTATACACTGTATGCCCATCACCACAGATATATAGTTACTTCTTTCTTTCTTCCTTTTTTTTTTTTTGAGTGACAGGGTCTCACTCTGTCACCCAGGCTGAGTGCAGTGGTACAGTCATGGCTCATTGCAGCCTCCACCTTCTGGGCTCAAGTGGTCCTCCCACCTCAGCCTCCTGGGTAGCTGAGACTACAGGCACGTGGCTATTTTTTTTAATTTCTATTTTTTGTAAAAATGGGGTCTTGCTATGTTGCCCAGGCTGGTCTCGAATTCCTGGCTCAAGTGATCCTCCTGCCTCAGCCTCCTGAAGTGCTGGGGATTACGGGTGTCAGCCACTGCACCTGGTCTACATGCTCACTTTTTGTTTTCTTGAATCAGTTTTGGTAAGTTATATTTTTCTAAGTTTCAAATTTATTTGTATAATCTCATGTATAAGATTCTCTTATTATCTTTTAAATTTCTGTCTCATCTGCAGTTTTCTCTCCTTTTTATGCCTACAATTATTTGAGCATTTTATCGTTTTTCAGGATCAGCTTTATCAGAGATTCATCTGTTTGATTAGTTTTATCCAAAAACCAACCTTTGGCTTTGTCAATCCTCTCTATTATATTTTTGTTTCCTAGTTCACTAATTTCTACTCTTACATTCAGTATATCTTTCTGTGTGTATCTATCTTTTACTTTCTGTGGGTTGGATTCTTTTTGTACTGATTTTCATCAAGGTTATTGATTTCCTTCCAAGCAGTATTTTTGCTGCATCTCTAAATATTTGATATGAAGATATTTAATAATCATTCACATTTAAAAATTTTGAAGAATTTTCAGTGTAATTTTCTCTTTGATTAATGACTTATTTAGAAATGTGTATTTAAAGCTTTAAAATGTATAGACATTTAAAATATAGCATTTTAGGCCAGGCATGGTGGCTCATGCCTGTAATCCCAGCATTTTGGAAGGCCAAGGCAGGAGGATTACTTGAAGCCAGGAGTTTGAGACAAGCCTGGGCAACATAGCAAGATCTCATCTCTAAAAAATAAGTATTAAAAATTAGCTGAGCACACTGGTGTGTGCCTGTAGTCCCAACTACTCAGGAGGCTGAGGCAGGAGGATTGCTTAAGCCCAGGAGTTTGAGGCTGCAATGAGCTGTGATCGTTGTGTCACTGTACTCCAGCCTGGTGACAAAGTGAGACCCTGTCTCTAAAATATAAATATATATATATGATATATATGTGTGTGTACACATATATGTATACATACATACATATATATGTATGTATACATATATATGATATGTATGTATACATATATATACACACATATATATAGCATTTTGTTCTTGATTTCTAACTTTCTTGCACTCACTTGAGAGAATGCCGATACTTATTATTTGAAATTTATTGAAATTTGCTTTATGGTATAATATGTTTTCAATTTGTTTTCTTGAGAAAAATATAATTTTTCTATTTCGTATTATATCCAACTTGTGTTGTTATACACACATACATGTGCACACATGCATATAATTGTCTGTTTGTTATAATCTCTTAGTATAATGAGGGATTTGTTCACATTTCTTTCTTTTTTTTTTTTTGCTTTACATATTTTGAGGCTATATTATTAAAAGCACATTATTCTAAAATATTTAAATCTTTATTTTATTATTATGTAGTAATTCTCTGTATTCCTAATAATGTCTTTTCTCATAAAATATGCTTTATATGATAATAATCTAGCCACTCCAATGTTAATTTAGTTTGATTTTGCCTAACTTACTTTTTTCCATGTCTTTACCTTGAGTCTTTAGGTATGCCACTTATAAATATAACTAAAATCCAATCTGACCATCTCTATCTTTCAACTGAAGTGTTTAATCCATTTGTATTTATTGTGATTATTGCAGGAGGACAAGTCCTTGAATGACCTTGGCTGATTCAGCTCTCCCTGCTCCTTCTTACAATTCTTGGGCAGAATGTACTGAGAATGTAACATCCTGGGATAAGGAAGAACCATCTAGAACAGCCTGGGCTTTGTCTTTGTTCCTCTCAGAACAAGGTGCTCTGCAATGCTTAAGCTCAGTGATTTAAGTACCTGTAGGGTATAAAATCCAGAGTGGACTGCTTTCAGGGTCCCTCAGCTGTAGTGTGAAGTTGGGCATATGCAGATGGGATTCCGTCTGCCCTGGGCAGCTTGCTTGAGTTCTGGGGGACCAGCTCCCCACGGATTCTATGCTTCTATCTTTGCTACATATCTGTGAGTAATAAGTCGGCTTTGCCTGACTTGTGCAGGTGTTTTGTCATACCAGACTCAGACTCCGGCAGCTGGGTTTGTGCAAAACCTTTAGAAGCTGTGTTTGTGTAAAGACTCCTGCCAGACCTGGGCATCCACCAGATACAGGAATCTTTACAAAAATTGGCAAAGTGTTTAGAGTCCTCTCCTGGTATCCAACATATGGTGTGCCCCTCATAAGGATTGATACCAGTGCATGGTATTCTGTTTCACAATTATGAATATATGTGGATTTTTTCTAATACCTACTTTTTGTTTTCTGTGTCTTGCTTTACCTATGCTATTTTTCTTGTTTCTTGTTTTTCAAAAATCCAATTAAAATTTTTTTCCCTTCCTAAGGATTTTGGCATTATACTTTTAGCTTTTTATGGTTACCCTTGACATTTTTCTAGATGTACTTAACAAGATCTAAATTAGCCCATAACTTTCCCAACCCCAACCTCTAAACAAATATGAGCCTCAGAACATTTTAACTCAATCCCTTATTTACATATCATTGTTTTTAGCCAGTTAGTATGTCTTTTTTTTTTTTTTGAGATGGAGTTTCACTCTTGTTTCCCAGGCCAAAGTGCAATGGCACTATCTCGGCTCACCACAACCTCCGCCTCCCAGGTTGAAGCAATTCTCCTGCCTCAGCCTCTTGAGTAGCTGGGATTATAGGCATGTGCCACCACGCCCAGCTAATTTTGTATTTTTAGTAGAGGTGGGGTTTCTCCATGCTGGTCAGGCTGGTCTCCAACTCCCGACCTCAGGTGACCCACCTGTCTTGGCCTCCCAAAGTGTTGGGATTACAGGCGTGAGCCACCGTGCCCAGCCTAGTATGTCCTTTAAAAAAAAACACTTACATAGATATTCTTCTTCTATAGAGAAAAGGTTTGCTTAGATTTACCTTGAGGGTCACCACTTATTCACTCACTGTTTCTTCTTGTTTTCAGATTCCCCTCTGGGATCATTTTCTTTCTATCTGAAGTATATTTTTAGAAGTTCTTCAGAAAAGAACTGTTGGTAAGCTCTCAATTTCTGTAATCTGAAACATTCTTATTTTGCACTCAATCTTGAAAGTCAGTTTTGCTTGATTTAAAATTCTAAGTTGGCAATCACTTCCCCCTGAACTTTTAAGATATTAGACTACTATTTTCTAATCTCCATTGATATTGTTAAGAAGTCTGTTGTAATTCCACAATTGTAGGTCATTTATAATTTTTCTCGACTGCTTTTAAGAGCTGCTTAGTGTGGCTAACTGTAGCTTTACTTTTAAATTTGCTTTCCTGCCTGATGGTATACATTGCACTTTCAGCATTTTTGGATACCAGTAATTCACTAGTTTTAGAAAATTCTTGGTCTTTATCTCTTTAAAATTTGCCTCTTCACCATTCTTTCCTTTTGGAACTCCAGCTATTTGTATGTTATAGTTGTTCATTTTAACCTTTATCTCTGTTAATGACTTTTTTATATTTTCTATCCATTTGTCTCTCTTTTGCATTCTGGGTAATTTTTTTAGCTTTTAAAATTCACGATTTTCTCCAATCTGCTGTTAAACTCACCAAATTAAGTTTGTTTCTGACAATTTTTTATTTCTGAAAATTCCATTTTTCATCATGCCTGTGCCTTTATAGTATATTATTGCTTATTTATTTTTTGCAACTCTATTTTTTAATTCTTTAGATACTTAATATATCATTATCGTATGTTTGACGATTCTGTTCTTCGAAGTCCTTCAGGTTTTGTTTCTACTGAGTCTCACCTATGGTTTATTAATTGTAAATATTAAGCTTCTTATTTGGTTGATCTGAACTGAGGTTGCTTTTCTTCAGAAAGGACTTGCATTTGCTTCTGCCAGGAGCCAAGGAGAGCTTTTTTTTGTTTGTTTGTTTTTGATTTTTGTGTGTGTTCCCATTTATTTTCTGTCCTGATGATTTCCCTTACTTCCTGCAAATTCAGTATTGCCTTAAAAAGTATGTCTTTTGTTTAGGAACTAATTGTGTTTTAAGCAGGAAGACCCTTCAGGAAGTTAAAAGCCCACATGAATTCTTTAGTTGCAGAAGTTTTAAATGTTGGCTAAAATTAGATTTTTAAGAATAGACTCTTCATATATGAGAATTATAGATATAAGTTAGGTTTCTGGTCCAATAAATGCAATCAACCCTCAATAAGCAAGAGTGTTGATTATTCACTTTATGGGAGGATTGGCAATGGAAGTTTTTGGTTGCCTAGTGCATCAAAGTTCCATTTGTGACTGTTCATTTCTGAATAGAGAAAACAAAAATGAAGCCAAGGCATTTCTGAGTGACTATTAGAGATGACACTGAACTAAGACAAACTACCTAGAATTATTAAAGAAACTGGTGAGGGAAAATGGAATTTAACTAAACAAAAATCTACTTTGCACACTTCCCAGGAAACACAATTTGGTATATTTCACTCTGGATAAAAAATGGTTATAATCAAATTTTGTTTTTGTTTTTTAAACCCTATCAGTTTTTCTGGTCTGCTCCCTTTACATTTTCTCCAACAATTATTTTCAGCCATTTTGTCCCTCTTCAGCCCTCAGAGCCAAACCTTCCTCCTCCCCTGTTCTCAGCAGAAGGGATTGACTGTTTTTTTAAAAAGAACAGACAACATCAGAAGGGAACTGTCACATGCTGTGTCATCACAACTAGCCCCTCCCCTCAATACTCAGCCACTTCTTTTCCCCTTCTCTCCTAGTTGTAAAGGACAATCTCCTCCTCTAAAGCCACCTGTACTCTGCACTCCATCTCTTCCCATGTCCTCCAGGACTTTGTGATTCTCTATCATTCTCTCTCTCATCTTCCATCATTCCTTTTCACCTTGTTTATTCCCCAGAAGCATTTAAAACATGTTTAGGTCAGAACCATGGAAAAAAATAACCAGCCCTCCTTCAACCCCCACATACCCCTCCCATTACCCATCCTTTCTCTTTCCCTTGCTTTACAGCCAAATCTCAGAAGAGTTGTCCAGTATTACTGTCTCCATTTCCTTCTTATTCATACTCAATCTGGATTTTACCCTCAACATCCTACTGAAATTCTCACCATTAGGTTTCCATGTTTCCAAATCTAGTTGACATTTATTGGTCTTCACCCTATGTGATTTCTTCATAGCATTCAACACAATTTCAAACACTCACAGTGGACACAGTACACACACACACACACACACACACACACACACGCACTTTTATCTTAAAATGTCAGCTACAAATGAGCCAACAATGTTTAGTTGAATATACTGTATTTAAAAACCAATTTATTTATTGTAAGGCTATTAATATAATAATTATTCATTATTAATGTTATATATGTATTAGTGTAAATTATTTCTACTTTATGTTTCAATTTAGACCTTACACTGATTTTAAAAATTATATGCATAGGTAGGTTATATTATTTCTGAATTTCATTTCAGAAATTAGTAAAGAGATTTTCAGAAGACTTGTTAGAAGAAGTCAGTGATTGTGGATGGGACTGAGAATTTCTGCTTTAGTGGAGCCAACTCTCTCTTGGTTGAGACCAGGGAAGTGGCCCAGCACAAGAGAGCTTCTGCACTCCAAGAGCTAGCTTCATTGCTTTTGGAAAAGATTCAACGTGTCAAACAGCTAAATGATAACTTTCTCTCCTGAACTGATATGCGTGATTTTGGTGGTTCCTTAGTTCTTACATGGGCTACCTTGGTAGGGGGTATTTTTCATCTATTTGATTACTTCTTTGTAAAGTTAACTCTCTCAGCTTTATGCATGGGAGGACACAGAGGAGAAAAGTAAACCTCCAAGGACAAGATGCTTTTCACCTTGAAAATTGTTTGTCATGAATGTATTTACTGGCCATGGTTCTTTCTTTGGAAAATCCTTATAATGAACTCAAAATGGCAGGGCTGTATTTTGGTTATTGTTCCCAAGAAATGGTTTTTAGCCACTAGACCACTTTCTGCACTGGGTTTCTTGCCCCCTTGCCCTGTACCATAAGGCAGTCTGGTTGCTTCAGCAGGAAGGCTCGGCTGCATGGTAGTTGGGTGGTCTCTGAAGAGAGCTCCTTTTGTTTTCCTGATGGACCCAGGGCCAATGTGCCGCAGCCCTCGTGAAGCACAAAGTGCAAGGCTGTGGCTCCAAGATGGAGTGTTTCTCCCTCTGCCTTTAAGAGAACACGGGGGTCATAGATAGCATTGTACAGACGTGTACCTTGCCAGGGCTGCCAGGGGAATGCAGGCTCATGGGGAGGATTGAGGGGACAGAGATGTGTGTGTACAGATTAGTGTGCCATAGACTAAGCACAGCAGAGGCAAAGAATGCCATCTAAGCTCTTGTCGCTCGGAGTGTCCGAGGATCATCACCATACAGGTCACCCAGGAGCTTATTAGAAATGCACAGTCTCATGCCTCACCCCAGACCACAAATCAGAACCCGCATTCGAACCACATTCCTAGGTGACTCCCAGGCACATTATAATTCAAGAAGCTCTGCTGCTTTTACCTGCACCGAGGCCTCAGCCTTCAGACCACTCCAGGAAGCCACCTTTTCACATCCCCACACCCCCACCCGACACTCTGTCACCTGGATCTTGCCCATTTCCTCCCTGGCATGTCCCTTAGTCCCTTAGGTCTGCACATCTGCCCTTCCTCATTGGCCAGCTCTAGCACAGATCACTGTGTTCACCTTGGCAGTCCCAAGTCCTTGCACACTGCCTGCCTGAGAGCAGGCTCCAAGCTGAAGGCTTCTCGAGTCAGTGGACGAATGGATACGTGATCTACATGGCAGAAATAAAAGCCTGAAGTTTGCAGAAGGTTAGGTGTTTATTTGCACTGCTTTTATACTGTCTACCAGGTTAAAAAAAAAAAACAGAGACTCTTTTGAAGGCATAGATTTTAGATATCAACCTCAGACTGTGGCATTTGGGATTTCCAGAGCATGTCGTTGAGGCACTTTTGTACCCAGAGGCACATGGAATTTACCAGGCTGTGGAGATGATGTGCTCTCGGGATGCTGCTGCCAGTAGCCTGGTGAGGTAGGGAAGACAGCAGTGGACGCACAGTCAGGGCCCAGTACACAGCCCGCCTGCCTTTCGTGTGATTGTCCAGCAGGTGGCACCTGTTCCCTCCTGCCACCCACCTTATAATTGCTTCCCTCTTGAGCACCTTCAGCCAGAGGTGGGTGGGAAGGGGAGGACGTGCACTGGGTTCTGCTATGTGCCAGCATCTTTGGTATAAGGAGCCATTCCCTGGCCCAGGGCAGGCAGCCAGTACCCACCGGGGTTGGGGATCATTGGTGGGTCTCCATTGCCCATGCTCTCCCTGCCTCTCATTAGTAGGGAATCGATGGGCCCTTGTTATGCCAAGGCAATGCTAAAATCTCTGCTTTACCTGCCCCCTTCTCAGCAAGGCTCTCTGTGGGCCACAGCTGATGCTCCATCAGTGCCAATTTATGAGACAAGTTTCTGCCGCTCAGCCTTGGCACAGCAGATGGAAAATACCTGCAGGAAGAGCTTCCCCGGCATGGCCTTCCCTGCATCGGTCATGTGCCTAATGAGCTATCCTTGCAGTGGGCTCTTCTCCTGCTTTTCACTGAAGAACCCTTATGTGCTGCATAGACATGAGCTCATGAAACCTCCCTGGCGGGGGGGGGGCAGGGGCAGCCTCATCTGTGACATTCTCTCTGGGCAGCCTTCACTGGCCCTACTCTCTTCCTTCCATCAGAAGATGGCTTTGGGCCCAGGAGACTCATGAAGACCTCACCCTCTTTGTCTTCAAAGATGCTTTTTCTGTGGCAGATCAACCTGGTTCTGCAGAGGGTTGGGGGCTCAGCCGAGAACACCTGTTTCTTCACAGGGGAAGTAAGCTAGAGTCAGTAGGGAGCAGCAAGGATGGCCTGTGACTGGAGGACAGACGTCCTGTGGCCCCGGCGGTGCTCTTCCCTCTTGTGCTTTGGGGCAGCAGCATTTTAGGTTTGTAGCTTTGGTGGAAAAGTTGCTCCCCACTGTTTTGAAGTGTAATGCCCCATGAGGAGGAAGTTGGAGCCAGTGTGGTTTTCTGGGTCCTCTGCCAGAGGACATTTGGAGTCCCCAATATTTTTCCTCAGGACTGACTTCGTGAAGACAGTCCTTCAGCCCAGGCAGGGCTCAACTCTGACGCCCGGGGAGCTTTACTCCCTAGAGTGTTTTCTCTTGCTCTCCCCCTTGGGCTGATTTCTAAAGGGTCTGCTCTAGGCCTTCCTGGGAGTCATTCAAACTGAAGATGGAAAGGGTGAGAAGGCACAGTGGTTTAAAGGACGCTCATCGCCAGGTTAAAGGAGGGAAGGAAATTACACTTGTTCCCAAGCCAGGCTCACTAATGGCTCTGGAAAGGAGGTGACGTCACTCTCACAGGAGGATCCATTTGCAGGCTCTATGGTGACTTCTGACTTTCAGGGAAAATGTCTCCCCCACTCAGCAAGGATGAGGTGGAGCAGCTTCAGCCCAATCCCTCCATCCTCCCACCACCGGGCAAAGGACCAGGCACAGACTCCAGGCCGACTGCCTGATTTTCCTCCTCCCCAGGCCTCCTGCTGCTGCCCCAGGTGGAGGGAAGAGACCAGCCGCTGCTCACATGCTCCAGGGATGGCTCTGGGCAGAGCCGTTGCCTTCCCTCCCCTTCAGAGCCCTAGCTCTGCAAGAGCCTTGGGGAAGTAGCAAAAGGGAAGTTGTGGGGGTGGGGTGGGCAGGGATAAATCGAACCCACCACAGCACAAGCCTCTTCTGTACAAAAAGTGTGTGTATATCTCTGCAAATGTCACAATAGCATGATCTGCTCTTCTCTTAACGTACGGCACTTGTTTTTAAATCTACAAGTTGAAATCTCAGAGACCCAACTTTTTAGCTAGCTATGTATAATTGCAAATCCTGTTATATATGTGGAATATATGTAAATACATATACACATATGTGTGTATATCATTCTGAATAGTACTGCATACATTTGAGTCCCAGGAATTTGGACCTCAAACCTCCTATTTGCACACAGTTATACCACTTTGCACCACCAAGAAAAGAAAACCTAACGGGCTCAGGGCACCGTCCCTCGTGTGCCCGGGGTCCAGAGCCCAGGGCAGGCACCTCATACGTGGCTCGTCTTCTCGGCCAGGGCGTGGTCTGTGGGCAGCGTGAACTTGATGGTGCTCTCCCTCTCCCAGCCTCTCCGGATCCTGGCGAGTCTGCGGCTGATGCAGGGCAGGAGAAACAGGGCTTTGGCCAGGATGACGACGCAGGGCACCAGCAGCGTGAGCGTGAAGGTGGGAGGCAGGTAGAACTTGTAGCGGCTCTCCTCGAAGGCGCGGGTCCAGCCGTAGGTGAGCGTGTGCAGTGTGCTCAGCACGAGGGCCACAAAGCCCAGTGAGGACTGTGGAGGGAAAAAAAGGCTGGAGTGAGGGCGAGGGGATGACAGATGCAGTGATCCTGCCAACGACTCATCTGCTGGCCTGGCGGAGGGGAAGGAGGGTGGCTTTAGTACTCACCGCTATGGGTTGGAACCCCAGTCCTGTCACTCTCTTAGTGTGATCTTATGATAACTCTCAACTCTCTGTGCCTCAGCTTCCACAACAGGAAAATGGGAATAATGCTTCTATGCTGAAGGTGTCTAAGGACCCACCAATTCACACGGATTCCATACAATAACTATATGACCATGCTTTTTCCTTAACTTTGTTATTTGTTATCTCTGGAGGCTGCTGGATGATTTCAGATGGAATTAAGTTCAAAGAAGTTTAAAAAACATTTAAGGCCTGCTGCGGTGGCTCTCGCCTGTAATCCCAACACTTTGGGAGGCCTAAGTGGGTGGACTGCTTGAGCCCAGGGGTTCAAGACCACCCTGGGCAACATAGTGAGACCCTGTTTCTACAAAAAATACAAAAAAATTAGCCAGGCTGTGGCAGCATGTGCTTGTTGTCCCAGCTACTTGGGAGGCTGAGATGGGAGGATCACTTGAGCCCAAGAGGTCAAGGTTGCAGTGAGCCAAGATTGTGCCACTGCACTACTGCACTCCAGCCTGGGTAACAGAGCAAGACCCTGTCTCTAAATATATATATACATATACATGTATATGTGTGTGTGTGTGTGTGTGTATAAATTTTACTAGTTATGTGTGTATTTTAATGTATATTAGAGTAACAAGTGTCTGCTTGCATACCAAAATCATAATTTCACAGATAACATTTGGCCTAAGTTAAGATCAGACAAAAAGTGGATTGATTTTAAATTAGCTTGAAGATAAATGCAGAGTAAATAATTTACAGATGGCACGTGGATTTGGCACCAGTAGCGAAGGGGACTCACGGGGCCTGTGGTCTGGGTGACCTGGCACCGTATAGAAAGCCCCAGAACACCACACAGATGCCCTCTGTGCATGCTAGACCTTCACCTCCCACCCCACACTGGGTTATAAACAACCCGGGTGGAAACCCCGCTGGGCCTACTCTTCCATCTGGAGGAGATTAGTGACCGTTGGGAGAAGAGACCATCCCAACTCTAAATGGAAATGGTCCCGGCCATTTTACAATGGAGCTTCACACCCCTTGAACAATGTGTGGGCTTTTGTGGGTCACTTCCAGCCGAGAGTGGCTGATCCACCACCCAAAGCATGACTTTCTGTAAGAGATGCAATGTGAAAATGGCTGGGAAGTGCTGCTCTATGACTCCAGCCTCTTGGCATGTACGAGTTCTCGTGGACCACGAAGGAAGAGATGCAGGTTCTACTGTTGGTGCTGGTTCAACTGATATGAACCCTGGGCAGGCGACTTAATCAACTTCAGTGGGAGATAAGTAATTTCCAAAGCTAAAGTCAGAGGGGGAAGCGCTGAGTAGTTGCAGTAGCCTCCATCTAGTCCCCTAGACAGGGCAGGCAAGTGACACAGCAGAGGGCACCGAGAGCGAGGGAGTCGTGGCACAGGGGTGCTCTGACTGAATTCTGCTAGCACTGGTGAGCCACTGAGAGCTTTGGGAGAGACCTCCCACGTCTATTACACAGGGATGGAAATAGCGATGACCCATCAAGCAATGAACACATATGCATTTTCTCCAAGGAGACATTGCGAGGGTGTAATTTAAGTGTGGCGGCACACTGAGACCTCTGGGTGGTCTGCATGGACTGAGCCTCCTGGATTCCCTTCTAGCCCAGCTTGTTGGCATCAATCCAGAGCCTCGGCTGACAGACGCTTCTCATTTGCACTCCCCTCAGAAGTGTTTCTAAGTGGGTCTGATTCCACATTGGGCCCCGTTCTTGCTCCTCCCTGGTGTGTGTGTGTGTGTGTCCCTTCATTTCCTGCTCCAGGACAGACACCAGGACAGTGAACGTCAGTGAGTGAAAGAACATGGTGTGGGAGAATTGCTTGTAAAGCTTTTGCTAAAGATAATAATAAACATTTTCCAATGGCTGCACACTACAATTTCACAGACAGGTTCTCACGTTCAACATTCTTGGGCCCAAGTAAAATAACCAAATAAAACCTTCTCTATCCTTCCTCACCCTCTCTGGTTCTTCTTGGCTTTGTGTCCATTTTTGGAATCTTCTTGGCCCAGTCTTTAACAACTTCTGGCTCACCACGAAGAGTGAGGAAGCCACGATTGGCTTTATGCTGTCACCCACAGTGAATTCCTATCATTTTAATGTGGTCACCTCCCAAAGAGAAGACTCCTTGACTGTCAGTTGCACATAAGCAAATCCTTGCCACTTCCAGAAGTGTCTGTCAAGAATTCCAAATCCCCTGCAACTTCTGAGCCACCCCAACTTTTCTAAATTCTAATCTCTTAGTGTGGAAGACTGTGGTTAAAAAAGTCCCCAGCACTGACCATCAAGAATAAGTCTTGGCTGGGTGCGGTGGCTCACGCCTGTAATCCCAGCACTTTGGGAGGCCGAGGCGGGCAGATCACCTGAGGTTGGGAGTTCAAGACCAGCCTGACCGACATGGATAAACCCCGTCCCCGTCTCTACTAAAAATACAAAATTAGCCAGGTGTGGTGGCGCATGCCTGTAATCCCAGCTACTCGCTTGAACCCAGGAGGTGGATGTTGCAGTGAGCCAAAATCACGCCATTGCACTCCAGCCTGGGCAACAAGAGTGAAATTCCGTCTCAAAAAAAAAGAAAAAAAAAAAAAAGAGTAAGTCTTGAAGTCAATCACCCTGATGTTCCCCAGCCAGGTGCCCAGCCCTAACTAACTGTGGGCCCTCCCACCCCTCCTCATTGTGGACTTATTGGTGTTGCCAAGATGGCTGGGTGATGCCCTTTATCCCCAAGAGTTTAACAGTCTGTGGCTTTTAGACTGTGGTTTTCAAACCTTGCTACACATTAGAATCACCCGGGGAGCTTGGGTAAAATACTAGTGCCCAAACCCCACTTCCAGAAATTCAGATTAAGTTGGTTTGGGGCGGGGCATCTGTTGTTTTTTAAGGTTCGGCGGATGAGGCTGATGGGCAGCTAGGACTAAAGCCACTCATTTAGGAGACTGTCGTCACCACACCCTTCTAGCTTCAGGGTGAAAAGTCCACACGGGCCCCTCTGCTCAGGTCACTTGCCTGAGGAAGACCTGGACCTATCTGTTCCTTAGACAAAGCCCCACTGAGAGCCTTTTGGCGCCCACCTCTGTGTCGTGGGCTTTCCCAGGAGGTGCAGCAATGGGAGCCCATCCAGGCCTGGAAAGCCAGCCTTAGTAGCCCCAGTGAGGTCTTTGCATCTCCCTCGGGTGACATGCCCTGTAGCTCCAGTGTTTGGTCTGTGTGGGCCACTGTCCCCAGCCCCTGATCTGGAGAGTGATGAATTTTGCTGGGCACTCTGGGCTCTGCACAGGGACAGTGTGGAGACGCTGCTCCCAGGCCCACCAGTGGCAGTCAGCTCCTCCTGTTCATATAGCCTCATTCTTGTGCCATTCAAAATCCCATGGTGCAGACAGCAGGAAGTTCCAGCCTCAGGCCAGTGGTTCATAGCAAGGGCTGACAGCCAAAGGCCAGCCAATAACAAAGGGCCTTTGACTTTCCTGTCCCAGTGGGAAGCCTGCATGATTCCAGGGAGTTTGTTTCCCAAAAACTCTCCTTGGGAACAATTTAAAAATCCCAGAACCCAAAGAAGCCCAAAAGGAGAGGGATTGTCATGAGGCGATTAATAAGATCCCCAAGCTAGAGCCATTTTTATTATACGTAAGCTTGTTAGCAAAAAAGAAACAGCCAGGTCGTTGTAGCTCCTGCTGGTGCTCAATTACTACGGCACAAAGGGGCTTTGGACAATTGCTCATGAAGCTGGGGTCAGGCTGGTCTTGTCATTATTTCAGGCAGGTGGCTGGAGTGGGCAAGGTCACAGGCAGTTCCTCTAACTCTGGGAAAGAACTTAGGTTCTAAAAGCTGAACCCTCATTTTTCTGCGCAGGTGAGCTGCTCTGACTGGAGTATTTTGCAGTCTAATATCTAACAGCCAGTTAAAACTGGCTGAATTGAAACACTTAGCACAACCCAAACCAAACCAAAACAATAACAAAAAAATACCAAAGGAAGGCTGGGTGCGGTGGCTCACGCCTATAATCCCAGCACTTTGGAAGGCCGAGGCAGGCGGATCATGAGGTCAGGAGATTGAGACCATCCTGCCTAACACGGTGAAACCCCATCTCTACTAAAAATACAAAAAAAAAAAAAAAAAAAAATTAGCCAGGTGTGGTGCCGGGCGCCTGTAGTCCCAGCTACTTGGGAGGCTGAGGCAGGAGAATGGCATGAACCCGGGAGGCAGAGGTTGCAGTGAGCCGAGATTGTGCCACTGCACTCCAGCCTGGGTGACGGAGTGAGACTCCGTCTCAAAAAAAAAAAAAAAAAAAAAAAAAAAATACCCAAAGGAACACAAAACAACATGTAAAACTTTGAAAACAGATTTGGGAACAAAAGGATAAATGCAAGCACAAGTCACCTCTTTGTGGAATCAATACACTGTTTCAATGGTTTTTAGCTAAACGAAGTGTCTGAGGTGTTCAAACCAGAGAGACTTCACCTGAATGGGGGGCTGGGTAAAATGAGGCTGAGACCTACTGGGCTGCATTCCCAGGAGGTTAAACGTTGCTAGTCACGGGATGACATAGGAGGTCGGCTCAGGATACAGGTCATAAATACCTTGCTGATAAAACAGCTTGCAGTAAAGAAGCCAGCCAAAAGCACCAAAACCAACATGGCAACGAGAGTGACCTCGTTGCTCATTATACACTAATTATAATGCATTCGCATGTTAAAAAACACTCCCACTAGCGCCATGTCAGTTTACAAATGCCATGGCAATGTCAGGAAGTTACCCTATATGGTCTAAAAAGGTAAGGAACCCTTAGTTCTGGGAATTGCCATCCCTTTCCTGGAAAACTCATGAATAATCCACCCCTCGTTCAGCATATAATCAAGAAGTAACAATAAGTATAAGCAGCTGAGCAGCCATGCCGCTGCTCTGACTATGGAGTAGCCATTCTTTTATTCCTTTGCTTTCTTAATAAACTTGCTTTCACTTTACTCTATGGACAGGTCCTGAATTCTTTCTCGCGTGAGGTCCAATAACCCTCTCTTGGGGTCTGGATCGGGACCCTTTTCCGGTAACAAAAGCATTACAGATCTAGGGGTCAGCCAAGGCCCCTCAAGAACCATGGCTGTCCCCATAGCCTGGTGTCTGCTGTGGACATGTGTGTAGGGGAGGGTGATGGGGCTCAGGTAACTTCTCACTAGCCACGCTAACTTTAAAGGAGAAGGTTGCAGCTTACCTCAAAAGCCAGCATGCCACTGTTGGCTGCACGCATCCTGCATTTAACGTGTCCAGCTCAAATCCTCTTGATGACCATATGGGGTGGACA
This sequence comes from Homo sapiens, assembly GCF_000001405.40. Lineage (NCBI taxonomy): Eukaryota > Metazoa > Chordata > Mammalia > Primates > Hominidae > Homo > Homo sapiens. The sequence goes on along the minus strand of NC_000002.12, from coordinate 119,257,598 downwards.
CAGGCACAAGTGAGCAGCAGAAGCTCCGAGGGCCTAGGAAACTTGTCTGATGATGCGGGGCAGGTAAGTGGGGGTCTTGGGACTGAGATTCAGGTCTTCGGGTTCCACTGCCTGTGTTTCCTGCACTGGAAGTTGCCACACACTGCGGCATGCGCACCTATCAGTCACTTAGGGAGCTGCAAAAATAGATTGCCAGAGCCATCCCTCAGCATCTGAGTCCACGGATGGGAGGCAGGCCTGGGTTATCTCTGTTTCTCCAAGAGGGCTCTGGCTTCAGCCTATTTGACAGGGACTCACAGTAAGAACCATGTTTTACTCTGCTGTCCGGTAGACAACGAGGTATGCTACATTTGCAAATAAAACTAGCAATTCCATATAACTGAAAAAGTATCCCGACACCATGCAAAACACTCCACTGTTTTCTTTGTCATTCTATTTTATTTCATTTTTAAAATGCTGCTTGTGATCCATGGAATCAATTGCATGACCCACTAGTGAGTGTCCGCCAGTTTGCAAACACTGACTGGACCACTTTTAGGCCCAGGGTTGGGGTTCCTTGGCCTCTGTCTCACTGTCTCCTACTGAACTCAGAAATCGGTGGTTGGTACCTTAGTCAGAGATAATGGAAATGTGGCCAGATACCCTAAGAATAATAGCAAAATGCTTTTTATTTTTCTTTCACACATAATCTCTTACTGTGGCTCATAAAATCCCTGTAAGGCATTAACTCCATTTTTCAGGGGTGTAAACTGAGGCTCTTGGAGCAGACATGCTCTGCCCACAGTTACAGAGCAGGGTTGTGGGGAGGGAAAGCTGGAACTCAGGCTTCCCAGGCGCCGCTGACATGTGCCTCCTCCATATTGACATCTGGTTTTTGTGGATGGAAGGCAGGCACTGATTTCCACAAGTAAAATCCTGCCTTTCTACCCACCTAACCCCCCCTGCTCTTGCAGTGGCAAAAGGACTGTCCTATTTGTATTTCCACTCTTTAATATGTAAAGTAGAATGCAGCTGCTAGGGTCTCAGTCAGCTCTTGCTAACAAAATCAAATCCACCGGCTTTCTCTGGCAGGCAGAGCCAGGGCATGTAATCTATGGCTGCTTAAGGGAGCGGCTTTCTGGTGAGGGGAGCAGCCTGCAGTCTGCTTTAATTGTGGATAAACCATGCACGCCGGATACTCCAGGTGGGAAGAGGAAAATCCTAGATTTGGGTATGAGACACATGGGGATTAGTGGCAGATAAATAAAATTCTTCCCCTTCTCGTATGCTAACATGTGTCAGCCATGAGCCCTCCTCCAGGGACCTTCTGAGATGAGCAGAGCCAGGGAGATTCAGAGGCAGACACACTTTAAAAAACACACGGCTACAACTCTGTGTTGTTCCAATGGATGTGAAGCATCCCTGGTCAGGAGCAATTAATTTGGATTACGTAAGAGCATTACGCTGTCACTGTCCCTGAGTCCTGTACCACGTCCTCCCTGCACAGATTTCTGTTGATAGTGGGGGTGGATAGGATGGCTGTTCTCTGCCCTGTTACAATGGCAGGATACAGCATTAGTCAGCTCCCACTCATGGGAGGGGAGGAGTTAATCCGCCAACACTGACCGCAGATTCTGTGTGGAGAACAGTGGGAGATGCCAAAGAAATGTAAACAATGTCCCTGCCTCCGTTTCCTTTATCATGGAAAGATGGCTCTGCCTGTCTTGTTCTCTATTGCATCACAGGCCTAGCAGGATGCCTGGCCTGCAGTAAGTGCTCAATAAATGTTTGTTGAATGAACAAATGCAAAAAGAAACTTTTGCCACTAGCAGCATTTCCCAGAGTATGTTCTGTGGAGTATTTTTTTTTTTTTAAGAGGCAAGGTCTTGCTATGATGTCCAGGCTGGACACTTGAACTTCTAACTCCTGGAAGAATCGCTCAAGCTCAAGTGATTCTCCCACCTCAGCCTCTGTTAGTAGCTGGGATCCCAGCCACATGCCACAGCGCCCAGCTTGTGGAGTGCTGATAGCTGTTATTTGGAAAAAAGGAGGGGGAGGGTGCTAACACTCCAATAAGTCTGATTAACAAAGGTTTGTTTGTTGTAGATGTTATTCGAATCTTTGATGTGCCAAAGTGCATTGTGATCTCTTAGGGGGAAGTAAATCTTTTCTCAAATTCATCTGATGACAGACCTCCTTTTTCTGGATTTTTTCATAGGAATGGCATCCTTGGGAAAAAGCTGTGTCGCATCCCCTATAAACTGGGGTCCTAATGCTTGTGTCTCATCCACGCTGCATGAATCAAGGGGTTAAGGGGAACAACAGAGCCAGGTTGAGATGAGGGGTGGAGGGTGGTGGGCTAGGCTCGCTCACTCCCTAGACTCCTACCTAGATGGATGTCTAGGTAGATGATGACTCCTACCTAGACCAGCAAAATGTCCAATGACTTCATGTCATTCAATTTTGTTTGGAAAGCTCAAGAATTCTAGAAGCTTGAGAATGGTGGACCCAGGGCTCAGTGTCCTGGTCTGTAATTTTTTCACATGCCTGTGTCTGGCTTCCTCATGTGTTGGGAGGTTAAGCTTGTAGCAGGCAGCCCCTATCAAGAGGCTTGGATGGGCCCTCTGGGTCAGGAAGGCCTGGCATCTCACCGAGTGGTCCTGCTGTGCAGATGATCAGAGCCCAGGCAGTTCTCAAAGGCAGAGCACTTACTCATGAGAGGTGGGCCAGGGCCACGCTGAAGCTGGCTGGCAGACTAGAGACTACTTTACCTGAACGAAGCTGAACTCCCTCCAGTTGAGCGAGTTTGCAATGGACGGCAGTGAGGTCACGGCCAGCAGGGACAACGTGCCGAGGGCCAGCACTCCCAGGGAGAGGTAGATCTCCATCCGCCAGACCTCCTCCTCCACCCAGAGGTGGCTCTTGTTGGCCAAGACCTGACATGGATGGAAGGAAAACCATGAACACTGTGGCAAAGGCTGGTGCCCCGGGAGGGCAATGATGAAGGACACAAGAAAGACAAGACGGCGGGCGCTCACACTGCACCTGACGCTACCTGGCTCTGTGATAAGCGTTTCTCAGGCATTAACTCATCGAATCCTCAAAACCACCCCACAAAGTAGAGATCACTATTAGCCCATTTTAGAGATGGAGGAAATGAGGCACAAAGATCAAATCACTTTCCCAAGGTCACATGTAGCTAACAGATGCAGAGCTGGGATCAGGACCCACTCAGCCTGGTGCCAATGACCGGGGCTCCTGGGGCTTTCACATATCTGCCCCGGGGCAGCCAATCAGAACAGTCACATCAGCAGAGTAAGGAGTCAACCAGAAATACAGCCCTTAAGCATGGCTCCGTCTCACGGTTTTCCGGCCCCAGAATCCCAGGACAGGAGAGAGGAGCTCTCCTAGCTCTGAATCCCCTCAGCCAATGAGCTCACACCTTACTGGCTGCTTCCCTTCCCAGCCTGTCTCACCCTGAGCCCTCTGTCTTCCTGGAGCCCCACACTGCCCCCATCACTGGCTCACACTCAGGACATACAAAGACACATACAGACACTGAGCCCCCAACACTCCCCGACCCAAAGCTCTCAGCCTCCCCTCTTCCTACCCAGTTCTCTACTTCTGCCTGAGGCACACAGCCTTGGCTCAACTTTGCCAGGCAAGAGAGACTGACGGCCATTCACCAAGCAGTTCAGTGACCACTTACGAAGCACCTACTGTGTGCCAGGCCCTGGGCTACAGAAAATAAAGATACCTGCCCTTACCCTGCCCTCACAGAGATCTGGGCCCCCCCACCAAGTTCCAGGACATATAAATTGGGGAGCCCCTATGAACCTGGAGATTTCTGACCCTTCTCTCCCCACCTTGCCACTGAGCCCCCTCCTAGCCCAGCCAACACTCACTCGCATAGTGCCCTCATGAGGAAGAACTTTTATCAAGGTGCAACTAGACCGGGTAGCAGAGTTCCTGGAAGTCAAGGTGTTCTCTGTGAAACACTGTGAAATGCTGGTACTTTTATTCTATAATGTCAGCAGAACAAGGAACAGTATTTCCATTAGAAGATGTGACTACACTTTAATAGGCAGCCTCTCAAAACAGAATGACTCATACAGGTTTTTTGAGAAACAATTTCAGCAGAAAAAAAAAAACACGAGCTCAGTTACCACATAAAATATTAAAAGTGAATCCACTGGGCTGAGCAAAATGGTTGTACAGCTTATAAGAGAAAGTTTAAAGAAACAGAGAAAATGCCATCCATTGAGTGCTTTTCCTGCAATCTGTGAAAAATGATTGGCTCTGTTCTATTTTAGGGCAGGCCTGGCTCACTTTGGTGACTTTAAGCCACTAAGGGACCAGGAGTCTAGGGACCCAGCCTCTTGTCCTGACCACCAGTGGCATGTGACTCTGGCAAGACTGTCTCTGGGCCTCAGTTTCTCTACCTAGGAGGTTTGGATGAGGTCATGTCTGAAATTCTCTTGATTTTGCTTATGTGCCTGCTGTGGTTGAAGTCACCATTAGCTGGAAAGGCGTGCAGAGGGCAGAGAGGTCTCCTCCGTACCTCTGCCCAGAGAAGTCTTACTCACACCTCACAGCATGAATTGAGTAAGTCATCTCCTCGCTGGAAGTTGTTTGTTCTTTAACTCTGCTTCATTAGTCATTCCTCTCTGCGCCTCGGGAAGATCAGGCAGTTAATGTCACAAGTCAGAGTTTGGATGATTACACACACGTATACCACATTGGCTTGTAAAATGCCTTGTTTTTTTCCTCTAACATTTCCAGTCTGCAGTGACGCTGGGAAGGGAGGGATGAGGTGGGCTAGGGAGCAGTGGATGGCAAAGACCCGCATGAGGACAGAACCTAAGCCAGCCTTAGGAGTCCATGAGATTCTCAGCCAGCCTATTAAACCACAGTGTTGTGCTCAGAGCTCCCTGGTGACCAGTGGCACACATGGCTAACTGGAACGCAGATGTAACAGCTCCCCTAGTAAGTAAGTCTCTATGTTTAGAGATGATCAAGTTCACCACCTTCTCCTTGAGAAGGCCAAGGAGAGTGTTCATCAACAAGAGATGGAAAGACAGCATTCAGGTGTGGGATTTCCCTCTAGGTTGCAGGTCAGACGCTGAAGGACCAGTGAGGCTGCAGCATTAGCCCCTCTCCATGTCTTCATAGTGGGTGATGGATGGGAAGAGAGTGGTACCAACTCACTGCCTGCCAGACTCAGAGGAGGAGGGGGTGGCAGGGTGTGGAAGGGCAACCTTGGGGCATAGAGACCATAGGCCTGGATTCTGACGCTGACTCTGCCACTGGTGGGCAGTCATGAGACCCTGGGCAGTCCCTTTCCTGGCTCATAGCATCATTGTATCTTGCTGTGTTACTGCAGGACTAAAAGCATTACGTTTGTGGAATGAGTAGCATGGAACAGGCACACAGTGGGCACTTAATGTAATAAATGGCTGTTGTTCTTAGTGGCAGCAAGGCAGTTAGACTAGTTCTTGCTCCAAGCTCTACGTGCACTCCTCTTAAGATGCCTGATATTGGCTCTGTGGTGGCCAATTTAAAAATCAGTCACTCAGTGAGCATGCACTGTGAACCTGTGTTAGGAACCATGGACCCCAAGGTGTAGAAGACCCAGTCATGGACCTCTGAGTCGGGTATGAAGTAGTGTGTAAGAAAAATAATAAAAAAGTATTTACAAAATGCAACAGATTACAGAGGCAGGTATGGGGAAGTAAGGGGATAGTCTGGGGGAGCTTAACAGAGGTAGGGTTTTGAAGGAGGAATAGGAGTTTGCAAGCTGTCAAGGTGTCCTGGGGTGGGCGTTCCAAGCCGAGAGGAATGAGCTCTGCCCATTTAGAGGACAGTATGGGACCCAAGTGTTGACACGTCACAGGAGAAGGGGAGATGAGGCTGCGGAGGGAGTCTAGCTGCATAGTGAGGGTTCTACCATTATCCCAAGGACACTGGGGTCACTGGATCTTTTCAGCAGTGACATGGTCAGATGAGAGTTTCAGACCATCCTGTGCCAGCCATGTGCAGATGTAGCTTGGGGTGAAGGTAATAGGAGAACGGGGTGAAGGTAACAGGAGAACAGTGTGCAGGTTAAACATTTCTTTGATCTTGATCTTTGAGTTTGATGTTGAAATGTGTATTTCCAGGGAAATACACAAGCAAATCCAAATGCCCTGTACAAATATCGGTTATTGTTGGTAATAATACTGTCTGTAAACATGGTCTCAAAGGTTTTCTCTACAGCTGGCATACACCTTTGCCTCCTAATCTGCAGACTCAGGGCTGTAAGGAAATCTTGGAGGAGTTTCTTGTGCCTAGACTAATGTGCTCCCTTGACCCAAGGGCCTAGTGGGCAGTTGGGGTGGTGAGTGGCCATGTGGGGACCCTGTGGTGAGGTGCCCATGGGCTGGCAGCAGAAGCCACACATCAAGCCTGAGCCACCCAGGAGTCCCTGCTGTTTGGGGCTGAAGGCAGAACAGCCTCAGGTGCCCAGGCCCAGAACCGCGGGCATGGCTTACCATGGACCATCCAGAATCTGCTTGGATGTGCCCAGGCTTGGGCACCTCCCCGTATCTGGGCTGCTGTGTGTCAAGCCCCTGCCTCCCTCCGACCACCCACCCCGACATAACCACATCAGCCCTGGTTTTGCCCTTAAGAACTCTGCAGAACAAGTTTAAGCCCCTTTGCATGAGAGGCCTTCGGTGTCTCTGACTGATCTCGTCCTGCGGGAGGGATGGTTGCCTGGCAACCTCACCAGGGCCTGCAGCCCTAAAGATTTTTGGGACACGGGGAAAATTACCTTGCATGCGCCCCTCTGTGCCCTGGTATTTGCATCAGGGCAGAATTGGGTTAACAGAATATCAGGGAGAGCCTTGGCAGGGCAGAGAATTTAGACAAAGGCAGTTGAAGGGTGGCAGGGGAGGGAGGGAGCAGTGGTGTGTCTTTTACCCTGGGGGGTAGTGGGCACCGTCCCCGTCTTTCCCACTGCTGCTGGAAATACCTGCCAGCTCAGGGGAGAGGGAGTGGGCTCCTCCATGCAGATCTGCCCCGTCCTGGGCAGCAACATTGTACTAGTCCCCAGGGAGCCCCGCAGAGCCTCCTGCCAAGGGGCTGGTGCTTTGTAGAAGTCAGTAAGAAAATATCGTCAAAGAGCATTGAAAACATTAGCACTAGGAGAGAGCTTGATCTACACATCAGGGCCTCGAGGACAAAAGAGGGGCTGTGACTTGCTCAAGGTCAAGATCTTTGTTCCAGTCAGCGATGCTGGAGAGCAGGAGTCCAGCCTCTAGCCTTCAGGCCTCCACACCGCCCCACACCAGCTGAGGCGAGGAGCCAGATGGTCTGTGTCTTTCTTACTCCTTTCTGTGGCCCCAGGGCCTGGCAGAGTAGGTGCTCAGTGAATGAGTGAATGAATGACCTAGTTCTGAAATCATTTACTCAATTGTGAATTTGGTTTGCCTGTAGAAAGCAGCGTGGGTATAAGCATGGATCTGGAAAATAGCTGGATCTGAATCCCAGCTGTGCTACTTACTGACTGTGTGACTTTGGCCAAGTTACTTGACCCCTCTGTGCCTCAGATTTCTCATCTATGAAATAAGGATATAATAGCACCTGGCCTACAGGGATGAGATGGGGTTAAATGAATTCACAGTGGTGTACGAAGCTCTTAGAATGGTTCCTGGAACACAGCGAGCTCTTGTTAAGGGTTCATGACTGATTTCTTCCCTTCCTCTCATTTCCATCAAGCATCTTGCTTTTCTGCCTGAAGTCTGGGGTTCTTCCTTTGTCTTAGGAAATTCTGAGCCCACAGATGCAATGATGCCGGTATCTGTGGGTGGCAAAGGACGAGGGCAGTCGAGTAGCTGCTGGCAGAGAAGCAGCAACCCTGACAGTGAGTAGGGGCTGAGGTCTGTGGTTCTCAGGAGGTGCCCAGCCCTGCTTCCCAGTCCTGCCAATCCCCCATGCTCGGAGGGGATGGCCCTGTGCTAGGTGTTTAGGGGAGGGCCCAGCCTCACCAAGGTCCCTGCATTCTGAGCAGGAGCAGGAGCTGCAGGGGCTGCCAGGCTGGAATGAGGGGTGGATGAGAAGTGTCTCACCAGCACCTGGGCTGAACCCTGTTGGGTGACTAGCGTCCTGGAGTGGGCAGGACCTATGCATCAACCAGCCCCGGGGCTGGGCACTGGAGGTGGAATTAATTTGGAGAAAATAAAGACAGTGTTGCTGAAGATGTGAGCTTGGGACTAAGAATCAAGCCCCATGAGCTTGTGGACCAGGAGGGAGCATCAGGGGCCTGTTTCTGTGGGCACAGGTGCCAGCTGATGCCTGGGTCCCCACCTGGTGTGGCCTGAAGGTCCTCCACTTCCCAGGAACCCTGCTGGCAACCAAGCCCCATATGAATTTTCTAAATGAATGATTAGTGCCACCCCCAGTAAAACAAACAAAGAACAACAACAACAACAACAAACCTAAACCTGGAATGCTCACTCCTGCAGCCTTCCCCATCTCAGCTGATGGCAACTCTCTCTTTCAGGTGCTCAGACCCAAACCCCAGAGTCATCCCTGATCACCCACAAAACCCTGGGGCCATTCCAGCGGCAATTCCATGCACTCCAGCTTCACATGTGCCTTCAGGATCTCCTTGCTCCTCCACTGCTCCCACTGCCTCCAGCCTCCACTGCCTCAAATCTGGGCATATGCACGGCTTCCTCGCTGGCCCCAGCAGCTAGCTGCCTTTGACCTCCTACAGTCTGTTCTCAGCCAAAAACCAGAGAGAACCACTTAAAATGTCAGGCCGATCAACACCTAAATTCAAACCTTCACCAGCTCCCTATTTCACTCGGAGCCTAAGGCTGAAGCTCTTCCTCTCAGGCCTCGCCTGCCACCCCCTCCTTGTTCAGCTTTAGCCACATGGGCCTCCTGGCTGCTCCTCCAACGTACCAGGCACACTTCTGCCCAAGGACTATGCCCCGTGGCCTGCAACATCACCCCAGCAGGCCACCGGCCCCTCTCCCCTCCTTCCAGCTCTGCTCACATAGCACTCACTCTGCAAGTCCTCCTGGACCATCTTCAAACCTGCACCCCCACCGCCCACGCTTGCTTTCCTTTGCGCCTTAGCACTCCTGATCCTCTCAACGCCCACTATGACTCACTGCTGTATTTTGTTTAAGTCTGCCCCAACTGGGCTGTACCCATGGGGGCAGGAATTTTCATCTGCTTTGTTCACTGATACTCAAAATCTTGGGCAGGAGGATGTGGGTGCTGCCCCATTGGAACAGAATCTGCAGTTGGCACCTGGTAAGGCTGCACCCGTGGGTATCGGCTGCACCTGGTTGGTGGGGGGGGGAGGTGCTGGACAAGCATGTGCTGAGTTGCCAGAGGGAGGAAGGGCATGGGGTGGGTACCTGCTTGACTGCCAGGTTGACCAGGTCGTAGCGGTGGGCGCGGCGCAGCGGCAAGCAGAAGCTGTAGAGGGCGTGCAGGGCGGCGCAGAAGAAGCTGAGCAGCCCGATCTGCTTGCGGTGCTGTAGCCAGTGGTCCAGCCAGTCGGGGAAGCGCTGGTACTTGGTGCCGCGCCGCAGCTGCAGGGCAGCCGCCAGCACGCCGGGCAAGTACACGAGTGACAGCAGCACGTAGGCCACGCACGGCAGTGTGGTGTTGACCACGGACACGGGCAGCTTGAAGAACTTGTTCTGGCTTTCCTGCACATAGGGCTGCAGAACGTCCCGGACGAAGTTGTAGGCATAGAAGCAGACGAAGAGCCCCAGGGCCAGCAGGGTGGGCACCTTCCAGGCCGGGAGGAGGCGCAGGGGCATGGCCTCCACCTCCCAGGCTGACGCCAGGGATCCCATGTCCACGGGCATGAAGCCCATGGCGAGCGCCATCTCCGAGACAGCACGCTTGGCTTCTGGCTGGTCACCGCAGATGGGCACCTGCGGGAGAAAAGTGGGGCAGTCAGACGGCGTCACAGGCCACAGGAGTGGGCAGGGCCTCACTGAGCAGCTGAGGAAACCGAGGGCCAGAGGGGCAGGGACTTGTTCAAGTGAGCTGCCAGTCAATGGTACAGGTGGGAGCCAATGGGGTTCTAGCTCCCAGGCTAGGGGTCTTTTCTCTGCTGCCCAGGCCTCCCAGCCTCTGGCCCACCTGCCAAGCCAGGCCAACTACTCAAGGAGGGAAGCTGCAAACAGTAAGCATCTTGCCCAGCTCGTGGACATCAGCAACCACAAGCAAAATGCTCATCCAGGTAGTCCCCATGGGCCCCCGACATGGCTGTCTCCAAGGCCGTGGCCTGCCCTGGGAGCCGCTCAGCAAAAGAGTTTTGCGTATGGTGCAGAATGGGCAGCTGTGGCTGCAGCTCCATCCCTCAGTTCAGAATCACCCCCCTTGATGATGTCCCTCGGCTCAGTAGAGCCCTCAGCCAGCACATAAGGCCTTCTACAAGCCAGCTCCAGCCTGCCCTCTCCGCCTTGAAGCCCGCTGCTCTGACCCACGAGGTCCCCCTGCAGGCACATTGCAGTCCTCAGATCCCCAAGCACCCCGTGGGCCTTGTTGACACTGCATTGGTCAGTTTAGTCTCCAAACACAGACTGAACACCTACTCTATGCTGAGCTTTACATATATGATCTCTCAGCCTTGCCATGAGCCCGCAGGTAGGTACTATAGTCTTCATTTTTCAGGTGAGAAAACTGAGGTCTAGGAGCATTGTTTCTTATCTCTGTGCCTTTTCAGATTGTTCCCTCAGACTGGAATGCACTCCCTGCTCCCTGAGCCTGACAGCATGAGGTGGGCCCAGGTCAAAGCCCTCCTCCAAGTCTTTTCCAGCCAGCTTGCTTGCTCCGTTCCCTCCAGGCCCTGCATCCAACACTCTCCACTGTTCCTCCTGGTCCATACCTGGGAGTCCCATGATGCAGCCTGCATTTAAGGTGCTGTAGTCAGGTATGGCTGGGCACCTTTAAACTGTCCTACAGAGCCTGGCACCTGGGCTCGACTCACTGGTGGAAGTTCTCACACATGGAGTCTGGCATTCTTTCGCCAAGAAAATGCATTAAAAACCAAGGTGGCATTAAAAACCACCTTGTCTTGGTAAGAGCTCCTCGTGGCAAGAAACGTATGCAGCTCTAGCTGTTCCGTGGAGCCATTATCTAGCCCCAGAAAAACCTGCTGTTGACTTTTCTGAGAAATCAGTTCTTGGAAGCCCTTAGAATAAATACGATAAAATTTGAGACATGCCTGCCTTCCTCAGGGCCGGGTACATAAGTGTGTTACTTTCCTCCTTCTGAGTCCAATTCTAAAAGCCAAGTCTCTCTCCTTCTTGGCTCCAAATAGCAAAAAGCCATCAACCTTTTCCTCCTTGCCCTCTAGGAAACCCTGTTACCATAGCAGAAAGAACATGGGTTTCAGATCCATAGGAACTGGGTTCAAATCCCAACTTACCAGCTATGGAATTTTCAGTAAGATCATTAATGTCTTTGAGCCACAATTTCCTGTTCTGTAAAATGGAATTTTGCAGTGATGCAGGATTAGTTATGATAACATATCAAAAAGAGCATGCTGGCAGCACTCGATGAAAATTAGCCATTTATATTTATTGTTACGATGGGTATTATTCCCCCAGAACCTACCTGCCTGTTACCATCCCTTGGGCCAGCCTGCAGGGTCCAGGCAGAGATGACATTGAAGGCCTTGACCACTGTGCAAGTGGGGAAGAGGGAGGCCAGGTACTCAGCATTGGACTCACGATGCTGAAGGTGCTCTTGCTCTGTAGGGTTGCTCACATCCACCAGGATCTTGCCCGCCAGCTGGTCACTGAGACTGCACAGTGAAGAGTAGTGCTCCCGGAACACAGCCACAAAGATGACCTCCGGGGAGCTCACTGCCTCCTCTTGGAAAGTCACTTGGGCCGCTGAGGGAAACAGCCTGGCTGTGCGTTTGGGGTTGCGGCTCCCCACCACCACTTTGAAGCCAGAGCCCACCAGGCGTGTGGCCAGGGAGCGGGCAAAGTCCCCGCTACCCAGGATGCCCACTTTGGGGGCCTCATCGGGGACCTTGGCAAGGCTACTATCGCTGTCCACCAGGTGGAGGCTGATCAGTGGCTTGTCCATCTCTTCTGGCATTTTGGTGGCTGCAAGAGAAGTCAGGAACCTGGTCAGTGGAGGGCTCCTGGACTGCCCCTTCTGCCACCTCCCTCCTCTTATACATCGTAACTACACGGCAGTCAGACATTCACCCAGCAGGTGTTCACCGAGTGCTACCACGTGTCAGCACCAGGGGAACAAGCTGAACACAACACAGCCCCTTCCCTGGGGAGAGCACAGACTCAGGAAGAGCAGGGATGACTTCTGCCCTCCACCCTTTGTCCCTCCTGCTGAATGATTTCCTCGGGAAAAACTGGCAGAGTGAGAGTGCTGGGAAAGGGAACTCTGGAATTTCCATGACCAATGTGATGCAGTGCCATACTTCTTTTCAAAAGGATTAGGCAATGGACAGTGTCACTAGCCAGGAGTGACCATCTAACCCCAACCTCACCATCGCTGGGTGTTTGATGACCAGGAAGGGTGAGCATGTCCCTATGCTTGTCTACATTTTGCATCTTGGAGCAGTTCTTCTTATGCTCTCCCTGAAGCATGGTGAACAGCTTGAGGGCAGGACCTCATCTCATCTGACCTTGGACCTCACTGTGTATCATAGCCTGGCACGGAGGCAGTGCTCAGTGTTTGCTGAATGAATGAATGAATGAACACCAAACCTTGATCTCTGAGGGCAGGACTGAGAGACAAGTGAATGGGCCCCTAAGATAGAGTGGGTGCCCTGTGATCTTCTTTGCTGAGCCCAAGATATGAGTGGATGTGGAGGAAACCCTGAACTCGGGCCATCGGTCTACAGTAAACTTGGATGGAAAAATTATTATATATTAATTGTCACCAACTTCTAACTAAAATTTGCTATTTCCTTTAAGTATGAAGGTAGGCAACATAATTTTTCATTAATACTGACCAAGATCATATCATAAATTTACCTGTAAATAATTTATCCTAATACCATTTAAATTGAGCACAAATTTAAAACCATGCTAGCCAGGTGCAGTGGCTCACACCTGTAATCTTAGCACTTCAGGAGGTCAAGGCAGGAGAATCGCTTGAGGTCAGGAGTTCAAGACCAGCCTGGGCCACACAGGGAGGTCCCATCTCTAAAAAAATAAAAAAAAAATTAGCCAGGCACAGTGGCACACGCCTGTCGTCCCAGCTACTCAGGACATTGAGGCAGGAGGATCGCTTGAGCCCAGGAGTTGAAGACTGAAGTGATCGCACCACTGAACTCCAGTTTGGGTGACAGAGCAAGACTATCTCAAAATAATAATAATAATAATAATAATAATAATAATAATAATAATAAAAGTAAAAATAAAATTATGGTAGACATTAGATCTGCCACTAGAGCTTGTCATTTAATGTGCTAATAAAGAAGCATGCCTAATGCTACTGTAGTCTTTTTTAAAAAATATTTTCGCTGTGTTTCCATATAATATATTTCATTTGTAACCCTAAGCTATTTTGTCTGGTGCATGTAAGAACATTATTCTGAGCAGAAGTCCACAAGCTTCACCAGCCTACAGTTCCACAGGGCTTAAGATCCCCTGCCCTGAAGCAGCAGAGCAGCTGGGGTGGCTTTCAACACCCTCCATGGGCGTCTGCCTCTTCCTACTTTTCCACAACACTCTCCTGGAACCTCTGGACACCTGACCAGGTGAGGGAGTGGATCCAGGGACTGACATAAAGATGGGGCAGGGGAACCAGGAGGCTGGGCCCGGCTCTGCTATGAAGCAGCTGTGTGTCTTCAGACAAGTCTGTGTGCCTCCCTGGGCCCCAGCTTCCATCTTTGTCAATGGAGATCACAATCTCTGCTCTCAGATGACAAATCATGCAATCTTAAGAGGTTTTTGAAACTGTGATTTTTCCTTTTATAAGGCAGCAGCAGCAGCAGCAGTTCCTATTAATGGATGCCTACCATACACCCATTGCTGCTGTCAGGCCTTTCCTCGGGTGATGGGCCTCTGGTCCTCACAAGAACCCCAGGAAGTAGATTCAGTTATCATTCCCACTTTACAGAGGAGGGAACTGAGGCTCAGGGAGGCTCAGGAACTTGTTTCAGGCAGCACAAATAATTGAGGGGAGGAAGAGCAGGAGGCAGGTCTGTCTGCCTCGGCAGTCAGAGCCTCACTCCGTCTTACTGCCCAGACAGAGAACAATGAGCTTTCCAGAGATGTCCCAGAGAGCTGCATAGCTGGGACCACACTGGCTGGGACAAGAGGCCAGGTGGGTGGAAGGGGGTGCATTCTCAATGTCAAGAGTCAGGGGACATGTGTTCCTGTCCTGCCTCTGCCAGCATGGGAAACTTCCTTAGCCTCTTGCTCATCTTTAACATGGTTTTGAAACATGGCCCTGCCTGTCACAGGATAACAGGGATTGGCTGAGCTGAGACTCTGAGGGGTTGCTTTTGTGGGGATCATGCTTTCCGAGTCCACAGATGGGGGTGGCACTCCTGCACAGACATGCAGGCACCCGCCAAGACACTCACGCCAGGCACAGCCACCCTGTGAATAGGAGACAGTATTTTCTGCCTGGTTCTGGGAGCGTTTCCTGGGTGGTGGGCTACATTTTGTAGGTGACAACGGGCCTCCTGACCCATCCTATAGTGAGTCCACGGCAGGCGGGTCTGCACCAGGTCCCTACTCAAGGCTGCTCGGTCCAGGAGCCGGGCTCTGGAGCCAGTCCGCCTGGATTCTGGTCCTGACTCTGCCTTATGTTAACTGTGTGACCATGGACCTATCTGTGCCTCAGTTTTCTCAGCTATAAAAGGGAGACCATGGCAGCACTTCCCTTATGGGCAGGTTGTAGGAGTAAATAAGTCAATTGTGTAAAGCACTTAGAACAGTGCTGAGCACATCATAAGCACCCAGCAAACGGCATTCAGTAATCACTAAGCAAACACTGGCTGCCAACAGAAATGAAGCTCCGTGCCAGCAGTAGGGCCCAGGTGGAGGGAGGGCAGAAGACCCTGCAGGCACCCCTTCAGCCCCGGGGAAGGAGGATGAAGAGCTGGGTGACAGTTATGTCAGCCCAGGAGCCTTGCAGATGGCCTCAGGGCTCGCAGGCCAGCATCTGCAATTTGGGCCGAGGTGAATTCAAATCCCTCTTCTCCTGTGGTCGGGAGGGCCAAGTCTCCCCTTGTGGTCAGTCAAGGCTGGGACAGATACACCCAGGCCTGTCCCCAACCACAGGGAGACACAAGCCCCCGGGGAGTTTTGCCCTGATGGGGAGGAAGAGTAGCCAGCCTGAGGCCCCCAGACCATCTTTCCAACATTTGCTGATGATTTGGATGATCCTAAGTAGGAACCCTCTGGACAGAAGCCTCTCCTCTGTCTCTGCCCTCTCCCCGCTGCCTGCCATCTCCTGAGTGACTTTGTGCTGAACACTCCTAAGCATATAAGGATGAGTGAGAAGCGGTCCCCACCCTGAGGGCTTACAATCTAGTGTGGGTTGGGGGAAAGGGGGCTTGAATAAGACCCATCGCCAATGACTGGACATAGGGCAGCTAGAGACAGAGCTCAGGAATGGCACAGGTATGGCCCAGGCTCTTGCCCAGGGGGCAGCCGAAGGGGAAGCCAGGACGGCTTCACGCAGACATGCATCTGAGGATCCCTGAAAAACCTCGAATGATTTACCTCGAAACAAAACTGAACCAGCCCAAAGTGAAGCAAGGCGAGAAGATCCAGATTTTGAGTCCTATTTTTGTTGAACCCCAGACCTAATCACAGGTGGGAAGGGATTGCCAGGGCTGGGCCTTGAGGGTGTTGCTCAGAACCTGACTTGGCATCTGCTCCCTTCCAGGGAGCTGATATGGAGGCCGCTGCAGCCGAGGGGAGCTGGTCCCACGTCTGCCCCTAACTGGCGCTGGGACATAGGAGGTCCCTGGGCCTCTCTGGGTGGCTTCTCTAACAGGAGCTGCTGCACCAGCTCAGCTCCAAGCCCCTTTCATCCCCAGCAGTCTAGGGTGCTATGAAAAGTCCTAGACTTATGGTCCTAAGGGTCCCTGCTTTTCAGCGGTAGGATAAATGCAAACTAAACGTTAAGCACCTCCAAAGCTTCTCTTGCCACCAAAATGCAGTCTGCAACAGGAAAATGCCAGGTTGTAATGCTGCCTTGTACTGCTCCCTAGGCGGCCTCTTCCTTGACCTTTCTGATGTAGGGACGGAGCCACTTGGCTGGGAGGGGTCAGGCAGGTGGTTAAAGGCACGGGCTGTGGGTGGGGCTGCTGGGGAGAAATCATGGCCTCACATGCCAGTAGCTGGGTGCCTTTGGGTGAGTTACATAGCTCCTCTGTGCCTTAGTTCCCTCACCTTTAAAACGGGAACACTAATTATACCTCTCTAAAGACTGTTTGAGGATGAAATGAGTTAATATGTGTAAAAGCTCAGAGCTCATTTCTGACTGGTTGTGTGTGCACTTGTGTTTCCTAATCTTGTATGCATGTGTGTGTGTGTGTGCACGTGTCCTATTCTTGTGTGCATGTGTGTTGTGTGTACTCTTCTCTAACTTCTTCATGGACAGTGGCCACGTTCAATTCTTCTGCCCCCTCCTGATGCTCAGCATGAACCCTCCTGCTGAAGGCTGGCAGGGGTTGGGGGCAGGACAGGTGGTACATGTCTTGGAAGTCCCAGAGGCCTGTCCCTGCGGCCTGAGGTGAGGGTGTGACTAACCCTGTCTGGGCCCTGGCTCCCTGGGGGTTCTATTTATAGAACTGGAGAGGGAGCAGATGGGATCAGATTGCAGCTCTGTGGGCCGAGGCCTGTCTCCTGCCTGCAGACCTGCCTGCCTCTCCTCCCAAGCTGTGGACAGAACTGCCATGGAGGATCGGGTGTCCTGGTCCCCTCTGGGTCTCTGCCCAGGCTTGTCTGTCCCCTCCTTCTTCCCGGCAGGGCTACAGCCTGTGTTTATGGCTGGGAGCCACGCCTGGCCCATGGGCCTGCCTGCCAGCTCCTGTCTGCTCTTGCGCAGGCCACTAACAGTTGGCCACATGACATCCACAGCCCCATGGCCTCTTCTTCATGGACACCGATCACCTTTCAGACATGAGTGGCCAGGGCAGGCTGTGGCCACGGAGGGTTTGCTGTGAGGTCGGTATGGATTGAGGTGCTGGGGCCACTGGCAATCAGAGGCTGGCTGTGGCACCCTGCAGCCAGATGGAGTGGGGGCGGCCTGCAGGCCAAGAACGGGGTGCCTCGCACGCCTCCCATGTGGGGACTGACTGAGCAAAGAGAGAGAAAATAACCCAGTTCTTGTCCTCAAGCAGCCCACAGTTATCTTCAATTTTTTTAAATTTTTGTTTATTTATTAGTTATTTATTTATTGAGACGGAGTCTCGCTGTGTCGCCAGCCTGGAGTGCAGTGGCGCGATCTCGACTCACTGCAACCTCTGCCTCCCAGGTTCAAGCAATTCTCTTGTCTCAGACTTCTGAGTCTGAGTAGCTGGGACTACAGGCGCATGCTATCACGTCCAGCTACTTATTTTCAATTAAAAAAAATTTTTTTTGTCTGGTCAGTAAAATTACATTTAGGGGCACATGTTCCTATTACTGCTCTATTTCTTTATAAGTAAAATACATTCAAAATGTACACTTATGCAGCAGTGCCCTATAACGTTGTATGTGGTATAAGTAATATGTAAACAAATGTAGGTGCAAGGAGGCTCTGTATGTCCTCCCTAATCCCAGGGAATGAGCCTTAAGAAGCCCCAAGGAAGTGCACACACACCCTGGAGACCTTTGCCCCATGGGAGGGCCAGGCAGTGGACTAAAGTGTTTAAGGTCTCCTGACAAGGGTACTGACTTCGGACAGCGGGGACTGGGAGGATTCCTGCAGGAGGTGGGCCTGAGCCGAACTTTGACGAATTGAGAGTGAGCCCAAGAAAAGCGCTTCAGAAAGAGGGGCCTGCATTGAGCAAACGGGGCCCAAGATAGCCCAGAGTGCAAGGACCCATCAACAGTGCATGTCCCTGGGTGAACGAGTATGTGCCCACAGCCAGCACCAGGGCTCAGCAAGCCACAAGTGAAAACATAAATTCTTGCACACAGCCTGGCCAACATGGTGATACCCCATCTCTACTAAAAATACAAAAATTACCTGGGTGTGTTGGCACGTGCCTGTAATCCCAGCTACTCCGGAGGCTGAAGCAGGAGAATCGCTTGAACCTGGGAGGCGGAGGTTGCAGTGAGCCGAGATCGCGCCACTGCACTCCAGCCTGGGCGACAGAGTGAGACTCCGTCTCAAACAAACAAACAAAAACAAAAAAATTCTCGCACAGAACTCTTTTCTAGACTGAAAACGTGTAGAGAGGGAAAGAGGAAGGACCTGGATCTGGGGTCTACTCTGAGTATCTTCTCACTGGGAGGTACTGGACACGCCAGTCCTTTCTCTAACCTGTTTCATCAAGTGTAAAATGAAAATACCGATTTTCCCTCAAGGGCATGAAGTAGCCAAGGGCCATATACACCTGGGGCATTGCGCTGTGGCTGGGATGTTTCTGGGAGTTCTTCCCCTGTGGTCTTTTTCTCATGTGCTCGTTGTCCACCCCCCGCCCCCACTTCCCTGAGCTTTGGGAGGGCAAGATTGCTGTGTGTTGTTCCACATGCACCCAGAACCCCACACCATGCCTGGCACACTGTAGAGGTTCTGTGCATCTCTCTGCCTGACTGCACACACCACTGGAGCCTATGTAGCCTCTGGGGGCAGAAATCCTTCCAAAATGCAGTACAAAATCAGATCCTCATCCAGCACCCCAGGGATCACCCCAACCTGCCTGGGGTCCATCTTCAGTTTTCACAGAGCCTTTGTGTAAGCTCTGCCTCTTCTCTCATCCTCAGGACTTTGTGGGCGCTGTCTGTCTGCCTGCTCACCTCTTAAAGCCCCCCAGGTCCTGCTAATTCGCTGCTGACGAAATCGAAAGAGCACAGCATCGAGAAAGTGCAAAGCCAACTCAGAATGGAGAAAAGTTCAGGAAATCATATAACTGATAAGGGGACCTGTTTCTAAATATCTGAAGAACTCTTACACCTCGGTATTAAAAAGACAAACAACCTACATAAAGTGGGCAAAAGACTGGAAAAGACACTTCTCCAAAAAAGATATACAAATGCACATGAAAAGATGTTCAGCATCATTAGCCCTCAGGGAAATGCAAATGAAAACCACAATGAGATACCACTTCACACCCACTAGGATGGCTACAATGATATATTTTTTTAAAAGACAGGGAGGATGTGGAGAAATCAGAACCCTCCTACACTGCTGCTGGGATTGTAAAATGGTGCAGGCACCGTGGAGAACAGCCTGGGAATTCTTCAAAACGTTAAACAGTTTCTATATGACCCAGCAACTCCACTCCTAGCTATATATCCAAGAGAAGGAAGAATGTATATCCACACAAAAACATTTTCACCCATTATTCATAATACCCAAAAAGTGGAAACAATTCAAACGTCCATCAACTGAGGAATGGTTAAACAAAATGTGGCCTATCCATCCGGTGGATTAATATTCAGCCATAAAGAGAACTAAGTATGCATCCAACAGGGGTGAACCTTGAAAGCATTAAGGGAAAGAAGCCAATTACAAAAGGCCAGACATTACATAATTACACTTATATAAATGTCTAGAATAAACAAATCAATAGAGACAGAAAGTAGATTAGTGGTGGCCAGAATGGGGGATTTGGAGAAAATGGGGAGTGATCCTCACGGGTACACCATGCAACTCACCATTTGAATGGGTGAATTGCGTGGTGATGTGAGGCATAGCTCAGTAAGGTTATTTAAAAAGTTGTTACCTAAAATAAAAAAGGAAATTGAGGTATGGCAGACTGCTACTAGTGTGTGTAAACCAAGAGTAAACATGTTTTGGATGACAGCTTAAGCGCGCTCCATGAGCCTATGTCATTGGATGGATTTTGTAACACCAATGTTGGTGGCTGCTGTGGTTTGGAGGTTTGTCCCCCAAAAACCTCATGTTGAATTCTGATCTCCAATACTGGAGGTGCACCTAATAAGAGGTGTTTGGGTCATGGGGGTGGATTCCCTCCCTGGCTGGGGGGAGGGCAGAGGAGCAAGTAAGTTCCCTGTTAGTTCTCACTGTATTAGTTTCCTCGAGAGCAGCTTGTTAAAAAGAGCCTGCCACCTCCCTACCCTCTCTCTCTCTCTTACTTCCTCTCTCCCCAGGTGATCTCTGCACACATGGTGCACATGAAGAAATGGGGCTCAGGAAGGTGAAGTGACTTGCCCAGGCCACCAGCTAGCAAGTGGTCAGGTGGGATATGAATCCACTCCTCTGCTGGGCCCTTGCTGGCTGACCTTGCAGGTTACTAAGGTGACTGATCCTGAATAAATCCAGAGCATTCAAATGTTTGTCTTCCTTTTGAAAAACACCTTTTCTCTTTACAAATTCCCCAGCTTCAGGTATTCCTTTATAGCAACACAAAGACCACACTAGCACAGTGGCTCTGCAACCTTCTGAAGTTATGTCCTATTTGTTTTCCACATAATTGAGGTTCCTAAGCCCCGTGACCTCTGGACAAGTGAGGCTTATATAATCAGTACCATTACCTGTTGTTGTTGTAAAAATGGTGCCTTGGGCTAAACTGTTCTCTTGGCCTTTGCTCACACAGCTATTTCTCTGCCATCCATGCAAGCCATTCCAGGGCCCAGGGGATGATGTGTGTGTGCCAAGTGCTGGGGTCTGAGGTCCACCCCACCAGCTCCCAGGTCAGTGAACAGGGCAGATGTGTTCCAGGGGGAGTGGGGGAGGCACCGTCTGCTGCTCACCCACATGGCTGAGGGTTTATAGAAGGATGTGCAGGTGGAAACATGCACACAGCTGCAGATCTGCTAAGTGGGGCATTAGGTCCCTCTTCCTCCTAAAGTCATCCCTTCCCTAACCAGGCAGAGGATCATTTCAGCCCCTGGGATTCTCTAAATAACACAGCTGAAGCCACAATTGGTCACTGAGAGCTTCCCTAGCCAGGCCAGGCCACTCCCCACAATGCAGCCAACAGGACACGGGCTCAGCAAAACGTTAGAACACTCTGGATTTATTCAGGATCAGTCACCTTAGTAAACTGCAAGGTCAGCCAGCAAGGGCCCAGCAGAGGGATGGAATTTCATATCCCACCAGACCACTTGCTAGCTGGCGGCCCGGCCAAGTCACTTCACCTTCCTGAGCCCCATTTCCTCATCTGCACTATGGGCTGATGTTCCTCACCTTAATGAGGTGTGGCAAGGATTATATGAGACAAATAAAGTGCTACGCTCTGAGCCTGTTAAATTTACTCATTTTTAATTCTATTCCTCTCTAGGATATTTTGTAAATCTTTTTGTCTGGGTAAAGCAGAAATAGATGCACCCAAATCAATACACGGTGTTCTCTGCCTAATGGAAAAATTTACTTTAAAATCTTCTAAAAATGTGCTCTAAGATAATGGCCTGGAGGTACATGCCCATTTCTCCCCAAGACAATCGGAGGAAAAGACCTGCTACTATTTGGGACTTGGGAGTGGGAAGAAGAAGGGGGAAGAGCAGAGCAGAAGATCTGGGGTGGAGGGAAGAGTAGGAGGACCTGCTGCTCAGGGCCACAGCCCTGGTGGCTGGGCACTGGGGCACTGGGGTCGGCACTGGGCTCCTTGAGCCCTCTAGGGGATGCTGGTCCCAACATCTGGTTCCCTGCCGAGGACAGTCATGCCACTGGGGTCTCCAGGCCACTTACCCTTGCAAGGATCAAGCCTATACCAACTGCTCCTCTGCCTCCATGGCCCTCCAGAGCAATACGTCTCACTGGACAGTACTGTTTTCTTTCCTGTCTATCTTCTCCCCCACTCCAAGCTCCTCAAGGTGAGAACTAAGTAAAACTCACTTTTGCAAACCCCAGCACTTAGGACACATCAGGTCAAACTTGAGCTGCATCAGGGTCACCTGGAGGACTGATGAAAACATATTGCTGGGCTCCACATCCAGAATTGCTGGTGCTGCTGGTGTGGGGACCACACTTTGAAAACCACTGCAGTAGCTGCTCAGGAAAGGGCTGTGGACGGAGTCAATGAACTAACCACTCACTTGCATGCAAGAGCAACTCAGTTTTGACTTTTTTTTTCCCTGGGTCTTTACAGTTGGCCCAGCTCCCAGCCCACTTGGTCCAGAAAGTCCTCCCTGCTCACGGGGGCTTCGAGTATCCATGCTGTCTCTGAGCTCCTCTAGATCTTGAGGGTCACATGCATATGCTCTGTCCCTACGTACCCCTTGGCTGCCCAGAGCTGGGTCTCTCAGGTGAGAAGAAGGCAATCAGAGTCATTGTGGCATTGTTAGCTGAGTCAATAAAACAAACCCCATGGGGACCACTCCCTGGCTACATGTGGGTCATTAGGCCCACTGCAGGCTGGGGAGAGGAGCAGTTCTAGGGGACCATGAAGATCTTGGGGATCCAGGAGCCCCCTAACACCCTGACTGGGAGGATATTCCCAGAGGACAGAGTTTCCTGGCTGAGCAAGAATCCAGATGGCCTGCCTGCCATCCAGGAATCTCTCACTAGCATGCTTTGACAGCCCAGTCTGGGAGAACTGCTCACTGGGACAGTTCATTACTACCCATCGCCAGCGTATGGGAAGGATGATGGTCAGTGCTGGTTGGGAAGGGGAAGAGGAAAGCCCAACAGTCAGCACCAAGGCCAGGGGCTTGAAGCAGCGGAGGCGGGTGGGGCATGCTCAAGCCCTAGGGTCCCTATGCTGCACAACTTTAGGAGGTGCCATTTACATAGTAATCCCTGTGGAGAGTGCCCTCTGGAGGCGTGCAGTGCACAGTCTGTGCAGTTCTATGCAATAGTCCATCCTGCCAAACCTCCTCTGACAAATTCTCTTATTTGTTATTCCCAGAGTACCTGCTGTGTACCCAGCATGAAGCAAGGCGCCGGGGCCATGCAGGTGGCCAAAGATGACCTGCCCTTTTAAGGCTCTTAGGAGAAAGGCCAGCTACACAATGCAGGAAGAAGCAAAGTGCTGGAATGAGGGGATGACCGGGCGCTATGGAGCCAGGGAGGAGGGCTTTAGTTTGCCCAGGGAGGCCAGGGAGCTGGCTTGTGGGGGCAGCCAGCTCCCTATGGGCCAGTTAATCCAGCCAGGTTGGAGGCCATCAGGCAGTGGCAGCTGAATCTGCAGCCTCAGCGTCTGGAGCTGGGTGGTTTCTTGCTTTCCAGGGAGACCTGGAGCTGCACAAACCCTGGGACTGGTGGGTCTTGTGGGCTGTGGCTGCCCCCACCCCTCCCCTTGTTATGGCACAGGATTTGCTGAATCAGGGATGGGCCTCATCCCTGCTCCTGGGCAGGGTGAGCCGTGGGGTTAGGAAAGGGCAGAGTTAGCCAAGACACACAGAGGCAGCTCAGCATGTCTGCCATGGAGCTCGGCCTGCCTCACATCACCTGATTTTTGGGCTTAGGGATGCATGCCTTATCCTGGTTTGCCCAGCTGCTGCACTGCCTTTTTCTGGAAGCCTCGGAGGGGCCCTCCCCTGCCCCTCAGTGGCCTCTTTCTTTGGATTCCCAGGGATACTGGAAATCGGCCTCCACCCTCTAACCGCTCTGCATGGGAAGAGTCATGTAGCCACTTCTCAACCACCTGCCATGGGCCAGCTCCAACTTTTGCAAGAGCTCTGACTTTTGCAACAGCTTTGATGTTCGCCAGGGTCCCAAGAGCTCAAAAGTCTGGTCCAGGCAGCCCGGGGAGCAGCTCCTGGCCTCCACCTGGGCCTAGGACAGGGAGGACTTCACGCTCTGGGACTAACTCTGCACTTTTTGTCACATTAACATTGGCTGCACACACTGGTTCTCTTGTCTGTCACCTCATTGGATGGGGGCCAATAAAAAACTCATTTCTGTGCCTCTAACACCTACCGGGGCCTAGCACACAGTAAGTGCTCAATACATTTTTGTGGTTTGAATGATTTAAGGACTAGATTCTAAGGGGAGTATTTGTGAGTTGGGAGGGGAGTATTTGTGAGTCATAGCTGTTCTCCCCAGAACCTAGCTGGGGCTCTCTTGTACTCAGTGGTGATGAAATAATAATACTATGAGTTTCTAATCCCTTCTGCAGCTTGGTGACATTGTTAGACCTGGCCAAGCATTTCGCTATTTGATAAACTTAGTAACACTGAGGACTTATGCAAAGATGAATGTAAACACTGGAAATAAATATTAACAAAGAGACTGCTGCAGATCTGGTCAAAGTGAAAATCAAACACCAGATCTAAGGTGCATTGAGGTGCAGCCTGGTATGGGGGTACTCATGGAAGGAGGCTTCAGGGATGCTGAGTCAATG
The DNA here is from genome assembly GCF_000001405.40 of Homo sapiens. Taxonomy (NCBI): domain Eukaryota; kingdom Metazoa; phylum Chordata; class Mammalia; order Primates; family Hominidae; genus Homo; species Homo sapiens. The sequence continues at coordinate 119,233,204 of NC_000002.12, read as the reverse complement.
GCTTCAGGGTTTTTGGAGGCTCCTGGGCCAGGGCATGGCAACCATTTGGAGGGTTCTGCCCAGTCCCCATTAGGTGGGGGTGTCAGGGCAGGTGAGGCCCAGCTGCTGCCATTGGCAGATGTGCTGTCTCCTTGGCCCTTCCAAACCTGGGTCTGCCTGATCTATGTCTCTGGCCACTTCCCACCCAAAGCTCTTGCTTGCTTTCTGCTTAGGTTATAGGCTTAATCTTTTTGCCTGGGAAGTGCCTTCCCCGCAAGTAGCAAAATTCAACAGGAAGGCCCAGTGCCTTTACAAGGCAGAATTAATTTCCCTGCCTCTGGCCCCTTGGCTCTGCAGCACAGGTAACAGGATGCAACTAGCATACGGTGGTGTGTACTTTCCCTTAGAGGTCCCAGGGGTAGGTGGTGGGGGGCCCTACTCCCCACCATCTCGATCACCCTTCCCCACATGCTAATGTTAGTATTAAAACTAACACCCTTGGATATGAACAATCTACATCTCCCAGTCAGGTAAAGTGAATAACAGCTTCTGCAAAGTCTTTCCCATTTTATGGATCTGAAATTTACAATATAAGTCAAAAGCAGCGCACATTTTATGCAAATAAGAAGTTTTCAGGGAAGTCCCCCACCCTGTGACTGCCCCATGTAGAAACTCCGGGCCTCCCCTACAGCATGAATTCCGTCTTCCCCAACAGAGAGGAGCGGGGCAGGCACATCCCAGCACCTAACAAATGCCTGGCATGGGCACAGCTGCAATAACCAGGAGTCAAATGCAGAGAAGTGCCAGCGAGGCGAAGTCGGGGATCGTGCCTGTGGATGTGGGCACAGGGTTTGACCTGCAGAAGGCTATAATTCCTTCTACTTTGCAGAAGAGAAAACTGAGGCCCAGTCAGGTTAAAGGTCCTCCTCTGGGCCCCGAGTTGGCTCTTGCCTGCCCCGGATCCACTGTGCCCTGGGCCCATCCAGTCCCTGCATTCAAGCTGCCTCTGGGGTGGGGAGGGTCTGTGGCTCATTGCTCAGGATGTGAGTAACAGCCAGTCACCCAGTCAGCACCAGACTCTGGTGTCTTCTGCTTTCTTCTGCTTCAGTTTTCTGTCTCCTCACTGAGCTGCTCCAACTCATACTTTCCAGCCCCTCATTCTCAGGCTGTTTCTGCAAATCCAGGGCTGCCCCCTATCCTAGAACCCCTAGGCTTCATTCTTACTGGGCCTGGGGTCCAGGAAGCCCCACCTGATCCCAGGTCCCTTTTGCTATCCCACCCCTAGCCTCCCACAGCTGACCTGAGGGCAGAGAGGCCAGAGGATGCCAGTCTCAAATCATGGTTTAAAAGCTCACTTATAGCCACACACATCTAATTGGTAGATTTCTATTTTTCTCTGTGGGCATTTTCCCTTTCTGATGGACTCTTACAAACGTTTTACTGTTATATTTCTTGTAATACTGCCTGGAATCATTATTTAGACATCATTAAAAAATTATTATCTTTTTAAAAGGAAGGCTGAGAAGTTCCTACAAAAGAGAATACAGAAAACTCAAGCACACTCGAGCCAATCCCCGCAGAAATACACGTGCGCGCAAGTTTCGTCTGATGGAAAAGAGTTTACCGTCACACAACTGTGCAAAATAAAAGTGAATGAATAATTTAGAGAGCTTTTTACAAACAGCTAGATTTTCGAATCATTCCAGAAAAATCTGGTTCATTTACTTGCAGCAGCAGTTCCGTGCTAAACCAATGCAGAAATGGTTACCAATAAGAAAAATTTACAATTCCCAATGGGCCTGCATTCCACAGAAATGCATCATAAACATTAACATCCTTAAACACACACACACACACACACACACACACACACACACACACACGCAACTGTGTGTGATAAATCCTTGAACCCCTGAAATTTAAAAGCCTCCTGACTTAATAACCTGGACTCCCTTTCCTCCAAAGGGGGCCATGAAAACGTGCAGCTGATACATATTTCCCATTTCATACTGCACTTTTTGCAGCCTGTTCCAAGGCAGTACAGATCTCTGGGAGGTGTCGAGTTCCTCGGACCTCCTGGAGATTCAAGGGGCACCCTCCAGCAGGGCAGGGGTCAGGTGGTGAGGGAGCTGGTGGGAGGGGTTTGCACACGACCCATGCCCCCTTGGATCTGCGTCCTAGCCAGACTTACCAACAGCAGGCTGGTGCGACATCCGGCTGACGTGAGGGTCTGAGGCTCTCAGGTCACTCGACAGCCTCACCGTGAGGTGAGCCACCCTTTCTGGCTCAGTCTCCAACCAGGACAGCCTGGCTTTGGTTCTGACTCTCGGTTTCTCAGGAGGCGAGGGCCCTGCCAGGGTCTTGCACAGCCAGCTGCCTCCCGCAGCCTGCACGCCAGCTCTTGGCCACAGGGGCTGGACCGGGAGTGGTGACTGATGCTTGGTTGGAGAGTGCACTGAGAGAGCGCAGCTCTGGCCTGCTGCTTCCTGCTCGGGGAGGAAACCTCACGGGTGATAATTAGTGGCTCAGACTCAAGTCTCTTTGCTACAGGAACTGAGGTGGGACGACCAGTAGAACCCAGGATGCATAAAATGAATAAATGTCATCTAACGCGCGCACACACACGTGAGCGAGAGAGAGAAAGGGAGAGAGGCGTTTACTCTTCGGGATACAAAGGCAAACATAATGGCTGCAGAAAGTGGCAATTTATCAATTTCTGTGGGGGAAATTTATTGCAGTCACCATGGCTGCCACTGGCTTAGTGATAATGCTGTCAGCATTTGGTGCCCACAAAGGCTTCATTGTCATCTTTACTTGCTTGTCAGTGCTCACAGTGGGGAGAAAGACGGACAGACAGACAGACAGACAGACCCACAAACAGATGACAGCACTTGTCTCCAGGGCAAAGCATGGACGGGGGCTGAAGAAGACACAGGCATGTTTCTGCTGGCTGGGGATGGCTTTTCAGTGGACCTTGGAGGCCACACCGGCAGCCCAAAGGAGGCTGGAGGTTTGGAAGCTTTTGCATTGTTGAAGTGAATTATGTGCAAGCCCATTCTTAGGGATAAGTGTATTCTATTGTTTTCAACTTGTTTGGAACCTAGCGATCTTGGAATAGGGCACATCTAAGTATCCCGGGCATCTTTATCTCAAGCCCACATGCAGAACCTGTTTTTCAGATCCCTGAGCATCTGATAAACAGGTTCTGGGCAGGTTTCCCCTATCATCACCAAACACCAAGCCAAGGCCTCATTGTTCTCTGACTGCTGTGGCCCCCTGGGTCTCCTCTCTTCTACTGGAGTGAAAGCCCCTGTGGGCAGGGCTAGATTCCTGAATCTCCGCGGAGTCTAACACAGGCCTGTAGGCAGGGACTGACTTCCACTACCCCTCCTTCCAGTCCCTGCCCACTCCACCCCCCACCACAGCCAATGGCATTCTTTCCATCTCCAATCTTGACAACCTCCTGGCCCATCCCAATCCCCCTTCCTTAAAGATCCAGCCCAAGGCCTTGGGCACTTAAGGCACCTGCCATCTCCCCCAACGCCCACCCCTGACAATCTCTCCCGGCTTTGAATTCAGACAGGCAGCTGTGTTAGTTGGGGGACCTAGCTGGACAGAGATGTGTGTGAATTCCGGTCCAGCCATGTGCTAGCTGTGTGACGTTGGGTAGGTTGCTTTCCCTCTCTGTCCTGATGATTAAACAGTGAATATGAAACCCCTAAACACATGTCTTCCTTAGGACTGTTCTTGTGTGCACCTTTCCTTGCTCTGCTGTGGCCACTCACTGCACGTGGCCCCTCTGCCACTCTGGGTGCTCTATGGTCAGCTGAGGGAGGGACCTAAGTGCCCTCCACCCCTGCACATCCTCACAGCCCCTCACATCGCTCTCTGCTTAGGTGAACTAATAATACAAAAATTAGCTGGGTGTGGTGGAGCACACCTGTAATCCCAGCTGCTCGGGAGGCTGAGGCACGAGAATTGCTTGAAATTGGGAGGCAGAGGTTGCAGTGAGCCGAGATGGCACCACTGTACTCCAGCCTAGGTGGACACCTGTTGAGCCAGCAGGTGTCAGGCAGTGCTTTCAAATATTTGTGAACACCAGAATCGCCCGGGCAGTTTAAGTGGGTGGGTTTCTGGGCAGCCCCAGGCCCAGAGTCTCTACTTCAGTGTGTTGGTGTGGGGTGGATAGGACTCTATTTTCCTGTCAAAGCTGCTGGGGGGTCTCCAGATCTCTTTGGAGAAGCTGCACTGTGAGGAAACCGCACCTGAGGAAAGCAAACCTTTCTGTTGCTTTTGAGAGTACAGGAGCTGGAGAGTACGCGTTCCTGGAGGGCTCCAGGTCAGCTGTGACAGCTGCCCCCTGGGGTTCTCACTGAGACCTTGGCTCTACCCTGAGCTCCCTCAGCCTTGAGACTTCTCCTCCTCTCAGCACCCCCCACAAGCCATGCCAGATGTTAAAGGTCATGGGAGGGTAAGCGGCAGCCCCAATGGAACTCACACCAGCACAGGTGACACAAGGTTTCCAGCCTCCAGCCTTCAGATCTGGGAACACCAGGAGGGCAGGGCTTTCCCAGATGCCTGCCCCTCCACCCACCCATCACCCTGATTTCTGGCTGCTGGGCCCAGCACTGTCTTGCTTCCTTCCCTTCCAGTTCCAGGCACCACCTTCTTTCTGGCCAGTCCAGAGACATCTCCAAGGGCCAGAGGGTCATCTCCAGAGGGCCTGGTGTCACTTCCCGCAGCTGCTCTGGCCTTTCACCCAGGTTGGGGCGATTTGATGGACAGTGGTGGGTCCCCTCAAACTCCACTGCATTCAGCGTGCTACTGACTCATGTGCAGGCCTGGGCAGTCACCCAGAAAGCCCCCCTGGATGCCAGCAAGCCCACTGTGGCAATGGGCAGGCCAGACCTCACCTGGAGGGCCCAGCTCACAGCCACTGTATCCTCTAGCTGTGCACCCAGAGTTCACCTTCAGAGAGACACTTGCCCTGACTGGGGGTATACTGTTACTCTCTCAAGCCCACCAGGAAAATCACGCACCACTCCCCACAGCCTACTGGCCACCCCACCAGTCGGATGCTTATAGAAATGGGAAGCAGCCGGCTGTGGTGACTCACACCTGTAATCCCAGCACTTTGGGAGGCCGAGGCAGGTGGATCACCTGAGGTCAGGAGTTCAAAACCAGCCTGGCCAACATGGCAAAACCCCATCTCTACTAATAATACAAAAATTAGCTGGGTGTGGTGGAGCACACCTGTAATCCCAGCTGCTCAGGAGGCTGAAGCAGGAGAATTGCTTGAAATCGGGAGGCAGAGGTTGCAGTGAGCCAAGATGGCACCACTGCACTCCAACCTAGGTGACAGAGCGAGATTCTGTCTCCAAAAAATAAATAAATAAATAAATAAATAAATAAATACAAGAAATGGGAAGCTTGTTCCCTCACAGACCCCAGCATGCTGGCTTTGGGAGCCCTGCTGTCTACACATGAACCAAGACAGCTGACACCACAAAATAAAGCTTAGTGGGCCCATTCACCGACCCCAAATCTCTTTATATGTACCGAAGTCGGCTTTATAATCTTGGGGCAGTATTTTTTTAACGTGTTTAATAACAAGGCTTAAACATGTGATCTTTGCTGAACTCCCACCTGGCTCTCATTAAGCAGAAGGCAGAGATGGAGTAAGTCACAGCCTGATTGCGGAACAATCAGTGCTCACTTGTTGCCCACGCTGCCCGGTAACTGTGGGCATGCAGAAGACAGACTGACTGGGAAGAGTTGAGTATCGAACAATTCTCCGGTGACAGTGTTCTTACGGTGCTGAAGCAATGAACGCCTGGCCCATTCAGTGCAGGGCTCACGAGACCAGGCCACACCTGAAGAGGAACACACTCTGCCCCTGGGTTGAAGTGACAACGCAAGAGTTTGTGATCCACAAGCAGTCGCCCATCAGCCCTGATGGCAGGCACAGTGGTTGATCCCTCCAGCTCAGTGGGTGAGGGGAGCGGGTGTCTTTGGTTTTGCATCCTTGCTCACTCACATGAGCTATAGGTCCTGAGCCTTACTGCCACCGTGTCTCCTCACTCAGATTCGCAAGTACGCAGAGGGCACGGGTGTTTGTGGGGTGGTTGATGACAACAACACTCATCCTGCCAGAAGTGGGACTCAGCTGGTCTTAGAGTGCCTGGCTCAAAGTTAGTGCTCGGTAAGTGTTTGTTGAATGAATAACCGATGAGGCAGAATTTGGACAGGAGAATGTGGCAGTTAGTTAGTGGCTAGGAGTCTCAGGTTAGGGGTGGAAAAAAAGAGGTTGGGGTCCATATGGAGTTGGAAAGTCACATGGTTGGGAGAATAACATTATCGACCTCCTAAGAGTCTCCAGGTACAAATGAGCTCCTGTAGATAAAGTGTTTGGCCCGGATGCTGGCACATGGGAGGCTGAATGTCAGTGATGAGGACTGGCATTTCAGGCAGGATGGTGAGGGTGTGTGGCATGCCAAGGATGTGACGGTTGGAGCACAAAGAGGCCCGGGACCTGTGGGAGGCTGTGTTGGACAGGTGGGTGGACCCAGCTGCAGGAGACAGATGGGAGGAAGAGGGACTTCTGTAGCCCAATGTTTGAAAACCATCTAGTCTCCAACCCCGATCCCTGCCCCTCTCCTCTCCAAGTTCTGTAATCTCCACAGCCTCTCAAATTGGGATGGTTTGGCAGGGGTGGGGTAGGAGCAGAAAAAAGCACACACCCTTCCAACTCCTAGAGGGAGGAAAGGCACCAACTTGGCCTTAGGTTTTAATAACTACTTAAACTGGTAAACATCCTCATTTTAAATCAAGAGGCAACTCCCTGGTCTAGATGCTAGAAAGCAGTTTCATAGTGCTCAACCTGCTCAGCTCAGGAAGACCTGGCCACTACGCACCGTGGGTGGACAGGAAAGAGTGGATCCAGCCTCAGCTGGAAGACCAGAGAGCCCGACTCCCCAAATGACCTGCTTCCTTCCCTTGCCCCAGCCTGCCTGAATCTCACCCCAGCCCTCTCAGTTGTTCATTTGTAGCTGGACAGGGAATGTAGCAGGCAGCGTAGACCGCCAGGCTGGGAGGCATCAGCTGAGACTGAGCTGGGAACCCTGGGACTTGGAGCCAAGGCCAGCTCTGCCACAGAGCACGGAACCTGGAGGCCACTCTCTAGGCCTCAGTTGCCTTCTCTAGGAAAGCTAGTGGTTCGGTCTACAAGAGCACTAGGCCTGGAAGGCCCCTCACTGGTTAACTCGCAAACCTGAGGTGAAGAAGGAGGGATCCGATATTTACTGCACTCCTAAAACTCAGCACTTCACACACTTAGTCCCCCAAATAGGCATACTTGTTTTATGAGGATATCCTGTTTGAAGCCCTTGGCAAGGTTTTGCAAATAAACAGAGGTTCAGAGAGCTGAGGGCTTCATGTTACGGGGTAAGGAGCTGAGATTTGGACTCGTCCATCTGACTCCAAAGCCAGACTATCCCCAGCACTCAGCCAGCGACCTTTTGCCCACTCAGCTCTCAGGTGTGCGCCTTTGGACTTCACTCAAGAACTTTCACTTTTTAACCACCTGAAGCCCTGCCCAGCACCTTGGTCTCTGATAAGTCCAAGAAGGGAAGGGCTGTGGGCCAAGGATAGGAGATATGAATGGGAGAGGAATCTACCTGTTTGACATCTCTAGGCTGGAGAGGGAACATGTGTGATCCCAGCTTGACCTGGCCTGGTCCTGGGGACCTCAGCAAACCTGGGGCAGGCTGTTCAACCCCCAGGTGGACAAGTGGCCCAGCCTGAGCTCCCTGCTGGCTCTGAGGCCAGCATTAGACTGTGTCACTTCCATACCTGCTGCCGGATTGCCTGGCTGAGGCCACCTGCTCCATTTAAGCCCCCTTCAGGACACTAGTGACACCATCTACCCCACCCCGCCCACTTACCCATTAGACATTCACTAAGCACCTGCTCCTTGCCAGCCCCTCTGCAGGCCACCAGGGACAGAGATGAGTAAGACATAGTCTGGGTCCTCCAGGTGCCCCTAGCTGATTCAGTCAGCTTCGGATGGGACTTGGGGATCTATATTTTTAACAAGCCTTGCAGGTGACTGAGAGGACACACCCAGGTGAGACCCTTTGGTTTTGTGGACCTTCTGGCTCTCAGCACTGTATTCTTGGGGCTGCCAGAATCCCCGTGAGGACACAGCCTGTTTCGCCCCAGTGGTAGGTTCCTCTGGGCTCCAAGTCAGATAACTCTGGGTTCAAATTCTACTTCTGCAACTTCCTAGCTGTGTATCCTTGCAAAATACGTGGACTCTCTGAGGCTGTTTCCCCATTTTTAACAAGAGATAATGGTGCCTTCCTGTTGTGAGGATTAACTGGGATATTGTGCTCAAAGCCCTTAGCAAGATGCCTGGCACACATAAATGGGAATATCTGCTGTTAATTATATTATGGCTGCACTCTGATGGACAGAAATACCTCCCTGGGGGCATTTCCAGAATCCCCACTTCTGGAGCCCATCTCTGAGGTGGCCCTGGATATTTGGGAGGCCTCTCTGTGCCCTCTGCCAGGGCTCCAGCGGGACCTTCCTGCTTCTCCCCACGGATCCGGCTTTCTGGTCCCCAAACCGCATATTATCTGGGCACACCCTCCCCTTCATTTACCCAGAGTGACCAAAGTTCCAACCACACCTCTCCGGGCAGCCTGTCCCCAAATTTCGGGGAAGTGGGCAGGAGGGGGAGCTTTGCCGGGCAGGAGGGGGAACTTTGCCAGGCAAGGGCTCCGCGGGCAGAGGCGGGCACTGGTGAGGCCAGCCTCCTCCTGGGGACCAAGGTCGGGCGCCCCTGCCCAGCCCCTGCACCTGCCCCTGTCCCTGCCCTGTTCGGCTGCGAAGGGACTGGGAGGTCTGGCGAGGAAGAGCCTGGAAGATCCCCGCCCACAGCTACCAGCCCTCCTTTGGGACCGCTGGCCAGAGCCCCAGCCGTGGGGCACACGGGACCTGTGGACTCAGCCGGGGTCATCCGGAGGGGCGCCCACATCTGCACCCGGGGCTCCGGAGCCTGCTCCCCGCCACTGTCGCCGCCGGCCCTGCCTAACCTGCGCGGCGCAAGCGGCTTCCACGCCTAGGGAAGGAAGGCACACGGGGTGGGGGCCCCGGAACCCGGTTTCTCTGCCGCCGGGCGCACGTGGCTCGGTCCCAGGGGACAGAAGTCGCCTCCAGACGTGTGGCGGCACCCGAGGTCCGCGCAGCGACGGCGCAGGGTGCAACCGGGCGGGCGTCTCGGGGACCGGGCGCAGCACGCAGCCCCGCGGAGACCGGGGGAGGGTACACTCACCTCTGCGGCCCGCCGCTCGGAGCGACCGCGGCAGCTGAAGGTCCGCGGCGAAGGCGGTGGCTCGGCCCGAGGCTCCTCCTCCCCCGCGCCCCACCCGCCCGGGAGGGCCGGACCTGCAGGGGAGGTGGCCGCCCTCCAGCCCGCCGCAGCTTATCCGGCTCGGCCACCTCCCCCGGGGCCGCAATCAGGAGCCGCCGGGTCCTCGCTCCCCGCCCAGCCCTGCACAGCCCCGGCAGCGGTGGCAGCGTCCAACCACCCTCCTCCCCTGGCCCCAGGCGGGAGGTCGCCAGCCGGCGCCAACACTTCCTGATTTGCAGTGCCCGGCACACGGCTGAAGTGAGCAGAACTCCGGGACCTCCTCTTAACCCGGCCACGGAGGGCACCGAGGCCAGGGTGACCTCTAGGCCCCCCTCTCTTAACCTGAGGAGCACCTCGAATCCTTGTCCATTTTATAACCGAGGCCAAGTGGCAGCCACGGTTGCAGGTGGGAAGAGACCAGGGCTCCAGATTGGGTCCGGATCCCTTCCCTCTCAACAAGGTTGCGCCCAGGCCTTTGTGGTCCCCCCCCAATCTCTGTCCCTTGTCCACCCTTAGGGCAGACTTTTGACCCTTCCCAGCAGTCCTCAGGTTCCAAGACCGGTGGGATGGCGGGTACCTTTCTCCCGGAGCTGCCTCCCTGTCTAGGCCTTCTGGGCTCTGAAACCCTACCCGTCCCCCCTTCCCCCTGGGGCACTGCCCGCTGCCCTCCGCACTTCCAATGCCGATGGCTTCACAGCACTGCAGCGAAGCAGGGCGTAAGTAAGGGGAGGCTGTCTGTGGGCACCTCTCTAGAGGTGTGCGCCCTGGTCCGAAGCCCCTTCTCACCTGTGGTCACATTTGCCGGCTGCAGTTATTTTCTTTACAGGTGAGGAGACCCGGGCTTTTCCGCTCAGATTCGTGGAGGCTGAGTGGGGGTTCCTGACCCCTGGTACTCTTTCTAGAGTATTCCTGGGAGACATACACTATTAGCCTCTGATAAGGAGCTTCAGGTTATTTTTAGGAAGTCTAAGAATCCTGTTTTCTGGGGAGCCAGCCTCTGTTGGGGAGATAAGCCTCCGGAGGCCAGAGGCAGGAGCTGGGCCTCAAGGAAGGCCCCACAACTGGACCCCAAAGGGCACGGTGGGGAGGAAGAGGCAGAGCTCTGGTCTCCCTGTGGAGGGAGTGCTGCTGTAAAGCGCCTTTCCCTCCACCCCCAACTCCCGCCGAGAACCCCCCCACCCCCGCAGGCAGTTTGCTTTCCCCCTCCACAGCTTTCCTCCTACCCGAATACCCACCTCCCAGCTCTCTGCTCAGCCAGGGCCCAAGGCCAGAGCCTCTCTTCTCTTGCAAGAACTTTCCTGTCCCACCTTGCCCCAGGGCAACACCTCTTATGGCAATTCTTACAGGTCCTTTATCCATTCAACACTCACAGTGCCCCAGGTGCCAGACAGTGCTCCCAGTGCTGGAGACACACGTGCCCAATGGAGGTTCCTGCCCTTAGGGTGCCAGGGCTGGTGAGTGGCCCCTGCAGTGGGTTGTAAACTTTGAGAAGACAAGACCCAGTTCCTAGCCCCCTCTGGTGCCCCTAATATGCTCCCCCTGCAGTAGCTGTTCTTTTGATGCCTGCTCCTGCTGATGGGGATGGCTGAATAGCCTTCCTTTAATGCCCAAGGACAGCACAAGGAAACCGAGCTTGGGAAATGCAAACACTGAGAGGTCTTCCAGCATCTTTGGAAGAATCCCTGGGAACCAGTGTCTTTTTGTGGGGCTCTCCATGCATGAGTAAGAGAGAGGAAGACTTTTTTTTGAGGCGGGGAAGCGGGGCTCTCCATGAGTAAGAGAGACAGGGGGAGACATTTTGAAGGCTGGGCTGCCAGAGGTCTATAGAGGATTATCTTAAAAGGAACATGAACTCCTGCTGGAAAAAGTAGAGGGGTCTGAAATTTCTCACAGACAGGGAGGGAGGTGAATACCCTACTTGGGCCCACACACTTTGGCAGAGAGGCCACCGCCCACGCCGTTGACCTTTGGTGCTTGTTCTGTCCACTGACCGTTGGACTAAGGGGGCCTTGAGTGTGAGCTTGTCTCACCTGGCATGGGGTCAGGTGTTTCCAGAAGCTTGAGAGCCAAATTTCCCAAAGCAGACGAGCCCTTTCCTACTCCAGGGAGGAGTGCAATGTGCTGAGCTTTGTTGAGCACCTTCTATGGGCCAGACTCTGGTGTCCTCTGCCAAGGATAGAACAGTCAGAGCCATCCTTGCAAGATGTTTGCCAGATCGCATTTCTCCTCTGCTCAAAACTCTACCCCCTCCCCCAGCAAAAGTAAAGTCCTTGCAATAGCCGTGGCCCAGTGTGATTGGCCTTCTCTCTGCCCTCATCCTCTGTCTCCCTCTCTCTGCTCACATTCAGTCCCACCTCAGATGAATCTGACAGGATCCTGACCCCTGCCGTTCCCCTTGCCTGGACCCTAGGCATCCCCAGGTACCCTCCCTACCTCCTCCAAGTCTTGGCTGAAAGGTCATCATTTCTGTGAGGCCCACGCTGATCGCCCCCATTCCTCATCCATGTACCTGCTTGCTTTCTTTTTTTCCCCATAGCCTGTATTACCTCTGAACACACTATAAAATAGAGTTTTTTGGACTGTTTTTCAGTAACTGTCTTCTCCCATAGAAATGTGAGCTCCTCCTGGGCAGGGATTTTTATGTTTTATTCAATTCCGTATCTCTAATGGATAGAGCACTGCCTGGCTCATAGTAGGTGCTCAGTAAATACCTGTTGCATGAATGCACACCCGTCCTCACACTTCCTTGCCTCTTTTAGCATCTCAGAAATGTCCCCACAGCTCCTGCCTACTCTGCTCTCCTTTTTATGCCCCCAGCTGGTGTGATGCTGATTCAGAGGGGTGCTCCACTTATGCACTTAGGGATGTCTGCCCCTGGAGTTGCTGAATATTCAATTTACAGAGCCCCTGGGATTGCCCTTTTTCCTTGAAGACAAGGTTAGCTGTTTGGCTAAGAAGAGAATAGCATCCAGGAGAAAATCTAGATTTATTTCTTATTTGATCAGGAAGGAGAGGGATGTTGCTCACCCTCAGCTTCTTGGATTAATCCAGCATTTATAGGATGGGACAGAGCAGGTCCACTTCACAAAATAAATCCTCCATGAAAACGAGATGGCCACGGGAAGCTGTATGCCCCAATGTACTCTGACACCCTAGCCAGAAGCCAGGCCACTTGGATCTGGTCCTGCCCAGTGGGCCGTGGCTGCAGGAAAGGTGCCGCTCCCCACTGATGCTCTCCCCACTAGACCAGGTGCTGCAGGACTCCTCCAAGTTCTGGAGCACAGGAAGCTCTTTCCTATGTAAGGCTGCATTCAGGGCAAATGGAGGCATTGTCTTTGCCATCACAATGACCTGATGGGTGGAGGCACATCAGCAGCAGTCAGAGCTGAGGCAGGGCAGGTAGTGGGAGAGGGCACTGAGCGGGGAGGCCAGCTGACAAAGGGGTGCTGGAGCCTGGGACTGAACCTCACAGATTCTGCTTTCCATGGCCCATGATGGTGACCCAATATTGTACAGCATTATAAAGTGTGGCTTACAGGGCATTAGGACACCCCCCCCTCCACATACACACACGAAATGTCCCTGCACCCCAGAATTTGGAATTCTACTGGAGCATAAGGTTGTCCTCCTTCCAGTCTTCTCTCGAAACATGAGCCCTCCAGAGAGGAAGCACTGTCTGAGCTCTGTGTCATGAGAATCTGTGTATCTGCAGGGAGATGTAACTGTGGCCAGCGCAAGAGTATGGAGTAGCTTCCAAAGGAAGTTGCTTTTTATTTGTTTATTTTGGCTCAAGGGAGCATTGATAAAGGCAGTTGCTGAAGGAAGAGTGGATAAAAGATGCCAGGGTGGAGGGTGGGTGGGGGAGCAGGACCAACCATCTTTCTGAGGGAGCTTCCTGGCGCGTAGTAGGTACTTAAACTTTTGTGTATGATCAACGGTCTTGGCTTGTGACTAGACCAAGATCGCCAACCAGAATGGAGGGAGGCTGACCCAGCACATCCCGGAAGCATTTACAGAGCCAAGGAAGAGATTCTTCTTGCCCGTCTATGATAACATTGCATTGCCTTTCAGCTGGGGGCGATTAGAAAGGCACTCACTACTAGATCATGGGAGATGCCTGGGTTTTAACCCCTTGCTGCTCGGAAGGTGGTGATCATGATGGCCTGGGAGGGTTTTAGAATGGCAGAGTGTCAGGCCACCCCAAAGCTCCCAAATTAGAATGGCATTTTAACAAGACCCCCTAGGAGGTTGTATACGTGTTTAAGTTTGAGAAGCGCTGGTCTACATTACAACTGAGGAAACTCACTACTCCCTGAACACCTGCATCAAGGTAGATTCACAGAAACCTAGAACTGGATGACACTTCCCCTCACCAGGGTGCATGACAATATCATACTTTTTGCTTGCTAAAAAGTCCTTGTGAGGCAAATAGTCTGATAATCTTCTGAATTTCTACAAATATGGAAAAATAACTCTACCCTTTTCAACATCAGTGCCTATTACACAAAGCTCCAAGAAAAAAAAAATCATGATTAATATTTTTACTCTTTTCCCATAACTGATCATATTTCCCCTTTTACTGTGGTAGCCAGGATACTCAGGCACATGTTCACGACTATATCGTCCTTATTAAATATATTTAAATGCTACTTTCTTTCCCCCAGTCCATGATTTTTTTGTCTGATTTACTACTAGCCTTATTGCTAAGCTTTTCGAGGTAAGCCGTCCCAAGCAGCCTTTGGAAAAAGTCAACCGCGTAAGCAAAATAAATAGGAAACTTCTGTGCACTCCAGTAAGGGAGTCCTCTTTCCCCTTGACTGCTGTCACCTTTCGTGGTCGTGGCACGTCCTCTGCTGGATTTTTGAGCCAAGGACAGAGGGTTTGGGAGAAGGAGGCCTCCTTGGACTTCTGCCAGGAGTTACTGAGAAAAGAAAACCCAACCAGCTGGGGGGCCAGTTGGGGGGAAATCTGCACAGGATGTTCACACTGTGCCCCTCCCTGCTTCTTTCCTGACCCCCAGAGCTCACCTCAACACATCTGGAGTGTAGGGTGTTGTCTGCCCTGTCAGACCACTCTCCACACACAGCCTGGGGCAGGAACAATGGGACAGGTGGCTGGTGCTCACTCAGCACAGCAGGGGTGGTGGAAAGACACATGTCAGCTGAGGCTTGGCTTCAGGGCAGGCAAGTCACAGCCAAGTCACAGCCCAGCCCAGCATAGGCAAGGTGTAAAAGTCACTGGCCTCAAGGTCATACGCAAACACACTGTGATCAGAAGTGGAGGTAAATACACCCCACAGGGCTGGGATATGTTCTGGCATGCCCAATTCTGTTTCCTTGGTCTTGGCCTTCAAGGGGAGGGAAGGGAAAGGAAAGAGAGTTTGCTGAAGTCCCACCTGGGGCAGGCATCGTGCTACATTGAGGTCAGCCCCCTTCAATCCCCACTGAGACCCTGCAGAATGGGTGGGATCAGCCCCATTTTTCAGATGAAGAAGTGACTTTTTTAGTATCATGCAGTGAGGAAATGGCAGATCCGGGATTTGGACCAGGTCTGCCTGACTCTCAGATCTTCCACTACCTTTGACCCGCTAGGTGGAGGGCTCCTGTGAGCTGTGGCCTACACACCTGTGGTGATCCCTCAGTACTGAGGACCAGGACCAGCTTAGTGTGAGGGCCCAGCAGGGGCAGTCCATGCAGGGAGATGAACCTGGGGGATTTTCTCCCAAACACTCCTCACAGAGCTCCCTGGCCTGCCTAGGCAAGATCCTACCAGCCATCCCCAATCACTGGTTGTGTCTACCTGAGATCTGCACAGCTCGGATGCAGGTCTGTGGAATATCAGGCATGTCACTGAGAGTCTGGTTCTGTGTGGTGTACTACCTGATTTCATGGACACACACACAGAAGGCCATCGTCTCAGAGCCATCTTTAGGCGTTTGCTGGTTACGGCAGCCTGGGAGAAGCCAAGTCACTGCAAGAAAAGGTAAGGGAGATAATGGCTCGAGACCCTCCCTCAAAGGTCTAGGGGCACAGCTACCCAGGTTTGGGGCCTCCAGGGAAGAGGGGAGATGAGACCTTGGCTTCTGGAGGCTTCCATAGGGTAAAGGAACATGCGCAGGCTTTGAAACCACACGGACCTGGTTCAAATTTCACATCTCCGCTAAGTCTCCATTTCCTCCACTGTAAAATGAGTGTATAGACCTCTTAACAGGTTGTAAGAATTAAGTTCCCAGGAAAGTGCTGGGCACTTAGTAGGTGTTCATTAAAAGGCTGTCAGATAATCTGAAAGGAAAAGAAACGGTGTTCAGAGAGGAAGGGAAATACTGAAGAAGACAGTTCCCAAAGGAAATTTACCTCCAGGCAGGCTCTGCTCCACCCCCTTGGAAAAGGTCTTCTTCCTTATCCTGTGTGATGATCTAAACCCTCCTTTTCTCTGAGAGGCTCTCAGGGAACTTGCTGTCCTCTGGCCTCCCCCTCTCCCACAGCGAGGAACCCCAGGTGGGCAAAAGACGCCAGTGGCCCCTCCTCCTCTTTCTCCTTTTCTCACATGAACAGTAGGTGTTGTTGGCACCCTGGTCTGGGAATCAGGAAACCTGGCCATGCCCCACCCCCATGGCTGGCTGATTCATAAAATCTCTTCTTGTTGGACCTCGCACTCCTGCCAGCTTGAGGTATCTGAGATCTTGGTGTTGGAAACTTCCACTGCTACTCTGAGAGTTGCTAGGAACAGGCCCTGCCTTGTGCAAGGGCAGAGGTGCCCTGAGAGGCGCTTCGGGAGATGGGGCTGGGGAGGGAGGAGGCAGATGATGAGAGGCCTGATTTGCCTTTGGTGAGAAGTGAGGCTTTATCATGCTGGCGGTGGGAGCCCAGAAAGATTTTAGGAGGTATGCATCTCTGTGTGATCATAATAGCTAATATGTTTTTGAGTGCTTGCTACATCCCAGATGCTGTTCTAAGAAGCATTTTGACTGTATTAACTCATCTGATCGTCATAATACATTTTCCGTTTTTGAATTTGGAAACTGAGACACAGGAGGTTAAGTCACCTGTCTGATGTGACATATCTCAGAAAGTGGCAGAGCCAGGATTCAGACCCCTGGTTCTGTTTTGGTTCCACCTCCTACTACTACATCTCTGTTGTCTGGACGCCCTTATTCATCTCTGAAAAGACTTTCTCCCTGGTAGCCATAGGGAGAGTGGACCAACAAAGGAAGATGCCAGGCTGGGATGAGCTTAATGGGCAACTGGCAGGCAGAGTCTCAGGACTGTGTTTTGAAGTCTATTTGGGGGACTCAGTAAGTCTTGTGTGTTGGGAGTCTGCCGCCCAGGCCAGGGGCTGAACATTTAATCAAGGAGTTCAAACAACTGCCTGCAGCAGGCCTCTGGTTGGGGCTGAAAAGTCTGTAGAAAGGCAATTTAGTTCAGGTCCTATCCCTTGACTGCCAAGTCCAGGAAGAGAAGTGACTGCTAGCCCCGTGGCCCATCTATTGACTTTGACACCTAGAAAGAACAAGGTTTTTGAAGTTACAAGGACCTGGGTTTGAATCTTGAGCCTCAGTTTTCTTACCGGTCAAATGGGAACATTAGATAGAGTAAACCAAGGGCAGATGTGCAATGTAGGCCTTGAACACATTGAATTCCCCGCCTCCCCTCGCCTGTGAGCCCTTGGCTCCTTGTCCTTCACCACAATTCTGTGGATTTCAGAAGCTCCAGGGGGATGAAAGGAGAATGGCAGAAGCCAGGCTGCACTCTCCCTTGGCCCCGAACCCAGCTGGAGGGCCTGATTTTGGTGGTTGTAAGTCCTAGTCTTCCCTTAGCTCTGCCATTCAGTTCCACACTCTTTCCTGAAGCCCCAGAAATCATCATTCCTGGGGACCCTTCTCTTCCCTTTTCTGCTCCAGGCCCATGTGATTACTCTTATTCCTTGGGGAGAGCCAGCTTGGGTGAGACCCCAGACCTTCCGCCTCCTTGGGCCTCCATCCCAAACAATCCAAGAAGCCTGAGGTCCCTGCAGATGCCTGGCCCCACCCACCTGGACATGAGGGCCGCTCACACCTGGTATAGGTGAAGTCGCATTGAAGCCTGGAGAAGAACCTTTTTTTTAAAAAATTGATATATCAGCCAGAGTCGGTGGCTCACACTTGTAATCTCATCATTTTGGAAGGCTGAGGCAAGAGAATCCCTTGAGCCCGGGAGTTACAGGCCAGCTGGGTAACAAAATGAGACCCCCATCTCTACAAAAACACACAAAAAATTAGCTGGGCATGGTTGTGAGGGCCTATAGTCCCAGCTACTCAGGAGGTTGAGTTGGGAGGATTGTTTGAACCCCAGGAGGTTGAGGCTGCAGTGAACTGTGATTCTGCCACTACACAGGAAAATAAGAAAAAAAATCAATTAAAAAATTAATTGATATATCATAGTTGTATATATTTTTGGGTACATGTGATCTTTTGGTACTTGCATGCAATATGTAATGATCAAGTCAGGATAATTGGAGCATCACTTCAATGCTTCACTTCAAACATTTATCTTTTTTGTGTGTGTTGGGAACATTACAGTTCTTCTCTTCTGGCTATTTTAACTTATTAATAAATTATTGTTAACTATAATTTCCCTACCAGACTACCAAGTGGGAAGATTCTAACCTGGTTTAAATTAGAACTGCTGAGAAGTGGGAGAAGAGTAGAGATGTGGTGACCCTGCCATCCCCAATTAACAGGAACTTCTGATGGTAGCCACTACAGGTGGCGGGCAGGAGCCCCAGAGCAGGGTTCAAACACAACACAGGACAGCCCCAGGGGAGACATTTGCTGCTGGAGGTGGGAGAGGAGCTTCGGGTACCTTCTTGTCATGAAGTTCAGGGGATCACATCTCTGCTTGTGCCCCTTCCTGGAATGCAGAGCTGCCTAAATGCAATAATTGCCTACAAGATAGAGTGGGAATACAGTGTATATGCAGATTTATGTAAATAGCATGCAAATGCAGTGGCCTTAGGCTGAGTGCCCTGGGATGGCAGCTGGTTGGGGATGGGTCCCCCCTCTCTTTTTTTACTTCTGACTTTGCCTTCAGCCCCCTGAGGACCTCACAGGGAGAGGCCCACTGCCTTACCTCCACACAGTCCCTCTTCACAGCAGGCTTCAGCAGGAGACAGCAAGCAACTATGGTACACCCTGTGCAGGAAGCACCATGGGCATTGAGGGGACACCAGAGGGGAAGATTCCAGGCACATGCACGGGCATTGTACAGACCTTGTGATTCAGTACAATGTCCTCATTTGATAAAACAGGACAGCAAGGCTTGGAGAGATGTGGTAGATTTCCATCACATAGCCAGTGGTGGCAGAACCGGAATCCCATCCAACGCTGCCCGACTCTGATTCCACACTGTCTTTGCCCTGCTGCTGCCTGCAATGCTGTGCCACCTGATCCATAAATAATGTATCAAGGTGTGCGTATAGATGTGAGCATGAGGTCACCTAGAGCTTCCAGACCCTTTCTTTATTTTATTTTTTTTTTGAGATGGACTCTTACTCTGTCATCCAGGCTGGAGTGCAGTGGCGCTTTCTTGGCTCACTGCAACCTCCGCCTCCTGGGTTCAGGCAATTCTCTTGCCTCAGCCTCCTGAGTAGCTGGCTGGGATTACAGGTGCCCATCACTATGCCCAACTAATTTTTGTATTTTTAGTAGAGACGGGGTTTCACCATGTTGGCCAGGCTGGTCTCGAGCTGCAGACCTCAGGTGATCTGCCTGCCTCGGCCTCCCTAAGTGCTGGGATTACAGGTGAGAGCCACCGCGCCCAGCAGACCAGACCCTTTCTAATACCTTCTGACCCCAGCAGTGGGGCCCAGGCCCACCTAACATGGCAGCCTGGATGCACCTCTCTGTTCCTAGGCCTGGTGCCTGGCTCAGTAAACGTTTTTTTTTTTAATGATTGAAAGCTCATCTTTATGGTACTTAAAGTCTGTTTCAATTACTAAGGGTCTTTGTCGCTTTTTTCTTAGGGCAGACTTGTCCAGGCCAGACCACACTCTGTGGGGTGTTGGGAGTTGGGTTTTCTTGCTGCAAGGAATATATGTTCTTTAAGGCAGTCATCTGCCTTAAAGATCCTAAGGTGAGGAATTAGGGGAGCCTTATACTTGAAAGGGAGGTCCCCTTTGGGCCTGGGGAGCATTGGTCTGAAGGCTCAGGTATGGAGGATGCAGGAATATCTGCTGGTGAGGATTGAGCTGGAACCTCCCTCCTTCCCACTCCCATCTTAGTCCCTCCGGCCTTTAAAAAAATTTATTTTATTTTATTTTTATTTTTTAAGATAGAGTTTCACTCTTGTCACCTAGGCTGGAGCGCAATGGCTCGATCTCGGCTCACTGCAATTTCCACCTCCTGGGTTCAAGTGATTCTCCTCCCTTAGCCTCCCAAGTAGCTGGGATTACAGGCGCCCGCCACCACACCTGGCTAATTTTGTATCTTTAGTAAAGATGGGGTTTCACCATGTTGGCCAGGCTGGTCTCGAACTCCTGACCTTAGGTGATCCACTTACCTCGGCCTCCCAAAGTGCTGGGATTACAGGCTTGAGTCATGGTGCCTGGCCCTATTCCCCATTTTAGTTCCAGAGAATTAAGTATACATAGACATGGATTGAGTGGAGCACTAAGATTGGGCTGCCACCTGTGTAAGCTGAGAGCGCTGGACTTGGGTTAACGCTGAGCTTTGAGTGTATTTGCTCAACCTCACAGCTGGGCCGAGCTGTTCTGTGGGGAGTCAGGGATCCCATTCTCCCTTCGTGATCCCACTGGAGAGAGCTCATCCGTGGGGTCATTATCATCCATGCACCATCAACATGGTGGACATTCCAGAGGCTGGAGGAAGTGCTCTGCCCTTGGGAGCCAGTGGAGACAGTTTTCTGGAAAGTACTCAGAAATCACGATGGTAGGATTGGGATAGGGTGGGAACATATACTTTGTGAGGGGATACATTTCTGGGTAGAAGGTAGTAGGGGACTATCTTATAATGATTTCAGCTTAGAAAGCAAGAGTGCTGGCTAGGCATGGTGGCAAGCCTTCCAAGTAGCAAGGGTGCTCTCTTTTTGGGAGTCACAGGCTGGTGGGCTCAGAGACCCACAAATCCCAGCCTGGCTCTGACTCAGGGATCAGCCAGGCAGAGTGTGGTGGATTAATACCCAACAAAGCCAGGGTGGTGACCAATGGCCAGAGCTGGTCAGAGGCCGGAGAGGCCAGGTGTCCGGGCCCAGCAGCCAGACTCCTCCTACTGCTGGCCTCTGAGCACTGAGATTCCTGCTCAGTTGCAGCATTTGGGAATTTAACTGGATCCCAAATGAAATGAGACACAACTTTTCACGTCCCCGGACATCACACAGGGACCACGTACAATTATGGATAAAATGAGGCACTGCATCCCACTGCAGAGGCGCAAGTCCTTGGCAGAGGGCCACTGGGAGCTGAGGCTGCATGGAGAGCTGGGCTGTGGGGCGGCGCTGGGCTTCTTGCCCAGGCAGGACAGAGGTGGGGGAGGCCTGAGCACTTAGTTGGGGATGGAGGCTTAGTCTATTTCCCGGGACCATTAGTGAGACAAGAGGCTGCTGAAAAATTTAGCACAGGCCCTGGTAATGCACTTTGGAGAGGAGCCTCCCCTCAGGTGCTCGTGTAGCATGGTGTGGACTCAGCCCTGGGCATAAGGCGGCCAGGGCTTGTCTGCCTTTTGGAAAATGACAGTGAGGAACAAAACAAGGAGCTGCCCCCACAGACTTCCTCAAGTGCGTGTTTGGGCAGTGAGCCTGAAGACTGGGGTGACTCTAGCATGAACCCCACTGGAGTCTCAGGTCCAGGAAACCATCTTTGACTCTCACCCTGGAGTTCTGCCCTGCTGCCTTGAGGTCCTCCCCCATTCTCTGAGGACAGACCCCATTCCCCTGTGGGGTCACAGAGAATGATACCCCAAAGTAGGAAGTGTTGGCAGGCTGAGCACTTTGAATTAAAGGAAAATGCAAGTCCTTAGAAGCTGCCTCAGAACCAAGAATTTTCCAATCTTCTCTTGTTTCTCCTCTGCCCCCTCCCCAAGTGCAGGAAAAAGAGGCTGTCTAGAATTTCCATATCTGACTATGGACACTTCTTTCCAAAAGAAATGCAACTGTCTTAAGGCCCCCTCCCTAGAAATCTCATCAAATAACCAGGAAAGATTAACCACCCACCTGCAAGGAGAAAAGAGTAAAAGCTGTCACTAAGCCCAGGCTTTTCATCTATTCTTCTGAGGGCAGCTTTGAGGGATGACTAGGGAGACTTTACCTATGTAATAAGACAACCTTTGTTCACAATGCAGTTTTGCCCCTCACTTTCCCTTAAATTGCAGTCCCATTCAGCTTCCTAAGAGGACATTTACAGGAAAATGTCTGCCTTCTGGGTCCATTTGATTTCCCTCAAAATTATTTACTAACCTTGAAAATTACCTACCCCCATTTCCCTCTCTCCTATGAAGAGGGTGCTATTTAAACTTCAGTCATCTGGCTCTTCTTTGAGCCTCATATTTTCATGGCTCCTGTGTTTATGTATGTTAATACATTTGTATGCCTTCTTCTCCTATTAATCTCCTATTGTCCCTTCATTTCCAGTGAACAATCGGGGGGGCCTAGTGGAAGCTTTCCTTTTACCCTTACACTCCCAGTTAGCCCCAAAAGCCCTGTTTTTGAGGCAGAAACCTTGCCGTAAGCACTCCTGGACAGAGGTCCTGTGCGAGCAGAGGTGGGAGAGTGTGCTAGGGGGAGGAGCTGCAAGAAGGGATGCTCCCTAAGCTGATGCCGGGGCTCACCCCTGTGAACTGGCTGTGCTGCAGTCAGCAGGGCAGCTCCTCTGTGCCAGGTGCTCCACAGGCATCATCTCTGACATCTTCAGTGCCCTTGCAGGAAGCCCCTCCATATGGCTGTTTCTCAGTTGAGAACACGAATCCTTTAGTGGTTAGAACTGAAGGCAGGCTGGGCATGGTGGCTCATGCCTGTAATCCCAGCACTTTGGAGGCCAAGTACCTGAGGTCAGGAGTTTGAGACCAGCCTGGCCAACATGGCAAAACCCCATCTCTACTAAAAATACAAAAATTAGCCAGGCTTGGTGGCAGGCACCTGCAATCCCAGCTACTCAGGAAGCTAAGGCAGCAGAATCTCTTGAACCTGGGAGGCGGAGATTGCAGTGAGCCGAGATTGTGCCATTGCACTCCAGCCTGGGCGACAAGAACGAAACTCCATCTCAAAAAAAAAAAAAAAAAAAAAGAAAGAAAAAAAAAAGGAACTGAAGGCAGTTGCATGGTGCATGGTGCTTTACAAACAGTCAAGCTGAATACAAATCCAGCCTCAACTTCTTTCGTGCTGCAGCACTTGAATCGTGATGTTTCTTCCAGGCCCAGGAGTTCTCCTTTTGGTTGACAAATATTCATGTTTTTAAGCCTTTGTTTGGTGGTTCATTTTTCAAATGGGTATAAGGCAATGGTTTTCAAGCTTTTCTACATTGCACACCTAACCCCATAGACACAAAATCAAATAGAAATTATACACTCATGATTGAAGCAAAAGTGTTATGAGATAAAAGTTACCCTTAGGACATGTAATAAGATCTGATATTTTACAATTTCATTCTTTTTCATTAAAGAATGAGCTTGTTGGATCCTACCCTCGCATAAAGCTGAAAACCAACATTTGTGAACACTGGCAGGTGGCTGCGTGTCAAGGTGAGGTGTCACCAAGTACATTGTGGTCACTGTGGTGGTGGGTTGGTTGTAGCCTTTTGGGTTTCCTAAACTGGAGCCGGTGTAAGTGAGGAACATAGATGGAGGATTGTCCCAGCCACACACGTGCTCTGACATGTACCCTGAGGGTGTGGCAGGGTTCAGAAGCATCCATTCTGCATCCTGCAGGGACACAGGATTCCCTACAAGGTCTGGGTGCCTTTGACTTACTCACCCTCTCTGCTCCTAGTTCCTCCGCTGAGCACTGAGAGGGTTGTAGCCTATAACATCCATGGGCCTTTCCTGCTGGACATTCTGGGATGGTTCCAAGTTGAACTTGACTTCCGTCTCCCTTAACATTCCCTACTTTTCTTCCTAGCCTATAAAATCCTGCCCAGTTAGAGGCCACAGCCATGGGTGGACAAGCCACTGGAGGCTGAGCGGGGTGGTGGTGGCAGTGAAACCGCCTTGGCAAAAATTATGACATGTGAGCCATGTGAGCCCAGCAATGGCTGGGAGCACCTCTAAAGCCATCTGAGAGAAATCCCCTTTCTTGGTTATTTCTACCCTTGTGTTATCTCCTCCTCATTCTATGTTAGATGCCCTTTCCCTTATTCGGGATCCCACTCAGCATCTGGAAAGCACTTCTTGGCTGGTGCCCTAAACCCTCCTGCCTCCTCTGGCTTAGGCTCCAATCCCTAGGGCAGGTGTCTTTGCCTGGTATCCCACTAAGAGCAGAGCCTCAGCCTGGTCATGTGTGCCTGCATGCATGCAGTTTATTTGGGAGGAGAGCTCAGGGAGCAGGGTGAGGGGCTGGGGGAGTGAAGTGGAGAAGGAGGGGAAGTCAAGTCAAAGGTGTGTTGTTGAGCTGATCTCCATCCCACTGAAGCTTCTGGGGAGTGTGTATGCCACTGCCTCCCCACCCTGCACCCCACATACCTACCACATGGCTGAGGGTTGCTGCAAGAGTCCTTGACAGTCCTGCACTCCTGAGCTGTGCATGCCTGTGGGACTGGGCTTCTCAGGTGACTCACATCATAGTGTTGAGGAGGCCCTGGGGCTGCAGGAGAATAAAAGCCTGCAGGGGGCACGCCGGGCAATGCTGTGGTCAGAGGGTGGCTGAGGGGTATGAGATGGGCACAAGAGGCATGTGATACAGCCAGGGCAGCCCCAGCGGGGCCACACAATCCAGACGCTGACTCACATGCACCTGGTGAGTGTGGGCACAGTCCCTGCCCTCAGCCACATCATTATCTAGCTAGGGAAAAAGACAGGATGTGCCAAACAATTGGTGGGGCCACAGGACCTTACATAATCCAGTTTCACAGCCGCTTTGCAATGGATGAGGATGTCAGAGCTCGAAAGAACTTCAAGGATCCTCTTGTTAATTCCAGTCCAACCTTCTCACTTAGAGATGAGAAAATTGAGGTTGATTTATGCATTTGTGTAATGACTATGCCCATTTTATAACGTGAAAAGGGAGAGAGGTTAAGCGACTTCCCAAGGTGGCCCATGTGTTGAATGATTCACCATTACATCCTAGAGGGGTGGGTGACTGTGGGTGAGGCAGGGACAGGTGGGGAAGGTCAGCTTCCAACACATCCTCCGACTTTTGGTGCCACCTGCGGGGGGAGTCCTTGTTATTTTGGGCACATCTAGGAAGACCTCAGGACCTTTGCTAGAATATTTGCCCATGTCCTGTAATTATTAATGGGTATTGATCGGCAAATAATGCTTAAAGCGAGGGCTCCCTTTAAAGAACAAGCGTATGTTCTTGTAGAATTTGGATTCCTGCAGTAATATGAATACTCCTTCTCTTACCTGCACTTCTGCTTTTATCTCCTTAACTTTGGGCACTTCATCTTTCCTCCTTCTGGGCCTCAGTTTCCCATTGTATGTAACCCTTCTAGTGCCTTGCGTAGATGCATGCTTGATGGCCTACTGACTGGCTGAATACATGGGCCAGCTCACAGAACCACTGATGGAAGCAGCCTCAGAAATAATCTTATCCTGGGTCCTCTAATAAAGGTGGAGAAATTGAGGCATACAGAGAGGAAATATGGATTGCTTTCTAAATACCCACAGCAAATGAAGGAGGCAGATGCTTAACTAATACCAGGTGATAAGTGTCATAGCAGAGGTGTGTACCAGGAACACAGGCATCCACAAGAGAGGCGTGGTGAAAACTGTTCATGCTGCTTTGGATGGTGAGAACTGAGCAAAAAACAGCCTTCAATTCCCCAGATGCCATGGAGGTTCTGCCAGCATCATGCTCCCTCCATCCCTCCTCCCACCCCTGCAATGATCATCAGAGTTCTGCCCACAACAGACTTGGACTCTGCCTACCTGGAGCAGGACACCGGCCCCTCCCAGAATCTAGGGAGGCTGAAGGGAAACAGGCAGAAACCAAAGACAGCTGGAAAGGCAGCTGAGGTCATAGGGCAGAGATTGCCTGGACATGACACTGTGGCCACTGGTGTGGACACCAGCTTGCCACCACTGGCCCTGCTGACTTTGCTGCTGGGGGCGGGGATGCCACCTTGGCCAGCAGGATATTTCATTATTCTACTTAATTATATTATATTTATTATATTATATTATTTATTTTAGAGACAAGATCTTGCTTTATCACCCTGTTCAGTGACACCTCACCCTGACACGCAGCCACCTGCCAGTGTTTGCAAATGTTGGCTTTCAGCTTTATTAGAGGGTTGGATCAACAAGCTCTTTCTTTAACAAAAAAGAATAAAAATATAAAACATCAGATCTTATGACATGTCCTAAGGGTAAGTTTTGTGTCATAACACTTTGGCTTCAATCGTGAATGTATAATCTCTATTTGATTATGTGTATGTGGGGTTAGGTGTGCAATTGCTGGGCTGTAGGAGGGCAATCGTAGCTCACTGCAGCCTTGACCTCGTGGGCTCCAGTGATCCTCCCACCTCAGCCTCTTGAGTTGCTGGAACTATAGGAATGCTCTAATATGGCTGGTTATTATTATTATTATTTTTACTTTTGTGGAGATGAGGGTCTTGCTATGTTGTCCAGGCTGGTCTCAAACTCCTAGCTTCAAGCAATCCTCCTGCCTTAGCCCCTCAAAGTGCTGGGATTACAGGCACGAGTCACTGTGCCCAGCCCCAAGAAGGACTTCTGGCTGGCCCTGCTTCTAGATGTCACTCACCATAGACCCAAATCCCTGGTGGGAGTATCTGACTGTCTGAACTTGGGGCATCTGCCTGCCTCCAGCTGACCAGGCCAAGAAGAGTAGGTTGGGGCCTTTTAAGCCTTCCTCTAAGAGGCAGGGCCTAGCCCTCCCTAAGACTCACCCACTGGCCCATTCGTGAAACATGGGGAGGTGGATCAGATGCTAGATCCAACCTAATGTGTATTCTATGCCTTCCCGGCCCCCTGTACCTACCCTGTGTAGGATGCGGACCTGACTTCAAAGAGCTCACTGACATCAGAAAGCGGCTTGAGACTGAGGACCCAGGAGATGGCAGCCCAGCTCAGGGCAGCCTCTTCCATTCCAAGGGTGCTGGAGAGGTGAGGACAGCTGCTCATTTCACCTATAAACTCTGCAGTGAGCAACCAAGAACCCCAAGACCACAAGGGGATTTGAACAATAAGTTCAGTCCTGTCACTCCCCCTCCTTCCATAAGCTGCACTCAAGAAGGAACCATGCACTGCATGATGCAATGTCCACCACTGCTAAATGGAGCTGCGTTAAGGTGCTGGAGTGTGGTGTAGACCAGTGCTTCTCAAATTACAAAGTTTGCAGAACTCACCTGAGACTTTTATCCAAATACAAATTCTAATTCAGTGGTTCTGAGGTGGGGCCAGAGGGTCTGCATTTCCAATTTCCGAGGCCATGCTGCTGATCTTAGATCACCCTTTAAAAAATTTTTATTATTGGCTGGTTGTGGTGGCTCACGCCTCTAATCCCAGCACTTTGGGAGGCCGAGGTGGGCGAATTGCTTGGGGTCAGGAGTTGGAGACCAGCCTGGGCAACATGGTGAAACCCTGTCTCCACTAAAAATACAAAAATTAGCTGGGTGTGATGGGAGGTGCCGGTAATCCCAGCTACTTGGGAGGCTGAGGCACGGGAATAGCTTGAACTGGGGAAGGGGAGGTTGCAGTGAGCCGAGATCACGCCACTGCACTCCAGCCTGGGTAACACAGCAAGACTCTGTCTCCAAAAAAAAAAAAAATTATTATTATTTTTAATAGAGACAGAGTCTTACTATGTTGCCTAGGGTGGTCTCAAACTCCTGGCCTCAAGACATCTTCCCACCTTTGCAAGAGCCACTGTGCTTGGCTTGTGTAGACCCTTTGAGCAGCAAAGGTGTACACAGGGAGTGCTGTGGGAGATCTGCAAGGGGCGTGAACAGGGTGATGCTGAAGTGTAGGGAGGCAGGAAGAGGAATTGGGTTACCAGCCCTCTCTCTCCCTTCTCCCCTTTGCCTTCCACACACAGCCTCTTGTCCAGCCACTCCCTCTTCCTGGAAGGGCCTTACTGACAGAGTGCTGGGGAGCCCTGTCAGCTGGCCACAGGTCTTAGCAAGGGCCACCCCCTCCTTCAGGCCTTCACCGTGTCTTGGAACCTCCCACTGCCACAGCCTCAGCGACACCGTCCTTAGATCCAGGCAGGTGGGCTGTGACCCGGGACTGCACTTTGGAAGGCCTTGCTATCCTCCTCTGGCCATCTCCTTCTCCAGGGCCCGAGGGATCTGCAGAACCGGAGGAACATGCCAACCTGAAACCTGGGCTGTCTTTATCCGGCTGTACTCCACCTGGGATTTTCTGCCCGGATGGCATCAAGATCGCTTCCAGGCCCTATTGGGACACTTGGCTGGGTCCTTCCTTGTGCAGGCGAGCAGAGACGCAGGTTTGTGTGTACCTGGAGGCTTGACAGGAGCTAAGGGCGCTGACTGTGGAAAGAGTCTGTGTGCAAGGAGCTTGGCTCTGAGGGCTGAAGGGTCTGTGTGTGTGTGTGTGCAAGCCCCTGATGGGGTGGGACAGGGCAGGAGGTGGGAAGAGGAGGGAGCTGGGCCACAGGCCAAGGCCTGGTTCTCTCATGCCAGCGTGTTCCAGCATGAAACCCAAGGAGTCTGAGAATTCGAAATTCTAACTCTCTCCCACTTATATCCTTGCCTCAGTCTCCTCAAATGTCAGGGTATATCTGCCCCGTCCCTGTGCAGGGCCACCACTCCTTTTGCAGGGCCACAACTCCCTGTGCAGGGCCATAAGTCCCTATGCAGGGCCACCACTCCTTGTGCAGGGCCACACTCTCTGTGCAGTGCCATCAGTCCCGTGCAGGCCGCCACCGGCCTCATGCAAGGCCACGACTCCCTGTGCAGGGCCATAGGTCCCTATGCAGGGCTGCCACTCCTTGTACAGGGCCATCATTCTGTACACAGTGCCACTAGTCCCATGCAGGGCCCACAGTCCATGTGCAGAGCCACCACTCCCTGTGCACTGCCACCACTCTGTGCGTGCAGCTGTCCACCTGGCTGACTGTGAGGTCAGCCCTGTTCTCCCTGTCTCTCCAGTGCCTGGGCAAGTGTGTAGGACAAAGTCAATGCCCAGTGAAGTTTTTTGTATGCCCGAAAGAGGAAAGTTGGTCTGATAGGTTGGATCACACTTAAACCAGTTCTAGTAAGGCTTGCATTATAAAGAGCTTCCAGTGAGAAATGATGTTGAAACAATGTTCAATCTAAGACTTCAACCTTGTGACTCCCTATTGGCAGAATGTCAGATACTATGGCACCTGGCTGGGTGGATGGGGATATTATTATTTTTTTAAATTAATATTAAAATTGAGTATTTGATTAAGCATAAGTAATACATACACATGATACAAAAAAATTCAAAATTGTGCAATATGAGAAGCATTTCTCTACTCTTGTCTCCCAGTCCTCAGTCCCCAGTCCCCATGGTCCCTTCCTTGGAGGCAACTCCTGGGACCCATTCTTCTTTTTTTTTTTTTTGTGACCGAGTTTCACTCTTGTTGCCCAGGCTGGGGTGCAATGGCTCGATCCTGGCTCACTGCAACCTCCGCCTCCCAGGTTCAAGCAATTCTCCTGCCTCAGCCTCCTGAGTAGCTGGGACTATAAGCATGTGCCACCAGGCCTGGCTAATTTTGTGTTTTTAGTAGAGATGAGATATCTCCATGTTGATCAGGCTGGTCTCAATCTCCCAGCCCCAGGTGATCTGCCCGCCACGGCCTCCCAAAGTGCTGGGATTACAGGCATGAGCCACCGCACCTAGCCCTTGGGACCCATTCTTATGGATCCTTCCAGAACTGGTCTGTGCTATATAAGACCATCACAAATGGTAGTAAATGATGCACACTGATCTGCACCTTGTTTTTTCCTTCTTAGCAATATATTTTGGGGATTGTTCCATATCAGAACATGTAGAACTTTCATTCTTTTTGATGGCTGCAGAACATCCTTTATTTACCCAGTCCCTCTGATGAAGAGTTAGATGGCTTTCACACCGTGCTTTTTACAAACATTGTATATGGGGATTTTGTACATATACGTGAGTATATGTGCAGGATTAATTCCTAGGAGTAGAATTCCTGGGTCAAATGGCGTGCACATTTGTTAGTAAAATGTCTATAGGTATTCCCAAATTGTTCTTGAGTAGAGGCTGTATCAAAGTACACTCCCAACAGCAACATGTGAGGATGAAGGCATTTGTTCCATGCAGGGGCCTGTGTAATAGGGTTAGGGGCTGAAAAGGTGCAAGTAAGTTTCCCAGGGCTCATCAGAACCCACCAACATGGCATTGCCCAGTGCTTGGCCTGGAAGATATTTCATAGTTCTCTGACTGTGTTATAAATGCTAACTTTCTGAATGCAAATATTTTGGCAGGGCTTTTCCTTCCTGATGGCAGAATTGGTCTCAAGGGCCTCTGTTAGCCCTTGGGGCCATGGCTGTCAGGGTGAAGGAGAGACAGCAGGAACTTTCCTCTGGCCATGCACCGCCTTGCATTTAGAGCTGATTGGCCCTGTGGCATGCTCATTGCTCAGCCAACAGGAAATGGCAGTGGCCTAAATAGCTTATTCTAAAACAAGCACTCTTTCACTTGCTCACCAGCCTCATCCATCAGGCCATCTGTCTGTCTATCCATCCATCCATTCATCCATCCATCCATCCATCCATCCATCCATCCATCCATCCATCCATCCCTTCTTTCATGCAACATTTATGAGCAGTGGCTCATGTGTGCTTGGAGAGCTTTGAGGTGATGGGAAGGGGGAGGGGGTAGAGAAGTGCAAACAACATGTAATACTTTGATGAGTCATGTGCTGAGGTAGGGGAATGTTAATTATGATAGGTCTCATTTATTGAGACCCACTGGATGCTGGGGCCTTGATAGGCACCTGGGCTGCAGAAATGGTTTAAAAAGCACCACCTCTTCCCTAAGGAGATCAGGGTCTCCTAGGGAGGAAGGACAGTCATGAAAAATCAATATCAGGGAAATGTCCTCCCTGCTGTAGGAGCACTGGAGAAAGGGATTAGTTCTTGCTGGGGGTGAAGGAATGTCACATTATTTTATTTTCTTTGAGGCAAATTAAACTGGCTGCAAGTTCCCATTTGTCAAGATAGATGAGAAATCTGTATCTGTCAGGTTTGGGGCAGGACTTATCCATGGTGAACATTCAGGGTAGAGCCCTCTGGACTTCTCCTGTCATTGGATACTCTGGTAAGTTCCTATACTTCCAGGCGAGGCTGCAGCTTGGGGTCTTCACTATGGAGTCTCAGGATTTGATGTCAGCCCCTTTAGGAATCTCCCATATGAGGTTGGCTATCTGCTTAGGAAGTGGTTCAGGTGAAGGCCTGCGTTCCTGCCCTTCTAGAGACCCTCCCAAATCTCTAGACTTTAATTTCTAGGCCCTGGGGAAGACTTCAAATGCTTCTTTCTCTGAATCCTAACCTTCCCAAACATTGGTATCCTTTCCTTCAGGGGAAATCCAGCTCCATCAACTTTAATTAGCTCAAACTTTTGAAAACAAGAGCTTCGGTGGGTGCCTTGTTTCCCCAGGTGGCTTGGCAGCTTCTGATTTTGGCTGGCTGAGCAACATGGAATGAGGAACAACCTGAGGGAACAACGGCTTGGTACCTTCTTGGTAACAGGAGGCAAGGGGACGCTGCTCTGATCCTCTCATATCCCTTTTTTTGTTTTGTTTTGTTTTGTTTTGTTTTGAGGTGAGTCTCACTCTGTCGCCCAGGCTGGAGTGCGGTGGTGCAATCTCAGCTCATTGCAACCTCTGCCTCCTGGGTTCAAGTGATTCTCCTGCCTCAGCCTCCCGAGTAGCTGGGACTACAGGCGTGTGCCACCACACCCAGCTAATTTATTGTATTTTTAGTAGAGACAGGGTTTCACCGTGTTAACCAGGATGGTCTCAATCTCCTGACCTGGTGATCCGCCCACCTCAGCCTCCCAAAGTGCTAGGATTACAGGCATGAGCCACTGCACCCGGCCCTCATATCACTTTTACAGTGCCTGTGCACCCATCACTGGGCTCTGGGTGCTTTGTGGCCCCAGCACCTGTGCCCCTCTTAAATGGCTGGCCTTTGAGGGGGTGCCAGTGTGCTGAATGCATGCACAGACGGCAAGAGTGCTGGGAGCTGGTGTCCTCCTGGGGCAGCCCTGAAACAGTGGCTGACTGGAGCCGGGGTGTGAGAGCCCAGCTCCCTTGCCTCAAGTCAGTGTAATTTATATCAAGCCGAGGCTGGGACTTTGCCTGGAGCATGATTTTCTTAGTATCTTCCCTCCAACTCTGAGTCCCTTATCCGGTTCTCCTGGGCACATCCTCGATCAGTTGCATAAATGCTCATCTCAGGGTCTGCTTCGGGGGAACCCACCCTAGGGCATCCAGTGAAGAAAAAACACAAATTACCGTCTACTTCTGATGCTCCTCCAGTGAATGCAATGGATATGTTGTTTCAAAGCAGGTTCCCAGCAGAAGGGGCCCCTGAGCCCACCCAGGCTCCATTGTCTCAGCTGTGTAGACCAAGCAGAGGCAGCTTCCCAGAGCACAGATGAGAAAGATGTGATGGCTTGAGCTGACCACAAGCTCAGGGAGCCCCTGACGGGGCTCAGCTGCCTTAAGCGAATGCTATCATAGTGGGAGAGGTGTGCTAGCAAAGCCCAGGTCCAGAGTCAGGGAAATGAAATCCCACTTAACCCTCCAAGGTCATATGTCCCTGAGGTTGTGGGTTCACTGGAGACTGTAGTTAAAGAGGGACATTCACAGTCTGGATGGAACCTTCTAGGTGACCTCGTCTAGGATGGTGAAGGGGCTGGAAGCCAAGGTGTGTGGTCCAGGGCAGCTTGTTCTCTAGAGACCAGGAGGGGGACTTGGTCTTTCTGAGGGAAATGGGGAAGGTTTGATAGAGCAAGTAAGGTAGGCACTGAGCTTTGCAGGGTGAAAGGTGTACACCAGGAAGAAGAAAGGGCAGAGATAGCTCAGCCTTTGACTTACTGTGTGACCTTGAGTCATTTTACCTCTCTAAGCCTCATGTTCCATTTACATTAAGACAGGGGCAATAGTTTTATTATGTATTTATTTATTTATTTACTTATTTATTTAGATGGAGTCTTGCTCTGTTGCCCAGGCTGGAGTGCAGTGGCATGATCTCAGCTCACTGCAACCTCCGCCTCCCAGGTTCAAGTGATTCTCCTGTCTCAGCCTCCCAAGTAGTTGGGATTCCAGGAGTGTGCCACCATGCCCGGCTAATTTTTGTCTTTTTAGTTGAGATGGGGTTTCACTATGTTGGCCAGGCTGGTCTTGAACTCCCGACTTCAAGTGATCCACCCGCCTTGGCCTCCCAAAGTGCTGGGATTATAGGCAAGAGCCACCGTGCCTGGCCCACTTATTTATTTATTATTTTGAGACAGGGTCTCATTCTGTTATCCAGGCTGGAGTGCAGTGGTGCGATCCTGGCTCACTGCAGCCTCTGCCTCCCAGGCTTAAGTGATCTTCCCACCTCAGGGTCCTGAGTAGCAGGTACTATAGGTGTCTGCCATCATGCTCAGCAAATTGTTTGTATTTTTTGTAGAGATGAGGTTTCACCATGTTGCCCAGGCTGGTCTTGAACTCCTGGGCTCTAGCAATTCTCCAAACTTGACCTTCTAAAGTGCTGGGATTACAGGCAGGACCCACTGTGCCTAGCCAGTATTACTTAATTCGTAGGGTTCTTGTGAATATTAAATAAGCTATGCATGTGAAGAGCTAAGACACAGCTGGGCATGTAGCAAGTGCAAAGATAACATTAGCCATTGCTGGTATACTTGTATGATGAGGAGCAGAGGGAACTAAAGATTGTCCACTTGAAAAACACCTACATGTAGGTCAATGCCCAGGTGAAATGGGAAGATCTGATGATCACCTCATTACTTCCCCCATCTTTGACTTGGCCAGCCCCCACTTTGGGCATCCCTGTCTGTGCCGTGTCATGGATGCTGTGGCATGTTGCCCAGGTCCCCATCTGCACACAGGTACTCATATCCCTGGCTGCTGGAGGAGCAATGGCTGCAACCCTCTCTGGGAATTAATTGCTTTCCACTGAAGGCAGATGTATTGCCCCAACTCACTCACACCCTCTCTGGGAGCAGCCCACATTCTAGTGGATGAGACAGGGGTAGAGGCCAGCCCTCTTGCCTCCATTTGGTACAACTCTGAAAGCCCATCCAGTTTCAGAGCTTCTCATGGGTTCTTCTGAGGCCTCTGGTGGGACTGCACCTTGGTTTAACTTCTCCCTCTGCCCACTTTTGCTTCTGTCATTCCCTCGCAAGTGACAACTTCCTGCATGCAAACCCGACCTGATGCATTTTCTCCATGTCTGTCTGTTTATTTGTTTGCTCCCACCAATAAAACTGGAGAACTTCTTGAGGGCAGGGGCCATGGGTTCTTATCACTGTCTCCAGCACCTCCTATAGAACAACACAATGCAAGGGTAGTCCAGAGGAGAAAGTGCCCAGATATAAGGAGTGGCTTCCAGGGGAAGGTGGCTTCTGAGCCGCGGTGGTGCTAGCCCTGTGTGCACCCACTTGACTGTCTAGCTAACACAGAGGGCTGGGCTTGTGTGAGGGGCTCCAGGACACATATCCATCAGGGGTCTGTAGGCTCTTAGAGAGGGTGGCAATCATCAGCTCTCAAGGCACTCCAAGGGACACCGCCCAAGTTTCAGTGAGGACACCATACAAAAGGAGAGAAGTGTGGGCAGCTGATTCCAGCAGTGCAGCATCCGGCAGGAGGCAAAGCTGACCCTAGAGCCTCTACCTGAGTGGGCAGGAAGATTGAGGCCCAGTGACCCATGGTGCAGCCTCTGGTAGAGGAAGTGTGGGGAGGATGGTGAAGCCTTTGCAAACACACATGTAGAGCTGAGAAGTTCGGACAGCTGAACACACAGATTTGGCAGGCATAGGGAGAGATAAGAGTGAAAACCACAGGAATCCAGCTGAAAAATGTGGAGTGAGAGGAGAGGAAGGCTGAAGATCCAATTGGAGGTGTGAGGAGAGGGGAAGAGAGACCAGAAAGGAGAGCTGAGGAGGTCAGGAGGGTGTGAGACGGGAAGGGAAGTGGGGTCAAATATTGCTTGCAGGTCAAGGAGGCAGAGGCCAAGAGAAGCCGTCGCACTTGGCTCTGGGAGGCCCCTCATGGCCTTGGTGGGGCTGGCTAGGGCAGTCGTTCAGAGTGCAAGTTTTATAATCTGAGCTGAGTTTGTGCTGTAGATCCTGTGTGGCCTCAGAGAGGTCATTTAACCCAGAGGTCCTGGGTGGAACAGGCACTTCTTTTGTGGGTGTGGCTGTGGACACCCAAGTCCTGGCCACGGTCCATGAGAAACCAAGGGAAAAGGTAGGGTCTGAGAACAACTTACATGTTAACGGGAAAGGAGCAGGGCCGGATGGTCCTACGGTAAGGTTTCAGCTAAGAAGCAGACAGTATTCAGTAACAGCTACTGTGAGCGACAGATTCTGACCGGATGGGCTGCACCAGCAAGAGAACGTACGTGCAACTGATGTGTTCCAGCAGCTCACAAGAGGGCTCTACCATGTCCTGATGACTCCAGCATAGCTTTCTCTGTCCTTTCATCTCACTAACCATACAGAAAGCCACTAATGTGTGTACCCAACCATACTGCTTTGATTTTTTCGTTGCATGACATGTGTTTTAATAGACATGAAATGCAGATGGGGTGAGGAAAAACTGCTTCTGTAAAAATTCCTCCTTTCTCCATTATTGGCTTGCTTACTCAACTTGCATCTGTATCTTCTAGTAAATTGTTTTGCTCTCAGAGTTTAACAAAAAAATTCCTTTCTTATCATGTTTGGAGAATTGCAATGCTTTTCATTTTTTGTAAAACCAAGGACACTCCTATAATTCATTTTGCATGTAGCTGCTTCGTGTAGGACAATCTGTCTTTAAGGAGGGATACAGCACTTTAAATAGAGTTTTCCCTTTAAATCAAGCATCTAGTTATTTAAAGAAAGTTATTGATTCTGGGGATTTAGGTTCTGTGGCTCGGGGGGGAGGCCCTGGCACCTGTATTTTGAACAAGTGAGTTAAGTGAGTGCAACGCCGCAGACACCCACGAGCCTTTGGGACTCGCTATTCTCATCTAGAATGGAGAAATTGAGTGGCAATCTTGCATGTTTGACCGAACTTGGGAGGCTTCATTTTGGGGTGCCCCAACTTGTTTTTTTAGAGAAATAGAAAATGTTTTAAACACCAGCAAGCATCTAATACAGCTTGCAGACAAGAAGTTACAAGGAAAGGCAAAAGCACAGCTTCTGCTTTGATGCATTTTGCAAACCAGGGTGGGGAGGGTGCAGAATGGGAGCTTAGGCTGAGTGCCTGTGGGGGTGGGGGTTGGGGCTGAGGTCAAAGTCCAGGCCTAAAGCTGCTGAGAGGCACATCTGATTGGCATTTTGACTCAACACTATGGATTTTTTGCTGAAGGATTTGCGGGGACAGGGAAGGGATAGCTCCCTCCATCCTCCCCTCACCCCCTCCACCAGAAAACCAGTTCTTCACCTCAGGGCTCTGTCTTAGATAATCATCACTCCAACTTTCTGCCCATCAAGGTGCAAGGAGGAGCTTGGTTTGGTGGGTGTGCTGAGGGTTGAATGGGAGGATGTAAATTGCAGTGACCAAGACATGGATGGATGCTCTTGCAGGCGAAAGCATGTGGTCTTCACACATTCCCCCTCCTCCAGCCTCCCACTGCCTGAGGACCAGCCTCATCATCCCAGACACCGGAAGAACCAGGATCCTTCCCTGGCCAGTGCCCCCAACTTGGAAAGACACAGGGGTCCTGGGTTTGACATTCTGTGACTCGAGACTGCCCTCCTATCTTCCCTCTCCTCCCGCCCCAGAGAAGATTCAGAGTCTTTTTCCTCTCTCTGTTCAGGATACAAAGGCTTTTCCATTGTCATGGGTAATTTTGAGCTCTTTTCAAGTGTAAGTTTCTCATCAGCCCTAAGCCTGACATCCTTCCTTGCCTGGCTCGGGAGATTACTCAGAAAGCAGGATGCCGGACAACAATAGCCCCAGGAACAATTCCACTCCTTCCAGGCAGGGATCCATTTTCCAATTATTTCTTTATCCTATTTACTTAATGACCAAATCTAGTGCCATCCCATGTTTCACAGCCATGAGCAGCCCCATGATGAGGGGAAATTGTTCACACCACTGCCAATGTGGGGCCCTGCCTCTGCCAGCCTAGAGGGACCAAGAGAGGCTTCCAGGCTCTCTTCTCCATGCACCTGGGCATGGGCCACTGCTTCCAGCAGCAGCTTTCCCCTTCCCATGTTCAAATCTGCCCTGCCTACTCCTGAGCTCCCCCCTCCATAGCAGACCCAACATAGTGGTCCCAGCCTTACAAAGCCCTTCTCATTCTGGCCCCTTTCTCTCACCTGCACGGGGCTTTCCCCTGCAGTCACACCTGTTGCCGGTGGCTGGCACTCCCCATAGCAAGCTGAAAAGTTCTGTGCCAAGCACTTTCCCAAGGATTGTGTCCTTTAGTCCCTACAGCAACCACAGAGATCAGAGAGGTTAAATGACCTCTCTGAGGGGAATAAAGAGGGGAATAAAGAGGCAGCCTCAGTAGAAATCTGCCTTCCTTTCTTTCTTTCCCTTCTTCCCTCCCTCCCTCCCTCCTTCCTTCCTTCTTTCCTTCTTTCCTTCCTTCCTTCCTCCCTCCCCTCCTTCCTTCCTTCCTCCCTCCCCTCCTTCCTTCTTTCCTCCCTCCCTCCTTCCTTCTCACCTTCTCTCCCTCTTCCCTCCCTCTCTCCCTCCTTCTCACCTTCTCTCCCTCTTCCCTCCCTCCCTCCCTCCCTTCCTTCCTTCCTTCCTTCCCTCTGTCTCTTTTGCTCTTTCTCCTTCCTTCCTTCCTTTTCTTTCTCTCTCTCTTTCTTTCTTTCTCTCTCTCTTTCTTTCTTTCTCTCTTTCTTTCTTTCTCTCTCTCTCTCTTTCTTTCTTTCTTTCTTTTCTTTCTTTCTCTCTCTTTCTTTCTCTCTTTCTTTCTTTCCCCCCTCTATTTCTTTCTCTCTCTCTCTTTCTTTCTCTCTCTCTTTCTTTCTTTCTTTCCCCCTCTCTCTTTCTTTGTTTCTTCCTTTCTTTCATTCTGACTTGTCTCATTCTGTCACCCAGTCTGGAGCGCTGTGGTGCGATCATAGCTCACTGCAGCCTCAACCTCCTGGGTTCAAGCCCTCTGGAGTAGCTGGAACTACAGGTGCAGGCCACTATGCTTAGCAATGGAATCTGTCTTTCCAATCAGCTCTGGAAGTGATTCTGAGATATCAGGTTTGGGAGCCCATGGACATGATGTTGCAATCTGTTGCTGTCTTTTATGTTCCCATTGCCTGTCTGGTCAAGGTCCTGCTGGGCGCTTCCACCTGCTTTTTGTCCACCTGCAGCCGTCTCTCCAGAGCTGTGGCTGCCTGGGTCATTCCCCTCGATCATTCCCTCTAACCCTATTTCTGAATCTAGCCGCAGGCCTGGCCCGGCTCCTGCTCTTTTGCTTCCAAGTTGCCTGTTCCTTTTATTCACTTAAAATAAAATCTATCTACATACATAAAAATTTACATTTTTGATGAATGAATTTTGGCATAATCATGTAATCAATCATGCCCATCTTTGAGATACAGAACAGTTCCAATTCCCCCCAAAATTCCCCCTTGCTGTCCTTTTGTAGTCAATTATTTCCCTAGCCACTAGACCCTGACAACTACTGATTTGTTCCTATAATTTTACCTTTTCCAGTATGTCACAACATTGAATCATACAGTATGTAGTCCTTTGGGCCTGGCTTCTTTCACTAAGCACAGTGCATTTGAGATTCATCAGGTTGTTGCCTATATCACCAGTTTCTTTTTTTGCTGTCTAGTAATTCATTGTATGGATGTACCATGGTTTGCTTATTCATTCACCAGCTGAAGGTCATGTTAGGTTGTTTCCAGTTGGGGTGAATTATAAATAAAGCCACTATAAACATTTGCATACAGACTTTTGTGTGAACATATGTTTTATTTCTTTTTTTTTTTTAAGTACACAGGAGTGATGAGAGTGGATACCCTTTCCTTGCTCCCAATCCCAGAGGATAGCATTTAGTCTTTCAACATTAAACATGATGTTAGTTGCATATTTTTTTGTGGATGCCTGTAATCAGGTTTAAAAAAATCAGAATTGATAACTTACCAGACAACAGCAGAAAATCTTGATCCTCAATTAACTTTGAAACCTTGTTGTGTGCATGGTTTCCATTTAGCTTCCTGAAATGTTGAAAATAACTTGTTTCCTCACTGTTGTCTGAGAGCTGTGAGTACTGGCAATGACTACAATAAGAGATGAGTCAAGGATGACTCCAAGACTCCT
Organism: Homo sapiens; assembly: GCF_000001405.40. Lineage (NCBI taxonomy): Eukaryota > Metazoa > Chordata > Mammalia > Primates > Hominidae > Homo > Homo sapiens. The sequence goes on along the minus strand of NC_000002.12, from coordinate 119,194,195 downwards.
AGCCTCGCTTTCTCATATGCTTCCCTCTCCCCCTCCCTCCCTCCCTCCCTCCCTCCCTCCCTCCCTTCCTTCCTTCTTTCCTTCCTTCCTTCCTTCCTTCCTTCCTTCCTTCCTTCCTTCCTTCCTTCCTTCCTTCCTTCCTACTGTTCAATCTCCTGAAGCTTCTTGCTTTCTTCCTCTTTAGTTCCAGGCTGCTGAAGCAATGGCCCTGATGTTGCTAATGCTCCCAGTGGATCTCTGCTATTCGGCCCACTGAAGCCACCTCTCTCTCTCTCTCTCTCTCTTTTTTTTCTTGGTGACAGGGTCTTGCTCTGTCACTCAGGCTGGAGTGCAGTGGTGTGATCATAGCTCACTGCAGCCTCAAACTCCTGGGCTCAATCGATCCTCCTACCTTAGTCTCTTGAGTAGCTGGGACTACAGGCATGTGCCACCACCCCTGGCTAATTTTTATATTTTGTATAGAGATGGGGCCTTTCTATCTTGTCCAGGCTGGTCTCAAACTCCTAGGCTCAAGCTATCCTCCCACCTCAGGCTCCCAAAGTGCTGGGATCATAGGTGTGAGCCACTGTGCCCCACCAGAAGTTTTAGATTTTTTTGAGCTGTGTTCTGAACGATTAATATGTGGACTCTAAGGCCTCATTACAAACTATGAGGTATTAATGTCTGTATTTTCCAAATAGACGAAGTTCAGAAGGGTGGGTGGCTTGCTCAAGGTCATCTAGCTGGCCAGCAGCGGAGAAGGTGTACATATCCTCAGGGCGTGCAACCACCTTGCCAAGGTAAGTTGGCACTCAGAGCTGATGCCATTATACCCCAACGGAACTTAGCAAGTGGGTTGAGCGTTTGCTATTTTTTTTTTCTTAAAAAGCTTATATTTTGTTGAATAAATAATAATTCATTTTCATTGGTGGCAGACGTAGCTTGATTGGTTTCTATTTTTCCATTAACTGCCTCCTACTGCCACCTTAAAAGCAGAAGCTTTTGGCCATCTTTGGTGCCCTCCTGAGCCACCGTCACATTTTTGTCCCTTGTATGCCCCCGAAGTGTGCCCTGGAAACTGACCAGTCTGCCTCTGCCCATCCCCGCCTGCATCCTCCACGTATGTAACCTGCTGCCTCCAGGTGGTCATTTAGGCAGAAGGGAGGGGACATCACAGGCCCAAGCTCCTCCGTGGCCACTTGATGTGGCAGGGGACCTTTTTCCTGAACTAGAGAGTCTGAAAAGAAATAATTTCAAGATAGTAACATGAGCATGGGCAGAAATCTTCCCCTTTTGGGCCATAATCAGAAAAAAGAAAGATAGGAAAAATGTAAGAGATAACAAATACATAATTAGATTTTAAAAGAAGAGGCAGGGCACTGTGGCTCATACCTGTAATCCCAGCACTTTGGGAATCCAAGATGGGAGAATCACTTGAGCCTGGGAGTTTGAGACCAGCCTGGGCAACACAGCAAGACCCTGTCTTTACAAATAATAATAATAATAATAATGAAGTATGCATGGGACTCAGAAGTTAAAAGCAATGAACTCTATTAATAGCTATCAAACTTTTTAGTCTTGGCAATCTTTTTCTCTCTTGAAAATTATTGAGGACCCCAAAAAGCTTTTGTTTACATGGGTTATATCTACTGATATTTACAGTATTAGAAATTAAAACTAAGAAATTTAAACAATCTTTATGTGAAAATAACAAAAATAAGTCCATTGCACATCAAAATACTTATGTTAATATAAATAGCATTTTTGTGAAAAATGACTATGTTTTCCAAGTACAAAAATTTAGTGAGAAGAGTGGTATTGTTTTACATTTTTTTGCAGATCTCTTTTTCTTTCTTTCCTTCCTTCCTTCCTTCCTTCCTTCCTTCCTTCCTTCCTTCCTTCCTTCCTTCCTTCTTTCTTTCTTTCTTTCTTTCTTTCTTTCTTTCTTTCTTTCTTTCTTTCTTTCTTTCTTTCTTTCTTTCTTTCTTGACAGAGTCTCACTCTATCATTCAGGCTGGAGTGTGGTAGTGCAATCACAGCTCACTGCAGCCTTGACCTCCTGACTCAGGTGATCCTCCTTCCTAGCCTCCCGAGTAGTTGGGATCATGGGCACACACCACCACATCTGGCTAATTTTAAAAATTATCTGTAGAGATGGGGGTCTCACTATGGTGCCCAGGCTGGTCACAAATTCCCAGGCTCAAGCAATCCTCAGTGCTGGGATTATAGATGTGATCCACTGCACCTGGCATCTTTTACTTCTGGCTTGCTAGAAGATAGCTGGATTCTCATATGGGCTTCTGTTTTCCGTCTATTGCACTTTACGGGTAATGTAATTTCTTGAAAAGGCCACACCTCCTTAGTGTGACTATGGAAATAGTTTTGCATTTGTGGATTCCCAGAAACCAGCCTCAGGGACCGATTCCCTAGATCCCATTTTGAGGACCACTCCAAGTGGATCAATAATGACCAAAATAAACTTATTTTTAACAACATTTTTTATTTAGTGTTTTAGCTTGGATTCCACCAAAAACCTGAGACAAAGGGACTGCATTTGAGTCATTTATTTGGGTCCATAAATCTAGGAGTCAAGAGTTGGAGGACTGGGAAGAATGAAACAAGGAAGTAGGAAAAGCCCATCCAGCCATGTGTTAAGCTACTGTTAAATTAAATTTAGTGGCCTGGCGCAGTGGCTCACGCCTGTAATCCCAGCACTTTGGGAGGCTGAGGTTTAGTGGCCTGGTGCGGTGGCTCACGCCTGTAATCCCAGCACTTTGGGAGGCTGAGGTTTAGTGGCCTGGCGCGGTGGCTCACGCCTGTAATCCCAGCACTTTGGGAGGCTGAGGCAGATGGATCACCTGAGGTCAGGAGTTAGAGACCAGCCTGGCCAACATGGTGAAACCACCCCCTCTACTAAATATACAAAAATTAATTGGGCATGATGGTGCACACTTGTAATCCCAGCTACTCGGGAGGCTGAGGCAGGAGAATCACTTGAACCTGGGAGGCGGAGGTTGCAGTGAGCCGAGATCATGCCACTGCATTCCAGCCTGGGCAACAAGAGTGAAACTCCATCTCAAAAAACAAAAAACAAAACAAAACAAAACAACAACAACAACAAAAATCAAATTTAGCTTAAAGCTTCCTCCTTACATATTTTAAGTTCAGCCTAAAGGTTTCTCTGTGCATAGTAAACTATAGCCTACAGGGAAATGTAAACAGGCTGTAACGTACTCTTGTGTCAATCACTGAGTTTTGGCCAATCAAAGGTGGCCAACTTTTCAAACTGTGTTCAAATAAGGCAAACGACGAGCTGCGACCCATTCAGCTGTTTCTGAACCTCACTTCTGTTTTCTGTGCTTCACTTTCCTTTTTCTGTCCATAAATCTTCCACCAGAGTCTGTCTAAACCTACTCTGGCTCAGCAGACTGCCCTAGTCACGAATTGTCCTTTGCTCAGTTAAACTGTGTTAAATTTAATCTGGTTAAGGTTGTTCTTTTAACACTGGCCATTGCTGTGGGCAGTCGGGGCTCAGTTTAACTGAGGACTCCCAGAGAAACCATGTAGACTATGCCTTAGACTGAGGGCCTAAGACCTCGAGGCCTGGCATATTTATTCATTGGCTTCCTTCTCCTATTGGGCAAGGATTGCTCCAGGGAGGGTTGACTCCCTGGCACTTCAAGATTTGCCTGTATACCGTGATGCCTGGGGCAGAAAGAAAGACATACCTGGTGCAGCTGAAGTGAAGCTGTCAGGTTACACCTGGGGGCAGCTTGTTGCCACAGCAACTCTTGTGCAAAAGGCAGGCTAAGAGTGTGAAATGGGGCTAAAAGATGTCCAACACATTATGTGGGAAAACCAACTTGCAGAATAATATGTGCAGCAAGACATCATTTACGTTAATAATAAAACCACCAAACTAATAGCAAGTATTTTCCGAGTATATATATATATATATACCTGGAAGCTGACCAGCCTGCCTCTGCCCATCCCTGCTTGCATCCTGCAGGTATGGAACCTGCTAACTCCAGGTGGTTATTTAGGCAGATACATACATATATATGATGTATATATTTGTATATGTTTACATATGTATATACAAATACATTAAAAAGTATTGGATTTATACACACCAAGTTTCAAGGGAAGAGATATTGATTGGGAATATGGGTCATTTAAGATAATGTTAGTTTTTTTTAATCTAATTTCCTAATCTTTCTTTATCGCCAAAGCTCCAAAGCAGAAGATTAGAAACATACGAGATTCACTGAAGTTAATTCATAGAGTTTGTTGGTTTATCCTTTTTCTTCACGGGGACAGCACAGGGGGTCATGCCCAGGCCAAGCAAAGAAAATGGCTTATGGAATTGTGGGTACCCACAAGTCTTAGTACGTCTGTGCCACTGTAACAAAACACTTGAGCCTGGGTAGTTTATAAATAATGGAAAGTTATTTCTCACAGTTCTAGAGGACGGAAGTCCAAGTTCAAGGCACTGGCAGGTTTGGTGTCTGGTGAGGGCTGCTCACTGCTTAAAAGATGGCACCTGTGCTGTATCCTCTGGAGGGGACAAATGCTGTGTCCTCACATGGTGGAGGGATGGAAGGTGGGACTCAGCCTCTAAAGCCCTTCTATAGGGCACTAATCCATTCATGACTGCAGAGGCCTCATGTCCTCATCACCTCCTAAGGACCCCACCCCTCGATACTGTTGTGCTGGGGATTTTCAACATGAATTGTGGAGGGCGCACAAACATTCAAACCATAGCACTGAGAGAGCAGCTGGCATCTATCCCTTAGCTGGATGCTAGTCCCCAGGGCACCAGAGTGACTGGCCAATGAGAAAATTGGGAGGCCGGGCACGGGGGCTCACACCTGTAATCTCAGCATTTTGGGAGGCTGAGGCGGGTGGGTCATCTGAGGTCAGGAGTTCAAGACCAGACTGACCAATATGGTGAGACTCCATCTCTACTAAATATATATATATATAAATTAGCCAGCTGTGGTGGCATGTACCTGTAGTCCCAGTTACTCAGGAGGCTGAGACAGGAGAATTGCTTGAATCCAGAAGGTGGAGGTTGCACTGAGCCGAGATCGCACCTCTGCACTCCAGCTTGGGCGACAGAGCAAGACTCTGTCTTAAAGATAAATAAATAAATAAAGAAAGAAAAGAAAATTGGGGGGATAGTGTGGCAAGGGTCCCTGAGAGTGTGGGATTCAAGATGGGCTTTTGCTTATGGAGAATTCTTAAGGTGGGAGACTGATTTGGAGCATCGTGTGAGGTAAAGTGAGGAGGGAGAATATGAATTTTTGGGATCTTTTTGGTAGAGACATGATCTCTCTGTGTTGCCCAAGCTGGTCTCAAACTGCTGGCCTCAAGCAATTCTCCCCCTTCAGCCTCCCAAAGTGCTGAGATTATAGGCATGAGCAAACGCACCTGAAATAACACAAAATATACACATTGCTCTCTGTCCCCAGTTCCCAGCAGAGTTCCTAAAATCCTTGTAAGGTTGACCCTTGAACAACACAGGTTTGAACTGCAAGGGTCAACTTATACTTGGATAGTTTTCATTAAATATATTAGATTTTTTTTTTGAGATTTGTGACAGTTTGAAAAAACTTACAGTTACAGGTTACAGTGCGCTACGATCATGTCACTGCCCTTGTGTAGCCCAGAAATATCAAAAAAGAACAACAAAAAGTTAGGTATGTCATGAATGCATAAAGTATATGCGAGTACTAGTCTATTTTATAAGTTACTACTATAAAATTACACAAATCTATTATAAAAAGTTAAAATTTATGAAAACATGCAAAAAACACAGATCATACATGGCACCATTTGTAGTTGAGGGAAATGTAAACAAATGTAAAGATGAAGTATTCAATCATAACTACATAAAATTCACTGTAGTAAGCACTGTACTACTGTAATATTTTTGTAGCTACCTCCTGTTGCTATTGCGGTGAGCTCGTGTTGCGAGTGTCTGCTTAAAACACTATGAAATACTGACCATCTCCACGTGAGCAGTAGATTGCATATAGCAATTTACAATTTACTATTGCAATCTCCAGTAAATTGCATATTGCAGTGAAAACCATGATCTCTCTCAGTTCTCATTTATTTTCATGGTTAGTGCAATACTGTAAACCTTGAATAGCATCATGGGACCCATACGAAGTGCCACTAGTGATGCTGGAAGAGCTCCTAAGAAGTAAGGTCATGACCTCACAGGAACAAGTTGAATTGCTCGATATGTACCATAGACTAAGGTCAGCAGCTGAGGTTGCCTGACGTTTCAGACAGATGATACATGTTGTAAACACATGGTGCAGACCTATGGTATCAATAAATACCGTAGAGCACCATAAATATATTTTCTCTTATGATTTTCTTAATAATGTTTTCTTTTCTCTAGCTTACTTTATTGTAAGAATACAGTATATAAAATATATACGATATATCTGTTAATTGACTGTTTATGTTACCCATAAGGATTCCAGTCAACAGTAGGCTTGTAGTTAAGTCTTTGGGGGAGTCAAAAGTTATACACAAATTTTCAACCGTGTGCGAGGCAGGAGTTGGGCAGTTGTCAGCACTCCTAACCCTTGCATTGTTGAAGGGTCAGCTGTGATTTTCTAAGTGATAGAAGTGTCAGGATAATCTTTTGTTCCAATGTTTGGTCTCTGTCCTTATTCCCGAGACAGCACTCCTAATATCCTTGTAGATACAGGTGCTAGGAGAATCTTTTGTTCTAATATCTGGTTTTTGACCCTAGCTCCTGACACAGAGCTCCTAAAGTCCCTGGAACTTCCTGGGTAAAAGGAGGATCTTTTGTTCTATTGAGGCAACTCTTGGTGGGCTTCTGGATGGGGGCTTGTCAGCAGAAAGACCAAGCCATGATTGGAAGCTTGGAGCTTTCAGCCCCATGACCCATTTTCTGGAGAGGAGAAAGGGGCTGGAAATGGACTTGAAAATCAATCATGCCTATGTGATGAAGACTCCATAAAAATCCCTGAGCTACACATCTGTAATCCCAGCTCTTTGGGAGGCCGAGGTGGGGGGATCACCTAACATCAGGAGTTTGAGACCAGCCTGGCCAACACGGTGAAACTCTGTCTCTACCAAAAATACAAAAATTAGTTGGGTGTGGCGGCAAGCGCCTGTAATCCCAGCGACTCAAGAGGCTGAGGCACGAGAATCACTTGTACCCGGGAGGTGGAGGTTGCAGTGAGCCGAGATGGCACCACTGCACTCCAGCCTGGGTGACGGAGTGAGACCCTGTCTCAAAAAAAAAAAAAAAAAATCCCTCAGCTAAGTATGAGGTTCAGAGAACTTCCATGTTGGAGAACACATCTGCTTGCTGGGAGGGTGGTACACTCCAACTCCACAGAGACAGAAGCTGCTGGCCCTCTAGACCTTACCCTATGTATCTCCTCATCTGGTGCTTATCTGTATTCTTTATTACATCTTTTATTAATAAACCAGTAAACATAAATAGAGCATTTCCCTGAGTTTTATGAGCTGCTCTAGCAGATTAATCTCACCCAACGAGGGAGTCGAGGGAGCCCCAATATATAGTCAATGGTTCAAAGCACAGGTCACAACCTGCACTTGAGATTGGCATCTCTAGAGGGGCAGTCTCGCAGGACTGAGCCATCGACCTGTGGGATCTGATGCTATCTCCAGGTAGATAGGATCAAAACTGAACTGAATTAGAGGACACCCAGCTGGTGTCCAAGGGAGAATTGCCTGGTATGTGGGAAATGCTCCACACATCTGGTGTTGGGAGTTCTGTGTGTGAGAATAGGCAAAACACCTTGTTTTTTTCTATTACAGGGTCAGTTGTGGGGAAGCTGCTCCTCCACTCTTAGGCAAGGCAAAGATGTACAAGTTTCCTTGGAGCAAGTGAACCTCCCAGGAGTTGGGTTTTCAGGTATCTTGAAAGAAGCCCACTCAGGAGACTCACCTGCTGGGTAGGAGAGGTCCCCCAGGGAAAGGCTGGTTGGGAGGGGTGAACCACTGGGTACCAGAGGGGGCATGCCACAGAAGACCAGCTAGAGAGTGCACCGTCACATCGAGGAACTCCTTGTGGAGTGCAGAGATCATCATGGGGAGGGGGCTCCTCAAAATCCACCCTAGAGGCCAAGATAGAATGGGTATGTGTGATGGATCACCCACGTCCGGCCCTCTAAGACTTTGCCCCATCCTCTAATCAACTCTTCCCCACCCGAACTTGGACTGAGGGTGGCAGCGAGGGAGAAAAGGAACAGACCTGCCCCTCCTCCTGCCCACTGGGTGGGCACTGAGCTGGGGAGGAAAGTGGCTTTTGTGAGACTGAGTTTTGATTGAGACAAATCTGTACTTTTCATGCTTGAAAATATGACCACAGTTATGACATAGCTCAAAGTGACTGAAAAGCTATGGGACAGCCCCAGCTGTCATCCAAGGGCTGAAAGAGGAGAGCTGACCAGCCAGCACTGAAAAACAGTGATGGGGGAAAAAGAAAAAGAAAGCCAAGTATGTGCCATGAAGTTCTGCCCATTCGGTAAATCAGTTGTTTGTCTTTTTTTTTTTTTTTTTTTGAAACAGTTTCACTGTTGCCCAGGCTGGAGTGCTCCCTGCAGCCTCAACCTCCAGGGCTCAAGTGATCCTCCCACATCAGCCTCTTGAGTAGCTGGGACCACAGGCACATGCCACCACACCTGGCTAATTTTTTATAGAGATGGGATCTCACTATGTTGCCCAGCTGGTGTCAAACTCATGTGCTCAAGTTGATCCTCCCACCTCAGCCTCTCAAAGTGCTGGGATTGCAGATATGAGTCAACACACCTGGCCATATTTTAAATACGTATTTTATTTGTATTTAAAAATATGTATACAAAGGCAAAGCTAGAGACAAATATGTGCAAATGCTTCTGTGATGAACAGACGGTTGACTATCTATCCAACCTCTAATCGCCTTCTATGCTTCCTGCAAGAACCTGAATGTTGTTCAGACAACCACCCAGCTCTGAGGTCACCTGGGCTGGGAGAGGCAGGTTGGCCTAAGCCAGGAGTTCTCGAAAGGGACAGAACCATTCCCTAAGTGTGTTCTGGAAATTGGTGGGGGCTTTGACATTTTGTGGGGAGGGCCCTTGCTATCATCTTTCAATAAACGGGGTCTAGGAAGGCTAAATACCTTACAATGTGTGAGACAGTCCTTTCTAAGAGGAAATGGCTCCATGTCCCACGTGACTTTCTGATGTCTCATGAGACTTTTATGTAGCTGAAAGTCCTTTTTAAGCCTAAAACTTCATTCCATTTGATGTATGAGCTCCAAGTATCTTTTTGCATGTTTTTAAATATGCCCTAAATTTCCTAGGAAGTATCCTACTGTATAAATCAAGGGGAGGTTGCACTGTGTTTTGTTTGAAGCTTTACCAACAGTTGTTCGCCATTTTGGAAAATCATGCCGCCAGTGGCAATGGCCTCGTGCTGGGTGAGTCATCTCCCGCATCTGTCTATATGTATGATGGGGCAACCTTGGCATTTCCGTGTGCAGCTGCAAGCATCTCACCACTTCATTATGTTCTGTAGAGTCTGCTGCCTGAGCCTTTGCTTATTATAAAACATACTCTTTTGTCTTGAATTACTTTTACTTTCTCCTTTACGTGACAGCTAGGGCTTCGTTTTGATTCTTTTTTGAAATATGTTTTTGTAGGTACATTCTGTGATCTGTGAATTTTGTTTCTGGATTGAGGTTGGGTGGTTACAAGAATACAGTCATTGTTTTCAAGAGGGGTAGTTGGTCTGATAACACTGAGGAGGCCTGCTTGCCCTGGGATGTCCAAAGGGGTCCCTTTCCCTTGCCAGAGATGGGCTCAGGCATAGACATGGGAAATAAATATGGCCAGTGGGATATGTGGGCTAAGTCTGCAGGAGGGCTTTGGGGGAAAGATTTTTCTCCTAAAAATAGGAAGGAAGAGGTGGCTTCTTTCCTACCTTGGGGCAGTGTCTTGTTTTGATCATGTGCCTGACTCTTGTAGCAATGAGGTTAGGAAGCCCAAGGACAAAGTCTACAAGCCGAGGGGGCAGAGCAGAAGGGTAGAAGGGAACAGGGCATTGGTCATATTGCTGAGCTGCTAAATAATCAACCATAGTGCCACCCTCATTTGCATTTAATCTACATGTAAATCAGTAGATCTGAGTAATTCAGAGAGGTGGGACTATGGCTGAATGTCAGTCATTTTGTTTTTATTGTTAAAATTTGCCTCTTCCGATAAAATAGACAAAACCAAAATCCTTTCTAAGGAAAAAAGTAATAATGCATGTGACAGAAAATTAAAACATTACAAAATATGTTTATAATGAAGTCAGTCACCTTCTACCAGTTGCCAATCTGTTTCCCAGAGGCAACAAATGTTACCAGTTTCTTGTGAATTCTTCTAGAAACAGTCTATGCACATACATGCATATGGATGTAATACATATATATGTACTCATGTGAGCGCACATACAAATGCTTCATTTTCAAATGTACCATTATATATCGCGGGCTCTTCCTTTCTTTTCTTTTTTTTTCTTGTCAAGGAGTATAGAGTTAGGAAGAAAAATATCTTTGATATTGTTCTACGTAAATAATAATTAGGGGCCGGGTGCACGGTGGCTCACGCCTGTAATCCCAGCACTCTGGGAGGCCGAGGCAGGTGGATCACCTGAAGTCAGGAGTTCGCAACCACCCTGGCCAACCTGATGAAACCCCATGTCTACTAAAAATACAAAAATTAGCCTGATGTGGTGGTGGGAGCCTGTCATCCCAGCTACTTGGAAGGCTGAGGCAGGAGAATCGCTTGAACCCAGGAGGTGGAGGTTGCAGTGAGCTGAGATTGCGCCACTGCACTCCAGCCTGGGTGACAGAGTGAAACTCCATCTTAAAAAAAAATAATAATAATTAGAGAAGTCATCTTCTTGGTATGATAAAGTAGAAAACTCACTGTGTAAATAATTTTTTTCCAACCCATTTTGACCTTTGCTTATTTTCTTATTATAATTTTACTTTCAAAACCCAGATGTGGAATGCCCAAGATGTGTGTGGCCTGGTGCCTGAGCGAGCACCTAAGTTGCCAAACAACATGTATAGTACAATCTCCCTTTCAAAAACGATTGCACCAAATATTAATGTACTTTAAATAATACACACCAAATTATTATTTAAACAATTGTTTTCATTCCTCCTTTTAAATTTTCCTGTTCTTTTTTCTGTTAGAGACAGGACCTCACAGTGTTGCCCAGGCTGGTCTTGACCTCCTGGCCTCAAGTGATCCTCCCACCTTAGCCTCCCTAAGTGCTGGGATTACAGGCCTGAGTCACCACTTCTGGGACAAAAGTTTTTAATGATGATCCCCACTTGTAAGGGGAAGAGGCATTTGGGGGTACGTTTAATGCCATACCCCTTATGTCTTATTTAAATGTTTCTGAAACAAATATGGATTAATTTTATGACATAAGTAATTTTGGGGGATGAAAGACAAGCCATTTGTTTGTTCTTTTCCTAGAGTGCTGAATACTGAGTGACCGGATGTGTGTGAGATCCCCGGTGTAATACAAGCGTGTGTAAGTGTGTGTTGGGGGGAGCTGGGGTGGGGGTAGTTGTTAATTCTAATCCTCCTGTGTGAGTGGCCTCCTTTGCTCCCCCAATGCCCTCTTGTCTCCTCTCTTCTCCTCGGTGCCTTCCTCTCGAGTTCCCTTTCCCCTTTGCAGCCTTTCTCTTCTTACAGATAGTAAGCGACAGAGGTGACAGGTTGGAGGAGGAGGGCGAGTCTTAGCCCATTCAGGGCTCTGCCGCCCACTTCCAGGTCTGCACAAATAGGAACATGGCAGCAAGAGGCACATGCAAATTCCCCGGGGTGCCCTTGCCACCCCTAGCCAGCGCTCAGGGCCACAGAGAAGGTCCTGGCTGCTCTGCCGAGTGCCCCGGCTCCCAGCCTGCAGTCTGTGTACTCCAGAGTCCTTGCTGCCCTGGAGGCTGAGTCCAGAGCCCGGGCTCTGGGCAGCTGCTGCGGAGGGCCCACTTCCCTGGAGCAGGGCAGGAGCAGCGCCGGGCCCAGCCAATGCGAGACCAAAGCCCTCAGGATTTGCTACGTTGAGCATTGAGCTCAGAGCTGACAGATGGAGTCAGATGGGCAAACTAATTATATTTTTCATTTTTTTTCTTGGACATTTGTGAGTCTGCAGGAGCTTAATTTATGTATTAATTACACCTCAGAGCTAAATGAGGGGGCTGGAGTGCCTCCAACAGCCTTTGCATTTTATTAGGAAATGTTGCACACATACTTGCCTTCCTAAGGAAATAGCTACTAAAGCTTCCCTCTGAGGAGCTCTGTGGGCCTTGAGGAAACAGAACTCTTCAGCCGCTCAGGTGGGGGCCCAGGTGGAACACTTCAGGCCAGCCTTCGCTTCAGCCTGTGGGCTGACGTTAGAACCTTCAGATTCATCTTCCTCCCCTCACCTGCGGCAGCAACTCCACTGAAGGGAAGCAGTCCCCTCACTGCACCCGCAAAGCCCCAGCCCCCTCAACTGCTGCGTGGGTTTCCCCTGATCAGCTCTGGCGTGGTTGTGTTGCACTGAGCCGCTGTCTCCAGGCCGAGGCCCAGCAGTGAGGCCGGGGACCTGTTTATAGGGCCTGGGGCTTCCAGAAGGGAGTGACTCCCAGTTGGGTCCCCCATCTGTGAGCCAGACACCTGAGGACAGGCCTCTCTCAGGTAGGTGGAAGGAGAGAGGGTCTGGCTTTCTCTCTTGAGCCTGGACTTGGCGGGGTCTGGTAGTCTTGGTGTGGAACTTGGCCAGTGCCCAGGAGGCTGGGCTGGGTCAGGTGGGGCCTTTGTAAAGGCCAAGAAGTTGGCAGGAGGAAGACCATTCTTGTGTGAGCCAGGCCCTAGAGCCTAGGGCTCCTTAATCTCCCCTTTCTTGTCCTCCAGTTCTTTATGAAATCTTGTCTACAGCTGCTGTGCTGCTGGCCTGTGTTGTGGGGGTGGGAATATGGAGAAAGTATCTGCTGTCTACTCTTTGGCCAGTTTTCCTGAGGGAAGCAGCACCCAAGGCCTCAGGCTGGGCGTTGCTGCTATCACGGTGATTGCCAGAGGAAAGGATGGAGGGAAGGCCTTGGGGCGGAGCAGCACCCTCCCCGCTCTGAGCAGGCCTGAGAGTCCATGTCTAAAGGAAGCACTTCTTTAAAAGGGCTCAGGAAAGGCCCCAAGGCTCTCTAGTGCCTACGGGCTGGCAGACAGCTGCCTGGCAACAGCAGGTATCTAACTGGTGTGCTGGCCATGGGCTGATGGTGGACCTGCCTTCTGCACCTGTTTGGGGGGTCACTATAGGGCAGGCCTGCTTTACACAGCAGGTGAAGACTGGTCAACATTGTCACGCTGAGAAGTGACTCTCAGTGGTGAGTTCAGGGGAATGTTGATATTTGTGAGTGCTTTAGGAAGAGGAAGGAACATGGGCACATCCACTGAATGTGATCTTTCTGGGGGCAGGTATTTTTGCCTGCTTTGTTCACTTTATTCTTTCTTTCTGTTTTTTTTTTCTTTTTTCTTTTTTCTTTTTGACTTGGAGTTTTGCTCTTATTGCCCAGGCTGGAGTATACTGACGAGACCTCGGTTCACTGCAACCTCTGCCTCCCGGATTCAAGCGATTCTCCTGCCTTAGCCTCCCGAGTAGCTGGGATTACAGGCACCTGCCACCATGCCCAGCACATTTTTGTATTTTTAGCAGAGACGGGGTTTCACCATGTTGGCCAGGCTGGTCTCGAACTCCTGACCTCAGGTGATCTGCCCACCTCAGCCTCTTAAAGTGCTGGGATTACAGGCGTGAGCCACCGTACCCGGCCTGTTCACTTTATTCCAAGAACCTAGAAAAACACCAGGCACACAGCAGGTGGCCGTAATGTGCCAGCAGGAGGTAGTCTGAGGAAAGTTGACTATAGCTGCTCCCAAATCATTTTTGCGGCAAAGCTGACAGACAGGTGGCCGATGAGTCTCAGGGGTGTCTTAGCATATTTTGTGATGCTGTAACAGAGTACTGCAGGCTGAGTCATTTATGAAAAAATAACAGTTCATTTGTCTCGTGGTTCTGGAGGTTGGGAACTCCACCACTGGAGGGCCATGTCTGGTGGGGCCTTACATGGGGGAAAGGGAGAGAAGGAATGGGGCCACATTCAATTTTATAACCAACCCACTCTCATGATAATGAGCCCGCTCCTGCGATGAGGACAAATCCATTCGTGAGGGCAGAGCCCTCGTGACCCACGTACCTCTTAAAGGTCCCCCTTCTCAACACTGTTGCATTGGAGGCCTTTGGGGGATGCCTTCAAACCATAGCAGAGACACTTTTCTGCCTGCCCAAAGTCACATAGCTCATTAGAGGCCAGGTTGGGCCTGGAGTCTCTGGCAGGAATAATAGCTGAACTTTCATTCATTCCCTAACCCACCTGTGTTGTGAGGGCCCTGAGGCCAGCATGTTCATGGCTGCAGCCTCCAACCAACTGAGCTAATTGACAAGAAATCTGCTCTGCCTGATGCTATGGGGGATACTCAGATTTTCTGTGCCCCTAAGATGACCCAAAGCGTGGACATGCTTATTAGTGGGATTCTATCCCCTCAGTGAAGTTTTTGGTTCTTGCTTTTAATAATGGAGCAAGAGAAGCCAGTGGGAAGTCTGTTGACAAGGGAATGACTGCCACGTAGGCACTGGCAGGCTTTGGGTGAGGAGCTCAGCTTCCTGGTGTGGCCTGTGGCAAGCTCACCCTGGGAGGGGCTTGGAGTCTTGTGGATTTCATTCCTGACATTCCATCTGCTGTGCCTGCTACCAGCTGCCCTGCCAACCTGTCTGTGCCAGAAGAGTGTGGAAATAAGCTAGAACCCTTACACAGGGAGGTCCTGTTGTAGTCACTTAGTTATCAGCCCTCCCTCTATCTACTCGACTATAGGCCAAAAGCCCAGCCAGATGCTACCATGGGACCAGGCAGGGCCTAATGTTGCTGGATTCATCCTGGAATCAGTATCTGATCAGTCTTCACCTGGGGCAGGAGAAGGAGCCAGCTGTTGCCCTCTCTGCAAGAGGCAAGAAGCAGCGGGTCCTGACACCCTTCCCCGGAGGGCCCTTGGCTTGCAGGCACCTGGCATCTCCCAACATCTCTCTGGAGCCTCAGGCCAGCCTTCCCAAGATGGGATGCAAGGAGTCTGAGTGATCTTCCCGGAGAGGTGGCCAGCATGTTTGACAGAGCACTCCGGATCGAGGCTGTCCACATGCATTTGTCTCGTCCTTTTGCATTCAGCCAGGCCTGAGACAAGACTAACCCTTCCTGACAGAATCAGTTCAGCCTTGTCCTCTGAGCAGGGCCCAGGGTGGGCAGGGGATAGGCTGGGGCCAGCTGGGCTCTCTGGCCATTGCTGGCTGGTGGAGGACACACGGGGAGCCCTGATAGGCCCAGCAGACAGGGTCCAGCCCAGTGGACAGAGCAGGAGAGGGAGTTAGGGGGTCGGGGCAGAGAGTGGATGAAGCCTCTGCAGCATCTCCCAACCCCAGAGCCAAAGTAGGGAGGGGATCAGGCAGAGGGCCTGGTTTATTTTCTTCCATCTCCATCTCCATCCCTATCCCTATTCTGAGGCCCAATTTTCTCAGTTTTCCCAAAACTGAGGCCCACAGTTTTGGGAATCAGACTAGCCTGAGTTTGAATCCTGGGCACATGGAGCAGAGGGAAGGGGTCACGTGGCCTGCAGAGAGCCACGTAAGTATGGTAGTCTCCATTGTAAGTCTGCCCTGCCCACCCCAAATAGGCCTGCCCTTGGGCAGAATGCTCTCCCCTCTGCATTTGAATGATGCCCTGAAGTGTCCTGCTGCCAGTGCCTGGAAGGCCACCATCTATAGCCCACTGCCCATTTAGGCTTTGCCCTCCCCAGCCAATGAAGGAATTGGGCATTTGCAATGCTTATGAAAGCTCAGGGAGGGACCCCAGACTGGAGTGGCACTTGGGGTTGACGGGGAGTGTGAGCGTAGGTCTGGAGTGGGAGTAGGGGGTGGTTTCCTGCTGCCAGAGAGGAGAAGGCTGTCCAGGAAAGGGTGGCAGACTTGTGTCTCTGCCAGCCCCTCCCCGTGTCTCACTACTGGATTGGGGAAAGGGGCCTAAAGGGCCAAGGAAGTACTCACCACTGGGTCTCTGAGGATGCCACAGGCAGGGCCAGGCAGCTGAGATGGGAACAGAGTGCCTGTCAGGAGCCAGGGCCAGCTGTTTCCCCTGCCCCCGCCCCCCCCACCAACATCGTCACAGGGGCCAAATTGACTGGGGAGCTGGGTGAGGGCTGAAGCTCAGGGGAGATCTGGGGGTGTGCAGAGAGCCTGGAGCACTTCTGAGGGCTTACAAAAAAGCGGGTGGAATCCACCCTACTCCTGGAAGGGTCAGAAAACAGAGGAGATGTATATTCCTGGCCTGAAGTATTATAAATATACTATTCCCTTCACCACCACCCACAAAATAGCAAGCAGTTTTTGAATACTTGCCATGGGCAGGCACGAGTGTACACGCATGTGTGGTCTTGTGTGATCCAGCCTGTGAGCAAGCAGAATGGGAATGAGAGCAAGTGCAAGTAGTGCATTTGGGAGGGGAGGTCAGGAGACGCTGGGAGGGGCATGTCACAGGTGAGCAACGCATGTCACAGAGTGTCCCTCTCGAAGGACCAGAGCGCTGGAATATTTATGCATCAGCTCCCATGGCCACTGGTGAATGGATGCTCCAGCGAGTCAGTGATTCCAGGGCTCTTCCAGCCTCGGGTGCAAAGAGGCAAAATGCAGAGTGGGTTCTGGCAGCCAGCCCTTTCTGCACCTTGGGCACAGAGGTGCAGACCCTGGCAGTTTGAAGGGTGGCCCCTGTGCACCGAGACAATGTGGGCGCACAATGTGTGCCGCAGTAGTGTGAGTCCCATTGACCAGGTGAGAAAACTGAGGCTCACAGGGGGCTCTTGCCCAAGGTCCCCCAGCTGGTGGTAGCCATGCTGGGATCTGCTGCTGAAGCCCATGCACTTTTTACTCTGACCCCAGCACATTCTGTCTCTTTCTAAGATGGAGCGTTCCTAGGGCCAGGGACCGTACCTCCTCCCCCACCTGAGCCAGCATGTGTCAGGTAGGACATTGGTGCCCAGTAAGTGGCAAATAGAAAGATTATTTTTGGCCTCTAATATCAGATTGCAGACAGATAGGCCTCATTAGTGGCATTGAAGTGGGCCTGGAAGAAAAAGTGAGAATCAGATTCTGTTTTAAATGTATCAGAAGTTCGCTGTTAAAGGGCTGGGACTGCTACTTCTTTTTTTTTTTTTTTTTTTGAGACGGAGTCTTGCTCTGTCACCCAGGCTGGAGTGCAGCAGTGCGATCTCAGCTCACTGCAACCTCCACCTCCCAGGTTCAAGTGATTCTCCTGCCTCAGCCTCCCGAGTAGCTGGGATTACAGGAGCATGCCACCATGCTCGGCTAATTTTTGTATTTTTAGTAGACGCGGGGTTTCACCATGTTGGCCAGGCTGGTCTCGAACTCCTGACCTCAGGTGATCCTCCCGCCTCGGCCTCCCAAAGTGCTGCGATTACAGGTATGGGCCACTGCGCCCAGCCTGCTACTTCTTTTTTAAAATGAGCAGTGTCTTCTATCTGTGTTATAGGCTGAATTGTGTCCTATCCTCCAAATTCGTATGTTTAAGTCCTCACTCCCAGTACCTCAGAATGTGACTAATTTGGAGATGGAGACTTTAAAGAGATAATTAAGGTAAAATGAAGTCCTATGGGTGGCCGGTAATCCTCTGTGACTGGTGTCCTTATAAGAAGAGGTGATTAGGACACAGACACACACACACAGGGACAACCATGTGAAGACACAGGGAGAAGAGGGGTGGCTACAAGGAGAGAGGCCTCAGGAGAAACAACCCTGCCAGCCACTGCCTTGATCTCAGACTTCCAGCCTCCAGAGCTGTGAGAGAATAAATGTCTGTTGTTTAAGCCACTCAGTCTGTGGCATTTGTTAAAACAGTCCTAACAAACTAATGCAATCTGCTATACCAACCCAGGTGGACATATGGTGTTTGAGCTTGAAGGTCATTTCTCCCACCCCCTTGTTTTACAGGGGAGCAACAGACCCAGAGAAGGGACCTAAGGTACTCAGTGCATGGAGAATTAGGGCCAGCATGGGAACCAAGCTTTTTATAACCTGGGCGCGCTTAAAGCCAGGGGCACCTGCACCACCGTCTTTTAGCCAGCACCTCCTGACCCCCATCAGTGCCCTCGGCTCGTACCCCGAGGAGGAGACTCGGGACCAGGCTCGGTTTTCTAGACTATTAGCTGGAGAAGTATAGCTGCAAGAAGTTGCTCAAGACACTGTCCTTCCAGACCCGGAGGATGTTGGGTTAGGGGAGGAACTGAAGGAGAGGGTGGTTCAGGCTTATCACACAGACTGACTGACTCTCTTCCAGACCTCAGTCTTATCCGTCAAATGGAGACCACGATATCTATGATCCCAGCTACAGTGGCAATGTTCCCTCCCTGCCAGCCGGCTGTGAGGATGACTTATGATGGCTGTGGAAGACTTGCTTCTGAATATACAGACTCTTGTGGAATGCAGCAAAAAGCCTGTGAAGGCTCCAAATAGAACTGGGTTCGAATACCACTTATGCTACTTGGCTACTGTATGACCTTGGGGAAGTTGCTTAACCTCTCTGAGCTTCAGTTTCCCCATCTGTAAAACAGGACTAATCACTTAAATCTGGAATGGTTGTTATGAGGATTACATCAGAAAACTCAGGCGACATGGCTGGTGTCTCCAAACGGCTGCATACATGCCTCGAAACCTCCTCACCTACTCCCCTTGGCACTTTCAAACTGCTATGATTTTGTAGAAAGGTGTGGAATTTAATCTCTGATCCGCTCCCCTCTGGGAGGTGATCTGCAGGGGCGAGGCTCCTCATGCCGACAATGGGCCTGTGCTTGGTGTGGGTGGTGGTTCCCTGTCCATTCCCTCTGGTCCTGGAGCCCTTCTGTTACTGGTGCACTGGGATCCTTTCTGCCTGAAGGCCTCTTTATGAGTCACGTAAACGGGGACCTGGCAGGGGTTCTTTAGAACAAATATTTCCACTTTCTTTAGAGGATCTGACTCTCCAGTTTCCCAATTAATGAGAGCTCAGGTTGACCCTGGATTTGACAAAAGCTCGCTCCCACTTTCAGGTTTGCCGACAGACTTTCGTGCTCTTCCTCATCCCCACTTTATTTCTACCAACCAGAAAAATTACCCCTCCTCCCTCTGCCGTTCTAGATTTTACCAGCCTGGGCGTTCAAGAGCCCCTATCCTTAATACCCCCATGCGTTGGCATGTGGTTTTCTGAGGCCCAGAAATCCCTTCCTTTCTTTATCCTCTGGTTCATAAAACTCCGATCAGACGGCCTCTTTCTCCGGGAACCCTTCTCTGGTCTTTCCAGACACAACGAACCCGGCCGGCTGCTGTGGCCTACGCTAGAGGCATCTGGGCAAGAAAGGATTAACGGTAATAACTGCCCACGGCCACCAGGGGGCATGCTACCCGGGACGGCTCAAGGGCTGTGCAACGTGGGGCTTTTGTCTAGTTGGAACCCCAAGCACAAAGTGACATTGCAGTGGTGTACCTGGAGCCCTGGACCATGGGGCAGCAGTCAGAAGTCAGTAGGCACTGTCCTAGGCAGACAGACAGGAATGCAGCCCCACCAGCCTCTGCAGTCTTTCACAGAGCACCCGTAGAGACCCAGGGCCTCCCGCTTCCCTGAGGAGGGGCTGAAGCAGCAATGCAGCCGGTCAGGAGCTTGTCTAGATTTTTCAGCAGAGAGGGAGGTTTCAAGCACATCTTGCTTCTTCACAGAGTCCCCAGCCCAGGGGGCTTTGATAGGGTAAAGCCTACCTGCAATTAGAATCACGATTCTGGCCCAGAGTGGGCTAGAGCAGCCCAGCGGACCCCTCCCCAAGTCCCCTCCCAAGGATGCTCCTGGCTCTCCAGGCGATAACCACACCTAATTTGTACTTTTTATTATTTATTTTTTTAGTTTTTTGAGATGGAGTCTCGCTCTGTGTCCAGGCTGGAGTGCAATGGCGTGATCTCGGCTCACTGCAAATTCCGCCTCCCGGGTTCAAGTGATTCTCCTGCCTCAGCTTCCCGAGTAGCTGGGATTACAGCCACGCGCCACCACGTCTGGCTAATTTTTGTATTTTTAGTAGAGACTGGGTTTCACCTGTTGGCCAGGCTGGTCACGAACTCCTGACCTCAAGTGATGCCTGCTTCGGCCTCCCAAAGTGCTGGGATTACAGATGTGAGCCACCGCGCCCGGCCCACCAGATGTGTACTTCTGAGGGGCCTTTGTCCCCTTACTTGTCTGCTACCTCCACCAGGTGGGAGCCCTTCAAGAGCACTGGCCACGTCTTGTTCACCCTGGCATCCCTAGTGAGGCCTGGCCCAAGTGAGTGACCTGTAAATGGCACGCCAAGGCCCTTCAGGCTCACTGGGTTTCCTGTGGACACGGCATTCTCTATGTGTGCCTGTACCCATGTGCTCCTGGCACACTGGAGGGGCTCACGTGTCCCACATAAGAGAGGTGAGTGGGGGCAGGGCCTGGCCAAGGAGCTGGATGAGAGGTGGGGCAGGCCTCATTGAGCACTTGGGAAATTAATTGAGGGGTCCACATTGAGCTCCCCACTCTCTCCTTCCCCTCCTCTTCATGAAACTCTTCAGGACCTCGCTGTCTTGTCCTTGGGTGACATGAGGGCCGGTCTTAGGTGTCGACTTGGCTAGGCTACAATCCCCAGTTATTCCATCAACACTAATCTAGGAGTTGCTGTGGAGGTATCTCGTAGATGTGTATCTTAGTCCATTTTCTGTTGCTATAACTGAATACCAGAGACTGGGCAATTTATAAAGAAAAGAAATTTATTTCTTAGAGTTCTGAAGATTGAGATGTCCAAGGTTGAGGGGGTCCATCTGATGAAGGCTTTCTTGCTAATGGTCAGTGCAGGGCATCGTATGGGGAGGGGCTCACAAGAGAGAGCCAAGCTGGATTTTTGTAACAGACTCACTCTTGTGATAGCTAATCTACTCCCATGATAACCCATTAATCTATTAACCCATTAATCCATGAATGCCCACATGACCCAACTACCTCTGAAAGGCCCTGTCACCTGCCAATACTATTAAATTAGGGATTAAGTTTCAGATTGAGTTTTGGAGGAGACATTCAAGCCACAGCAATGTAGTTGATATCTACAATTGGTTGGGGTTTTTTGTTGTTGTTGTTTTAGAGACAGGGTCTCACTCTGTTTTCTGGGCTGGAGTATAAGTGGCTTGATCATAGCTGACTGCAGCCTTGAACTTTTGGGCTCAAGTGATCCTCCCCGCTTGGCCTCCAGAGTAGCTAGGAGTATAGCCTTGAACTTTTGGGCTCAAGTGATCCTCCCGGCTTGGCCTCCAGAGTAGCTAGGAGTATAGGAGTGTGCCACCACACCGGGCTAATTTTTTTATGTTTTGTAGAGATGAGGCTCTTGCTCTGTTGTCCAGTCCTGTCTCAAACTCCTGGCCTCAAGCAATCTTCCTGCCAAAATACTGGGATTATAGGCGTGAGCCACTGCACTGGGCCGGTTAACCTTAAATAAAGGAGATAGCCCTCAATAATCTGAGTGGGCATGAGTCAATCAGTTGAAAGGCCTTAGGAGCAGAGCTGAGGCTTTCTTGAGAAGAAATCCCACCTGTGGCCTGCAGCATCAGCCTGAGAGTTCTGGACTGCCCCTCCTGAGAGCCTGCGCTATGGATCCAGCCCCCACGGTCACGTAAGCCGATTTCTTGCAACACATCTCTCTCTTTTTTTTTTTTGAGATGGAGTTTTGCTCTTGTTGCCCAGACTGGAGTGCAATGGCACCATCTCAGCTCACTGCAACCTCCGCCTCCCAAGTTCAAGTGATTCTCCTGCCTCAGCCTCCCGAGTAGCTGGGATTACAGATGCCT
Source organism: Homo sapiens (assembly GCF_000001405.40). NCBI lineage: Eukaryota > Metazoa > Chordata > Mammalia > Primates > Hominidae > Homo > Homo sapiens. Next base: position 119,172,190 of record NC_000002.12, on the reverse strand, counting down.
GCCACCACGCCTGGCTAATTTTGTATTTTTAGTAGGGACGGGGTTTCTCCACGTTGGTCAGGCTGGTCTCGAACTCCTGAACTCAGGTGATAGGCCCGCTTTGGCCTCCCAAAGTGCTGTAATCCCAAAGTGTAATCCCAAAGGGATTACAGGCATGGGCCACCAGGCCTGGCCGCAACACAACTCTTAATATATGTCTCCTATTGGTTCTGTTTCTCTGGTGGAATCTTCTCAGATGCAGGCAGGCTGGGGAAGCTCCCTGTACCTGGGAAAGGCAGGAGGAATCAAGACGGTGCATCAATGCCCATGCTGGGGCCCTCACTGTATGGCACACAGAGTGCTAAGACTTTTGTCACATTTAACCCCCCAAGCATCATATGTCACAGGTTTATTATCCCCATTTTATAGTTGAGGCAACTGAGGCACAATGAAGTTATGTGGCCAAGGTCATACAGCATGCTGCAGGCCTGGATCATAAACTCCTGGTTCCAGGGCACAGCGTTTTAACCTTTTTCATGCCAATGACCTGTTTCATCTTGGTGAAGCCATGGACCCCTCCTCTGAATGATTCTTTCATATGCATTAAGTAAAATAAAGGTTACAAAGGAAACTATTTCTAAAAAGTAATCATCAAAATATCCTAAAACATAAACTTATAATACAGTAATCTATGTACTTTTTAACTAAAGCATCCCATTAACCGGACTATTGGGGTCTACATGTCACACAACTCTATGTCATGTATCTGTGATTATTGTACTGGGCTATGAAAACTCTATGATTCTCAGGAACAGAAAACTAAACACCACATGTTCTCACTCATAAGTGGGAGTTGAACAATGAGAACACATGGACACAGGGAGGGGAACATCACACACCGGGGCCTGTTTGGGGGTGGGGAGCGAGGGGAAGGAGAGCATTAGGACAAATACCTAATGCGTGCGGGGCTTAAAACCTAGATAACGGGTTGATGGGTGCAGCAAACCACCATGGCACAAGTATACCTATGTAACAAACCTGCACATTCTGCACATGTATCCCAGAACTTAAAGTAAAATAAAATAAAATAAAATAAAATAAAACTTTGTGATTCTTCTTGGTGGCAAAGTCACACTTATTGTCAATTCTATGTGTGGTTCCTTGCTTACCTTCCTGATGTTAGTGATAAGAGTGTATTTCTTCTTCATCCAAGTTAACAGACCCCCTGAATGATCTCTGATCTAGGGCAGACTTCACCACCCTTCTGTGGCACCTGCTATGTGCCAGGGGCTTCACTCCTGTCCATGAGCTTGTTCCATCGTCAGCCCTAAAAAGCAGATGCCACAGAGGGGTGGTGCCTCCTCCCTTCAGGACGCAGAGGGGCATGAGGGGCGAGGGTCCCTGGAAGACACAGTCCGTTGGGGAAACTCCCACGCCAAGCTCAGCGCCCCCCTCCCCGCCCAGCTCTGATGGCCGGCCTGCCCTTGCTCCTGCACTGGTGGCCCCCAGGTCTGGACCCACTTGCATTCCCCCCACGTCCCTAGTGTCACGCCGCAGCCCAGCCCTGCGGCTCCCTCACTGCTCCTCTCAGGGACAGAGGCCGTGGCTGCCTTGTGTTTCCTGCAGAATCTTCCCGTGTTTGTGTCAACCCGGGGCTGAGCTCAGCCAGCTGGCTCACCCTCCTGCATGTAGAGTGGCTTTGCCGACTGGCAGCCTGAGGATGAGGCAGAGGTCTCTGGTGCAGAGTGAGAAGGGGCAAGGGTGACAGCCAGGCTGCCTCAGGGCTTTGCTCGCCCACCTCCCCGCCCACCCCCCCAGTGCCTGCCATCAGTACTGGAGGTGGGAGTAGGGGCTGTGGGGGCCTTCAAGTGCAGCAGCTGGAGAGGCACCCCCACATCTTCCTCCTTCCCCCCCAAAACAACCAGGCCAGCCATGATGAAAATAAATCTCCCAGCGTGACAGCCTGATTTGGGCCTCAGCCTCACCCCCTCCTCATCTTCATGTTGCTTCTCCCACTGTGAGAAGAAAGGGATGAGGAAACAAAATGTTTCAGTGCTCATTGTGTGACAGGCACTTTAAAAAATAAATACATTTTTAGAGACGAGGTCGCGCTAAGTTGCCCAGGCTGGAGTGCAGTGGCTATTCACAGGCACGATCCCATGACTGATCTGCAAGGGAGTTTTGACCTGTTCTATTTTCAACCTTGGCTGGTTCACCCCTCCCTGAGGCAACCTGGCGATCCCCTGCTTCCAGGAGGTTACTGTATTGATGCTGAACATTGTATGGGCCCCCAATGGGCACTCCGGGTGCACTACAGCCCAGAACTCCTGGGTGCAAATGATGTCACCGCAGCTTTCTGAGTAGCTGAGGTGCACGCCACTGCGCCCGGCTTGTGCCAGGCACTTTGAATACATGATCTTGTGTACTCCTCATCAGCACCTGGGAGTTGTTACTATCACACCAATTAGACAGGTGAGGAAGCTCAGGCTCAGAGAGGGCATCACCCAACAATAAGAGGCCAGAATCTGAACCGAGCTCTGGTGCCAAGATCCAGTCTCTTTCCACTTCGTGCACTGCCTTCCTCTGGTCGGCTTTTACAAATCCCTGGCTCTCAGCTCCCAGGCTGCACAGAGCATCTTCTATCATTTAGAAAGCCTGTATCGGTTCAGACTGAGGTGTTAGTCGCTGGATAAGTTGCTCTTCCCTGGGATATTTGCGTTTTAAGAGGGCTTCAGGGAGATAGCTGCACTCAACTCTCAGAGAATGGCTCTGTTGCATGGCACATGGGCTGAATGCAATTGTTTGAGGTTTCAGAAGATGAGAAAGGTGTGTGAGGCCTGGGTTAAGGCAGCATGGAGCTGAGAGCTTGGTGTGTGGGCAGGTGGGCAGAGGAAGCTGCAATGACTAATGCCACTTGAAGTGCTGCTTTGCCTAAACTGCCCCTACTGGTCCCACCCTCCTGGTGAGTGAACTACTCTGGCCCCTGGGGGAATCCTCCTTTCCTGAGAGTGCCCCCGAACCCACAGCCTAGAACTATGACTCCGTGTTAACTTTCATTGTAAGGAGTGGGAGGAGAGAGCAGTGGAGGCGCCTCCACTCAGGACTTGGGGATTGGCTGAGTGGCTGGGGGGCTGGAGCCGACTAAGACCTCTTCGGTCCACCGCCCAGGAGAAAGACAGGGTCTCCCTTCCTTCTCTGCCTCCAGAGCCTGTCCAGGGAGATGTTTCTCTCCTTCTCCTCCTCCTCCTCCTCCTCCTCCTTCTTCTTCTTCTTCTTCCTCCCCTTCCTCTTCCTCTTCTTCTTTGGAATTAAATGTGGAACAGGGAGATTCTCATTCCGTATCTCCCCCAACCCCAACTCTCCAAGTTAAGGAAGGCTTGAGTGGTTACACCCATCTGGCAGAGGGGGAAACTGAGGTTTGGAGAGGGGAAGGGACTGTAGAACCACAATAGGGCCTGGGCTTGCAGGAGGGAGGACAGTGGAAACACACTTCCTTCTGTGATGTTAAATCTTTGCCCCCATTTTGAGAAATGCAAGCTTCTAAAGGATTTCCTCTTCTCAAATCATGTCCCAGAAAGCATTACTGTGGGGGCCTTTGGGAGACAATGCCTCAACCCAGAATTTCTGAGAATGAGTATCACAAATATTAGTGTCCCTGTGAATAATACAACATAACAGTTTTCTAGGGTTTTCTACATGCCAGGCTCCCTTCTGAGAGCTCTCCATGCATCGACTCATTTAACTTCCATGACAGCCCTATGAGAAAGGTGCTACCTTCATTCCCATTTCACAGACGAGGAAACAGTGCACAGAGAGTGTAAGACACTTGATCAAGGCAACACAGCTAGTCAGTGCCAGAGCTAAGTGTGCAACTCAAGCTAGAATATTCTAGAACCCAAGCTCTACTAGTAAATAAAATCTGGCCAAATATATCAGGGAAAAATAACACAATGACTGTTGGTGTGGTAAAGGTTCTGAAAAGTTCATCAAACAAAAAAAATGTATTTTTTTTTTTGAGACAAGGTCTTCTGTCACCCAAGCTGCAATGCGGTGGTCCAATCTTGGCTCAAAACAGCCTTCGTCTCCCAGGCTCAGGTGATTCTCCCACCTCAGCCTCCCGTGTAGTTGTGACTACAGGCACACACTACCATGCATTGCTAATTAATTTTTTTTTTTTTTTGTAGAGAGAAGGTCTTTACAAAAGTTTTTTGACACAGTTTTTGAAACCAATTTTACCCAGGGATGCTTTTTTTTTTCTTTCACTGATGGAAAAATTCTTTGAGAATTGCTGCCTTGTCCCCAAAGTGACTCCAGTGAAGCCCAGACCCTTTGGTAGAGTGGTGGGGGCTGGAGGATTTTTCTGGTTCCCAGTGACCCCAAAATTCCACCCACTGCCTGGCTGCCTTCTACAGAGTTGCAGGCCCTCCCTAAATGAATCTTACAGGATCATGTGTTCCTTCCAAATACTTTACAAAACATGAACATGCAGGATACAATCAGTTGGGAGGAAGCCCTTTTGATGTTGTCAAAGCTGCATTTTTAGCCTCGTGCTTGAATTCTCTCTCTTCTGCCTGTTGGAGAGGGCTGGTGGTTGCCTCATTACAGCTGTGTTTCATGGGAAGTGTGTGTGTGTGTGTGTGTGTGTGTGTGTGTGTGTGTGTGTGTGTCAGAGTGGGTATATAGAGCAAGTAGCTGAGAGGCAGGAAATAGGGAGTCCGAAAGGCAAGAACTGTTCCTCTCAGCCACCCAGCCTCCGGCCCAGGCAGGGAGGAAGTCTCTTGTGTAGGCATGAGCAGGGAGGGGAGGGCATATATGGAGTGTCTGAGATCTCCACACAGAGCTATGGCCGCACATCAAAGCCTGGAACATAAGCTAATTCCTGGATTTCTGAAACCTGATTCCTTCCTGCCAAGGGAAGTCCGGCAGCCACAGCCATTAGCACCACGGACAGCGGCAGGCCTGCAGGTGCGCCCCGGGAAAGGCCTGGACTTCAGCTGCTCAAGGAGCAGGCAGGCATTGGTGGGACTGAGTTTTGATAGATCAATGGGATATTTTTGCACTGCACTGGGGCTTAGCTGGACTCACTGTCTTTTACTTCTCCCGTATCCCACCTAATGAATACAAGGTCACAGAGGGTGGTGACAAGGTGAGGACAATGGTATATCCATGCCCTCCAGGGGTGTGCAGAAGAGACAATTGAGGCTCAGCAACACTGTGGCACTGGACTGCTTGAATCCCCTGCCGTACCTGTGTCTTCAGTGCCCAGCACATGGCAACTTCCCAGTTAATGTTGGTGCATTGGGAAGGTGAGCTCTACTCCGTGGCTAAGTTCTACATCTGCATGGACTAAGGGCTGAGTCTCCTCTAGGGGAAGTCCATATGGTCTCAATGAACTTCTCTGAATCACAAGCTTGCTTCCCCCAGCAATCCATAGCTTTATTAACATGACTGCCAAGAAGAAACAAATAGCCACACCCCTCTAGTGACCCCTGGGGCTGTTGGTGGCTTGCTGTGCCACCCAGGGAAAAACAGCCTATGCTGGGCTCTCCTGTCTTATTCTATTCCATCCCACAAATGCATGTTGAGTGCCATCTCAGACCCGCCCTGTAGTGATGAGGAGACCAAATGACAGAATCTTTGCCTAAAGAACCTGCAGATTCATAGAGAGAAAAGCCGCTCAGGGGAGATAGGATGTGGCAAGGGCCATCTGAGGATTGCCACTTGTCACGTGTGTCACCCCAGCTCTGGGACATAGGTGGTTTGGGGAGGAAAGGTCCATGTTGGCAGATATTATCATGAAGGCAGAGAAGGAAGTTGGTAAAGTAACCCCCACAGGCTTCTCAGCTAGTGAGGGATAGAGTGTTTCTGCTTTCTGCTGGATCTCGTATCTTGCACATAGTAGGCACTGGATAAATAGTTCCTGCATGGATGAATAATTAAACTGCACCACCCAGATACAGGACAGAAAAAAGCTGGCAGGGGAAGGGTGGCTTGAATGATTGGTTCTTTGGCTGGCCTAGTGTGGGAATAAGCCGAGCTCAGTGCAGGAGGACCTGCTTAAATCATCCTCATTTTGGGTTTCTGAGAGCTGTCTCTCTCTCTCTCTCTCTCTCTTTTTTTTTTTTGCAGGGGACTTGGGCTCTGGAGAAAGCAAGCCCAGACACTGCAACAAGCTCACAGCTCCATGAAGATCCAGCCAGGGCCAGCCCCTTAGAGGTGAGATAATTAGGGCCCCAGTAGCAGTCTCTGAGAGGGCCAAGTGAGGGCTTTCTGGGGCTGGCTGACCCTCTTGACTCAAACGTGTTGCTGCTGCTTCTGGGTTAATGGGCCTGGTGGGTGCTTTCTCACTGGTCACTGAGCAGGGCTGTCTGATGTCTTCAGGGGCTAAGACTGGAGCATTCTTTCTCCACCCCCTTTAGCTGTGAGCATCTCAGGAGCTAGGGCTGAAAATGGAAACAGGCCTGTGGGTCACTGTGGCCCAACCTCTCAGAACAGCAGGAGCCTGTGCACTCCACCTCGCCCCCGTTCTGCCCTACACTGTAGGGCACTAGTTCCTGCCTGAAAGGACTGGAAGAGCCTATGGCTCCTATGCGCCACTAGCTCTAGCTGAGTGCCCAGCAGAGGTAGAAAATATGATTTTCCTTCTCTTTCTTTCAGAGCAATCACTCACTAGACACATGAGGAAGACTAAGGGGCTGGAGGTGGGGTATGCAAAGAGAGGTACAGGGCCAGGCTTACTACAGTGTCTCCAAAAAGGCCAAAGATAGTGCATAAACAAAATGGAGCTGGAAGACAGAGTAATCAATACTTGCAGAAGCAGGGTCCTGGGAGAATGCTTGATGGGAAAAGTGGCACATGTAACATACTGTCCACACCAGCCCTGCACAAACCCTTGGCTCTGTACAGACCAGCCTCTTTGCTGTGCCCCAGACACCAGTTGGGCAGCTCCACTGCACTATCCACCCAGACCTCTCACAGGTTCAAGTCTCACTTGTCCTTGAAGGTCCTGCTCTGTCTCTTCATCCTGGGATAGACTTCAAGTGCCTTGTGTGGCCACAGTGACTTGCATTTGGCAACCTCTTCCTGCCTGTACTCCTTGTCTATACCACCTAAATACAGATGGCTGCTTAGGTGCTTTCTGTTTGTTAGTCTTGTTCCTCCATCCAAGCTGCAAGCTCTTTAGCAAGAACATCATATTCATGCCTCCCACCCTACCCACCCCAGCACAGAATTCTGCATATGGTAGGTGCACATGCTATATGGAGGATGAATGAGCAGATAAATGAATAAATAAGGAAAGAAAGCAGAGAAGAAGAAAAAGAGGGAGAGAAGGAGGGAGGGAATGAGAGAGGGAGGGAGGGAAGAAGAAAGGAAGGAGGGAAGGAAAGGAGAAAAGAGGGAAGGAAGGAAGGGAGAAAATAGAGAAGGAAGAAAGGAAGGAAAGAAGGAAGACTTCTCTGTTTTTTGCAAAGGCTAACAGGAACCTGCATGGCCAATCAATTTCCTTCTTTGCCCTCCTTTCCTAATTTTCCAGCATAAAGAGTATCTTTTAAATTTTTTCACTTTTTGAGCAAACTATGACATGAGATCATATATGTAAAATTTTCAGGCACTATAAAATAATCAATAATTTAAAAATATTTATTTGACACTTGCCATGTCCTCATGACAGTTCCTGCCCTTTGGAGGCTTACCGTCTGGCTGGGAGAGATCAGCAATATATGCAAGAAGCCTTCAGCCAGACTGACCTGGCATCTGGGAGCTCCAGATCTGGGGGGACACATGTCCAGGATCCCAGCATAATCTGGAGCAATTATTGGAGTGATTACATATGACAGTGACATTTATAAATATATAGCTTTATCTTAGTTTCCCCATCTGTAAAACAGGGATGCATATCTCATAGTGCTGTGAGCATTAAAATAATTAATATATCTAAAATGCTTGGCATAGGGATACAGTTAGTGCTCAGTAAATATTACCTATTATTGCTATTGCCAGCAGATAAAGGAAGAGCTTGGAATATTGCAACAGAGCTTTTAGGGTACAGGCCTGAAATGGCTTACATCAATCACTCAGCTCACATTCTATTGGCCATTGTTCTGTCACATGTCCTCACCAGTCTGAAGGAGAGGCTGGAAAATATAGCTGGGCCCTGCCCAAGAAGAAAAGGAAATGATTTTGTGACCTCACAGTGTTCTCTCTGCCATCATCCACAATGACTTCCATCTTGCCATACGCAATGGATACCTTTTTATCCTCATCTTACTCTATCTCTTGTGGACTTTCCAAATTACAGATCACAATCCTCCCTTCTGAGCTGCTCCCCTCTGTGAGGCCATTTTCCTGGCTTTCTTTCCTACTTTGACTGCTTCTGTTTCTTTTCTCCTCTATCCATCTTTTAAATGGCTGGGGTGAGCATGGGGGGATTGTTATAATGAGCTTGTGCTCTCTCTCTCTCTCACACTTCAATCTCCATGAAAACTTGCTTGTGTATAGCTCCATTATCAATTTTTTAAAATAATTTTTTAAATAGAAATGGGGTTTCACCATGTTGCCCAGGCTGGTCTCAAACTCTTGGGTTCAAGCGATCCACTCGCCTTGGCCTCCCAAAGTGCTGGGATTACAGGCATGAACCACCGTGCCTGGCCAATAGCTCTATTTTTAAACCTCACTGCTGAGTACTAGACTTATGTTCATTGCCCACAGGATGTCTTCATTCATATATTTCACTCAAAATGAACATTTCCCAAACTGAGTTCATAATTCCTTCCACCTCCCAGCAGTGACAACATATTGCTCTTCCCCAAATATCCCCACCTTCTCATGCTCACTCACCCAGTTGTTCGACCCAAATCTTAGAAGTTAATCTTGATTTTTTTTTTCTTTTCCTTCTCCTTCCTTAACTTCTATCTCAAATCCATCAGCAAGACCCATGGGCCCCAAGTTCAAAATATACCTGGAATTCACCTACTTCTCTTCTACTATCTCAGACCAAGCCATCGTTATCTTTTGCTTAGATCATGCAATAGCCTTCAAACTGGTTTCATTTCCAAAACCCACCCCCACTCCACCACCACATCCATTCACCACACAGCAGCCAGCGTGGTCTTTGCAAAACATAGATGGATCACATCACTTCCCTGCTTAAACTCCTTCAGCAGTTCTCAATTACACACAGGAGACAATTCACCTCTTTCAACATGGGCTCCAAGGCCTTGGGTGATCTCCCTCCTGTCTATCTCCCTGACACATCTCCTGCTGTCCTTCCCTTTGGGGATGCAGGCAGAAGATTGGCCAATGTATTCCACATGATGTCTCTAAAGAGCTTACACTCTAATTGGGACACAGGTCTGATTTAGAGACAGCATGTCAATAAACACCCATGCTGCAGCTGTTCAGGTACAAACTCATGTGCTACGGGTAGAAAGAAATGGGGGAGCTGAGGGTGTCTTGTAGAACAGCTAGAGTAGAAGGAACCAAGACTGTTGTGTACCACTGTGTACTCAGCACGTGGCATGATGGCTGGCATATGACAGGGGTCAATAAACACATATTGAGCAAATGAATGACATACACAAAAGATGAAGATGAATGAATGATACGATTCCTGCCCTACTGGAGCCCATAGCCAGGTGGGGGAGGCTAACTAATAAAGAAATGCATGATGGTAAGACATAGGATGGCAGGGTACATTCAACGTACTCTAAAGCGTACATGGGTAGGAACTATCAACTCAGCTTAGAGAAGGGTCACGGAAGACTTCAGACAAGGAAGTGACACTTAGCTGAGACTGAAAGGATAATTAGAGAGGAGTCCAGATGAGATGCAGGAGACAGGCCATGGTGCAGGTAGATGAAGCATGGGGCCCACTGCTGGTGGAGGCCACTAAAGAACCGGACATGACAGTGTGGAACCAAGCATCAAACTATGTGTCACAGAGCACAGGGCTCTATGAAAGGATAAGATAGAGAGCACTGGTTGGCACATAGTAGGTTGTCAGTGTATGTTGGCAGAAGGAATGCCTGCTGGATTACTAAAGGCAATTTAGAACAGATTTGAGTGGGTCTCGAAATGTAAAAACCACAGTCTAAATGGAAGGCAATATGTTAATATAGGTCATAATTAGTATTGAAGAGAAGATAGTCACCAATGATATGGATCGCTCAGGAGGAGCAGAAGCCAGGTGGATAAACAGGTATGTCAGCTGGGTGCAGTAGCTCACGCCTGTAATCTCAGCAATTTGGGAGGCTGAGGCAGGTGGATTGCTTGAGGCCAGGAGTTCGAGACCAGCCTGGCCAACATGCCAAAACCCCACCTCTACTAAAAATACAAAAATTAACCGGGCATGGTGGCGGGCACCTGTAATCCCAGCTACTTAGGAAGCTGAGGCAGGAGAATTGCTTGAACCTGGGAGGGAGAGGTTGCAGTAACCCAAGATTGTACCATTGCACTGCAGCCTGGGCGACAGAGTGAGACTCTGTCTCAAAAAAAAAAAAAAAAAAAAGAAAAAAAAATAGGTATGTTCAACACTCCAGCAGGCCATGCCTTCTGGCCCTGCCATGATGGGTGGGAGGAAGGAGAAGCAAGGGGAAAGACACCTCTTGACTTATTTGGCTGCTATGTGGAGGCTGCCTGGGCTCTGCCTGCCCTGGAGCCTGCTGCCCCTGCCTCCTGGTGGAGGGCTGGTCTTGAGAGGCGCTCCCAGGAATGCTGATCCCCAGGGAAGGTAGCTTTGCTTGTGGTCTGCCAAGGTGAAAGCCTGGGTCTCAAACATCTGACCCTCCTTGCTTCATCTTTGCCCAGATACTGCAAGGACAAAATCACTGGGACTTGGCAGTCTCCAGCAGTCTGAAAGGCTGGGGAATTCAAACGGAGTGAGTGTCTGCCTGGAAAATGTTTGTCCAGGTGGAACTGGTGACTGGGAACAAACACTCTGGGTAGTTTTGAAAGACAAAAAGACAGAGCAGGGCAGGCTTGGGGAATGTGGGAGGCATGGGACATCCCCCTTCTGCGCTCTGGAGAAGGACAAAGGATGTGAATTATCTTTGAGCTTCTCTTTTTTTAAAACCCTAACCCTCCCCATGCCACCCTGCATATTGCCTTCATGTCGCATCCTAGTGGTCATAACCATGGCAGGGGAGGTTGAAAGCATCAATAGCTAATAAAAATAGCTAAGCTTCTACTGAGCTAGCTATTGTTCTAAAGCCTTTACATTAATTGGCTCGTTCAGTCTTCTCAATAACTTAGAGGTAGGTTCTTTTTCCATTCCCATTCTACACATGGAGATCCGAGCTCAGAGAGATGAAGCAACTTGCTCAAGGTCACACAGACAGGAAGTCTCAGACCCAGGATTGGAAGTAGGCCATGTGGCTCCTGAAATCACGTGCTCTTGGGATGACTCTGAGGCAGAGAGTGGAGAAAGACTCCCAAGTCTGAGGAAACCAGTGAAGACTGTGGCCAAGAAGTAGCTGTTGAAGCTGTGTTCACTGACAGGTTCAGATAGCCCCTGATCTGGGTGCCGGGAGGATCCTGGCTCTGTCATGTGGGTAAAATGCACTTGGCAAACACCCTACACTTGCAAAACCTTTTTTTTTTCCTCATTGGTGCGGTGGGAAAATGATCACTAATCCACAGTAACATGAGGAATGAATGAAGGAGCACGTGCAAAGTGCCTGATGCATACGTAGTAGGTGCCAATAAATGTGCTCCTTCTCTCCTTGGTAAAGTTGGCTTCCGGCTAGGCTCAGTCATCCTTTCCACAAATATATGTGGAGAGAACAGGCTAGAGCAACGAGGTTGGGAGTGGGGAAATGACCCAGGGTGATCAGAGGACAAAAATAGATTTTAATTAACCCGTAAGAACCTAGTGCAGGACAAATGAGAGTTAGCTTCAAAGCAATAGCCTTAGGTGGGTGCACTGTTGTTCCAGAGATGCTGATGCTACACCAAACACTGACACCAGCCCTTAGATTCTCCCCCCAGGACAGGCCTGGTGTGATTCCCATGTTGGGGGTGCTAGGGCAGGAGGCGGCCTTTTAAGGAAACTGAGTCTCAGGGACAGGAACCACCTGGCAAAATCACACAGCTACTCAGGGCAAGAGCAGAAGCTGGGGCTTTGATTTCTCCGCTGGAAGTCTCTCCCACACCGGCGGGCCTCTCATCCTTCCTTAGCCTCACATGCTACATTGGAGATAGACTATTCTGCTCTCATCTGAGGCCATGGTTTATTCAAGACTGGCTCAGAATGGCTTTGGACTATTTGGACTATTTTCTAAAATAACTAAACCCATCTCAGGAGGAGGAAGCTGGGGATGTCCAAGGGAATGTGCCCATGCATCTGCCTGGCAGTGGCCGGGCTTGGAGTAGAAGCTGAGTGCACCATGATCACTGCCAAGTGCCGGCATCAAGCATTTGGTTTCTACACCAGCTTCACGCAGAGGACAAGGGCCAGCCATTTTCTGGTGGAAGAAAAGGTCTGAGGCGAATATTCCTTTTTTTTTTTTTTTTTTTTGAGATGGACTTTTGCTTTTGTTGCCCAGGCTGGAGTGCAATGGCACGATCCCGCCTCACCGCAACCTCTGCCTCTCTGGTTCAAGCGACTCTCCTGCCTCAGCCTTCCGCGTAGCTGGGATTACGGGCATGCACCACCATGCCCAGTTAATTTTGTGTTTTTAGTACAGACGGGGTTTCATCATGTTGGTCAGGCTGGTCTCAAACTCCCAACCTCAGGTGATCTGCCCGCTTCGGCCTCCCAAAGTGTTGGGATCACAGGCGTGAGCCACTGCGCCCGGCCGCAAATATTCTTGTATTGGGAGCCTTGGGCTTTTTAGAGTCACCTCAGAGGTTAGTGGGGTGCTCTACGGGAGCCTGTTTAAGAGTCTGGAGTCCTTAGTCTAGGTTTGCGAAAGATCTTCCAGAAGCGAGATCTATTCAATTCTGAAGAAATAACTCAGGAGGTCTTTCAGAAACTCCTTCCCGCTGGACCTCACGGGACTCTCCTGGACTCGGTGGGTTGAGGTTTGATCCTCTTTGCAGGCCAGGGGATGGATTAGGTGACCCCAGAGGAGCCCTGCTGACACCTGGATTCCAGCTGCTTTCGTGGCCATGTGGGGGTGGCTGTGCGTGCCCCGCCACTGCGTGCGTGGGTGTCTGTGTGTGTTATCGGTGGGGGGCGCGTGAGTGTGGCCGCGGGTGGGTGTGTCCGATGTGCCCCGGCTTGGGACCGCGCCCGCTGCGCCCACTTGTGGCTCCTGGGAGCCGCCAGGGGGAACCGCGCCTTCACCGCCTCTGCCGAGGACGCCGCCAGATAGGAGGCTGATGACATGAGGGCTCCGTCTCCCGAGTGATGGCAGCGCGCGCTGCTTCGCCGCCTCCGCCGCTCAGCCCCGGACTCCTTACGTCAGGGTAGCGGGGTCCCCCCTCCGCGCGGGAGCCAGCGAACAGCGAGAGAGCACAGCAGAGCGCGCCGCGGAGCCGGGGCGCCCTCACTGCGCTAGGAGCCCCACTAAACCCAGCGGAGCGGAGCCTGGCGGGAGGCAGCGCCGCGGAGCCAGCGCCGGACGCCGCAAGCAGACTCCCCGGCCAGCGCAAGCACTCCCTGGCCGGCGCCGGACCCTCGGGGCGCCGGATTCGTCTTGTGTGCCCCACGTCATGCGCGCGGGCGTCCGCGGCTCTCCCGACCAGCCCCAGCGCGGTGGGCCCAGGCTCAGAGGTCCCGGCGCCTCTCGCTGAAGTAGTTGGGTAGCCGGGGCTGGGGGTCGCCACGTCGGGGGCGCGGCCAGGACCCGCGGAGCCGGTCCCCGAGCGCGGGGAGCGGGGCCGCCCGCGCCGCCCCACCATTACCTCCCCGGGCGGCAAGGAGGAGCTGGTGGCGGTCGCCTCCCGGCTGTGGCAGCGGCGGCGGCGTGCCTGCCTGGCGGCCGTCGGCGTACTCTTGGCCATGGCGCTCGGGCTGCTCATCGCCGTGCCGCTGCTGCTGCAGGCGGCGCCCCGAGGCGCCGCGCACTATGAGATGATGGGCACCTGCCGCATGATCTGCGACCCTTACACTGCCGCGCCCGGCGGGGAGCCCCCGGGTGCAAAGGCGCAGCCACCCGGACCCAGCACCGCCGCCCTGGAAGTCATGCAGGACCTCAGCGCCAACCCTCCTCCTCCTTTCATCCAGGGACCCAAGGGCGACCCGGGGCGACCGGGCAAGCCAGGGCCGCGGGGGCCCCCTGGAGAGCCGGGCCCGCCTGGACCCAGGGGCCCTCCGGGAGAGAAGGGCGACTCGGGGCGGCCCGGGCTGCCAGGGCTGCAACTGACGGCGGGCACGGCCAGCGGCGTCGGGGTGGTGGGCGGCGGGGCCGGGGTAGGTGGCGATTCCGAGGGTGAAGTGACCAGTGCGCTGAGCGCCACCTTCAGCGGCCCCAAGATCGCCTTCTATGTGGGTCTCAAGAGCCCCCACGAAGGCTATGAGGTGCTGAAGTTCGATGACGTGGTCACCAACCTCGGCAATCACTATGACCCCACCACGGGCAAGTTCAGCTGCCAGGTACGCGGCATCTACTTCTTCACCTACCACATCCTCATGCGCGGCGGCGACGGCACCAGCATGTGGGCGGACCTCTGCAAGAACGGGCAGGTCAGTGACCCCTACACTCACCGGCCCCCGTAAACCCTCGCCCGCGCCCTGAACCTCCCAGGGAACCAGCCTCCTTTCTCTCCACCCGCGGGCTACCCTGCGAGCCCCGGGAATGAACGCGCCTCGGTGCCACAGTATCTCCGCTTCCCGATGCGCCGAGGCCGCGCTCACCGGGACGTAGAGCCAAATGTTGGGCCTTGAGAGCCCAGAGACCCCCATACCTAAACTACACTCCTTGGCCACTTGCGTCCCTGCCTGCCTCTCCGTGGGCTTCTCGGAAACCTCAGTTCTTTAGTTCTCTCCAGGTCGCCCCCTTGCCCTGCAGCCTCCTTTCCTCTTGGCCCTGGCCCCTGGCTCCCACCCTTCCACTCTGGGTCAGTGTTCATGAAGCTTCCCCTCTCCCTATTTCCCAGACTCGTCGGCGCGAGGAGGAGGGGGGACCTGGAAGGAGTTGACTAAGTTGGAGAGAGAACATGGAGCTGGGGTGGGAGTGTGGACCCTGAAGCAGCAGGCGGGAGGCCCGTGAGTGGCGCGCCTGGTGTGGGCTGAGCAAAGGCGCGGGAAGAGGTGCCCCGGCTCACCTGCTCCCACCGCTTGTCCCCAGGTCCGGGCCAGCGCCATTGCACAGGACGCCGACCAGAACTACGACTACGCCAGTAACAGCGTGGTGCTGCACTTGGATTCAGGGGACGAAGTGTATGTGAAGCTGGATGGCGGGAAGGCTCACGGAGGCAATAATAACAAGTACAGCACGTTCTCGGGCTTTCTTCTGTACCCGGATTAGGGGCGCGGGGGGTGCGAGGCGGGGTGGCTGCAGGCCGCCCGGTCTCCGCCCGGGCGCGGCTCCTTGGCAAAGGCCACTCTCGATTCATAACACTTCCTGACATCTCCTTTGGAAAAGACAAATCCCTGCGTCCTCCCTGCCCCGCTCCTGGCCTCAGTGCGTCTGCGACCCACCACGCTCAGGGCTGTGCTCCTGGTCTCCATCCCCATCCCGGCAAGGGAGGAAGGGACGCCCGAGCCCTTGAGGCGGCGGCACAGACTTTGCAAACCTGATTAGACTGGACAGGCAGGGCCGGGAGCCTGCCCTCCTCAGACAGCCTCCTCCCAGTGCCTAGAAGCGGAGGGCTCCGGGCCCTGGCCAGGGAGGTAGGCCAGAGGGAGCGCGGGCTTCCTGGGGCGTCCTTCTTTGTGACCCGAAATACTTGTGCAGATTTCCCTGTCCATCAGCCAAAACCCCACCCACAGCAGAATTCCAGCAAACAGAAAATTCACCTCTCCACACCGCATTCCCTCCTGACTCAGACTCACCGCGATGCATTAAATTATGTTTTTAGACTATGCGTTCTGTTGTCTGTATGTCGACACATCCTGGACCAGGGCTCCAGATGTCCGCCTTGGCATAAAGACCTTACCTGGGCCCAGGATAGGCCCATCTATGACCTGCTCCCCAGCCGCTGCTATGTCCCTGCCACCAGAAGTTGCCGAAAAGACATGGGGTAAATGGGAGCTGCATCCCACCCTTCCCAGAAGCTCTCCCCAGGCTGCAGCCCTGAGCTGGAGAGGCCGGAGGTGGGGTTGGGAGGAGGGGAGGAGGCGGGGAAAGGCATCAGGGAGAGTTAGAGGAAAGCAGGAGAGGAATGATTGGGTCTCCAGTCTTGGGCAACTTGGGCAACTTAGTCCTCCCGGAGTTGTGGGTGGAGGTCAGAGGGGAGGGGCTTCTGGGGAAGGAAGGGGAAGAGAAGGCATCTATGGGAAATGGGAGGCGTGAGTGACACTTGCCGGGGAGGGATCTGTAGGATGTTTGGCTCCTAAAAGGAAGTGCAGAAGTCCCTAGCAGACACACACCCGCTCGAGCGGATGGTTCACTAAGCACAGGCCTGTTTACTCACAGCCGCCAGGGCCACCGCTCTCCGGAGAGCTGGTAAACTGAGGCAATTCCGCGGATCATCCAGCTTGCTGAACTTCCTCAGGGCTGTGTGTTGAGGTGGACACCATTCCTTGGGGAGGGACGCCTCTTTCCTGCGGGCTTCCCTTCCCTTATGCATGCGATTTGGGGTGCCTGCTCTGAACCTGAGTGTGTGTGTTTGGTGTCCCATCAGCATTCTACACACACACAAGTTAGGAAAACACCCCGCATGGTTTTGATTTTTTTCTTTTTACTTTTTTTTTGTTGTCAGATCACTGAGTTACAACAAAGTTATGTACAAAATAACCAGTCAGCTCCCAGCAACCTGTTAGTGCTTACTGAGGTCACTTTTACGGGTTGTGTGAAAAGAAATGTGTGAGTATACACAAAAAGGCAACCCCAGGGTGTGTGTATCTGTGTAAAGCTGGAGATTGTGTGTGTGTGTGTGTATCTCCTATGTGGATGTGATGTTGTGATTGTCCTCACGTAATCCACATTACACATGTACACACACTTATATTCATAAGTCCATGTCAGTGTGGTGTGTGACAATGTTCATGCTGCATTTCTGGCCCCAAATTGCTTTGTGCTCGACTTTAGTTCCTGGAGAATGCTGAAAGCTGTGATTCCCATTTAAAAGACAACTATACCCCCTGCCTTGAGTCCTGTTGCTGTCGCTATTCCTTTTTGCTCTTATTTTGTTTGAATAATGTTTTATTGTCATTCTTTTCAATATGAGCAATGATTATGTCTGCTTTGAGTCCAGGGATAAAGTACTCAAAGAGAATGGGAGGAAACACATATATACATACTGCCATCCCCTCCCCCAGTTCCAGACCTAGTAATCCCAACCCCAATTCCCCACCCCACCCCACTCCTGCTGATTGTGGATCCCTAACCCAGCTGAGCCCAGGAACTGGGAAGGGCAGAGTCAGGCCCATCTACAGTTGCATAGGTATCAATTTCTGATGCTTTGTTGATTGTGTCATCCAGAAATGTGATTAAAACCAAATGTCTGAGACCCAAATGAAGTCTAATTGCTATGGATCTGCAATCCCCAGCGGGCACCTAATCCTTTTTGACTTATTCCTCCCCTTCCTCCGATGAGATGGAGCTTAGACACAAAGCCCTTGGTTTAAATTTCAAAAATTAAAATTGACATGCAGTGGTGGCTTTCCTGGGAGCAGGAGGAATTTCTAAGGAGGTGCCTGAACCCAGCTTTATCCTCTGCATTAAGAAGCAATTTGTACTTCTAACAAAACCCCTGTCACTCCCCTTTGGCAGAAGGGCAGTGGAGATGCCTTGCCTGGGTCTGACTGCTCACAATACTTAGACAAATTTGAATCTGAGATTCCTCCATCTGTATTCCCTGGTGCAGCCGGGGCTTCTTGCAATTCTAATGCCCGGGCTGCCGGAGGTGCTGCCAGAGGTGTCAGCTGCTAAGAGGATGATGGATTGATGAGGCGGCGGATGGGAGGTACGGCGTGGCAGGAGCTAGCAAGCTCAGGAACAATCTCTCTGCGTATGCACACCTTCCAGGTCCCAGGCAGGCCCCTCATGGCCCACCGAGGTCCATGACACCATCATCTGTCCAGAGGACTCTATTGGAAGGGGGCAGGGTGGAGTGGGGAGGCAGGCTTCCCACCATTGTCACCGTCATGGTGCCATCAGTCTTGGGGTGCATGTGGAATGCAAGAAACCCTTTGCGCCAGACACTTACCCTTGTCTCCAGTTGAGTAGGGACTTACTATCAATTATAATCATAACATATTAGTTTAATTTCCTAATTGCTTTTGGGTCCCTTTTCTAATTACGTTCTTGGTTTGGGATTATCATACTGGCATCATCCCAGAAGTTGGAGAGATATTATTCTGTCCATTTGGGAGGCAGAGAAATTGGGGCTTAGAGAGGTCCATGACTTGCCCAAGTGCACAAAGCTTATAAGAGTCTGAGCTGCAACTTGAACTCAGACCTACAGATTTTGCCCCTGTTTGCCTGCACAGAAGGGGCAGGTCCAACTCCCAGGGTTCTCAGGCCTTTGAGAGGAGAGCACATAGGTGGGGCACACTTCCCACCCCTTCCTCTGATATAGGACATGGCAGCATCCTCCAGAGGGTCAGATGAGAACAGCCAGCTTCTTTGGCCCAGGCAGCCCCCCCAGAGAGCACCCCAGACAGAGGTTCCCACTCCTGAGGAATTTGGCTGAAAAGCCTAGCCAGTGCTGATGGCCCATTGGGGCCTTACGTCACCAACTCCAAATGCTCCATTGGGACCTGTCTGTCTTGACCAGCAACTCCCCTCCCCTCCAGTCTCCTCTCCTCAGGGCCTGCTGACCACTTTCTCTTAGAACAGCTCTCCCTTTTCTCCTCTAGGTAGCACTGAGGAGGGGGCCATCCTGCAAGTGTAGTTTAGTGAAGTGAGCATTGGCTACCTCTGATTGGTGGGAGAGCACTTCCCCATTCTCAAAGCCAGCATCTCTGCGACTATCATTCAGGACTGCCTAAGTGCATGAGATACACACCTGGCCCCAGAAATCCTGATAGAAGTTATGCCTTCTGCTACCTTTCTCTCCTATCTGTGTGAGCAGATGGCTCTTTTGGGCACCCCAGACAAAACATCCAGGTCCCCCTCTGCATCAGGCTGTGATGCCACCAGAGGGGCCACTGCACAGACTCGTTGCTCCAGACTTCTCTGATCATACAGTTCTACTGGTTAAACAGTTTTTGAGCACTCACAACCAATATATTTACTTAACTTACAAATAATTTCTGTATACCATTGTCAGTCTACACTTTTACATTGTTCCATCTTTTTGTATTTACGTTCATCAAAGGACCTGCACATTCAAGTCAGTATCTATGTTCCAGCTGGCTAACCAAGTTTGGAAACCAGTTTCTTTTCACTGGAGCAAAAAGAGACTAGGGTTAATTCAAGGGCCGTTTCCCTTCAGCTTGCCATTTCCCAGAATCTTAGGCCTGAAGAGATATTCTTTTCTGAGTCACAGGTGAGCCTGAGTACTTTAATTCTTGGAGTGCACAGTTTCAGTTTACGTTTTAAGAATTTATAATGCATGATTCCTCTTACCTTTTTCAGACTGAAAATAAATAAAGCTGAAGTTCCCAGGTTTTCTTCTTACACCTGATTTTGGAGACTGATGTTGGCATTGGTGCCAACTCAGTATCAGGATGGGCCCGGCGGGGCGGGGTCTCTCTGGGGCCCCTCTGAGTATCAGGGGGGACAGACTCGGCAGATGGAAAAGAGGAATTTTGGGGGAATGTTTTGGTCTCTTGTTATTGCTATATTCGAATTCCCCTCCATGAAGGAGCATAGAGCATAGCAGCAGTTGCAGCACAAAATATGAGAAGTAGTTTAAAGCATTTTATCCTACTAATTTCAAAAATACACACCAGTACATTGAATAGTGTTATGAGCCACATGGGCCTGTCATCTGCTCAATACTTACCTCTCCTGGCAAAGCATAAAAAGCTGAATTTTGATTTTTAAAGACCTCATGATGTGTTAGGAATTGGTGATAGGGCACATTGTGTCCTCCCAACACCCCTATGAAGTCGGTCTAACTATTAGTCCCATTTTACAGATGAGGAAACTGAGATTCAGAGAGGTGAAGTGACTTCCCCAAAGTAAGGGCCGGGACTGGTGCCAAGGTCTGTGTGACCCCAGAGCCCAGGCCCTTTAGGGAATATGGGTGGAGCAGGGAGGCGAGACCTTAAAAGACAAACCACAATGTGGGTGCGTTTCTAGAAACAGGATTCCCCATCAAGCACTCTGTGGGTGCAGCCAGTGCCCAAGGGTTTTTCTGGAGGCCTTGAAAGGAAGTGCCCCCCTTTCCTAACATTGCAATCCATTGGTCCCTGGCTTCTTGCTCTCCCTTTCTTACTGTTCTGTGTGCCAGTCATGCTCTTTCCTCTACCTGGAACCCTCTTCTCCAGGTTAGCTCTCACTCTTTCAGGGCTCAGCTGGCACATGATTTCCAGTAGTCCCCCCACAGCCCTGGTGCTCCATGGCTTCTCTTCTCCCCACCCTGGGGGCCAGAGAACCCTGCTGAGAGCCTCTCTGCATGGCAGTTATGACACTGTTGTAATCCTGTGTCAGGTGGTCTGTCTTCCCCATGGACTGTAGACTTCACAAGGGCGCTACCTGGTGTCTGTGTGGGCCACCAGAGAATATTCTCTGCCCCCAGCACTTCTAATGGTGCCTGGCACACAGTAGGTGCTCAATAAATAGTTTCAGAATGGATGGATAGAGGGATGGAGGCATCCTGGGGGATCTTGAGAAGGTAAATCTTGAAAACATTTTGACTTCACAATGGGATCATAGGGGGTTGTCCCAGCAAGCTGAATCACTGCTTTCTAACCAATGAGTCTCCATCTATCCCCCACTGTCACCCCTAGCCCCGAGTTTTTAAGGTTGGGGTGAAAGGGGGCAGATATATGTAAAGGTGCATTTATTACAATCTTTGGGTCCCTGGTTACATCTTTAGGAATGACCAAAACCTTCTAGCTGACACAAGCTTATGACCACTGCCATACTGCAGCTTCTGGGCTGCTTTAGCCTCCCCCTTGGGGCCTTGGGGATGACCCTCTGTATTCTGGAGCTTCTTGGGCAGTAGCCTCATTTCCAGTAGGGTCCCTTGGTTGGTGCTTTTGCTGTGAGGATTCTTTCATTTTCTTGAAACGAAAAACATCTTTTGAAAAATTGTTGACATAATATGCAGTAGCAAAAAATCCAAACAACACAGAGAAATATAAAAGAGCAAAAATTCCCTCTCCCTTACTGCAATGTCCTTCCCCAGAGACAATTTGTTAACAGCTTGACTTGTATTCTTTCAGACTTTTAGAATGCCCATATGTGTGGCTCTGAACACGCAGAGTGTAAAATTCTAAACACTGCTCCACACCTGGGTCCCCCTTCATGCTTACTCTCGGACAACTCAGCGGTGCACATAGAGCCCCTGTTTCTTTTGACCGAGGTGCATTCATTGTACTGTTGATGATGACCTTTAATAGGAGGAACAAATCTTCCACCACTGGGTCTGTGAGCTGCTTCCAGCATTCCCTGGTCTAGTGGAGGAAGAGTCTGCTGATAGCTTCCTCTTTCACTTATGTGTTCTGCCTTCATGTGGGAAAGTACTACTTTATTTCCAAATCAGTATAAACAAGGTCTTTATCCAATGTACAAATGATTCTGCCCTTGATTTCTACCTTGTGGTATATTTCCTATACTCAGTAGCCCCTCTTCTAGAACTGAGTAAATTAAAGAAAGATTGACTCCAGCCGGTCCAGTGTTGCCTCTGTTGGCACAGGGAGAAGGAAGGGCACTCCTTGGGGTTGTATGTGTGTGGTGTGTGTGGGGTGGCTCCAGTTAGGGAGGAGCCCAGTATGCTTGGAGAATGAGGTATCTACCCGCCACCCCACACTACACACCTGGCTGCTGCCTATGTTGAAGCCTTGTTAAAGATGCAATTATATCCGAGGGAGGGTGGAGGCAGCCAGACGCAGGCACCCTGACCATCCCCAGGATTTCCTAGGAAGAGTGCTACCCTTGATTTGGCTCTTGGGTGACTGGGATTGGTAGAGCTGTGCTTCTTGATGGTGTGTGTCTGCTTGCCCAGGAACTCAGCTCCCACTTGGCTCCTCAGCTGTGTCCCCAGGTCCCCAGGCCTGAGTTTTGCAGAATGGCTCTGTTTCCCTCTTCTTTTCTCTCTTTACTTCCAGTTCCTGTGTCCGGGGCAGGGCTCTGACGCCTCTTCCCTGCTGCACTGTGCCTGATGGTGGGGGAAGGAGACAGGGAAGGGCGGGATGTTCTGCTCCAATGCCTGGTAACTCCAGGCCAGCTGAAGAGACTGACGCAGACACCAGGATGCCAGGCCACACTGGTCATCTGACGTGTGCCCTGCAACCAGACTGAGCAGTGGGCAGCAGCGGAGTGCACCAAAATAGCCCAGCCCTTTAAAATCAACCAGGTCACAATGCAGAGTAAAGAGAGGAGACAAAAAGTGATTTTAACCATTTAAAAAATTTGAGTTGAGTCCTTTATCTGTGTTATCTTGCTTAATCTCAACAATGGAGTAAAGTGAGATGCAGCAAGTTAAATATCTCAACAGTTCTCTCGGTCACGCTGTGAGAGGATCAAAACTGAGGCACAGGGAGGGCTAGTGATTTGCTGAAGGTCACACAGCAAAGGAGAGCCTGAAGATTGAAGCCCAGGTCTATCTGACGTCAAAGGTCCTGCTTTTAGTAATCCAATTCTCTGTCTTCCCTACCAGCCTGCTGGTTATCTGAGGCTTGTCATAGAACCTCTCTGAGCCATGGTTTCCTCTTCTTCTTTTTGTAGAGATGAAATCTTGCTATGTTGCCTAAGCTGGCCTTGAACTCCTAGCCTTGAGCAATCCTCCCACCTTGGTCTCCTAAGTTGTTGGGATTACAGGCACGAACAACTGCACCTGGTACAGGGTTTCCTTTTCTGTAAAATGCTGCCTATTCTACAAGACTAATGTGAAGAGTGAATGAGCTAATGGATGTCAGCGATGTCACCGGGAAGTGTTCCATAAAAGTTAGTTGTCATCAGCACTTAAACATTTATTTTGAAAGAGTCACTTTGCCAACTACACCACCTGGCTACTTGTCCAAGCTACTGATGGTTGGAGGAACTCAACTGTGGTCTTTGAACTTGGTGGATTCAAATCCACCTTTACCATGAACTAGCTCCGCAATAATTTAACAGATTATTTAACTTGCTGAACCTCTCTTTTCCCCATCTATAAAATGGGACCAGTCCTCCTACCACATGGGTAATTGGGAGAATTAATGAGATGTCGTAACAGTATGGGATACAGAATAAGTGCTTGAGACCTGGGGTTAGTATGTGGTGGTGGTATTGAGATAATGATTAGGGATCTCTTCATTTTCTCCTGAGCCGATACATTTCAGGAATCATCAAACTGAGACTTCTTGGAGTGAGAAAGGGCAGGATTTTAGTGTCAGTAGCTGGCATTTATGAGCATGCCTGTGTGTTAGGAGACACCAAGGGCATTTTTCAAACATGTCTACAGTCCTTTCAGTAACCCTGTGAGGTGAAGATGAGTGATAATTGTACCCATTTCACAGATGAGGAAGCGAGAGGCCGTTTTCAATGGTGGTTATATATGTCACAGCCAGAATTCAACCCAGTGCCCTTTCCACTGTTCATGCCTTGGTCTCTCACCTACTTTAGCACTGGCCCTCGCAGGTCCCAGTACGTGCTGGGAATGCTTGTGCAACTTAAGACTGATGACTGTGCAGATCCTGTTGGGGCTCCCTTGTTAAATCCCAGGCTAATAAGCCCCTGCGTAATTGGGCCTGGAGCTGTGACTAAGTCTCAGGGCTCTGCCACATGAATATGCAAACTCCCATTGACGGCCCAACTCCATCGCAGCCTGATTTCAAATTGGCATACACAGCCCAGTGGTTCAGGGCCTCTTGCTATGCATAGTAAGAATGCCTGCTAATCCCACTAAAGCTCTGAGGTCAGGGTTGGGTAGGGGGTGTGCTCAGCAGAGCCCATTCAGGAGGGTACATTGAGAGCATGCAGTCCAAGCTGCGGCCCTCTTTCAAGACCTGCCCTGCCTCCACGGGATCAATATGGAGCTTACAAGCCTTGGAAGGCTGGTTTCTGTTTTCTTTCCCAGCTCCATGAGGCATACGTGGGAAACCCAGATGCTGCTCAAGGGCATGGAGTCCAGTGGGAGCTGTCTGGTGGCCTGCAGATTGTGAAAGCCAGCTTTGCCACATGTTTCACATAAAACCTGATTACTGGGTGTCCACTGTGTGCCCAGCACCGTGGTGGGGGGAATGGTTGTCACTCTCTTTCAGTCTGGTTGGTAACAAGAATAGTAATTGTCAATGATAACAACAATAGTACTCACTCCTGTTTGTCAGGTACCTACTGAGAGGTGCCTGTGACTTGCATGCCCTCATTTAAAACTCCCTGAAGTCCTGCAAAATGGGTGTTATTCTTCCCATCTCACAGGCGAGGGCCCCGAGACTTGAGAAGTTAACTCAGCTGTGCTCCAGCTCCACAGCTAAGAGGTGGTGGAGGCTGAGTTGCAGCCCAGGTTTGTGTGGCCATAAAGCCCTTCCTTTTTGCACGACAGAGGTGCTGCAGTGTGTCTTGATCCACTCTACGGATACTTGGGGAAGGGCTGACCCGATGGCTGATCTGGGCACAGGGAACCTCTATGTGGAAATGAGAGGTCCTGAGAAGGGCTGGGGTGGTCAGGAGGGCTTCCAGGAGGTGGTGGCCCATCAGTTGGGGTTTGTCATGTAAGTGTGGTCATTAAGCTCCTTAGGGAGCTGGCAATGAGGCTGAGCAGAAAAAACTCACACACTTTGGAAATCCCTTGGTTCCATATTCATTCTCCAAACAATTATTAAGTGCCTACATCTACACTGAACGCAGTGCCGGGCCCTGGGGTACAAAATGTCCTGAGATAAGGCCCAGTCCCACATGAACTCTGTAAAAGACAGGAGCCAGACCAGGGCCCAGGGCAGGGGATATCCCACCCAGAACAGGGAGCCGACATCACTCCAGAGAGCCACTGAGCCCAGGGTAAAGCCAGGAGAGGAGAAACAAAGCGGTGCAGATGCCTCCAGCTCTTTGGAGGGGACCAGGAGGAGGCCATTCTGGCAGGGAGGGAAACACAATCACAGTCCTGGAGGTGAGCTTGCCTCGGGGAAGGGTTTTCTGGAGCCTTTCTCTCTACACGTGTGTTGGGCTGTGTGCATTGGTGTGCATATGGCATGCACATACATGGAGGGAGATGTGACTTATGTGTGTGACAGGAGGGATGTATTGTGGGAGGGATGTTTGTGTGTGGGATGGAGTGTGTGTGTGTGTGTGTGGTGTGCTGTACCTATGGGGACACAACAGTGTCAATTGCAATGGTTGTGTATCTGGCTCAGAACACTCTTGGGGGTGTTTGAGCCCTTCTTGCCTCTCAGTAGAAAGATAGAAGAGCTTTATGCCATTGATTGGTTCCGCTTTTCCCAACTCCCTGCCTCCAACACACATAATAAACTTCATTGCTGACTCTCTTTGAAGTGTGTTTGGAGTTTGTATTTGGGGTGGGGTCACATGGGGATAGGAGGTGTCCAGGGCTGAGTGTTGAATGATGGGGGAGGGAGGGACTGGGGAGAAGAAACATCTCAGGGCAGGAGCTGGAAGTTAGAAGGGTCCCTGAGTTGCCTAAAAGACCCCAAATAATGGTGTTCTGGAATCACAGATGCAGATAACTGCACATGCAGCAGCAACAACTTAACATTGTAATACCACTCGATTCTTTCTGAAGGGCATTGGCAGCCATTCATTCCCTCATTTGTAGTGACATGCCAGCCCCCACACTCACCAGCATGTGGAATTACAGATAGCTCCTGTGCTCCTTCCCAGTGGATTTCTGCAAGGACTGTGGTCACTGGACATACAATTATAACATCCCCATCTCCCCTCAGTAGAGGAGACTGAGGCTAAGACAAATGAAGTGACCAGTCCAGGGTCTCATGGCTGGTTAACAACTCTACTGAGAATAGCCTCCCAGTCAGTCTTCTCTGCTTCTCAGGGCTTCTGATAGTTCAAAGTGAGGGGTCTGAACATGGTAAACATGATGGGAGACAGAGCAAGCATATAGATTCCCACCTCTCTGTCAGGCAGTTAGAGCAGATCACTTTCCAGGGCTGTATCCCAGCCCTGGAAATGCTATCTCCCATAGCATCCTGGATACATTAGCTAGAGCATCTACTCATCCATCCATCTATCCATCTATTCATCTATCTATCCATCCATCTATCTATCCATCCATCCATCCATCCATCCATACATACATACATACATACATACATACACCTACTCATCCATCATCCATGTAGTCAGTGCACAGCTGTATGCTAACCCTATGTAGGTGCTGGGAATGAGATGCTCTCTATCCAAAAAATCTCCCAGTCCGGCGGCAGAGCTTCTAGAAGCCACTGCCCATCCCTTCTTCGCTTTCTCCAAACAGCCACTTTCTAAGAGAGGCAGGCATAGGGCTCTCGCCTGGCTCCCCGTGAGTGAGCTAGCCCAGCAGCTAGCATGACAGCCTCTGACAGGCCCAGGTGACTGGCATCAGAGAACAAGAAGCTCCCTAGTGGTGTGGCAGAAATCCCGAGTCAAGCTCAAGAGCTTTCCTACAAATACATGAGGGGCCTGGCTTCTCTCTCGAGGTGCTTCCTGCAACTCCTGCAGGATGGCAGGTCTGGCACTGCGCATGCCTCATGTCCTCATGCCTTGAGTTGGTGGCACCATGTGCCATGTGTGGTGTTTGCCTGAGCCCTTGCTTGGCCCCTGGCCACAAGTTGCACCCTTTGCTTGGCTGGCCACCCTGTGGGCTGTACCTTGCCTATGTACCCCCATTTTTCGAGGGACACTTCACAGCTTCTGCACTATAGTCATCACCCATGTTGGGAGGTCTGGATGTAGAAGGAGGAACTTGCATCACAGCAGAGGGCCTGTGTCTTACTCTGTTTCTGCTGCTCAGTAACTCATGATGGGGGCTTCTTGCGGAAATGAACAAGCAAGGCCACTGCCCAGCCTGGTGCATGTGAGGAGGCTGGCAGAGAGGAGTAGGTGCTTTCCACGCCGAGCTGCAGGACCGGAGGGCCAGCCGTGGGAGGTTGCCTGTGGGATTTGTGTTTGTGAAGCTGGCTAACTAGTCATTACTGCCAGCTACCTTCTTTCATATCCCTGGACTAATGGGGCTGCCAAGTTAGGGACCCCATGGTCCAAACCCTCAAACAGCAAGTAATTGTTTCCACTGTGTGAGAAGCCAGTGGTTAATGGGGGTTTGCCAGCAGCTGCAGGGGACCAGGGGCTCAGTTAGGGTTTTCCTGATTAACTCTCCCGTGTTCCCATTCCGGGAGGGATGGGGCAAAGGAAGTCCGATTGCCATCAAATCATAGTCATCACTCTTAGCTGCTTGCTTAGTAAACCTCCATGTCTCCCGGCACTTACACAATCACCTCCAAGTCCCAAACCTGGTGGACTGGCCTTTCATGATCTGGCCTTGTTTCTTCCCTGCCCACTGTCTCCCTCCATCCACTTCCGCAGGTAAATGGAGATTCTTTTCTTCCCACAAGGAGGTTCCTTCTAGTCTCTATGCAGAGCCTGGACTAGGGTAAGATGCAGAATTTAAGAGAGTGCAAAAAAACTCTCCAATTAAGAGAAATAATTTTAATGCAATATTTAAAACATCAAGATTATTGTAACCCATGACAGAACAAAATATCAATATTTAATATATTTTTAAAATTTCAGTAGCTTTGGGGGTACAAGTGGATTTTGGTTGCACAGATGAATTGTATAGGAGTGGAGTCTGAGATTTGCATGCACCCATCACCCTAGTAGTATACATTGTACCCCATATGTAGATTTTTTATCCTCTCTCCATCCCTCGCTCCCCCTTCTGAGTCTCCAATGTCAGTTATACGTATGTCTGTATGCCTTTGCGCACCCATAGCTTAGCTCCCACTTATAGGTGAGAACAGGAGGCATTTAGTTTTCCATTCCTGGGTTACTTCAGGGAATATCAATGTTTAAATAACAATGGCATCAGTCAGGATCCTTTAGAGAGGATTCTTTTTCTTTTTCTGATTTTTTTAAACCACTTTATTGAGTTGTGATTCTTCTCATTTTATCACAGACGATCACCAGGTTTTGAGAGAAAAAGGAAGAAAGAGGGACTAGGAAGCACTAAGAATGTGTTCAAGGAATGGAATAATTGACTGTATTAATCTTGATAAGAGTAACTCTCCTGTTACTAAACATCCATTGTGTATTGATCATTTACTCAGTGCCGGGCACCATGTTACAGAGCTTACGCTCATGATCTCATTTTCTCCTGCAGTGGTAGGTGTGATTATGCTTGTCTCATTGATTTGGAATCTGAAGAACAGAAAGGTTGAGTAGTTTGCCCAGAGACACACAGCTCTGCCAGGTGGAGCTGGAATGGAACCTAGGTCTGACTGTAAGGCCCATGCTCCTCCAAGATATTTTATGGCTGCCCCTGAGGGACACTTCTGTTCTTACCTTTCTCCCTATCCCAATAACGATGC
This sequence comes from Homo sapiens, assembly GCF_000001405.40. Classification (NCBI taxonomy): domain Eukaryota; kingdom Metazoa; phylum Chordata; class Mammalia; order Primates; family Hominidae; genus Homo; species Homo sapiens. The sequence continues at coordinate 119,143,536 of NC_000002.12, read as the reverse complement.
AGACTAGAACAATAAGAAACACACACTGGGTTCTTGCTATGTGGCAGGAACTTTTCCAGGTGCTTTATATGTGTTATGTATCTCATTTAATCCTCCCAACCACCACAAAATGATAGAAATTATCCCCATTTTGTATATGAGAAAACTGAGACACGAAAAGGTTAAGTAACTCGGTCAAGGTCCCAGCAATAGTAAGTGGGAGAACGAAGACACCCGGGTTTCAGTTGAGCTTGTGTCCTCTGCGCTGAGCGTGGGATGTTCCAGGCAGTGAGCTGGACCAGGCCTATCCATTGCCCTCGTGCCTGGGGTGGGTGAGACATTACCAATCCCCCCGCCCTGGCCCAGGCCCCGGGGCCTCACACAGTTCCCAGGTGGGAACCCAAGCCAGCGCCTCTCCACTCACTCTTGGACTGGCACTTCAAACAGTGGCCCTTTCCGCCGTGCCCACTGTCAACGTCGTGGAAACCTGCCAGGCGGACAATGAAGGCATTCAGGGGCTGTTATTTATTTATTTCTCAATAAAGAAACTTCATGAATAGATGGATATTTATTCACCTAATTCGCTTTTGCAAATGCAGTGTCCTTCAAAGAATGATTTGTTTGCTGAGTGGGGCTGAGGTGGGAGGTTAAAAATAGCTCCCGGCAGTACCGTATTTCTCAGTAAATCAGTGTTGATAATTTAATAATAAAATTAGTCTTACATCAGGTACCAGATAACGCTCCTTTGACATGCAAATCAAATTAACTTCCTACCTAATGTGGGCCATTTGTGAGGCTGCAAAATCACTAGTCTCCGTTTTTGGGGCATACATTTAGAGCCTTTCTTAGGTGGGTCAATAAAAGTGCCTCCAAAATGCTTATCTCACTAATGTGATCATTTGTAATATTCACTAAGTTCAAAATGTAGGCAACTGGAAGTTCTCTCACTTCAAAGCTGTCACATATAGCAGGTTGGAGAAGACACCAAACACACACCTGTCCAGTTTAGGGAGATGGCTGTAAATCGCTTTGAGTTTGGGGGCAGAAAGGCTGTCTCCTCCAGTATGTCTTTTATTTCTTCTTAATAAAACTTTCATGGCCATCTACAGTGTGCCAGGCCCTGTAGTAAGTTCTGGGGAAGCAGAGATGATTTAGATACTGCGTTTAAGGAGCTCATGCATGGTCTGGTGGAGGGACAGTCGCATCAAGGGGCATCATGGTGTGAAGACAAAGGGACATGCACATACAAGATCTAGGGAAGCATAGCAGAAGAAAGGGCCAACATCATTGTGAAGGAGAGAACACACAATCCAGGAAGGCTTGTTCCCAAAAGTGAAATCTATACTGGGTTTTGTAGGATAAATAGGAGTCCTCTGGGTAATTGAGTAGCAGTTAGGGGCACAGGACAGGGCATTTCAGGCAAAAGAAATGGTATATACAAAGGTGTGGAGGCATAAGACTTAGTACCATGCAGAGAAGTTACATTTTTTTTTTTGTAGCCAAAGACTAGCAAGTGGGAGACTGGAAAGTCCAGTGGGGGCCATATGACCTTGTGTGACCTGTGAGAGAGCTGAGATGTTCATCTGAAGGGATGGGGAACCACCGAAGGGCTGGAAGCAGGGGAGAGGCGAGGCTGGATGTCCTTGCTGAAAGATCTTCAGGACATGGTATGGAGCATCCGTGGAGGAGGGCAGGATGGTTCCCTTCCCCGCTAAGGAATGAGCACCACGTTTCCTACAGGGCAAGTGGGATTCTGTGTGAGTGCTGCAGGACACAGGGGCCAAGAAACAAACAGGAACCAAAACACACTGAGGGGAGGAACTGGGGAGGAGGAGCTGCCCCAGAAAGAGCTGACAGGGAAGTGGGAGCCTCCTACCTGGGCCCACTGGGTGGGAACTTCAGGCCTCACTCACCCATAGGTATTCAACAAGCCCCAGTATATGTTTGACATATGCAGGTTACGAGCCTTTCCCACAGGGACCATGTGATTTTAACCAGCCCTCTGAGATTGGCAGGGTGGGCCCCATAATTCCCATTTTATAGATGAGAAAACAGAGGCTCAGAGAGGTGATGTGAGCTGCTCAAGCCAGCAAATGGCAGAATAGGTTCTCCAAATCAAGTCTTGATTTCTAGTCTAGACTCTTTGGGGGCATAATTCTCATTTCAATGAGTTCAGTACCTATGATGATTCCCATTTTACACACGAGGAATGGGAGACAGAAGGTTAGAGTGACTTGCTCAAGATCATGTAGCTGGCGAAGCCTGAGTTCAATTCCATTGTCCTGAGTCCTACTCGTTCATTCATTCATGGCATTATCTCTGCTGTCCAGCACTACCCACCAGTATAGCCTCTTTTCTCCACTGCTCTGGGGGCACTGGCCTTCCTGATATTTCACAGCTAAGCAAGTGCTCTCCTGCTCAGGGCCTGCTCTTGCTGCTGCTCTCTCTGGAATACTCTTTCCCCAAGTATTGCCACCGCTCCCCGCATACGCTGCTTATTTTACTCAGGTCTCTGCTGACATGGCATCCCCTCAAAGAGGCCTGCTCTCACCTTCTCATCTCTCATAGCACATTCTATTGCTCCATCCCCTTCCCTAGCTTCAGTTTTCTTTACAGCTCTTACTCCTGCACTGCTGTTTCTTCATTTGCTTAATGTCCATCTTCCTCACTTGAGAGTAAGTTCCTGGAGGGCAGGGAGTTTGCATCTACATTTGGCATTTTATTTCCTGCCCACTTGTAGAGGAGACACTTTATAAACGCTTGTGGAGGGAATGCATGTGGAGTGCCCTTAGAGGCATGACACTGTTCTGGGATATAAGAGGAGCTGTAGACACCAGGAGCTGGTTTCCAATATGCTGGAGACTCAGGCTTGTTGGCCCTCCCCCCCATGCCAATATGACAAAAGTCAGATCATCGTATAGTACGTAAGGGCTTTACTCAGAGATTGTGAACACTCTGGAGTGATTTCAATGCCACAGTAGCTGGAAGTAAAGGAAGAGAAATTTATGGAGAATTAACTATGACAGCTTGACTCACACGTGGTATGCTCAGATATGTTTTAGCGTGAATGCATGGCCTAAACAAACGCAGACAGGATTCACAGATTGCACCTAAGAGACCAGAAGATCAACCTTCATTGCAAACACTGTAAAATCGGTTCAAGTGTACAGTTCTGGGTCTCAGTTTAGCCAGCAACAAAGTGGGTGGGAACTTCCCAGTTTGGTTTAGATCAGGAAGCTTGTTTCTGTCATCACTTTGAAAGGAAGTCAAATTGTCTGGAATTTCAATTTCTTTCTTTTTCCTGTATCATTATCTGCACGGAGAGCTCTAGTTCTCTGTTGGAATGAGTGATACTGGAATCCCCCTCCATGCTTCCAGAGTAGCTAAGACCTGGGGCTTGAGGCCCCCTTCTGGCCCCAGAGTCACAGTAGAGGGGCAAATGAGCCAGCCCAGGCACAGGCAGATTTGCAGTCCTGAGAGCTGGCTCCAGTAAATGCAGTTACATGACGGTTGCATTCTATTCTCTAATAAAAGGGCTTTTAAGAAAAATACAGAAATGCTTAGGAGAAAGTTAAGGAGAAAGAAAGGAAGGCGACAGAATTGTTCACACTCCATCAATGCCTCAGAAGAAGAGCCGGTTTCAATGACGCACTCTTCCAGGTATTCGGATGGCGGGTTTGGAGGGGGGATGCCAGCCTCTCCACCATACACACTGCGCCCACCCTCATGCTAGAAACCTCTGTTCCCAGTCCTCTGCGCAGCTCCATTCAGCATTTCAACTGCCACTCCACTGTCAACAAGCTCAAAACAAACGCCTGGATCCCCCTCACCCAGCGATGATAGTCAGTTGGCCATATTGTTCAGTTAAGATATTTATGTATTTTATTTAAATACTTCCATACTGATTAGTGAATTGCCACTGCCCTGAGTCACCCCAAAGCTGCCTTGGCCTCTCCCCCAGGACTCCTGGACCTCCCTGTGCTGCAGCAGCTAAAGGGTTAACCACTGGCACAATCGGGGTCCTTGAGATCCATGCTCCTGCTCTGAGTCTCTTCTGATTGGCCAGTGCAATGGCCTCAGTTTTCTAAGTACGTTGACTATCCCTCTTCTCCTAATTCCTCACTCACACCCACAACCTGCTCCTCCTCTCCAGTGCACATGATGGCATGCCACCCAGGTGCCCAGGGGAACGGCATGATCATGTCCCTCCTTCCTCACTCATGACAGACCCAGTCCCCCACGTCAGCTCCAAGACTCCACAAAGGCAAACACCATGCTTGCTTTTTTACCCGCCCATGGCAGAATCCACAGCCCACAGCCTGGCACTCAGTGGGTGCCTAATAAATGACACACTCTAGTAGGTGAATAATTCTCCCAAAGATGTCCATGTTCTCATTCCTGGAAAACCAGAGCCTGTAAATGTCACTTTATCGGAAAAAAAGGACTTTGTAGGTGTAACTAAGCTAAGAATTTGAGTTGAGGAGATTATCTTGGGCATCCAAGTGGGTACAATACCATCACTAGAATCCTTATAAGAAGGAGGCAGCGGGAGATTTGGCACAGAAGAGAAAGCCATGTGACCATGGAAGCAGAGATGAGAGTGAGGCAGCTACGAGCTGGGACATTCAGAGCAGATGCTCCTGTGAAGAAAGCAGCACTGCCCACACCTGGATTTTAGCTCCATAAAACTCAGTTCAGACTTCTGGCCTCCAGAACTATAAGAATAAATGTCTATTCTTTTAAGCCACCAAGTTAGTGAGCACAGCAATAGAAAATAAGCACACACACACACACACACACACACACACACACACACACACACACACACACCTCATCTCAATCATCCAGTAGGTCCTGGCAGTTCCTGACACTGTGGCTAAGAAAACGGCTCAGGACAGCAGCCCATGGCCTCTGGGTAGTGCAGAACTAGCTGTGTTATTTCCACCCCCTCACTGTCCTTTAAGAGTCACCAAGAACTCCCTATCACCTCCAAGGTGAAGGTCCAAGTCTTTTAGCTGGCACATAGGTCCTTGTGACCTGCCCCTACTGACCCTTCCATCCTTTTTTAAACTTTTTTCTACAAAATTTTTGAGATAGGATCTTGTTTTGTCACCCAGGCTAAAGCGCAGTGGTGTGATTACAGCTCACTGCAGCCTTGAACTCCTGGGCTCAATAGATCCTTTGGCCTCAGCCTGCAAGTAGCTGGGACTACAGGTGCATGCCACCACACCTGGCTAATTTTTGTATTTTTTGTAGAGAGAGGGTTTCGCTATGTTGCCCAGGCTGGCCTTGAACTCCTGGGCTCAAGCAATCCTCTAACCTCGGCCTCCCAAAGTGCTAGGATTATAGGCATGAGCCACTGCACTAGGGCCCTTCCATCCTTTTCCCCATCCCCTGATACTCCCATGTGCCAGTCAGGCCAAACCAATGACATTTCCATTTTCCTGACTTTCATGCCACACCGTAACTCCTCAGTGCTTTTGTCCCAAGCCAGCCACTACTGCTTGGAAAGCCTCACCCTACTCACTTGCTCACCTTCTACTTTTCCTTCAAACTGGCCCCTCTACTTGTCCTTCAAACTTCCCCTCCTCCAGGAAACCCTCCCTGCTAGCCACAGGGCTGGATTCCATTCTAGCTCCCACAGACCCTCAACGTCAGTGCTGATCACACTGCGTCCACTCAGTCTGTGTCTCCCACCTTCTGGAGGCCAGAGCTCCCCAGTGTTGAGGAAGACTGAGGCCTGCGTGGGTGGTGGCGGCCTTCCACCTGCCCTCTCTGGCCACTGTGGCTGACCTGAGCAGCTCTGACCCGAGGAGGAGGAGATGCTTACACCCACGTGGGACTTGTGACTCGTGCTCCATGAGTCGTGGCGAGGTGGCTTCCATCCACGGCAGTGCAGCAGGTATGGAACCTTCAGGTCTGTCCCGCCCTGCTGGGGGTCCCCCTGTGTGGCGGGAAGAGAAAGGCCTGGCTCTCCCAGCTCTGCTTGTCCCCTCTGCCAGGGTGCTGACATTTTAGTTACAAACTGGATAGGACACATTTTTCATTTTGCCTGTTTCTTCCATAATTCCATGGAGATTTTTTTAAAGTATCAGACTTTCCGAAGCTAATATCTATAAGCAAATGGGGGGAGGGGAATGTTCCTTTTATTTTTCTTTATTGGAAATAGCTTTTGTGATTGGTTTTCTGGCTCATAAAAGTCCTGAATGTTTACTGGTGAGTTTGGACACCGTGGGAATGACACTGCTTTGAAGGAGGAAAGGGCACCAGCACAACCTGCTTCTTCCTCTCTCCTTTCTCCAAAGCAGCCCCTCCTTCGGGACCCCCATGCACCCCACAGTGTTTGGCCCCTGCAGCTCCGAGTCTTCAGTGTCCTGGATTACACGGCCCTTCTCGTAGACACCCTCACACCTATCTTGTTCTTTCCATCCCCACAGCCATCGCCCTCTGCCAGGCCTCCAGTTTTCACTCACTCCGATGTCTGCAGTAGCTCCCACTTTCTTTTCTGCTCCTCTAGTTCCCCACTACCGCAACCTGTCTGGCTCACAGCACCTGGCACTACCTTGGCACTGCCCCTCCCTTTCCTCCAAGGGCCCCCCATCTGCTGCCCCACAGAGGCATATCCACCAGCTCTGTCTCTAGGACACCAGCCTCTCCCCGACCTGCCCAGACTGCCTCACCACTCTCCCCGACATTACCCCCTCTCCACCCACCACTCTCCCCGACATTACCCCCTCTCCACCCACCACTCTCCCCGACATTACCCCCTCTCCACCCACCACTCTCCCCGACATTACCCCCTCTCCACCCACCACTCTCCCCGACATTACCCCCTCTCCACCCACCACTCTCCCCGACATTACCCCCTCTCCACCCGTACTGGCTTTCCCTGGGTCTCTCAGGTGGACTCCCTGGGCTTTGTGATACTGAACTTTACTGCCCTGGGGTGACTTCTGGATTTAAGAAGCAGCATTCACCCCACTTCTGGTGACACACAGCTAGAAGTGGAGGTTGCCTCATGATGGGTAAACAGGGGAAGGGCGGGGGGGATGGAGGTAAGAAATCCTGGAAGGAGGAGGGCCTGGGATGTGGGACAGGCCTTGACAGAGAAGGTCGAAGGCTCCCCAATCTCCTGACGATTTGTACAACCTGAGGGGCCATGGGCAGGGACAGAGCTGACCCCAGCAGGCCAGAGACTGATGAGTCACCAGAGAGGAGAGCACAGTCACCACCCGGCTGGCCAGGAAGGAGTGATGCTCTCACTGTCTGTGCCAGGGACAGGAAGTGTCCTGGAGAGGGAGTGGGCCAGAGAGGGCGTGCCCAAGAAGCACCTGCCTGCAGTCTGCCGAATGCTCCGCAGCCAGCCTGCTGGGCTTGTGCAGCCTCATCCTAGCCCAGCTTGGTCATTCAGTCCCCAGTCCTGAGTACCTGCTGTGACCCGAGCCCCTGCTAGGGCTTGTAGGCTACCTACAGGAGATGGAGAAAAGAGCTCACATGTATTCCACTATTCAATGCTCGAAATGACCCCATTATGATCTCCATATTACATGTGAACAAACCAAGGCACAGCAAGGTTGTGATCTGTCTAAAGGCCCAAAGCAAATAACCGCAGAACCGAAGTTCAAGCCCATGCCTTTCTCCCACCCCACAGAAAGGCAAGGGCTGAGGCCTCAGGATGGGATGATGGATCCAGGAACAGGCCCTGGGTGCTCCTGTCATGAAATCCCTGGCGGGGCTGTGTCTGTCACCCTCAAGACAGCCAGTGAGTGTGGCCAGCTCAGGGAGTAGAGCTGACTGCAGGGAACTTACACCTGGGGGCATGGAAGATGCTGATAATTTTATCCAGGATCACAGAGAAACCGCTTTGAGTGAGGGAGAGGGGGTGGGAAGGGCAAGGGGGAGACCTCAGGTTGGGTGTCAGGGGGACTTGAAGCTGCCACTACCTCTGTGAGGCTGGGGAGAAGGGATGGGGGGTGGTGGTCGCTAGCCACGGATCAGCTGCTCAGGGATGAATGGGGGTGAGGGGCACCCCTGCCCCATGAGCTCTGTATAATGAGGAGTTGGACCAGGTGAGCTGGAAGGGTCCACCCACTTCTGACAGCCAAGGTCCCCGGATTGTGAGGCAGCCGCAGTCCCATGGCACAGCAAGGAGATGCATCTGTCAGTTCCTGCTGCCTCCACTGAGCCTGGACAGCCCCCAGCACAGAGTAAGTATTCACAGAGAGAATGAATTAATGAAGGGATTGAATGAGTGAGTGTCCCCTCAGCTGCACGTTCCAGAATCTGGAAAGGAAGTAGGGAGGGGGTGAGAAAAGCCACTGGTCGTCTGTGGAGCCTGTGTGCTTCCTGCCCAGAGGAACACGGCCGATGCCAAGATTTGGGGAGAGAAGGGGAGGAGGAGCTATTTAACCTCTATCTTAATGCTGTAAATCCGGACAGGGAGATTTTAATTACTCAGCTTTGGGTGGTTTTATTTTTCAATTAAAGTCATCAAGTAAGCATTCAGAAATTAGTGCCCTTGTTAGGAGCTGGCAGCACAAGGACTCCTGCCCCAGATGCTGAATGGGAGCTGTCCAGCGACGGCGCGCGGCAGGGAGTGCACTTCAATATGGAGTCAGGCCCTGCAGGCCCCCGCCCTCACCCCGCCCATGGATTGAACTGATGCTCCAAGCCCTGGCAGGAGGCACAGCCAGAGGCTTCTGGGGGTGAGGCGGGTGCTCCCTGAGGCATCTGCCTCCTCTCCTCCACTGCCTGATGCAATAGAGTCCCTCCGGGCTCAGGCTAGGGGGCGTCGGCTCAAACCATGGGAGAGACCAGGAATCATGGAGCCCACAACGGGCTCGTGCACACAGTAGGGGCTGAGCTGGTGTTTGTGAAATTGGGGTGCAGGTGGAGAGGGGGAGTGGAGCTGAGGAGCTGGAATGAGGGCTGTGGTTTGGGCTCCACAGCCCTTGGTCACAGAGAGACCCTGACCCAGGAAATAGTGTTCTGGGAAGGACTCTGGCTGCTTTTACCCAGATCTTCCCAGAGTCTATGCTGGGAGGGAGACTGATGGGGAGAAGGAAACTGGTGTGCCAGTCTTGACCGCTGTTGGTGGCCTTTGGCCATGAGGCAACTGCTTTTCAGCAAATCCTAGCCAGCGAACCAACAGCCCTACCCAGTCCCACAAAGGAGCAGAAAAGAACAACAGGAGAATACAGGAGACCACTGGCTATCTCCAGAGGAAGACATTGATCCTCCTCCTCCTCTTGGAAACTGAGATGTCAGAGAAGTCCCGTGTGTTCTTTCATCAGTGCTATGGACTGAATCATGTTCCTCCCCGAGGTCTTAAGTTCGTAATTCCCCCAATGTGACTGTAGTTGGAGATAAGGGTTATAAAGGGGTAATTAAGTTTCAATGATGTCAGAATGGTGGGGTCATGATCCTATAGGATTAGTGCCCTTATAGGAAAAGAGTGTCATACTGGTTAAGAGTCACTAGTCTCTCTCACACTCTCTCTGCCATGTGAGAACACAGTGAGAAGACTGTCATCTGCACGCCAGGACCCTCGCCAGACCCTGGCCAGAAACAGAATCAGCCGGCACCTCAGTTTGGACTTTCCAGCCTCCAGAGCTGTGGGAAAATAAATGTCTGCTGTGTAAGTCACCCAGTCTGTGGCATTTTGTTATGGTAGCCAGAACTGACTAAGCCAATCAGTGGCATTTTTCACAGTGCCACGAGCTTCCACTTCCTAAGCACCCTTTTTCCTATAGCACTGGGAGGAGGCTGAGCAATGATGTGCACTGGCCGGGCATGCACAGCAGGAAGTGGCAGGGACAGGACCGGAGCCCAGGCAAGTCTTGCCATTTCCAAGGCAGTGCCTGAACAACATGCTGCTGCTGAAGATGCTGCTGATGGTCATGCTGGTGGCAAAATTCCCATGCAACCTGATAGAACAAAATGGAGCTGGCGACTGAATAAGAAGGTAACCAAGGGTCAAGAACAAAACAGGCTCAACAAAGCTTCCAAAGCATTCATGGGAGGCACTTCCCTAGGCGTTCTAAGGGGGATAATCCACCCTTCAGCCGGGACTCACCCAGGCACCACCCAGCTTCCTTGTTCTCTCTCAAGCCCTGGAATCAATGTCTATGATTTGATCCTGGAGGAAGAGGATGCAGACACACAGTGGGGGACCCAAGATGCCGTGCATCCTGAACTCTGCTCTAGCCAGGCTCTGAGGTGGCCTGCAGACCCTCCAGCCAACCAGCCTAGAAAATGCCCTCCCCATGCGGGTTTGTGTCCGCTCAGCCTGGCTGCCTTCCTGTGCACAGGGCGGCCACATGGAGCCTTTCCCATGATTCCACAGACACCCGGCTGAGACAACAGGGCTCATCCGTGTCCCAGAGATGAGCATCTCACTCCGACTGAGGGATGGGCTGTGAGGAGACCAAAGTGAATGGAAATGCGTCCCAGTGGTCCTGGGGTTCATGCCAGTATATGTATAGCACAACGCCATCATTTTTTTTTTCTTGATAGAGTGTCTAAAGAAGTTTACATTAATGCAACATGTCATCTTTTCTGGGAGCCATGTTTGAGATCAGAAGCCTCGGCTGGGCATCCGCTCAACACTATGAGGGTGATTAAGCAAATGTCAGGAACTGAGATGATGATACTAGGCAAGTAGGGGATTTGGATTTGGCTGATGAGGAAGTTTTGGGCCTGGGAGATGGCAGCCCCCTGACTGCTTCCAGGTGGTCTCGTGTTGTGAAGCAAACTCTGAGTGGTCTGGAGGCTGGCCTCTAGTGCTAGGTCTGGAACTTGCTTGCTGTGCAACTTAGACTAAACAGTTGCCCTCTCTGAGCCCAATCTCCTCACCTGAAGGGGAATTAGATATCTCTAAGATATCTTGGAAGATCTGTGTTTCCCTGACTCACTAATATTTAATGTGATTATGCTGTATGGAGTTTTACAGCATACTTTTTCTTAAATTATGTTCTTTGAAGTGGGTATTTGTATTTTCTATACATACTAACCAATTATTAATTGGTCTTTGGGGAAGATATGGGACTTTGTTATTTTTCTTTTAATTATCCTAAGGACAACTACGTTTCATCCACTGGGCAGGCACAGCTCTAGTCTTCCAGGCTGTGTCGTGGACGAGATACTTGATAAGAGTCACTGTGTGGACCAGAATAATCGCTGTGAAGAGAATGGACTTTGGCCTCAGAGAGGGTTTGAATGCAGATCCCACTACTGCATGGCTGTGTGGCTGTGGGCAGGATATTAAACCTTAGAGGGCCTCCACTTCCTGTGTATAAAATGGAACGAATATCAGCTGCCTTGTGGGACTGTTAGAGTAGATGAAATGGCACAGAGGCACCTGTCTCAGTGGGCATGGACAAATGCTGACCAGACAACTGCAGGGCTCTTGCCATTCCTGCTCTTCAGTCTCCTGTTACTCATTCTTTATACGTTCACCTTGTCCTCCCAAATAGAGTCTCAGGTCCTCCTCGCGGGTATGAGTGGTTCCGTGGGCCTCCTGTAAACTCTCATGTTGCCCAGCACACAGGCCTGTGGACAGTAAATGTTGATTTGCCCCTTTTCTTGGTACTGGCACAGTGGGACTCTTGGGATACCTGACTGCCCACGAGCCTCATTCTCGTTCTTCCCAATCCATGAAGTCCCTTCTCCAGGTGCCTCAGCAGTCACCCTGGTATTGACAAACACTATGTATCCTAGCTCTAGAGCATTTATTTTTAAAACATTAAACGACAAATGAGAGTGCTTACTTGTACTTTTCTTTAGTTTTTTTTTTTTCTTTTTTTTTTAAACAGAATCTTGCTCTGTCACCAGGCTGGGTTGCAGTGGCACAATCTTGGCTCACTGCAACCTCCACCTCCCAGGTTCAAGCGATTCCCCTGCCTCAGCCTCCTGAGTAGCTGGGACTAAAGGCATGCACCACCACGCCCAGCTAATTTTTGTATTTTTAGTAGAGACGGGGTTTCACCATGTTGGCCAAGATGGTCTTGATCTCTTGACCTTGTGATCTGCCCACCTTGGTCTCCTAAAGTGCTGGGATTACAGGCGTGAGCCACCGTGCCTGGCCTTTATTTTATTTTGTTTTTTAAATGAGAGTATCGCCTGAGTCAATATGAACAAATTCAAATACAGATGTATACAGAATGAAAGACAAACACCCTTCTTTACCCCTTCCCAGTTCATTCCTAGCCCCAGAGATGACCACAGTTAATAAATACGTCTTTTATTTCCCCAGCTTTTTTCTCTACATATTACAAATGATCTCTATAACATATGGAAACTTATACATGTGAAAGTTTTCTAGAAAGGTAAATGAGAATATTTTCTGAGACCTAGTTTAGTGTTTTACTTAAAATGTTTCTCATGCCAGACATATTGCTTTTTAAAAAACTAATTATATTTTTACATGATCATACAGTCAAGTGGACTTTCTTTGGGGTGCAGTTCTGTGAATTTTAATATGTGTGTAGATTTGTGTGACCACTGTTCCTACCACGGTCAGGACACAGATCAAGGTAAGTCACCTGACCCTGGGCAGTGCAGTGTTTGTAGGTCTCAGCTTCCTCATCTGGGAAATTAGCATTATCCTCAGCACCCTCCTCTACGCATAACACCCTCTTCATTTCTGGGGACTTCTCTGAGCTCAAATACTGTCAACCTGGTGTGAGCCAAACACGCCCTGGCTTGAACTCTGCCTCTGCCACATACAAGCTGAGAGACACGGGCAGGCATCTGAGCCTCCCTGAGCCTCTGAATTTTCTTCTTGAAAATGGACATGGTGCTATGAGCCGTGAAGGGCTGCGTGGGGATCAGACATACCACATGCAAAGTGCTTAGCATAGCAACAGACTCACAGGAGGGGCTCAACACACGGTGGGCACCATTGTGAACTGTGAGCAGAGAGGCTGGTGCACAGCAAATTCACAGGAAATGGTAACACAATTGGATCGAATGGAGATAGCTGGAGTTTGTTCTGGAGTCTGAGTCCCAGGGATGCTGAAGGTCTTTAGGGCAGATGCCCTGGCCAGTGTTTTCCAGAGGGCCCTGCACTTGACCAGGAGAGCAAGACTGAGGATGGCAGGAGCCAAGAGACCTAGATGCAGATATCTTGGTGTTGTTCCTCCTTGATCACCTCTAATACCTTTGTTAGGCAGCATCCCAGGACTCAGCTCTTGAAACATGAGACAGTAAGGACTTTCTGATCACAGCCAACTGTGCCCTCAGGCTCCGGCCTTCAAGCTGTGGGTCGCCTAGCTTTGGGGGCAGCGTGGCAGAAGGAGCAGCCTCTTAAATATTGAATCACCCCTCCCCAGCCCCACTCCTGCCTGATTTGACTAACAGCCCAAGCTTTAAGTTTGTTTAATAACCTCCTGACACTAAACAAACAACCTTGCAAGAGGAGTAATTTGCAAGGCAGAAAGAAAACAAATAAGTCGCAAGGACACCTCACGGCAGCGCAGCGGCCAAGCTGATTACATTCTGGGGGCTAGCTAAGTCCGACATCACCCGAAAGCATATAGATCTTGGCTCTTCTCCACTCTGGGAAGACTTCAAAAGCACAGGCAAGGGAAACTTTGCATTAGGCCTACGGTGATGGAGCATCATTAGAATTCTGGGGGCGTATTAAATGCCATCTAGTTGTTAACACGATGCATTGTTTTCTGCTAAATAATTGATCACGGTGCAGAGATTGTGTTTGTGGAGTTTAACAAAGTGATTAGAGCAGGGAACATTTCCAGGAGGCAAGCTGCATCTGTAACCCGGAGCCCGTTCCGTGCACACCTTCCTGGCGGGGGGCCACAGGGCATTGAGGATTCTCTCCACACTGGAGCTGGAGTGCAGTGCTAGAGCGCTGACACAGCAGGATGAAGCAGGATGAAGGGTGGCAGCGGGCGGTGAGGGTGGCCTGATTCCAGGCTAACAAGGATCTGGTGGTAGCAGAACCCTTGTAATGGCCTATGGGGTTCTAACAGCCTTCTACCCTATGGGGAGCATTGTGGAAGGCAAGTGTCCTGTCCAGGGAGAGAACAAATGCTGTACCCCGCCCATGGTCCCATGCCCAAGTGGCGTCTCCCGGTGCAATGAAAGCAGTCTGGTCCTGAGAAGAGCTTGTCCTGGGACATTCTCATTTTCTTTTCCTTTTCTGTCCCATTTTCTTTTAAAGGTGCTCTCTTTCTTTCCCTCTTCCTATAAGGATGCACTGTTGGATCTAGGATGTGTGTGAAAAGACATGCATCCTGGTCTTGAGGGACAAGCCGCAGTTCAGACCCTGTCAAGTTGGAGGAGGGGAGAGTTCAGATGAGGGCTGTGGGTGTGTTAGGAAGGTGAAGTTGGTGAGATTTCAGTGGGTCACTGAAATAGACAGAAACTGGAAAGTCTGGTACATAATAGTAAGGCACAAGAATATTTCAGGAATAAATGACACAGCCCTAAGCAAGGAGTTCAAGCTTACACATGATTGACTTTTGTGCCCTTGAGCAAAACTCTAAGACTCAGTTTCCCCATCTGAAAAGAACATGCTTCTCTACGTGTGTGTGTGTGTGTGTGCACTCACGTGATCATTTCTTCCTTTCTTTTTTTTTTTTTTTGAGACAGAGTCTTGCGGTGTCACCCATGCTGGAGTGCAGTGGTGCAATCTCGGCTCACTGCAACCTCCACCTGTTGGGTTCAACTGATTCTCCTGCCCCAGGCGCCTCCCCAGTAGCTGAGATTACAGGCGCCCACCACCACGCCCGGCTAATTTTTTTTTTTTGTATTTTTGGTTCAGACGGGGTTTTCCCATGTTGACAAGGCTGGTCTCAAACTCCTGACCTCAGGTGATCCCCCCACCTCGGCCTCCCAAAGTGCTGGGATTATAGGCATGGGCCACTGTGCCCGGCCCTCATGTGATAATTTCTAAGGGTCCCTCTGACCCTGACATTCTGGGCTTCTACATCAGCTATTCTCATCCCTGACTACATTGGAATCTCCTAAGGACCTTTAAAAATACAGGTGCTGGGGCCCAACCCCCAGAGCGCCTGATTCAGTGGGTCTGGGCATCTGTCCTCTGCAGGTCTGTCCCAGTGATTCTGATGTGCAGCCAGGGACAGGAGCTCTTTCCTCGGGAGAGGAGTGGGTGATATTAAAGTCAGCACAGCTCCGGACTGACTTGCCCTGGCCACGTGGGTCAGAGTTTGGGACTCTGGAGAAAGAAGGGAAAGATGAGCAGCCAGAGATAGTTTCCCAGCTGCTACAGAGTGCTGGGCAAGCAAAAAACACTGCTGAGAGCTCTGCCAGCAGCCTCTGGGAAGATGGAGGGTTCTGGGGACGAGGCACAGGATGGGCAGGAGGCAGCCTTCAGTGCTCTGTGCACAGAAAATGCTTCCTTCACAGAGAGTCAGTGTCCAGGCTGTGGAAACAAACATCTCCCTGCTCGCAGCCTGCACCTTTCTCTCTCTGAATGGCACAGGCCACATGCTGAGGCCTTTGCCATGGCCCTGCCAGTCAGGTGTTTGCCCTGGCCCGTTCCCTCCTCTCCCAAGCTGACCAAGATTGCCCAGCTCATGGGTTCCAAATATCCATTGTGCTGCCTTTGTCCTCAGCACACATGTCCAAGGTGGATTAGGTGACCATGAGTGCCCTCCGCAGCAGCTGGAGAGCTCCTTGAGGACCAGGACTGGTCCTCCCACCTTTCTGGTGTCATAAAGTGTCAGGTGCTTTTGTGAGTTCATGCAGACTCACATCTCACTGCACTGCCTCCACCCCTGCCTCGTATCCGAGTCCCTTTCCCACTCTAGACCCATTTCCTCATCTGAAAACTGAGTGGGCCAGGTTCCTATCGACTCTGATGGTAGCAGGTTCTGAGACAAAGAGGACCACTACTAGTTCCATTGTACAGATGGGATCATTGAGGCTGGGAAAGCCTTGACTTGACCAAGGTTGTTCACCCGGTAGGTGGGCAAGTGACCCAAATCCTAGTTCATTTGCTAGAAAACTTGCAATGGGAAACACAAAATACAGTCCAAGATCATGGAGGCCTCTCCAAAGCTCCAGGCTAGGCAGAAAACGAGCTTCTGTGAGAAGACCAGTGCCTGCTTTGAAAGGAGCCTCTGGCCAGGTGCGGTGGCTCAGGCCTGTAATCCCAGCACTTTGGGAGGCTGAGGCGGGTGGATCGCCTGAGGTCAGGAGTTCCAGACCAGCCTGGCCAACATGGTTAAACCCCGTCTCTACAAAAAATACAAAAATTAGATGGGCGTAGTGACAGGTGTCTGTAATCCTAGCTACTGGGGAGGCGAGGCAGGAGAAACGCTTGAATCTGGGAGGCGGAGGTTGCAGTGAGCTGAGATCTTGCCATTGCACTCCAGTTTGGGTGACACAGCAAGACTCCGTCTCAAAAAAAAAAAAAAAAGAAAAGAAAAAAACAAAAGAAAAAAAGAAAGGAGGCTCCTCTTGCTCTCTCTGGAAAAAGAAAAAAAGAAAGGAGCCTCCTCTTGCTCTCTCTGGAAAAAGAAAAAAAGAAAGGAGCCTCCTCTTGCTCTCTCTGGATGAGACCTAACTGACTCAGCGGGACTTTTCCAGGCTCGGTAAGCGGTAGGTCCGGCCTCTGGCTGGGCTGCCTGTTCCCCTGAAGGACCATGGCTTGGGCCACACCTCCAGCCCTAGCTTGCCTGTTGTCATGTGCTGATGGGCCACCCGCTTAGAGTCTGAGGGAGGTCGGTTTTTAGCGAAAGCTCACAGCAAATTGCCTCGGGAACCCCAGGAAGTCTGTCCTGTGGAGGCGTGTGTCGGCCCTGGCCAGCAGGGGGCGTGGCCTGCGACCTGGGTCACAAAGTTGGGATGAGAAGCAGGTGGTGGGGGCTGGGATTGGGGGTGGAGGCAGGGTCAAAGCCCATGCCCAGGGTGCTCACCGTGTGTGCCTCTGACGAATTCCAGCTGCTACCCCAATCCGCTTTTGTAGGTTGGGGCATTTCATAACAACCAAACTCCAGGCCTGCAGAGCCCTGTGGGGTGATTTTGGTAAAATTATCCTCTGAGTCGTTTTGGTTTGAGATGCCGTATTTGGAACTGGGGGAGGGGAGAATGAGACTCCTCCCTTTCCCTCTGCTAAAGCAAAAATTATTCTGACACTTGTTAAAATGCAAGAAAGACTTTATTCGGGACCATTTTGATAAGTGTCAAGACTACTGCAACAGGGGAGAGAAATGGGGCTTAACTCTGAGTACAGCAAGGACAATGAGGATTTCCAGCCCAGCAGCAGTCAGGGGCCAGGGGATGGAAAATCACTAAGAGGAGACATCAAGGGTAGGGGGATTCTCGCCAACCCAACTTAGCAAGTGTGGTCAGATATCAAGGGTGGGTGGGGGAGTTTGATCAGATATTGGGGGTGGTCAAGTATTGAGGCTGGGGGAGTCTCTCCAAATGGACTTAGCAGGATTCTTGCTAAAATTGGATGAGGCAGGCCAAATACAGTGCCCAAGGACAAAGCCTCACTGAAAAGAGTGCTCCATGGGGCCTGGTGAGTCTTTGTCACCCCCATTCTGCCCATAAGAGCTGAAGTGGTCTAACCTGGTCTCCTATATGCCCTCTCATGCTCATATGCTCATTTTAGTTCCTTCCTCAAAGACAATGTGGTCCAGCTCAGCACTCCTCCAACCTGAGGACTGGCTAAAACACAGATTCTTGGGCCTCACCCCCAGAGTTCTGAAACAGAAGGCCTGGAAACCATACTTTGAGAGCCACTGGTCTAGCCTTCTCCTCCCTCAGTTCCCAGCCTAGCTGGAGGTGTTTCCTGGGAGAAAGGGCTTCAACTGTGGTTTCAGACAGACTTAGAATCTTGGCTGCGGTCTGGCTTTGTAGCCAAGGTGAATCTCTTACCCTCTCTGAGCCAAGATTTTTTGAGATGCCGGGAAAGCAATGCCCACCTCACGGGCTCCAGGTGAGATCTGAATGGGATGACAAACGTTGGTAAAGGCTCTGGCTCAGGCACACCCTCCAAAAAGATTCCTTTCCAGGAGGGGAGCCACAGTAAAGGTGAGGAGTACAGAGTCCATCCAGCCCACCCTCATCCTGTGCAAAGAAGGAAAGGGAGGCCGGGAGAGAGGGACCCCAACCCAGGTCCCATTGGAGGGGCTGGCAGAGCTGGGGCCTGGCTGGGCACTTGGAAGCAATGCCCTTCCTGCCTCCAGCCAGGAGACTGGCAGCCATAACCCACAGCTCAGTAGTGACAGCAAAGCTTCTCAGCACCTGAGCAAGCATCACTGTTAAAAGCAGCCCCTCTCTGCCCAACCCCCAGCACGTGTGAAGGCTGTCACTCACCAAAGCTGTTGAACCACCGAGTCACCACCTCACTGAGAGGCCGCCTCCTCCCTCCTCCCTTAGACAACCTCCTGCCTTCATGGGTTCAGCTGGGGCTGGGGGCAGGTGAGATGTGGGTACTGAGCACACTCCCAGCTCCCACAGGTGCATGTGGCTGGGCAGAGACATGCAGCAGGGTGTCCGCCAGCTCCTGCCTCTGCTCACACGCCTTGACCAGCTTCCTCTTACCTATGGCCAATTTTCTACATGTGCTAGATATGAGCTTTCCCCTCTGCCTCCCCATCCTCCCCATTTGGAGGAGCCTCAGTGGGGACATGCTAGCCCACAGAGATTACCCCAGGGCACCTCAGGAGAGGGCCACCAGCCGCTCCTCCATCTTTATTTTCCACAACTCCCCACCTGGCCCTGGCCTCAAGCTGAGCTCTGGTCCCTTAAAGGGGAAACTCATTCCATGTCTCCTGACATCCATTTGCTCATCTGTGAAATGGATGCCCACAGAAGGCTCGCATATCCTCAGAAATCCTGCCCCGAAGCTGCCCACATGAACGTAGACTTGGTTTGGAGTGGAGGACCTTGCTCAGAGAGAAATGAAGTGGCTTATGAAGGGCCATTTTTGTATCCATGGGCTCCTTCCCAGCTTGGCTCCCTTCTGATAGAAGTTAGAATTACCTGGAAAACAGTTCCACCTGGGCTGGGTTGTGGAGCTCCTACAGGCTTTGCTCACACCCCTCTTGGCTCCCCCACTCTGGTGAGCCTCTGCCTACATTGCAGTCTCCTCAGAGGTGTCTTCTGTCCCTGCCGCCCCTGTCCTTCCCACGTGCTTCATCAGAGTCCCTGCATCGACTGTCATCTGTGTACTTGGCTTTCTCTGCTACTTTGGGACCCCTGAGGGCAGGGCTTGTGGCTCAGTCTTTGCTCCCCAGAGCCCAAGCACTGCCATTGGTGGGGACAGAGCAGGCACCCAGTGCACAGGCAGCATTAGTGGCCTGGAGCCACTGGAGAAGGTTTCCTCCACCTTTTCTCCTGTGTTCTCTGATGTCTGTGCATCCGGGGCTTCCCAGCTCCAAGAGGAACTCAGCAGGTGTGCAGACGACACACACCCAATGCAGCAGGAATTCTGTGCTGGGGTTCTCCAGCAGTTCCCCTCTTGCAGCATTTACTAAAGCAGATACAGGTTGAGGGCCCACAGACCCAAAGATCTAACTTTCGGATGCAAGGATTCCTGTTTGAGAAGCAAGCTAAGGTTAAGAGAGGACCTCTAACCCCTCCAGCCAATGTCCATCACTCACCCATTCATTCTTCTTCCCACCTCCAACCCAGGGACACCTCCCTCCATGCACCAGCCACTCATACACAAAGACAATGAGGATTATTGAGCCCCTGGGTGCATGCAGGGGCTTTGGAGAAATGGTGTCCTCCACTGGTCCCCTTTGGGAAGGAAGCCTCAGGGCCCTGTGTCATGCTCTGTCAGTCACTGCCATCTCTATTCCAGGCATGTGGGGCTCCTCCAGCTCTTCCAATCCTCCAAAGACCCTCTAGTGTCTTTAGCTCAAAGGAATCCTTTGATGTCCTAAGTGACAAAGCCAGGCATCACGGTGGCTTCGGAGGCTGCTGCATGGAGATGATAGCTCCCTGAAGACACGCCGGGAGGGGCAGCTGCCCGCCTGCCAGCACTTCTGGCTGTCTGAAGTGCTTCGTTTCAGCTCCACGTGGGTGTCTTTGTTGTCAGAGCCGCTGCTGCCTGGCTTTCTTGGGGAAGCGCGGAGTCCTGGGCCAGCCCAGCCCAGCTGTGTATGTGAGGCAAGGACAGGGTTTGGGTCTTCCCCAGGAAGCGAGCACCCTCCTTCGCTCAAGGCTGCCCCAAGAGGTCCCTGTCACAGGGTCTGAGCCCTCTATCCCACCCAGGCTGCTCAGCCCTCTGATCGCTGGACACCAGGGTGTGGGTGTGGGGTGAATTTTGCCTCCAAGGCCTTTGCACATCCTAGTTCTAATCCCAGCTCTGCCATTCTGTAGCTGGGTGTCTCCGGGCATGTCTCAGTCTCGTCGTCTGTAAAATGGGGATGATGATGTAAAAATAATACCAACTCCACTGGGTTATTGTGCAGGTTGGGGGGAACAACATGAACCTCTTGCAGATCCCCTGGCACCAGCAAATTCTTAATAAGTAGCAGCTCTCATCCTTTTTTGTCTTCTTCATAACCTAGTGGTGCTCCATCCTGGCTACTCAGCCCAGACTCCAGCCCAGACTAATGACAGAGGAGCTCTGAAGGTGGAGTTTGCTTTTGTGCTTTAAAAAATCTCCCCCAGGTGATTGTAAGATGCAGCCAAGGCACAGAACTCCAGATCTAACCAGATCCCACAGCTCCTGACCTGTATTGCGCAATACGGTAGCTACTAGCCCCACGTGACTACTGACATTCAAATTCATTGAAATGACATAAAACTAAAAGTTCATTTTCTCAGACCACACTAACCGCTTTTCGAGGGCTTAGCAGCTGCAGGTGGCTAGTCCTACTGTATTGGACATTTCCATCCTGGCAGGAAGTTCTTTTGGAGAGTGCTGTAAGACCAGAACTGGCCAATGGCAGTAGAATGCAAGCCATACAGGCAACTAGAATTTCTCTAATTACTACGTTTAGTAAGTAAAAGGAAACAGGTGAAATTAATTTTAATATATCTTATTTAATCCTCTAGAGCCAAAGGGGTGTCATTTCAGCATGAAATCGATATGAAGAAAATTAGTGTTTTTTTTTTTTTGACGGAGTTTTTTTTTTCTGAGACAGAGTTTCGCTCTTGTTGCCCAGGCTGGAGTCCAATGGCACGATCTCGGCTCACTGCAACCTCCGCCTCCCGGGTTCAAGCAATTCTCCTGTCTCAGCCTCCTGAGTAGCTGGGATTACAAGCGCATACCACCATGCCCAGCTAATTTTTATATTTTTAGTAGAGACGGGGTTTCGCCATGTTGGTCAGGCTGGTCTCGAACTCCTGACCTCGTGATCGGCCCGCCTCGGCCTCCCAAAGTGCTGAGATTACAGGCATGAGCCACCGCGCCTGGCCTAATTAGTATTTTTGCATCCATCTTTGTTATTTCGTCTTCAAAGTCTGGTGGGACCGGCATCTTTCCCATGTTCAACACATGTGCCCTGCACAAGGTGGGCACTCTGCAGAAAGCCAGCAATGCGTGAAGCTATTTCAAATCAACATCCTCCTCTTGACAGAATAATATGGCCATGCCTGTGTTAGTGCTTTAGGATGGATGAAGTACTGTGATTGGTGTGTCTTCTGATGCCCTCTAGAGCCCTCTGATCAAGTATTCTAATCCTCAGGCTGGCCTAGACCACACGGCTTGTAGGGTACACAGGTAGCGCCAAACCAGGCTTCTCTCTGATGCTGCTGTTGTATTCCCCGGTTAGTGAGTGTCCAGCCCTGGGCAATGCCATTTATGTTGGCCTAATAGACTGAGTGTCCCTTGGGGACAGAAAGCCTGTCCCATATTTCTGTTTTGCCTATCCTGTGCCTGATATTCCCTCTATCAGCTCACCTGTCCATGGGGAAAGCATGGCCTGAGTAACTTGATGGTGCGGGAAAATCTCTCCACCTGGTAATTGTGAGTCCGGAGATTCCCACCATCATCCCATCCTTACTGCCAAGACATCTATGCCACCATTGCCTCAAATAAATGTAGTGTTGCCAGGGAAGGTTTATGCTGCCACCTGCCATCTGGCATGAGTGCCTTAATATATATTGATTTAGTCATATTTGTTCATAGAAAAGCATGGCCAGGAGGGAATGGGTCAGACAGTGGCTCAATTATGATAAGTGAAGGTGGGGCACGAAGCTCCACTTAAGTGAGGAAAGAAGAGCATGGTAGGGGCAGGTGAGGACACCAGGGCTTGTGGGGGACCATGAGGACCCCAGAGGTGGGCCACAGAAAGGACCTCTGAGAGAGAGAGAATGGAGGGGGCAGAATGCCATGTCCACCTGAAGGTGGGCCTCGCCTCAGCCTCCATGCACTGTGGGGTCCTGGTGCATGGTGCCAGCTAGTGAAAGGGGAATATGACAGCTGAGGCTCCAGAAGACATGCAAAGTGGGGTTCTGCTCACTTCATATTGCGGTCTCTTAGGATTTCAGCTTCTGTTAGAAGCCCAGCAGACAGGGCAGCATTAGGAGTTCAGCTTCTGGCCTTGGCGGCTGGCAGGCAGGCAGGCAGGCTAGGCAGGGGGCATCAACTCTTGCCTGGCTGCTGTGAGTGGTGAGACCATTCTCTGAAGTATACAGCTGGCACCACATAGGAGCAGTTCTCCAATACCCTCACACCTTTCCCAGTCTTTCTGCTGACCTGCTCTGACAACCACTTTCCCCAAACTCTTCCTGATCCTCCTAGCCTCTGTGGAATGTATTTCCAATTTCCCTCTTCTCCCAGAGACCCACACCAGACCTCCTTTATGATTTACACTCAGTGCCCCCCTCCCTGCCCATAGCTCTAAGCTGCCACCCTCCCCAGCTCAGAATAGACCTTGGTGCAACCCTCGTGGCTGCCAGCCCCTCTAGCTTGTCTCGAACTCCTCATTGAGTGAGAACACCTGACTCCACGTCTCCTCTCTAATGGCTTTAGCCAGAGTGACACAGGAAGGGAAAGTGATCTATTGCAGGCATCTGACAGCTTTTCAGATCCAGAGACCGCCAGCCCCGGCCCAGCTGTTCTTTCTCATTCATCTGACAAATTCGCGCTGAGCACCAAATCTGGACCGTGTCCTATCTCATGGCCTTGGATCTGACTTGCTGCGCCTGCACGGATTGGTTTTGGAGAATGGGCAGATGAATTAAGATCATCCAAATGGTTTTCTCTTGCACCAAAATGTCCAAATGCCAGGCAGCTCTGTTCATGGACTCAGCGTTTAATGATCCCTCCCGAAAATCATAATCCATCAATCTCTCCTTTCAAGACCATCAATCAATGTTGCAGAATCCACAGCCACGTTCTCATTCCAGGAGTTTTCAGTCACTTCCCTTTTCCTTCGTGCTTGCAGAACAGTGCACTGACACTAGGAAATTGTGTTTTGACATGAAATCATTATGTGTTTTAAAACCTCTCCTTCAATGTTGGTCTTCTCCTGCCTTCTGCTCTCCCCTGACACATTTCCTGCTATGAACTGCAGTGCAAGCCCCGTTCCTTTGTTAAACTCTCAGGCACAGGGAGGGATGCATGGTCTGAAAGGAAGAAACAGGAAAAACAGCCTGCCCATTTCATCCTGGCACTATCACACTATAATTAATTTGTCTCCTCCAATCGAAGCCCTGCTAGTATGTTTCCCTCAGGGATGTTTAAGGGATTGGTGAGGGTGGGAGGGGCTGGACTGGGGCTTGAAGTGCCTGTACAGTGAAGTTGCATCATAATTAGGTGTGTTTAATGTGCAAAGTTAACTATATGTCTCCAGCAATCAGTCAACCAATCAATCAATAAGTACAAAGGGAGATTGGCTATATATAGTATGGCGATTCTGCCCATGGACCTCCCCTCACACCAGCCCAGAGTGAGGGTGAGTTGGGAGGTGTGTGCTGGCTGCTCCCTAGGTCCTGGCTCCTGCACGCCTCCCCAGCGCTAGCATCTCCCTTTGCTGATGCAGATTCTAGGGTTCAGAGACTTATATTCTTTGTACAATGAGCCCCTAAACACATGCTAATTACTGATATGGCACTCAGCCAAAGACGAGTGCTGAAAGAAAAATGGACAGATCAGGCTTCCAGGAAAGTGCTATGTGTCTGTCTGTGTCTTTCCCAAGGTGTTTATTTTCATGGGAAATTGTGGTTCTAAATGATTCTCAATAGCCTTGCCGACTTTAGATCTTAAGTCCCCTAGGATGTGCCTGGGCCACATTTGGGAGACTCAGTGCAGCATAATCACATCCGGCCTGGGGGAAACAAGCTTTACATGGCCTCTAACTAGCAGCGTCTTCTAGAGCAAGTTGCTTGACTTTTCTGAGCCTCAGTTTTCTCATCTGGAAATGGGGGCCATTAACACCAACCTTACAGAGTTTGACAAGAGTGTTGAAGACAAAATATGCTTCTGTGGGATCTAGCAGGTGTGCAGCAAATGATGGGTTTTCTTATCATTATGGATAAATGACTTCTTGCCGAGGAATGCTGAGCTGCCAATGTCACCAGAGGTGCTTCATTTAAAAAAGAATAGAGGCTGTTAAGTTAGTTTTGCCGAACAACAATAACTTACACTGTAAATAATTGATGCTGTGAGCAGACTTCCAGTGCTCACACCCAGGTAAGGTTTAGGAATGACGGCTCCACATTCTAAATCGCCTCATTTTTCCCTTGTTGAATAAATGGAGTCTTTGCTGGCGGTCAGAATGAAAGTCACCCAAGTATGACTTACAAAGAAAGTGCCACTGGGGGAAGGTGGCAGGCTTGCTCCCTTGCTGCTGGGGCTGGGGAGGTACCCCTGCTGCCCCTGTGTGAAGCAGCCATAATTTGCACCCAGCACCCAAAGGCTCCCCTTTCAGAGGCCCTCTCTCTCTTTTTGGCAACCACTGCTCCAGGCAGCTTCGGGCTGCTTCTCAGTTGTACTACGTTTTTACTAAGAATTTCTTCTCTGGTCTGCCCTCCTTTGGAAGTGTCCTCATTTAAAACCCACTTGACTATGATCTTGGCTAGGGCCCCCCACCCCATCCACCATTTCAGGAGTATTTAGGTGTGCATTATGTGGAAGAGAAGCAGTCTTCCTGTGAGCTACCCCACCCTCATTTTGTAGCCAAGCAAGGTGAGGCTCAGGGTTAGGAAGTAAATCTCCAAGGCCTCACAGCCACTTTTACCCTGACTCATCCACGCAGCTGAGACATGCTGGGACCTCAGGCAGGTAAGGATCTAGGACTCAGAAACTGATATGGGACTAGTGAAGGTGGAAGAAACAAAATTCACGTATCTGTGCTTCAAGCGGAGAACGTGGACTGGCTTCTCCATCTTGGGTGCTGATTTTGTGGGGAGGGTCTTATCTAGGGGAGGGGGCAGGACAGCAGCAGGAGCCATGGGTGGGGTGGCAAGTGAAGCTGTTTGGGAGGCCTGTCCATGATCTGGATGTTCAGTAGCAAAGGGGCTGGGGGTGGGGCTGGCCCCAGAGCAGGAGCTGGCTGGAGCAAGGGAGAGTTTTAGGGCTCCCGCAAGGGATGGGATAAACCTTTCCCCTTATTGAACACCTAAGACGTGCCAGGCACTGGTCTAAGGATTTTTCATGTGTTAACTCCACAGGCAGCACAACAGCCCTCGGAGGCATGTGCTGATATTTATAGATGAGTGAGCAAGGTCTCCTGGGGGTGCAGTTGCTTGTCCAAGATCACACACCTAGCAAGGGGAGCATCAGGCCTCCAAAGAGCACCTGGGGCTCTTGATGCCTGGCTCCAGGTCACCAGGAGAGGGAGGATGAGGAAACTGAGGCAGACACTGCCCTGGGAGACAAGGCCGAGATGCAGAGGGGTGGGGCAGGGAGTGAGTGCAGGCAGGAGCTGGCCGAAGCCCAGCATGGCCCAGCTGACCAGGTGAGCGCCCTGCCTCATGCAGGGAGAGGGAGAACCTTGGCCAGGTGAGCTAGAGGGCAGATCCCAGCCCCAGGCTCACTTCATGAGGCCGCAGCTAAGGCTCTGCACCCGGGACTCCTGGTCAGGCCTATAGTGGGGTTCAATTTCAGCAGTGGGCTCTGGGTGGACGCATCCTTTCCCTGTGGGGCCCCATGAATTACATGGCCAGGTGACCCTCCCACTGGCCGACATGAAAGACCAGCCTGCAGGTGCCTGAGGGAGGCCCCTGACACTGTTATAGGAACTTGCCTGCCCCAGCATTTTAGTCAAACTGCCAGTAGGGCCACCTGCTTTCTAGTTCAGTGAGGCCTCCCTGGGAAGGAACTTTAAAAAGATTTCAAATCATAACTATGCTCTCCTCTGCTTAAGTTGACAAATGTTTTCTTCCCCTCCATCACAGCAAGGGCACATACAGAGAAGGATAACATTGAGAAAAGAGGGTTCTGGCTGTCAGGCCAAAAGGGGACAATTAACCCTTACTTAGTCAATTTCTTCCTGCCAGAAGAAGCATCTTTGATAAGCGTGCCCAGGGACAGTTTGCGTTTTCTCCCCTCCAGTGACACCAGGCTCACCGGCACAAGGGGCTGTTTATTTTTCTCTCCAATGTGTCCGTTGTATCCACCCTTTCCTTTTTAGCTCCAAGCATAACCTTGGCTGCCCCCTCGTCCTCCCTGCTGGATTTCTGCAGTGACCTCATAACCGGACTCACCTCTCCACCCTACACTTTCATCCTGTAACCCTCCTTCTCCCAGAGTGACCTTCCTGAAGCTCACTGGAAGACCGTAGTTTGCCTCAGCTGGGCACCTTTCCACCTCTTCTGATGTCAGCAGCAGATCTTCCCCGGGCACTTCGTCTCTCCATTTCTGGGGAACTGTGTCCTAGTTCCATCCTATCCTAGCAACCTGTTCCTCTTGCCATGGGTGCTGGACTCAAGGGGTGGGCTGGTCAGAGCCTTCCCTTGGAATTGTGGCCTTGGGGAGGAGGAAGGCATGGCAAAGGCATCTGCTCTTCTGGGCAGCTATGGCAGTGTCCTGGCCACCTGTTCCAGTGCCATGGTGCTGAGTGACCAACAGCTACAGGTGCTTGTGCCCTAGAACAGTCTTGTGGTATGGATGGATGTTTGCACTACCCCCTCTGTTCTTGGCTTAGCAGCATATAAGTTCCATTCTGAAATCCTGGGAGCTGCTTAATGCATGTTATCGAACTTTTTAATGCTTGACCCAACTAAAAGAGATTCTGTCAACTGCAACCTAGAATCGCTACCAACACAGAAGGCGGCACAGAGAAACCCCATAGTGGCAGATCTCAAGCTTTAAGATGCAGTTGTGTTTGACACCAGATGCACCACCATCTTTCTCAGCTATGTAAGCCAACAAGTTCCCTCACTTCCTCACGTGGTAGAAGAAGATGTGTTTCTGAAACTTGCAAGCAATTGAGTCCCGGATAATGTGAGTGTTTTTGGCATCTCCAGTGACCCTCATGTAGGCTGCTCACTGCCCCCAAACCTCCCATTTCATTTTCACTACTTTCTTTGCTCACACAGCGCCCTGCTGGAAGACGTTCATTCCTTGCTCTTCAGGTTGCAGGGTTTCTGTATTCACAGAAACCCTACGGTTGACACATACAAGTTTATTCATTTATTCCCTTCTCAACATTGAAGACCCACATTTCTTCAGGGCAATATTCTGGATGAGAGAGTACAGCAAGGTAGAAGTGAAGTGGTGGATAATTCTTTCTCTACACATCAGACATCTTTGTAATAAGTGCCTTATGCAAACCTTCTCATTTAATTCTCATAACTCGCAAGGAAGGAGTATTAGTATTGTCATTTTGTGGCCATGGAAACTGAAGTTTTGGGAACTTAACTGACCTTCCCAAAGTCACAGAGGTCTGGAGTGGTAGAAGCAGCTCCTTCCTGTGTTCCTCCCTAGATGGCTACATCCACGAGGCATGGTTCCCATTCTTAAAGGGGCAGCCTTCACTGCTGGGACCTGGAATACACTCCTAGATGGGAACATGGCTACTGTATGCAACTTAGCAAACATCATTGGGTGTCTGCTACATACAAATTGTGGGGTGTTTCTGCAAAAGCAAAGGAATTAAAATAAGATGTAGTCCCTGACCTTAAAGGGCACAGTGTAGAAGCGAAGAAGGGCAGGCATTCAGAGATCTGTTGCTCAGATTGCAGAGAATGAACAGGAGAAAGACAATGACTTTGAACTGGGAGCTCTTGGGCTGGGCCTTGAAGGTCACTCAGTGTCAGGTAAGTGGTGAACACAATCCAAGTTACAGAGCTCAGATGGAGAAGCACAGACAACCATGGGCTGGGAGATCAGGGAAGACAGCCCTTCCCTGAGCCTGCAAGCAGGGTAAAGGATGTGATAATTGTATGTTGCTCCATCTCATCTCTCTAACTGGCATAAAAACTTCTTGATAAGCATTTTTGTACAAAAACTCAGCAGCATTTAGTGAATTCTGTCCATGCACCAAACACTGTGCCCAGTGTTTTATTCCAAGCCTAATTTTCTTTTCCTCTGTAAAATGAGAGTGCTCATAAGAGCTAGATTTTCATGGAGGATTAGTATGGTTTGGAAATCATTTGGCATCTAAGCAGTGCTCACTGGGTGGGTGGGTGGTAGATGCTATGGCTGATCATTATAATGACCCCATACAAAGGCTTTTTTTTTTTGTTTTTTTGAGACCAAGTCTTGCTCTGTCACCCAGGCTGGAGTGCAGTGGCACCATCTCTGCTCACTGCAACCTCCACCTCCTGGATTCAAGAGATTCTCCTGCCTCAGCCTCCTGAGTAGCCAGGATTACAGGTGCGTGCCACCATGCTCAGCTAATTTTTTTTTTTTTGGTATTTTTTAGTAGAGATGGGGTTTCACAGGCTGGTCTCGAACCCCTGACCTCTGGTGATCTGCATGCCTCGGCCTCCCAAAGTTCTGGGATTACAGGCATGAGCCACTGCGCCAGGCCAAAAAGGCATTTTTAACTACAGATGAGAAAGACTGAGGCTCAGCGGCATTATGAGGCTTATTGGGGGTCCCTGGGCTTCTTGCAAACAGAAGAGGGCTATCAGGCCAGAACTGTTCACTCTTCTTCCTGAAAGGGGCTCTCTGGCCTGGTAGTCAGTCTCTGACAGTGGAAGAGTGTCTGGTGACTGGGAATATACCTTGTTGGCCCTTTCCTGGGGAAGGTTCTCAGCCCAGCAGCCTGGCAGTCTAGATGTGGGCCTGGCTGGCTGTGACTTTGTAGAGGTCACTCATCCAGGAACTCAACCCTTGGGTCTGATGTCTGAGGCCAGTGCTCTTGGGGTACAGATGTGGATGGCAGAGGCCCTGGTGTGGGTGACGGGGAGCATCTGGGAGACAGCGGTCCACCATCCCTCTCCTGGACTTGTGTCTGGCCCCCACTAACAGAAGAGCATAGGATGGTTTCCACCTTAAGGTCCTATGAGAGGAGGGGTGACAGTTGCCCAAGGGCGGGCAGCATTCTTCTCAACTCAGAAGGTTCACTTTGACTGGGGCACACATCATGTCACCCTAGGGGACAGGAAGCAAAAGCAACAATAAAAGTTGCACCAGCAGCAGGGGCTACGGGACAGAGCTTTTTTTTTTTTTTTTTTTTTTTGCCTTTTTTATGGGCTTCTCCAAAGGAAGCCAGACCTGGAGGGGAGACAAATGCTGGACACACAGGGAAGCTAAGAGAACTTGTGGGGACAAACTTGAGAACCTTCTGAGGACTTCCAGAAATAATCAGGGAGACTTGAGGGCTAGGTCACGGGTCCTGAACGAGTGGGTAAAAGAAGTGAGGTTCAAGAGAAACCTCATTTCAAAGGCTATGCCTAGCATGGGCTGGGCACACAGTGGGTCCCCAACCGTACTTTCTTGTTAATGCATTCATTAGGGCCACTCTCATTAGTGGGGATGTACATGCTGACTTGTTCTCTGCATCCCAATCAAATGGAAACCTGCGTGGAATGACAATGCAGGCTTCTGAGGAAGCGATGCAGTCGCTGTGGCTCTGAGCCTCCTTGGGGAGCTGGTCTGCCAGCTCTCCTAGCTACCTGGGGCAGAAGTTGTTCTCACTGCTCAGAGCTGGGCTGCTGCTGGCTTTCTTTGCACTGGAAAAGCTCAGCTCCACGTGCTTGCCTAGCCCCCTAACTTCCAGCAAGAATGTTTGGGACCCGAAGGGGAGACCAAGGTGTCTGCAGTGGCCAAGGGCTCTTCTGAGTGAATCTCTTGTTTGATCTCCCGGAACAGAAACTTAGAGCAGATTCTATTCCAGCCCCTCAACATACGTGGTCCTCAAATGGACTGAGGGCGGAGGAGCACAGCAGTGCAAAAGGGATGGTGAGGAGCAGTGGGTGGTGATGGGGGAGGAGGTCCTCTCTCCTCCCTGAGCAGGGCTGCCATTCCATCCACTCAATTCCAGTACATTTGATTCTGAGCCACAAGTGGCTTGTTCCTCTCCAAAGAAGCATTTGAATTTTAAAAGAGGACCCTGGAGAGGAAACACTTAACCCAAAGGAATGAATATTTAATGCCGGCATTTCAGGTTCTGGCGGGGAGAGCTCTTGGGGGGCCTTTCCCGATGTTCCACAGAGTACACCCCCAGCCGCCTACCTCCTCTGCTCAGGATGAGGCCAGCCTGGCAGCAGCTGCTGGGAGAGAATGCAGTTCTGGGCTGGGCTCAGTTTTCCTCTAACTCTGTGTGTCCCCAAGCAGGCTGTGGGGGTACTTGTTGGGCCCCAGCTGGCTTCAGTGTTAAGACTCTCAAAGGGGTGGCTCAAGGGATAAATTGTCCCCTCTTTTTCTTTTTCTTTTTTATAAAAATTGGGCCTGCAAGTCCCTTCAGGTGGGGCCACACTCTCCTGCTCAGCACGCCGCCCCCACTTTCTCTTGTCTTATACAACCCCTGCCTTGTGTGTGTACTTTACCCTCTGCCCTAGGAGTGTTTGATTATGAGACCCCCTGCTTTCACGAGGTTGTCATGGGGACCAGGGGCAGCTAGGAAAGGTTTGGGGGCTGTGAGCTGTGCATGGATGCAGAAATGAATGGGATGACAGCTCCACTCTATTTTCTGTCTGCCAACCTCAAAGCTGGGCTGGGAACCTGACATAGGTAGACTCATGTCATTTGCCCACAGCAAGGAGGACATCCCCATGTAGAAGGGGTGGGGACAGAGGCTCAGAGCAGTTAGGTGACTCGTTAAGTCATTGGCTGGTAGGGGTGGAGCCAGGGTCTGAATGGAACCCTAATGCCCACACTCTTTCCTCTTCACATGTGGCTTCAGCACCTCTCCTGAGATGACGACTCAAGCCTTACTATGGGTCGTCTTACAGTGGGGGCTTCCTGGGTGATGTGGCTGTTTGGGGAGTACCCTCAGATGGGTGGCATTGTCAGATATGAGCTCCTCATGTGATGGAGGAGAAGACAGGGCCTCAGTTTTTCTTAGGCTTTAGTAGGGAATTCTGAATCCAGGGATTTGTGCTCCAAGGGCTTCTATAAAGTGGGGCTGCCATTCAGTGTGCTCCTTGGCCTCTTTCTGGATGGAGGTGTAGAATAGATCAGTTTCCCCTTCAAAGTTTAGCCTGTTAACTTTCTTTAAAATTCAAGAGGGAGAAAATTGTGAAGTACCGTGAGTTCTGAGTTCCTCTCCAAAGAACCAATGTGTCAATATGTTCAGCTTCCCCGTTCTTTGTTCTCCATTTTAAAGTTTAACTTCCTCATTCTTTGTGTCTCCTTGCCCCTAGCCTCAGTAAACAACCCCCTCCTAGCCTCTATCACCTGCTCTGAACTTAGTCATCCTTGGTCACCTGCTCTGTTCTTAGTCATCCTGAGTCACCTGCTCTGTAACCGCCCTTCCTGCCGAACTACTCACCCTGCCACTCTGGCTCATATTCCTGCTCTCTTTAAAATAGCCAGTCAGAATTAGCTTGGAATGTGTGGTCCAATCCTAGCCAATAGGGGAAAGACACAGCAGTAGGGACTAGCTGCGTTAGGGTAAGAAGCCCTTCCCCTCCCTTTTCCGGTGTGCTCTCGCCACTGCTCCATCCGCAAGACACACCCTTCTATAGAAGTAAATTGCCTTGCTGAGAAAACTTTTGCCTAAGTGCTATTTTCACTTGGTGGCACCGAGCACTTACTTCCAACAGAGGGCTTAGAAGACAAATTAGGGATCATCTGTGCCTGTTGCTGTCTACTGGGGTGGCAGGACTCCTTTGCAAATGCCTGGCTGGTTCAAACATTGCAGCAGTGGCTGTGACCACATTAGGACTCCCTGCTTGCAGGACCACCCATTTGGGTATAGGCCCCACAGCTTAGGAAGTTGTCAACAGCTGGTGGCAATGGCAGAGTCAGAGGGCTGTGTCCTTTGAGCCTGTTCCTTCTCTCTTCCTGGCCTTGTCTTCCTGCCCCTCCCTTGGGATTCTGGCTCTGTCCCTGAAGCCCATTCCCCCTGCCTCAGGCCTTGATGCCCACAAATCTATCTACTCCATAAATGGTCTCATCAGACAAAGCCCATGGCCAGCCTGGGCTGGCAGAACCATTGCAGGCTTTTCAGTCAGACCCACGTGAGTTGGAAGCCTGGTTCTCTGGTTTACATCGCGAAATTGGGCAAGGTACTTCATCTCTCTGAGATGCGGTTTCCTTATCTTCAAAAAGGGTATGATGATGCCTCATAGGGTGTTTAGGCAGATTGAGTGTGTATAACAACATATTTTAAATTGTGCTTTACAATGGCCTTGCTTTTTCATGGAGGATTAGCACTCTGTCCTGGATGATTCTATATGAGTACCTAAAAGAGGCTCTTCAACATATTCTTGTTTGCCCGATATTCTTTTGCAAGAATGGACCATGATTTATTTAGCAGTCTTCTTCAGATGGACATTTAAGTTGTTTACAATATGTTGTGATGATAAATAATTCTGGGATAACAGTTTTGTATATTCATCATTTTACCCATATGTATCTGCTTATGTGCAACCTGCTCCTTTCCTTAGGAGTTTCCTCTCCTTGTCTTCTCTACCTGTGCAGGCATCTTACTTACCCTGCAAGGGCAGCTCCAAGGCTGCCTTCCTGTGAAACCCTCCCTGAATTTCCCAGGAGGGTCACGTTGCTCTCCTCCAGAGCCTGGTGGTTCCCTGTTCATATTTCCAGGTAGACTCCTATTCTCACATTTTAATCACTTAATTTGTATGTCTGTTTCTCCTTCTAAATTGTGAACTCCATGACCACAGGACTGTTTTTGACAGCAGAGGCTGCACATGTATCCCCAGTGCCTAGCCCATTGTTTTTCACATAGTAGGAGCTTAACTTTTTTATGCATCATGAATAAATGAAACACAGTCTCTGCCCTCAGGGAACTGATGGTCAATGGAGGAAATAAGTCATGTACACAGATAATTATAATGACAATGCAAGGCAGAAAGCACTATATGCCAGCAGAGGTACAGATTATTCTGTTTGGTGCTTCTGAGCCTTGACTGCAAATGAGAGTCACCTGGGGAGATTTTTAAACACTATGCCTGAGCGCTATCCTCAGAGAGTCTGGTTTATTTGGTCTCACGTGGAGTTCAGCAACTGGTAATTAGAAAGCCCTCAGAGTGATTCTACTGCTAGCCAGGGTCAAGAACCACCCCTGAAATATTGCTCAAGTCAATGACTCTCCTGGGGAACTTGCAAATTCCTCAGGGAACTCCTTTCCTGGGGAAATGCAAATTCTGACTCAGCATGTCTGGGTGGGGCCTAAGGCTTGACATTTTTTTCCCGTTTTTTCCCCCAGCTTTATTGCAGTATGCTTGACAGATAAAAATTGTTCATATTTAAGGTATACAATATCATGTTTTGATATATATACACATTGTCAAATGATGACCATAATCAAGCTAATTAACATATCCATTACCTCACATAGTTATTATTTTTTCTGTGTGTGGCAAGAACATTTAAGATCTACATTTTTTTTTTGAGACAGAGTTTGGCTGTGTCACCAAGGCTGGAGTGCAATGGCACGATCTCGGCTCACTGCAACCTCTGCCTCCCAGGTTCAAGCAATTCTCATGCCTCAGCCACCCGAGTAGCTGGGATTACAGGCCCACACCACAATGCCCAGCTAATTTTTGTATTTTTAGTACAGACGGGATTTCACCACATTGGGCAGGCTAGTCTTGAACTCCTAGCCTCAAGTGATCCACCCACCTTGGCCTCCCAAAGTGTTGGGATTACAGGTGTGAGCCACCGAGCCTGGCCAAGACCTACATTTCTAACAAGAGCCCAGCTAATGCTCTTGCTGCTGGTTGTGAACCATGCTTTGAGTATGCCATGTTCTCAAGCAGCTGTTGCTAACCCTGGTTGTACATTTGTGTTCCAACTTCCGGGCTGATCTCCAGACCAATTAAGTTCAGAATCTCTGGAATTGGAAACCTAGGCATCAGTATTTTTAAAAGCTCCCAAGTAATTCCAATGTGAATGAAGTATGCCCTTCTAGCTGTGTGGAAAGATGGGTGTCTTGGAAGGGATGGCACTTCTGGAAGTGGGACAAGGGCATTTCAGGGGAGGAAACCTGCTTGACTCAGAACCACTAATTGTTCTTCTAGTTCTAATACTCTAAGAAAACCATGATTGTACTGGAGGATGGGAGACCTGGGATCCAGTTCTTGTTCTGATGGGAAGCATCTATATGCCCTTTGGCAGTTCATTCATTCATTCATTCATTCATTCACTTATTTGTTTGCTGTCAAGTATTCTGTGGGGTCTGGGGAGACAGCATTGAAGAAGACAGACCTGATCCCTACTTTCATGGGGCTCCCTGGGTAGTAGTGAATTCACACAATAACAGTAGTAATTATCATAGAGCATGATAAATGGTATGATAGGGAAAGTATAGGACAATGCTCTGGATTCCTCACTGATGAGATGGATAAAGATAATGAGGCTTTCCCTTTCTACTTCACAGGATAAAATGACTGTCACATGGGATAATGAGTTTTGGGAGGCTGTGCAAAATTGTATAAAGGTCTGAAGGAATGTCACACATGGAAGCTCAGAGTGTGTGTCTAATAGGACAGAACTGATCCACCTGACAGGCAGGCATGTCAACAAGACCTCAGCCACCAGCGTTTTTCTGGATTGCTTTGGGTTTTTGTCAGGAGCCCTGATTTTAACCCTAATGCTCTCCATGGCCCCCAACACCCACACAGGCACTTAGTGGAGTGTGGTTTTCAATGGGGTTGGTTTTATATAGAACCTTCATTTATCACAACCCTCAGGATGACACAGCTCTTCTGGAAGAGGTATGCAGAATGATCCTGGAGGAGCAGCAGGGAGAGGTGTGGGCCACCAACCTGCCAGCTGCTGGGGACCTCCAACAACCTTCAGCTCGTATCTGGGCCAGCTGGGGCTGCAGAGCCTGGATTTCCAGCTGACATTGCAGGTGGTCCTTGGCCTCAGCTGCCTGTGTGAGACGGCATGCAGGTGACTGCAAGGCAAGCTTTCATTCCTCTTCATTTTTCAAAGCCTTTAACCTCCCTTGCAGCTAGGATGCTCCACTGACACCACAGAGTAGTATGGGAAACAGGACAAAAAAAATGCATCCTTCCTCAGGGTGGCTTTTGGTTGCTTGGTATTTGTTATTTCCAATTAGGCCCAAGTTAACTGGACCATGGCATATGGGTGTTCACCATGGATGTTTCTTGTCCTTTCTCCACTGCCACTTTCTGAATCCAGGGCCTTACCTCCTCAGCTCTGACTCCTGCAAATAGCTTTCTGACTGTGTAACTGCCCCTGGGATCAGCCCTTTCATTGCCCCCATATGCTGCTGACAGGATGTTTCTAAAGCACAATTTGATCTTGTCACTTTCCAAGTCAGAGCATTTTGGTAATTTCCCACTTCCTACCAAGTCAGGTCCAAACTACTGTCTGCTTCCAAAACTTTCCATCATCCTCCATTGTCCCTAGCCCCTTAAAATTTTAGCCCCAACTAATTGAAAAATGTATCCCTGTTTCAGACTGCCAGTGCCCTCATTTCTCCCCTCTACTTCCCCCACCTTCAAACACACACACACACACACACACACACACACACACACAAGCCCACATCTAGGGGTAAAGCACATTATTGCCCTACCTAGAATGTTTACATTACCATCTTTTTATCTAAATCCTGTTCATTCTTCAAGGCTCACTTTCCTCCCTCCCATAACAAACATCTACTATACTTGCCCTGACCCCTCATGCAGTTTGGTATCACTTGCTCACTCTCTGTGTCACATGTGCTCATTATGTTTTCACAGCAGACGTTGTGTGCCTTGAGTACAGGAACAAGCTAGTCATATGTGCATATGCTGTCAGCATAAAGCTGTGCATAAAGGAGGCTCAATGAGTTAGTTGGTTGAATAATAAATCCCTTTTAACAGACCAATAATATCAGTCAGAGGGGCCAGTGCTGCAAGTGGCATGTAGGGATGACAGAGACCCAGTGAGGGAAAGAGAACACCTATGGAAGTCAAACAACAGCAAGATGAGACAAGCTTCCACTATTAGAATACCATTAAATGGAGAAGAGAAATTAGTTTCGTTCAGTAGGCCCTTAATGAGCATCTACTATATAATCAGCATAAATCCCCTGCCCCAAAGGAACTCAAAGTTTAGCTAAAGTGAGAAACCCATATTCAGCCAAATACAACACACTGTGATGCCGTGATAACATGACCTAGGGCTACAGGAGCATCAAACAGCAAAGAAATAATAAGTGATCTTCCGTTGACCTGCTTTGGTTGTTGATTGGGGTCAAAGAAGTCACTATCAGAAGCAAGTGGCTGCTGTCAGGGAATTAGAAAGTCAGAGGCAGGATGAGGACACAAGAGACAGAACAGTGTTATAGAAAGAGTATGGGCTTTGGAATAAGCAAGACTTGGGTTTAAACTCCAGCTCCATCCATTACTGTAATAGCTGTGTCACCTCAAGTAAACAGCAGTTCCCTCACCTTTACAATGGAGATAACAATACCTATTTTCCAGGCAGTGAAGAAAAGCAAGATAATGCAGGCACTGCACTTAGCACAGTCCTTGGTACACAGTGAGAGCTAATGGATTTGAGCTGCCATTTCCCAATACCAAACCTTTCGGACTCCTGGGCCAGAAGGAGCAGGCTCAGGCCTTCAGCACCACGGACAGCGCCAAAGGGGCAAGTTGGCTGTTCCTTCTAAATCAGAAAAATCATAGGAGATAACAGTTACATAGAATTTCTTTGCCAGAAACGTTATATATATATTAGCTTAGTTAATTCTCACAACAAATCTACAGAGAAAATATTGCTTTTTTCCTCATTTTAACATATGAAGGAACCAAGGCACCGCAGATAATTAATTGTCCAAGGTCACGGAGGTAGTAAATGATGGAGGCAAGATTTGATCTCTGACAGATTGGCTCCATAGCCCATACTCTATTGCCACTAGGCTATGCATTGTCAGGTCTTCAGGATGCCCATGTTCTTTGAGGTGGGACAGGTGGGACTGGCAGGACTGTCCTTTTCGTTTCCTCACAGCTCTTTCTCCAGGGATCCCCTTTACTTTGTTTGGTTCTGAGGGCAGGGCCTCAGCCAAGTAGTATTCTGTTTTTGTTATGGCCACACCCAGCATTTATGTGCCTGGTTCTCTTCTTTCTCCAAAATCCCCCACCCCAGGCCCCTCTCCTCACATATTTCCCTCCCCTCATCTATTCTCCCACCTTTCCCTCACAGTTGGGGGTGAAGGAGGAAAAGAAAAAAGAGTGAATTGAGTAGGAAAGAGAAAGAAAGGCTGAGATTAGAAGAGGTCTCAGGAGAGAGGGAGGAATAGGAGAGTGAGCAAGAGAGAGAGAGAGAGAGAGAGAGAGAGAGAGAGAGACAAGAGCCTGAGAGATGGTCATGTATTCCAGTGACAGTACACCAGGAGTAAAGAGGGGGCAGAAGAAGAGAGATGGGAAGAGAATGAGTGAGGAGTGAGGAGGGAAAAATAAGTTAGAAGGAAGCAGGCATAGAAGATGGAAGGAAAAAAAAAACGAGGCAAGGGGTCAACAGATATGAGTAAATGAGTAAATGGAAAGAGTATATGAGAGGAGAAGAGAATGTGAAAACTGAGAAGAGACATGTGATGATGTGGAGAGAGGCAGGGAGAGAACTGGGAAGGAGGAGCTGTCAAATAAGTCTCAAGTTCTGTTAAGCAGTGAGCTTACAACACATGTCTCCCAGATGGAGCTAGAAAATTGCCCCTTCCTGAAGGAAGGAGAGAGCAAAAGCAATTGCTCTCTCCTTCCTCAGGTCTGGAGGTCCAGCAAATTCAGGGAGAAGGGTGGGAAACTCTGCCAGTCTACTATAGAATCATGAAATCTTGCAAATTTTAAGGATCCCTGAGTTTTCCTTTCTTTGGTCAGACACACTCTTGTCCACTCAGCCATGCCCACTCTTTTGCACCCTTTTTCCACCACATGGGCAGAAAAGAGTAGGCATGGCTGAGTGGAGAAGAACAATCAGGAGGGATTGCTGCCCTCCTGAAAAGAGCTGCTATCTGCCATCACCCTCTGAGCCTTGCCTATAATTGTGAAATGAAAAGCATTGTCCTTTTACGGAAATGTCAGGAAGCTAGTGAGATGGCATTGCTATAAAGAGCTACCTAAGACTGGGTAATTTATAAAGAAAAGAGGTTTAATTGACTCACAGTTCCACAGACTGTCAGAAAGCATGACTGGGGAGGCCTCAGGGAACTTACACTCATGGTGAAAAGTGAAGGGGAAACAGGCACATCTTACATGGCCACAGAAGGAGGAAGAGAGTAAAGGGGGAGCTACACACTTAAACGACCAGATCTCCTGAGAACTCACTCACTATCACAAGAATAACAAGGGGGAAATCCTCCCCCATGATTCAATCAGCTCCCACCAGACTCCTCCCCCAATATTTGGGATTACAATTTGACATGACATTTGGGTAGAGACACAAATCCAAACCGTATCAGATGGATTTTTGCAGACCCTGTTTGGTCATCTGATAACTTGAAGGCCTGCCCTCTGGAGGAAGGACAGGGGAAGCATTGATACTTCTTTATCTAAAGTTTGTCCCTGTGAGTCTGAGGTGAGGAGGGTGCATGGTATCACCCAAGTCCTCACTTCTTTTAAACTAGCTGCAACTAATTCTACTATCAAGAACCAGAGAGCATTTATGGAACATTTATGCGTGCTTGACATGGTGCCAAGTGCCTTTTCACAATGTCTTGTGTAATCCTCATAAAGACCCTGAGAAGTAGGCATCATTAATCCCCAACTTTGCAAATATAAAGCTGGGGCTGGGGGAGGTTAAATAACTTATGCAAGACCACGCAGCTAGTGAGTGGTAGAGCAAGGAACCCATTTATTCAGTCTCTAAGGCCTGTGTTCTTTCCATAATGAGGTAAAATCATGTCATAATATTGTCTTCAGAAGTGAGGACACCTTTTACCATAAAATTGGGAAGCTTGAATGTGAAGTGGCTGAGACCATGAAAGCCTTGCTTATAAGACATGTCTCATTGTCTCAAAGGAGGCAGAAATATCCCTGTGTCAACCCTTATGGGGAGTTAGTCCTAAGAAAAAGAAATGTATTGTTAATTTCTGTGCCCAGAAGAGGAGCCCATTTGTATTCCAATCACGCAGGGAAGAACTTTTTTCTAATTTCCACAAAGGCCCCAAACAATGTTTTAACTGTAGCCTTGTAGCCCTGTTCTTTCTCTTTTCCTTTTCATTTTCAAATGTATTTCCCAGACTTCTACTTCCAGAAATAGTTCTAGCTGTTTAAGTATCTGGTTTTGGATTTACCTTCCCACAAAATGCAACGTCCAATGTCAAGCATTGGACAACAGGAAGCATAGGATTTTGATTCTTGAGAGAAGGAAAACACAAAAGATGTGTCCCATGACTTGCCCTGACTTTCTGCCTAGGATCCTTTTTCTAACCTTGTTACAGTGAAATGAAGCCCATGAAAAGAGTAAAAGCAGTGGTTTCATTGAACTGAGGAGGCAGAAATTAAAGTTTGGGGTCACGAAAGTATCTGAAATTTGAAAGGCAGGGTACCAGAGGGGAGGGACCTTCTAAGGGCAAAGTCTACATGAGGGTTTCTCTCAGGTTCTTGGCTGAGGTCTGTGCTGCATATATACAGGTTGGGATGCTGTACCATAGCCTAGGAAGTGGCTGCTGAAGGGTTGAAAGCTTAATGGAGGTTCATGAGGTTATGCAATGCTGAGAGATCTTGAAACTCCATTTTAACCAAAGTGAAGACACCTCACTGAGAATATTGGGTTATATCTTAGGAATAAGGACCATGCCCTAGAGTAAGAACTATATCCTAGACTAAAGTGGAAATCAAAATAAACTCATCCTGAAAAGCATAATAACAAGCCTGACAATATCCAGAGGATCCACTAGTAATTTAACTGTCTGTTAGAACCTAAAACAGAAGACAACATAATCCAAAATGCCCTACAAAATAGCATTAACAATGCCCAGCATACAATAAAAAATTACTAAACATACAAAGAGGCAGAATAATATGACTCATATTAAAAGAAAAAGCAATCAATAGAAACATACCTTCAGTTGACACAAATTTTGGAATTAGCAAACAGCACTTTAAAATAGCTATCATCAATTTAGTCAAGTATTGAAGAG
Organism: Homo sapiens; assembly: GCF_000001405.40. NCBI lineage: Eukaryota > Metazoa > Chordata > Mammalia > Primates > Hominidae > Homo > Homo sapiens. The sequence goes on along the minus strand of NC_000002.12, from coordinate 119,102,983 downwards.
AAAATATGAATAGAATAAGCAAACAGATTGGGGAATATCAACAGAGCTTTTTTAATACTCAAGTGAAAAGTCTATAACTATAAAGTAAAATATCTGAAATAAAATATTCATTGAAGATTAGATATTGCAGATAGAAAAGGGTCAGTGAACTTGAAGACAAATGAATATAAATTAGCCTAGTTGATGAAGAGAGAAAAAAGATTAAAAAAAGAAACTTGGGCTTCAAAGAGAATAAAATACCTAGGAATCCAACTTACAGGGGACGTGAAGGACCTCTTCAAGGAGAACTACAAACCACTGCTCAATGAAATAAAAGAGGATACAAACAAATGGAAGAACATTCCATGCTCATCCATAGGAAGAATCAATATTGTGAAAATGGCTATACTGCCCAAGGTAATTTATAGATTCAATGCCATCCCCATCAAGCTACCAATGACTTTCTTCACAGAATTGGTAAGTTAGAAGGAAGCAGGCATTGACTTCCAATGACTTTCTTCGCAGAATTGGAGATTCTTGTGATGTCATACAAATTTTAGAATGAACTTTTATATTTCTGCACACAACGTCATTGGGATTTTGATAAAGATTGCTTAGAATCTGTAGATGGCTTTGGGTAGTATTGTCATTTTAACAATTTTAAGCCTTTCAATCCATTAACATGTGATGCCTTTTTATTGAACTATTCTTTAATTCCTTTTAGCATGCTTTGTAGTTTTCAGTGTACAAGACATTTGCCTCATTGGTAAGTTAATGCATTGGTATTTTATTCTTTTTGATGCAATTGTAAATGTAACTATTTTCTTGACTTCCTTTTTGGATTGTTCTTCATTAGCGTATAAGAATGAAACTAATTTTTGCATGCTGATTATTGTATCCTGCTACTTTGCTAAATGTATTAGCTCTAACAGTTATGTGTGTGTGTCTGTGTGCATGTGTGTGTGTGGAGTCCCAGCTAATATGGCTAGAACTTCCAGTACTATGTTGAATAGAAGTGGTGAAAGTAGGCATCTTTGTCTTGTGATCTTAGGGAAAAAGCTTTCAGCCTTTCACTATTTAGTATAATGCTATCTCAGTTTTTCATATATGACTTATTATGTTGAGGTGGTTATATTCTATTACTAGTCTGTTTAGTGTTTTTTTTATACTTTAAGTTCTAGGGTACATGTGCACAATGTGCAGTTTTGTTACGTATGTATACATGTGCCATGTTGGTGTGCTGCACCTGTTAATTCGTCATTTACATTAGGTATATCTCCTAATGCTATCCCTCCCTCCTCCCCCAACCCCACTACAGGCCCTGGTGTGTGATGTTCCCCACCCTGTGTCCAAGTGTTCTCATTGTTCAATTCCCACCTATGAGTGAGAACATGCACTGTTTGGTTTTCTGTCCTTGCCATAGTTTGCTGAGAATGATGGTTTCCAGATTCATCCATGTCCCTGCAAAGGACATGAACTCATCCTTTTTTATGGCTGCATAGTAGTCCATGGTGTATATGTGTCACATTTTCTGAATCCAGTCTATCATTGATGGACATTTGGGTTGGCTCCAAGTCTTTGATATTGTGAATAATGCTGCAATAAACATACGTGTGCATGTGTCTTTATAGCAGCATGATTTATAATCCTTTGGGTATATACCCAGTAATGGGATGGCTGGGTTAAATGGTATTTCTAGTTCTAGATCCTTGAGGAATTGCCACACTGTCTTCCACAATGGTTGAACTAGTTTACAGTCCCACCAACAGTGTAAAAGTGTTCCTATTTCTCCACATCCTCTCCAGCACCTGTTGTTTCCTGACTTTTTAATGATTGCCATTCTAACTGGTGTGAGATGGTATCTCATTGTGGTTTTGAATTGCATTTCTCTGATGGCCAGTGATGATGAGCATTTTTTCATGTGTCTGTTGGCTGCATAAATGTCTTCTTTTAAGAAGTGTCTTTTCATATCCTTTACCCACTTTTTGATGGGTTTGTTTGTTTTTTTTCTTGTAAATTTGTTTAAGTTCTTTGTAGATTCTGGATATTAGCCCTTTGCCAGATGGGTAGATTGTAAAAATTTTCTCCCATTCTGTAGGTTGCCAGTTCACTCTGATGGTAGTTTCTTTTGCTGTGCAGAAGCTCTTTAGTTTAATTAGATCCCATTTGTCAATTTTGGCTTCTGTTGCCTTTGCTTTTGGTGTTTTAGTCATGAAGTCCTTGCCCATGCCTATGTCCTGAATGGTATTGCCTAGGTTTCCTTCTAGGGTTTTTATGGTTTAGGTCTAACATTTAAGTCTTTAATCCATCTTGAATTAATTTTTGTGTAAGGTGTAAGGAAGGGATCCAGTTTCAGCTTTCTACATATGGCTAGCCAGTTTTCCCAGCACCATTTATTAAATAGGGAATCCTTTCCCCATTTCTTGTTTTCATTAGATTTGTCAAAGATCAGATGGTTGTAGATGATTTCCGAGGGCTCTATTCTGTTCCATTGGTCTATATCTCTGTTTTGCTACCAGTACCATACTGTTTTGGTTACTGTAGCCTTGTAGTATAGTTTGAAGTCAGGTAGTGTGATGCCTCCAGCTTTGTTCTTTTGGCTTAGGATTGTCTTGGCAATGTGGGCTCTTTTTTCGTACCATATGAACTTTAAAGTAGTTTTTTCCAATTCTGTGAAGAAAGTCATTGGTAGCTTGATGGGGATGGCATTGAATCTATAAATTACCTTGGGCAGTATAGCCATTTTCACAATGTTGATTCTTCCTATCAATGAGCATGGAATGTTCTTCCATTTGTTTGTATCCTCTTTTATTTCATTGAGCAGTGGTTTGCATTTCTCCTTGAAGAGATCCTTCACATCCCTTGTAAATTGGATTCCTAGGTATTTTTTTATCTCTTTGAAGCAATTGTGTATGGGAGTTCACTCATGATTTGGCTCTCTATTTGTCTTTGATTGGTGTATAGGAATGCTTGTGATTTTTGCATATTGATTTTGTATCCTGAGACTTTGCTGAAGTTGCTTATCAGCTTAAGGAGATTTGGGGCTCAGACAATGGGGTTTTTTAAATATACAATCATGTCATCTGCAAAGAGACAATTTGACTTCCTCTCTTCCTATTTGAATACCCTTTATTTCTTTCTCTTGCCTGATCGCCCTGGCCAGAACGTCCAACACTATGTTGAATAGGAGTGGTGAGAGAGGGCATCCCTGTCTTGTGCCAGTTTCCAAAAGGAATGCTTCCAGTTTTTGCTCATTCAGTATGATATTGGCTGTGGGTTTGTCATAAATAGCTCTTATTATTTTGAGATACATTCCATCAATACCTAGTTTATTGAGAGTTTTTAGCATGAAGGGCTGTTGAATTTTGCTGAAGGCCTTTTCTGCATCTATTGAGATAATCATGTGGTTTTTGTCATTGGTTCTGTTTATATGATGAATTATGTGTATTGATTTGCATATGTTGAACCAGCCTTGCTTCCCAGGGATGAAGCCAACTTGATCATGGTGGATAAGCTTTTTGATGTGCTGCTGGATTCGGTTTGCCAGTATTTTATTGAGGATTTTTGCATCAATGTTCGTCAGGGATATTGGTCTAAAATTCTCTTTTTTTGTTGTGTCTCTGCCAGGCTTTGTTATCAGGATGATGATGGCCTCATAAAATGAGTTAGGGAGGATTCCCTCTTTTTCTATTGATTGGAATAGTTTCAGAAGGAAAGGTACCAGTTCCTCTTTGTACCTCTGGTAGAATTCGGCTGTGAATCTGTCTGTTCCTAGACTTTTTTTTGGTTGGTAGGCTATTAATTATTGCCTGAATTTCAGAGCCTGTCATTGGTCTATTCAGGGATTCAGCTTCTTCCTGGTTTAGTCTTGGGAGGGTGTATGTGTCCAGGAATTTATCCATTTCTTCTAGATTTTCTAGTTTATTTGTGTAGAGGTGTTTATAGTATTCTCTGATGGTAGTTTGTATTTCTGTGGGATCGGTGGTGATACCCCCTTTATCATTTTTTATTGCATCTATTTGATTCTTCTCTCTTTTCTTCTTTATTACTCTTGCTAGCAGTCTATCAATTTTGTTAATCTTTTCCAAAAACCAGCTCCTGGATTCATTGATTTTTTAAGGGTGTTTTGTGTCTCTATTTCCTTCAGTTCTGCTCTGATCTTAGTTATTTCTTGCCTTCTGCTAACTTTTGAATGTGTTTGCTCTTGCTTCTTTAGTTCTTTTAATTGTGATGTTAGTGTGTCGATTTTAGATCTTTCCTGCTTTCTCTTGTGGGCATTTAGTGCTATAAATTTCCCTCTACACACTGCTTTGAATGTGTCCCAGAGATTCTGGTATGTTGTGTCTTTGTTCTTATTGGTTTCAAAGAACATCTTTATTTCTGCCTTCATTTTGTTATGTACCTGGTAGTCATTCAGGAGCAGGTTGTTCAGTTTCCATGTAGTTGAGCGGTTTTGAGTGAGTTTCTTAATCCTGAGTTCTAGTTTGACTGCACTGTTGTCTGAGAGACAGTTTGTTATAATATCTCTTCTTTTACATTTGCTGAGGAGTGCTTTACTTCCAACTACGTGGTCGATTTTGGAATAAGTGTGATGTGGTGCTTAGAAGAATGTATATTCTGTTGATTTGGGGTGGAGAGTTCTGTAGATGTCTATTAGGTCTGCTTGGTGCAGAGCTGAGTTCAATTCCTGGAAATCCTTGTTAACTTTCTGTCTCATTGATCTGTCTGATGTTGACAGTGGGGTGTTAAAGTCTCCCATTATTATTGTGTGGGAGTCGAAGTCTCTTTGTAGGTCTCTAAGGGCTTGCTTTATGTATCTGGGTGCTCCTGTCTTGGGTGCATATATATTTAGGATAGTTAACTCTTCTTGTTGAATTGATCCCTTTACCATTTGTAATGGCCTTCTTTGTCTCTTTTGATCTTTTTTGGTTTAAAATCTGTTTTATCAGAGACTAGGATTTCAACTCCTGCTTTTTTTTGTTTTCCATTTGCTTGGCAGATCTTCTTCCATCCCTTTATTTTGAGCCTATGTGTGTCTCTGCATGTGAGATGTGTCTCCTGAATATAGCACACTGATGGGTCTTGACTCTATCCAATTTGCCAGTCTGTGTCCTTTAATTGGAGAATTTAGCCCATTTACATTTAAGGTTAATATTGTTATGTGTGAATTTGATCCTGACATTATGATGTTAGCTGGTTGTTTTGCTCATTAGTTGATGCAGTTTCTTCCTAGTCTCGATGGTCTTTACAATTTGGCATGTTTTTGCATTGACTGGTACCTGTCGTTCCTTTCCACTTTTAGTGCTTCCTTCAGGAGCTCTTGTAAAGCAGGCCTGGTGGTGACAAAATCTCTCAGCATTTGTTTGCCTATAAAGGATTTTATTTCTCCTTCACTTATGAAGCTTAGTTTGGCTGGATATGAAATTCTGGGTTGAAAATTCTTTTCTTTAAGAATGCTGAATATTGGCCCCCACTCTCTTCTGGCTTATAGAGTTTCTGTCAAGAGATCTGCTGTTAGTCTGATGGGCTTCCCTTTCTGGGTAACTCGACCTTTCTCTCTTGCTGTCCTTAACACTTTTTCCTTCATTTCAACTTTGGTGAATCTGACAATTATGTGTCTTGGAGTTGCTCTTCTCGAGAAGTATCTTTGTGGCATTCTCTGTATTTCCTGAATTTGAATGTTGGCCTGCCTCGCTAGGTTGGGGAAGTTCTCCCGGATAATATCCTGCAGAGTGTTTTGCAACTTGGTTCCATTCTCCCCGTCACTTTCAGGTACACCAGTCAGACGTAGATTTGGTCTTTTCACATAGTCCCATATCTCTTGGAGGCTTTGTTTGTTTCTTTTTACTCTTTTTTCTCTAAACTTCTCTTCTCACTTCATTTCATTCATTTGGTCTTCATTCACTGATACCCTTTCTTCCACTTGATCAAATCGGCTACTGAAGCTTGTGCATGCGTCACGTAGTTCTTGTGCCATGGTTTTCAGTTCCATCAGGTCATTTAAGGTCTTCTCTACACTATTTATTCTAGTTAGCCATTCGCCTAATCTTTTTTCAAGGTTTTTAGCTTCTTTGTGATGGGGTTCGAACATCCTCCTTTGGCTTGGATAAGTTTGTTATTACTGATCTTCTGAAGCCTTTTTCTCTCAACTCGTCAAAACCATTCTCTGTCCAGCTTTGTTCCATTGCTGGTGAGAAGCTGCGTTCCTTTGGAGGAGAAGAGGCGCTCTGATTTTTAGAATTTTCAGCTTTGCTGCTCAGGTTTCTCCCCATCTTTGTGGTTTTATCTACCTTTGGTCTTTGATGATGGTGACGTACAGATGGGGTTTTGGTGTGTATGTCCTTTCTGTTTGTTAGTTTTCATTCTAACAGTCAGGAGCCTCAGCTGCAGGTCTGCTGGAGTTTGCTGGAGGTCCACTACAGACCCTATTTGCCTGGATATCACCAGCGGAGGCTGCAGAACAGCAAATATTGCTGCTCGATCCTTCCTCTGGAAGCTTCATCTCAGAGGGGCACCCGGCTATATGAGGTGTCAGTTGGCCTCTACGAGGAGGTGCCTCCCAGTTAGGCTACTTGGAGGTCAGGGACCCACTTGAGGAGGCAGTCTGTCCGTTCTCAGATCTCAAACTCCGTGCTGGGAGAACCACTACTCTCTTCAAAGCTGTCAGTCAGGGACATTTAAGTCTGCAGAAGTTTCTGCTGCCTTTTTTTCAGCTATGCCCTGCCTCCAGAGTTGGAGTCTACAGAGGCAGGCAGGCCTCCTTGAGCTGTGTTGGGCTCCAACCAGTCCGAACTTCCAGGCCGCTTTGTTTACTTACTCAAGCCTCGGCAATGGCAGGTGCCCCTCCCCCAGCCTTGCTGCTGCCTTGCAGTTCAATCTCAGACTGCTGTGCTGGCAGTGAGTGAGGCTCCATGGGCTTGCGACCCTCCGAGCCAGGCATGGGACATAATCTCCTGGTGTGCCATTTGCTAAGACTGTTGGAAAAGCACAGTATTAGGGTGGGAGTGTCTCGATTTTCCAGGTACCCTCTGTCATGGCTTCCCTTGGCTAGGAAAGGGAATTCCCCAACCCCTTGTGCTTCCGGCGTGAGGTGCTCTGTGGGCTGCACCCACCGTCTGACAAGCCCCAGTGAGGTGAACCCGGTACCTCAGTTGGAAATGCAGAATCACCCATCTTCTGTGTCGCTCACACTGGGAGCTGTAGACTGGAGCTCTTCCTATTCGGCCATCTTGGAACCTCCCCCTGTTCAGTGTTTTTTGCTGTTGTTGTTGTTTTTTTTTTTTTTGGACAGGGTCTCACTGTGTTTAGGCTGGAGTGCAATGTTGTGATCGCAGCTCACTACATTCTTGACCTTCCAGGCTCAATCGATCCTCCCACCTCAACATCCTGAGTAGCTGAGACTAAAGGCACATGCTACCATGTATTGCTATTTCTTTCTTTCTTTTCTTTTTATTTTTGGTAGAGATAAATTTTGCCATGTTGCCCAGGCTGGTCTCAAACTCTCAGGCTCAAATGATCCACTCGCCTTGGCCTCCCAAAGTGTTGGTATTACCGGTGTGAGCCACTGATCCAGGATAGTGGGTTTTTTTTTGTTTTTTTTCAAATCATGAAATGATATTGAATTTTGTCAAATGCTTTTTCTACAGCAATTAAAATAATCATGTGTTTTCTTTTTCTTCATTCTGTTCATGTAATGTATTGCATTGATTGATTTTTATGTATCGAATCATCCTTGCATTCCAGGAATAAATTCCACTGGTCATGGTATATAATCCTTTCAATACACTGCTGCTGAATTTGTTTTCCTAGAATTTTGCTGAGATTTTTGCATCAGTGTTAACTAGGGATATTGGTGTGTAGCTTTCTTGTAGTGTCTTTGGGTGTGGGTTTTTATATTGAAGAAAAATATTCTTCAAAAATAAAAATGAAATAAATAAAAGCCAAGATAGTTCATTACCAAAAAACATTCTTTAAGTGAAATATTAAATTTAGGTTAAAGGAAAATAGTATCAAATAAAAACTAAGGTCTATGGAAAGTAACCAAACATTGGAAATGGCAAATGTGAGTGAATATAAATGCTTATTGTTTCATTTTAAAAAATTTATTTAAGCAATTTCAAAGCAAAAATAATAACATTGTATTGTGGGATTAACATTGTATTGTGGGATTTACATGACAATAGTGGAACAAAGGATAGGGAGTGTATTATATATCTTTAAGATTTATACATTTTGCCTGAAGTGGTGCTCAGTAGACTGTGATGACTTAAAGATGTACATTGTAATCTACAGAAACTACTAAAAAAATGTAGAGAGGAATAGCTAAAGAGCTAGCATGAAAAATAAAATACAATTCTAAAAAATATTTGACTAACATAAAAGAAGGCAGAAAAATAGTAGAGAAACCAAAAATAAAGCTAAAGCAAAGAAAACAAATAGGGAGATGGTAGACTTAAACCCAACTGTATCAGCAATGGCATTACATATAAATAGTTTTACCTGCAAGAAAAAGGCAGAGATTTTTAGACCAGAAAAAATAAATAAAACCAACTATATTACATCTACAAAAACTTCTACATTTTCTTTTTTTAAATAAGAAAATATTTTTTGTAGAGAAGGGGTCTCACTATATTGCCCAGGCTGGTCTCGAACTCTATGTCTCAAATGATTCTCCCTTCTCAGCCTCCCAAAATGTTGGGATTACAGGCATAAGCCACTGGGCCCAGCATACCCTTTTATATTTAAAAACGCATCTTTAAGTATAAAGACACAGATGTGTTGAAAGCAAAACAATGCAAAAATATCTAACACAAATGGTAAACATAATAAAGCTGGTGTGTGGCTATTTTAATATCAAAATAAATTACAGGATAAGAACTGTTAAGGAATGTTAGACAGAGATAAAGAGTTTTCAAAAAATTTTTTAAAAGGCTAATTCAGCAGTCAATTACTGTGTTTGCATCTAATAAGAGAGCTTCAACATATATAAAGCACAAACTGATGGAAATAAAAGGAGAAATATTTAAAGCAACAATCATATTAGAAAATTTTAACAGCCTCCTTAGTGATTGATAGAACAATTAGACAAAAGAAATCAGCCATGATATAGAAGACTTGAACAACGCTAGCTACCAACTTGCCCTAATTGACATTTATAGAGCACTTCCTCCAACAACGGCAGAGCACACATTCTTCTCATGTGTATAGAGAACATTGACCAAGGTAGACCTTAATACTGACTGTGAAGTAAGTATTATAAAATTTTACAAAAATATTTTTCCTATTGCAAATAAATTCCAAAAAATTGGCACAAGATGGAACAGTATTTCTGAATAGCCCTATATCTATGAAATAAATTGAATTTGTCTTCAAAGGCCTTCCCCAGAAGAAAACTCCAGGCCTAGTTAAATTCATAGGCCAGTTCAATCAAACACCAGGCCTAGTTAAATTCATAGGCCAGTTCAATCAAACACCTAAGAAACAGTACCAATCTTACACAAACTTTTTCAGAAAATAGAGGAATAGTCTTCCCTGCTTAATTCATTGTATGAGGTCAGCATTACCCTGTATTAGCAAAACCAGACAAAGATATTAGAAGAAATCAGCATTACACATGAACTTATATGCAAAAATCCTCAAGAAAATTTTAGCAAGTTGAATTTACCAATATGCAAAAAGTTAGTAATACCATGAGCAAGTAGAATGGAAACACAAGAATACAAAAATCATTTAGCATTCAAAAATCCATCACGATAATTATACTAACAGGATAAAGAGAAAAAAAAGAACTATTTCCATAGATGTAAACAAATATTTGATGAAATTCAACATCCATTCAGGTTAAAACTTTTCAATAAACTAGGAATAGAATGGAACTTCCTCATCTGATGAGGAGTTTCTCAAAAATCCTGCAGCTAATACCATTCTCAATGGAGACAAACTGTATATATTCACACCAAAACTGGGAACAAGTAAAGTATGCCCACTCTGATCATATATATTCAGTATTTTACTGAAGGTCATAGCCAGTGCAATAAGGCAAGAAATTGAATTAAAAAGTAGAGTGATTGAAAAGGAAGAAGTAAATCTGCCTTTATTAGTAGACAACATGATTGTCTACGCAGAAAATCATGAGTTTACCAAAAAAACCCTATGAGAACTAATAAGCAATTTTAATACACTTTTCAAGATATAAAGTCAATATACATAAAAAGTTTTTTTGTCTATTGACTATGTCTAGGAAAAATTTGAAATTGAACTTTGAAAAAGTACCATTTAAAATAGCATAAAATATTAGGAATAAATTTAACAAAATACACGTGAGCCTGCATACTAAATACTATAAAATATCATGAAAAATTAAAGAAGATCTAAAGTAAATAAAAAGGCTAGGCGCAGTGGCTTATGCCTGTAATCCCAGCACTTTGGGAGGCCAAGGCAGGAGGATCACTTCAGGTCAGGAGTTCGAGGCCAGCCTGGCCAACATGGTGAAACCCCGTTTCTACTAAAAATACAAAAATTAGCTGGGCATGATGGTGTCCACCTGTAATCCCAGCTACTCTGGAGGCTGAGGCAGGAGAATTGCTTGAACCTGGGAAGCAGAGGTTGCAGTGAGCCGAGATCATGCCACTGTGCTCCCGCCTGTGTGACAGAGTGAGACTTCGTCTCAAAAAAAATTTAATAAATACAATTTAAAAATAAAGTAAATAAAAAGATATTCTGGTATTCATGGATCAGAAGAATCAACGTTATTAAGATGTCAGTTCTCCTCAAACTGATGTATAAATTCAAAGCTATCCAATCAAATTGTCAGAAAATTTTCTTGTAGAAGTTGACAGATTGATTCAAAAATTTAAAAGGAAATGTAAAGAACCAACTATAGTGAAAATAATCTTGAAAAAAAAACTGGAAGGCTTATATTAATTGATCTCAAGACTTACTGTAAAACTATATTATTGAGACAATATACTCTTGGCATTGGGCTATACTAAGACCAGGAAAATCAATGAAAGAAAAGAGAATCAGACCCATGTATATATGACCAGTTGATTTTCTAGAAAGGCACTGACGCAAATCAGTGGGTGGAAAAGAAAGTCTTTTGGGCAAAAAGTGCTAGGGTTGAGGGACAAATATAAAATATAGAAAAAAATCCCTGACCCTCTCTACTTCACACATAACACAAAAAGTAAGTTGAGGTGGATCACAGACCAAAACAAAAGCTAAGTAAAAAGTTTCTAAGCAAAAAAAACATTTTTGAAAAATTTTTGACACCTGGAGGTAGGCAGAGATTTCTTAGAGAGGACACAAGAAGCTCTATCCATAGAAGAAAAAGTTGATACATTAGATTTCATCAAAATTAATAATTTCTGCTGAGCAAAAGACACTATTAAGAAGATGTAGAACACATTACAGGCTGGGAGAACAATCTATATACCTGACACATGTCTTGAATCTAGAATATGGAAATAATTCTTATACATCAACAGTAAAAACACAAACACTCCAATAAAAATGAAAAATATTTTGATAGCCACTTCACTAAAGCATAGGACTTAAAGGGATTATTCCCCTCCCCTCCCCTCTCCTCTCCTTTCCTTTCCTTTCTCCTAAGCCTATGCTCTTAAATAATTCATTTGAATTTTGAGACTCTGAGGACCTTTGAGCAAAATCTGCTACCCATCATTCCACCCACCTCTCACCCACTCACCCATCCACCTACCCCTTCATCCATATCCAATCAACTTTCAGCAAGGCCCCTGAGCAGCTCACAGTCTGAAACAGCGGCAGAGGGATCAGCAAGTAGACTCCCGTGTGATGCCTGCTAGGACAAAGGAAGGCCCGGGGGGCTGTGAAGGCACAGAGGAGAAGCCCCACCTAGTTAGTTATTGCTGGGAGGCTTTCAGAACAGGACGGAAGGGCACTGCACTTGAGATGATCTCCTTCTGCCACAACGTTCCTTGGGTCTCCGTCGCTTCTGGACTGGGCACAGCGATGTCTCCAGAGGAGAGAACGGTTATATACTTTCTGGTTGGGAAAGGGTGAGGAGGTGGACCAGGAAGGACAAACCTCAGCTGCTGCCCTTTCCTTTTGTCTTCCTTCCCTCATTCACTCATCCTGGACCGGCCACTGTGCCTCCACAAGAGGATACTGCCGTTCCACTGAGCTTTGAGGGGAAGAACCTAGAAAAACAATCCCTCAGGAACAATCCATTGGTCTGGCCACGTCTCCTGCCTGCTCAGTTTTCAGCCAGCCTGTGTGGGATGTACAGAGAGAAAGCTGGGTCAGGGCCAAACCTCAGAGACCCTCTGTCCCAGCACAGGAACTGCACCTGTGTTCCTGAAGCAATTCAGGAGGAGCAGTGTCAGAGGAGAATTGATGAAAACTAACAGGGAAGAAGGGAGGTGAAGGAAGGCAGATGTAGTCTGAAGGGGCTTCCTGAAGGAATGGGGCTTGAAAACAAGATTTGGGAAGCATATAGATATGATGAGGATCCTGGAGGGCATTATGTTAACAGTAACAAATGATTACTAGTTTGAGAAGCACTTATGATTTTTCCCTATTGGCCAAGGTCAGTGTTTACATGGATGATCGCATTATCATTTTAGGGGGGGAGAAGAATCAATCTAAACAAAGGCATTTTCTCTCTGGAGCTGCCCTGGGTAGTCCCCACATGGCCCCCCACCTCATGCATGTAGGCATGCAGACATGCATGTGTGCACACGAAATGCAGCTTGAGATTCCCTGGGATAGAGCTCAGGAGCCAAGTTTCATGCAGTCCCTTAGTTCTCATCTTGTTCATCGATATAAATTAGTGAGCACATTGGTCTGTCAGGCAGCATCCATTTATTTGAATTTACTCAGGGAAGAGCACAGCATGGTGGGGAGTGCCTGCCTGCCACCCCTCTGCCTAGCCTACAGAGAGCTGTGCATGTATGCCCCTTGAACTCCCCATCAATCAAATGACGGCTTTTACATGGTGTCTGCTGGGGCCTGGCACTGTGCTCCCAAAAGAGCCGGAAGGTCTGATCCACGGCTCATAACCTTATTGGGAAGGTGATGGCCATAAAGATGGACCAACTGAACAGGAGACACAGATCAGAAGAGCATGCTGATGTGATACAAGACTAAATGTATGGCGTGGGCCTTGTGTTCCCCAGACTGTGTGCTGAGAGTCTAGGTTTCTGTATAGGAGACGCAGGGCCACTGTGGGAGATGTGGTGGGACGGCACAACAGGGGGTGCTCTGACCTCTTTTCTGCTTTAACCAGCTCCACTGACACCTGTTTCAGGGATAATACACTTCCGGTAAGATTTCATTCATGTTCTATTTCCCATCAAGAATGCTGCTGCTTGGGAGGCCAAGGTGGGCAGATCACAAATTCAGGAGATCGAGACCATCCTGGCTAAAACGGTGAAACCCCGTCTCTACTAAAAATACAAAAAAATTAGCCGGGCGTGGTGGCGGGTGCCTGTAGTACCAGCTACCTGGGAGGCTGAGGCAGGAGAATGGCGTGAACCTGGGAGGCAGAGCTTGCAGTGAGCCGAGATCCTGCCACTGCACTCCAGCCTAGGCGACAGAGTGAGACTCCATCTCAAAAACAAAACAAAAAAAAAAAAGAAAAAAAAATGCCGCTGCACTCTCAACCCCCTAATAAAAGTCTTAGTTTTCTACAGATGGGGCTTTCCATTGTGACAGTCCTTGAGAGGCAGTGGGGAAAATTGAGGCTTTGGGGAAAGTTTGCAGAAGGTGACCAAGGAAACAGGGCCTGGACCAAGGGCCAGCCTTGATCGAGACAGGAATCGCCCTGCTCTGGGATGTGAGGGTCCCTCAGTCAGAGATCTCCTCTTGCCTAGATAGAGCCCCGTTCCCTGCTACCCCCAGGAGGGCAGTCGGAAGCACCTGCTGCCTTCCTTACTCCTTGTCACTTGTCAACTTCAGAGCAATCAGTCTGCTACTTAACACTTAACAGGCAAAGCACTCCAGCACTGCATCCGATTTGTCTTTGTTAGTGCTAACAGCAGAAGGGTGTGCAGGTCTCATTGTGTCGGCCTCCCTGCGGATGCTGCACCTGGGGCTCACTGTGCAATCATCTAGGCCTGCTACAGTCACCCAGTGAGGCACTCGGCAGAGTCTCACCCAGCACAGTGAGTCTGCTTCGCAGAGCCTGCCGGAAATGGCCACTGTGGGAGGGAGCATTTGTCAGGGGGGCCCTGCAACTGAACTGAGGAGGAGACCCCAGGCAGAAACCCACCTTGTAGTCTGTCTCCCCTGTGAATTCTCATGGGCACATGCATAGTGTACTGAGTTCATTTCATCAACACTGGACAAGCTAAGTGCTCAGGATACAGTGGGGATAGTAGATCACAACCCTACCCTCAAAAGGCTCACAGTCTAGGAGACAGGGGGCTGACAGGTCTACAGGTAGTAGCCAGCAATATTGTAAATGCTAGCATGGAGGTGGGTTCACAGTCTGTTGCAGAGGAGATCTCATCCAACCCAGCCAGGTGAGGTCAGGAAAGGCCTCTGGGACTCAGATGTGTGGAGTAGCACAGTTGCCAAAGGGCAGGAGGGGAGCACCGAGCTGGAGAAGTGGCCAAAGGGATGTGGAAGAGAGTGAGCTGGAAGATCACGGGTGGGTCGGCCTTGCTGGAATATTTTTGAACTATTGTGTTTCTATCATTTAGCTGCCATTTATCCACACTATCCACTTCTATTGTTCTCTCTTCATAGATCTTCCTATACTTTCTTTGCCATCTATCCAACTACCTACCTGTGATTTATCTACCATCCATCCATCCATCCATGCATCCATCCATCCATCCATCCATCCATGCATCCATCCATCTGTCCCTCTGTCCCTCCATCCACCCATGCATCCATCTCTAGAAGTCTTCAGGTCGTGCCCCAAAACAGATCTGTCTCCAAAGAACTCTCTCAGCTCAGTGCCTGAATTTTACAATTAGAGATGTATTCTTGCTGTAAATGCTAATAATCTCTCAGCATTTCTAACAAGCACACAGCCCAGCGAGCGGCAAAAGAAGTCAGCAATGCGCAGCCTGTGCAGTTCTTATCAAATCACATGTCTTTGGTAGGTGGCCCCTGGGACGCAAGGATAAGCATGGAAAGGTCTGAGAGAAGCAGTGGGACCAATTCCAGAGGGCCAGGCCCACTTCTGAGGATTTGCTGTTGATGTATCCATGTCCTTGGGGCCAGCCTTCCCTGACTGTAAACCCCAGGGAGGCTGGTGTGGGGTGTCTCCATCTCGTTCATCTGTCACAGTGATGGTACATGTTATGGGCCCACTAAATTCTTTTAAATGAATGAATGCCCTTGGAACTTTTGGACAAGGGAAAAGTCATTGGAGGGGTTTGCACTAACTCCCTGTAGAAGCATCTGGAAATGGGGCAAACAGAGCTGGCCCCTCACCCTTAATGCAAGAGTAGCTCATGCAAATTGTGGAGTCACGGGTGAGGCCAGTCCTGTGTGCCAGAGGTCATCCAAACCCCAGCACCCACAGGGATCTTCCTAGATACCCTACTATCCCCAAACTAAGAACATCCCTTCTCCAGCCTTTCAGACGATGTCTTTCCAGCACTGGTGTCTCTTTGATGAATGGGGAATGACATTGCTGGTGCCACTGATGTGACTACACCTACGCCCACCCCCGACATGGTAGCCATCATCTCAATAAAACTCAGTAACACCAACCTTCTGAAACAAATGGGACAAGTCATGGCCTCTTTTTACTCCTTTTTCCTTGGTCTATAACTTCATTTGCTTTTTAGTGTCATGAGGGCAGTGGCATAGGATTATGAAGCCTGGAGCCTTACACCCAGAGATTTTGATTTAATTGGCTGAGGGATAGCCAGAAAGCTTCAAAGAAGTTTCCATGTGACTCTGCTGTGCAGTTGAAATTGAGAGCCACGGATAGTCCAACACCTAATTTCACTCCCCTGCCCCCACAATCTGCTGCTACAAACAAAGCTTCAGGCACAGGTGACATTTGGCTGGAATTGCTGTTCCTCTGTCTTTATTTCTTGACTACCTAGATCCAGAAACTGCTTGATTTTCACATCTGTTATCTTATTTGATCTGCAGAAATGAGCTGGATGGAGATATATTTTGTTGGTAGAATGGGCCTAACCTCATAAGACCTTGTTGTTTTAGGATCATCTTTTAGGATAATCCCCTTTCTGCTTCCCTTGGCCTTGGTAAGGATTCAGAAAGCAGGGAGGCTCAGAAAACATGTACCCTAAGCATTGCCCCCAGCCCCTCCACTGACAGCTCAAATTGGGCGACTGAAGCCACTGTCGAACTTCAAGGTATCTTTGTACCGAGCTCATCAAAAAGCAAACACTCAGGCACTTGAATAAGATAAGCAATTTGTGGCTTTGTAAAAAGTCAATGCAATTCAATTTAGACCTCTTAAGGAGTGCCGCTGCCTCTCACATGTATTGTTTCCTTGTATAACCTGCTCCACCGAAGGGACTGCAGATTCGTCTTCTGTTTGCGAAGTGGGATGAAGTCCCTGGAACAAGTGACCTTCAAGAGCTGCACAAAACTTATAAATGAAGCTGTCGCCAAGAAACCTCATTCTTGCCTCAGCTCACAGCTTTCTTCCTTTATATAGATTTGATTTTCCAAATGGCAGATTATAAAACTAGCTATTTTTTTCATCCTAAACACAAATGCTTTAATTTCTTGTCTTTTTTTTTTTTTAAACAAGAGTGATGTTTTTAAAATGCAATCTCCACTCTAATCTTTACCACTTTTGAAAGGCTCCATTTTTTTTTTTCTCTTTTAACCCACGAAGTTATCTTTGGTGCCGGGGGCAGTACCCCTGGAATGTTCCTTTGTCCTCTCAGCTGTCTCAGGCCGGAGGTGGATGTTTTTTCTTGCTATTTGTTATTCTTTTTGTCATAGAACAGATTGCTCTTGGCTTCTCTTTATTTGCTCCTTTGTTGGTTTATTTAGAAAATAGGGCCAGTGTAGTCCTACCATGTCAGACAAATCCAGGGAAAATGAGAATAATAATTTTAAAATTACTGTTAGTGATCATCTACAATATGCCAGATACTGCACTTGGTGTTTTACATGTGCTTTTAAGTTTAATCCTTGCGGGCCAGGTGCAGTGACTCATGCCTATAATCCCAGCACTTGGGGAGGCCGAGGTGGGCGGATCATCTGAGGTCAGGAGTTCAAGACCAGCCTGACAAACATGGAGAAACCTTATCTCTACTAAAAATAAAACATTAGCCAGGCATGGTGGCGCATGCTTGTAATCTCAGCTACTCGGGGGGTTGAGGCAGGAGAATCACTTGATCCTGGGAGGTAGAGTTTGCGGTGAGCTGAGATCAGGCCATTGCACTCCAGCCTGGGCAATAAGAGCAAAAACTCTGTCTCAAAATAATAATAATAATAACAATAATAATAATAATAATCCTTGCAACAGCACTGTGAGATAAGTATTGCCAGCTTCATCTAATTGATGAGGCTCAGAGACAGGTTATGCAACTTCCTGAGGTCACACAGCTCCTAGATGCCAAAGCTAGAAGTCAAAAGCATGTCTGGCTAAATCCTCAGCAAGATCTCCAGTACTTCACAGATGTTGCTTCCTGCTTAGTTCCTCATGCCTGGAATGCAAGAGCTTCTTAGGTAGCACCTTCTCATATAGCTTCTCCTGGCCCATATCCCTGGGCATCCAAAGCCACTTGCTTGAAGAACTCCAGAGACCAAAGGGTGGCAGTTTTGGAAGTTTTCTCTTTGATTTCATTGTCACGTCTATATTAATGTTAGGCTTCTGCATGATCATTAGTGTTGCAACTTAACTCTGCTTGAGATGTTTTCACCCACATTAGAAGCATCCTTGCCTCTCTTGGATCACCTTTGTGGAAAACCCCATCCATTGCCTTAGGACAACCATGGGGCTTGAAGTTGTACCCAAATACATGGGCGCAGCACCTGGGGACAGGATATTGTTGTGGTCCTGCATTTCTTCCTCTCCACCTTTGGCCCAAGCATCCCAGAATGGGCCCCAAAGTGAACATGGACAGGCACTTCGTCCTGCCAGAGTCAGAAAGATCCCCCATCCCTACCACACATTGCCACCATCATCAGAAATTCAAAGACAAAGGCACCAGGCATCGGGAGGTGTCTAATACGCTTAGGATAGAATACCAGCAAGAGGGGGAAACACAGAAAATGCTGAATTGTGAAGTTTGGTCTAAAAATCTCTCCCAGCTATTTGGACCAAATCCAGACCTAGCGGCCTCTGAGTGAGCTGAGTAATTGCAGCTCAGTCTTCCTCCATATTCTCATCACGGGTGTCCCTGTGCACCGCCTTCTCAGGGGGCTGATGCACCTTCCATCTTCTTAATACTTCCAGC
Organism: Homo sapiens; assembly: GCF_000001405.40. Lineage (NCBI taxonomy): Eukaryota > Metazoa > Chordata > Mammalia > Primates > Hominidae > Homo > Homo sapiens. The sequence continues at coordinate 119,084,618 of NC_000002.12, read as the reverse complement.
TTTTTCACCTACTCTACACAAATACTGTTTATTATGCAGTACCAGGTTGCCATTGTTTTGTTTTCATTGCATTTATTTTTGTAGTTACTGTCCATTTCAGGAAAATAATGTTTGTTTTCCATGGGGGATAGTGATATAAAGTTTTATTTTAAAAAAATGTATTTAAGCAAGAACAGACAGTTCGTGTAAAAATATGAAGATATGATTATACAGATGCTATGAGGAGATGAAAACAATAGTGCACGTGGTATAGAAATAGGAGATATTGCCCTGTGTAATTTTGAGGGATGAAATAGAGGAGAGAGGAAACAATTTGAATTAAAATGCTGCACTGCAACAGACTAAGGAGGTGGCAGTGGGTGCCGGTTGGGCATGCCTGGGTCAGATGAGCAGTTAAGTGATAGGAAAGAACCTTGGAAACAAACTCTCTCCAAGAGCTGGGCTGGCTTATACGTGGCTCCAACCCAGCCCTGGTCACAGACGTGGGAAACTTTTTTTTTTTGTTTTTTGAGATGGAGTCTTGCTCTGTTGCCCAGGCTGGAGTGCCGTGGTATGATCTCAGCTCACTGCAACCTCCGCCTCCCAGGTTCAAGCGATTCTCTCTGCCTCAGCCTCCTGAGTACCTGGGATTACAGGCATGTGCCACCACACCTGGCTACTTTTTGTATTTTTAGTAGAGACAGGGTTTCCCCATGTTGGCCAGGCTGGTCTCAAACTCCTGACCTGAGGTGATCCACCTGCCTTGGCCTCCCAAAGTGCTGGGATTATAGACATGAGCCACTGTGCCTGGCCAGATGTGGGAAACTTTAATGTACGAGGTCCCTGAGAACTTTGGAACCAGGTCGGCTGGTGGCCATGTGGACAACTCCTCCTCGTGACAGTCATCGACCGTAGTCCCTCACCTGATGGGCCCTGTGTAGGCATTGTAGGGGGCTCTAGGAAGCTCAAGTAATCTTTGTCCAGTTACCTTTCAGGGCCTGTGGCTGAGCTGAGGCAGAGCCTCTGATGACTGTCACACTCGGCACAGGCCCTTGGGAGGAAGGAGGGCCAGGCAGGGCTGGGGGTGTCACATGTTCCACATGATGGACTTGAAGGAGAAATTTCAGGATGAAAAATTAAATGAATGCCACAAGAGCATCGAGGCAGAGGCAGGGTACAACCAGAGGGACACACAGAGGCTGTGCTCATCACTGAGTGGCAGGGGTGGGGGTCCATAATCACGCCTCAATTTTTGAGTGATTAAAATACTGGCCATGCTAGGAAAGTCAGTCTGACTGGCATTGATGGAAGAAAAGGGTTGTTTGATGGAATCGACTTTTAAGTTCATCAAAACAAAGAGATAGAGAGAGAGCAGCTGCTTTCTCTACAGGCCAAATAAGAAGGGAAGAAGCAGTTGCAGGAAGCGGGTGAGAGGAGCCACAAAGCAGAACAGCTGGAGATGAGAGAACCCCGTGGGCTGTGAGCATTGGGAGGGGCCTTGTTCAGTCCCTGGGTTAATTCTCTTCCCAATGCCTATCCCTTGTCCCAGCTAACAGAATTCTCATACAGGCAATGGAGCATGGTTGGCCTAAGCCAGTCAGGACAATTCTGTTTCCGTTTTCCCAGATGCTCCTCTAGCTGGGGTTGGGGACGTGAGACTTAATCATGGCCAATGAAGAACAAAGCATGTCTCCTGGAGGACTCTACGAGAGTTTTACTGTCCTAATAGAAAGTTCAGATGAGCCTGGTGCTGTCTTCGAATCCGTGTCCTGCCTTGAGCACATTGGATGTTCTAGAGCTGCAGCAGACGTTGTGTGATCCTGGGTGCAAGCCAACACGCCCATGGTGGCAGAGCAGGAAAGTAGAAAGAGGTTGGAATCTTTGATGATGTCACTGGGCCACTGCACCAAGACCAAAGCAGTCTAACTCTGGATTTCTTGTTATGAGAGATAATTAATATATTTATTGCTTAAGCCACTGCTTGTTAGTGTTTTATTACTTGCAGCTGAAAATCCTCCTGGTGGATACATGCTTGATTTTACAGAGGATCCTTAGGCCAGGCAAGGGGCCAGGACCCACCCAAGATCACATAGTTGATTATAAGTTCCCTCAACGGACTTCAGACTGTTTCTTGAACTCTCCAACCCTGGCTGCAACCAACTAGGTTAGGCCCATGCCTCTAGGCTCTTCTCAATCTCAGTGCTCCCCCTAGTTGATTCTGCCTTTGGTGCTTGATAAATCTTACTCAAACATAATTTTCTTTACCTTGGTTTCCTCATCTCTTTCCCTTATCATAGCCCACAGTGGGGGCAGATTTAAATTCCAGGTCCTCTCCCTGACATCACTGTCCTGTAACCCTGACTGAGGTGTAGGTCTCCATACTGCACTACCCCCCAACCATGACCACCTGGTTTGGACGCTTTTGTTCTTCTACCTTGACTCTTCCCTGCTTCTGCCCTGTTGATTGCTGCTCATTCTATGAGGCCCACCTCCTCCATGAGGCCCACTCTGACTGCCCGGGGTTCTAACTTGGAATCTTATATGTTCATGAATGGATTCTTTTAATACTAGCACTTTACCTTATACTATCTTTTGAATATTTTACTAGTACTTTCTTGGGAGAGAAAGTATCTGTATTCTGCATCTTTGGGCTACTTCACAGTTTCATGGCATATAGTAGGTAATTGAAAAATACTTAGAAATTATAAATTTGTATAACATGACAAGGTAACCCACACAATGGGAGAAAGTATTTGCAAATCATATAACTGATAGGGGCTTGTATCCAGAATATACAAAGCACTCTTGTAACTCAATAATAGAAAGATAAATAACCCAATTTAGAAATGACCAGAGGATCTGAGTAGATATTTCTCCAAAGAAGATATACAAATAGCCAATAAGCACATGAAAATATGTTCAATGTCATTTGCCATCAGGAAAATGCAAATCAAAACCACAGTGAGGATGGCTATAATAAAAATACAAATAATAACAAGTGTTGGTGAGAATGTGGAAAAATTGGAATTCTTGTATACTGCTGCTGGGAATAGAAGATGGTGCAGCTGCACTGGAAAACAGTCTGGCAGCTCCTCACAGAGTCAAGAATAGAGTCACCATCTGATCCAGTAATTCCACTCCTATGTATAGACCCAAGAGAAATAAAAACTTGCACCCACAGAAAAAAAATTGTACTTAAATGTTAATAGTGGTATTATTCATAATAGCCAAAAAATGAAAACAGCCCAAATATCCATTGACAGCTGGATGAATAAATAAATGTGGTATATCCACACAATGAAATGTAATTCAGCAATGAGAGGTACTGACACATTCTACAACATAAATAAACCTTGAAAACCTTATGCTAAGTGAAAGATGCCAATTTCAAAAGTCCACATATCATATCCACTGATACATACCCATTGACATTAAATGCTTAAAAAAGACAAATCTGTAGAGACAGAAAAGTAGATTAGTGGTTGCCCAAGGCTGGGAGGTTTGGGAAGTGGGTGATGGAAGTGGCTCCTAATGGCAGGGTTTCTTTTTGAGGAATGAAAACATTCTAAAATTGATTGTTACAGAATTCTGTGAACATACTAAAAAAAAAAAAAAACCATTGAATTACATACTTTAAATGAATACATTATATCACATATGAACTATATCTCAATAAGGCTGTTAAAAATGTATTGTGGGTGAATTGTTTGATCATTAAGCATTCTTTCAAAATATATTTATAATAGTTGCATAATATTTCATCATGTGAGTAAACCAGAATCTATTTAGTCAAAACTTTATTTCTGGGCATTTACAGTGTTTTCCTCCAGTGGTCAGGATAGAGAAAACTATCCTTAACAATAAATGTTATTATTTATTAATAATAAATTAATATTATTAATAATAATCAATGCCATGTGCATTGTTATACAAATTTACAAATCTGTTCCTTAGGACAGATTCCTAAAGGATTTAAGATTCTTCTTACAAGTTACCAACTTATCCCAGAAATAGCCAATCAGATTGCCCAATTAATCATACCTTCTTCACATGGAATATTATTAAATATACAAAAAGCCAGACCAATGGGGGAAAATGGTAGATTATTTAACTGATTTTTTAAAAATTCAGTAGTGAGGTTAATCATTTTTCCAAACACACACTGGTTAAATTTTTCTATTTTTTCCTCTGTGATTTGACTCTTCCCTTTGCCCGTTTTTTTGTTGTTGTTGTTAATTTATACAAGGATATTATATATTCAAACTGTGTTACATTATGCACTGTTGTTCTCAATTTTTCCACTTGCCTTTTAATTTTCTTTTGGCATTTTTTGTTTTAAAGCACAGAGGTTCTTAATTTTATGCAGTCAAATCTATTGATTTTGTTTTGTGGTTTCTTCCTTTCTTTAATCTTTAGAAAGTCCTCTCAATCTTCATATTTTCTTCCAGCTTTATGGTTTTGTATTTATAATTAATCTTTTATTCATCAACAATTTGTGTAGGTTTATGATGTTAAATTAAGATATGATTCCCCTCCCCAATTGCTATCAAACTATCCCAACATCTTTGACTGGATTCTCATTTTTTTACCTCTGTTAATTCATAACAATACCTTTATTATATAGCAAATGTATATGTATGTTTTTGGTCTCTACATTTGGGAAAATTTAAAAGTACAGACCCCGGTTGGAGGGGTTTACTAGTTTTTTTGCTGTGCAGCTCTTAATCTATTGTACTTTTAAAATAGCTTTATAATGTATTTTAATACATGATGTAAATTCATCAACATTTTACTCTTTTATCAGATTTGCTTGGCTATCCTCAGCCTTTTAATTTTCTCAATGAAGTTTAGCAGTTTTCAAGCTCCCTTGACCCCCACCACCTTACCTACCAACTCTCTAAAGTATCCTTTTGTGACTTTAAGGAAACTGTTTCATATATGATCTAAGTTAATGTGGAAAGATGTGGTATTTTTAAAACATCTAGAATAAGACATCTTTTGGGGTGATTTAGCAGCCTACACATTTCTTCTCTGATAACTGCCTTTCTCTATAGGAATGAGTCCCCACAATCATGTTATAATATGTGTCCCTCACCCTCCCTCATCACAGCCCAATGGAGCAGGTGTGCACACCTGACCCAAGCTGGGCCAATAATAAAATATATAATATTTCCTGGGAATTTAAATTTGGAACTCTGGCACCCCTGGGGTTGTTGTCCCTGAATCTGGGAAGTGATGTGGTTCTGGGTGGCCATGCTCTGCCAGGGCCTGGAGAGAGAGAAAGCTGATCTGCAGGAAGAGAGAGGAACAGTCAGCTGCACAGAACAAAAGCTGCCCTTCAGAGAAGACGCATTCAGCACCCTTGCTATGAGCCTCTCAGTCCCTGTTGCTACTGCTCCCCAAATTCCTTGAGATTTTTCTGCTTTCTTCTTGTAAAATTACCTTCTTTGCCAAAAGTAATTTGAGTTGTTGAGTTGTAGTTAAGCAACTACAGATCACAGACCAACACAATAGTTGGTCGTTTTGGAATCAGGACTTAATGGTAGAGATTTTTTGCAGGAGCCATGCTTCATGCTAAGCACGCTAACAAGGGCCGATGCATATTGCATCCTCAAAGTCCTGCAAAGTGGTTACTCTCTTGCCTCAGGGTAAGGTGGCTAACAAGGCTTCCAGAACCATCCTGAGTCACACAGACAGAATTCTCTCATTACCAAAATGAAGCCAAGCTCTCCATGTATTTCTGAGGAGGCTGGTAGAACACTTTTTCAGTCCCCTAGTCCTTGGCCAAGGATGCTGTTTTTCTCTATCTCCCAGGAAACCTTCTAGAACCTGTTACACTAAAGAACCACGATGATCTTCCAGTGGTTCATAAACAACTAGAGAGGGAAACTTTGATCACTGGAGACCTGTGGTTGCTCTTGAGTAACGCACCCTGATGCAACACACTGATCTGTTTCCATTGTGGAGAGGATTACAACCTAGAGTTCCAAGGGAATGTAATTGATTAGTGGTTCTTGAAATTCTGCAGGTCATTAATCCTTTTGAGAAGGTGAAAAAATCTATGGACACTGGCATAAAAAATCAATGGATGAGTATGAGTGAGTATACATGAGGATGCACAAACACATATTTGCATATAATTTTGGGAGGGCAGTTCATAAACTCCCTGAAGCCAAAGTACACTAACCCAAAGTTAAGGACTCCTTCCACAGGTAAAGTTGGATTTCATCTGATCAGGCCAAATTTGTAATTTCATTTTTGAAGGCAGGATCTGGATGGATGCTGAGCTGGTGGAAAAACCATTCTCAAAGAGATTTGATTTACAAATGACTGTTACTCTGGAGGGAAGTCTAAATGGGAAACATGAGGCCCTGCTCTTGGCCTTGTTCTATACAACATATGCCTCATTTTATTTTATTCTTTTATTTATTTATTTATTCACCATCAAGGCCATAAAATTGAATTGAATTGAATTTTAAGAGATAATAGCAAGTTACAGTTACAGAAATAATAGAGAAGACTAATGGACAGAGAACTGTCTATGCTAAGATTTTTAACTCATTAATCTCCAAAATTTTTTTCCTGTATATTAACTGTAATTCATAAGGAATAAAGATTTCCTAAACTTTTTAAAAGTGAAAAGTTAAATAAAATGTTGCATACATATATTTATTTATAAATGTTATTTTATTTTAGATTGAGAGAAAACAGGTGCATGTTTGTTACATGAGTATGCTGTGTACTGGTGGGGACTGGGCTTCTAGTATATCCATTAACCCAAATAGTGAACACTAGACTTGATAGGTAATTTTTTAACCCTTGCCTTCCCTTCCATCTTCCCCCTCTGTGAAGTCCCCAGTGTCTATTCTTTACAACATATGTTTTGTTTTAAATCAGTGATTTAATATAAGGCTGAAATCAACACAAAATGTATAGGGATAGCTAATACTCTGTATGAAAAAAATCAAGATTCAAAAATATCTCAGCCGATTGGACAATGGAAAACTAAGACCAGGTAAAAGTTACAGCAAAGGGCAAATGTAACAGAACATATTCAGGTTATAAGCCCGTTGTCCACGTATGAATTGGAAGAATCTTACATTTCTGAAAAAAATGGCAGAAGCTGTGGTGACTGTGGTCTCCATGCTGTTCGGAGATGAGAATGCCCCAAAACTCTGGGGACCTCGGGAGGTATAAATGGTTGGTGCATGTCTGGATTACCCCAGGAGGGAACACAGCCTTGGCACACTGGGCAAGCATCTGAGGGACTGTCCTTAGGTCTAGGAGCTGCACTTGGCCATGTGAGTTGAGGAAAAGGATTATGTCCAGAGAAAGGAAGCTTGGAGATCCAGGGACCATGGATTCATGTGATATGTGATACTCATGGATTCATATTCATGCAGCTTGAAAGAATCAAAACCCTTTACCCTGGAGAAGATATGTTTTGCCTGGAGGTGGGAGTGGGGCCTGATGGTGACTCTCAAATGTCTAAATAGCTTCATATGGAGGAATGACTAGACCTACTCGGGGTGCAGAGCCCTTTCTAAAATGAGTGTTGCTCACTGACAGCACAGTCTGTCAGAGAAGGGCGTCCTAATCCCGGGAAACACTTAAAGAGAGGCTTCCTGTTCACATGTGGGAGACATGCACCACTGCCCTGAGTGGAGACTGAACTTGATCCGAGAAGTAACCCTAGCTGATTGGCAGTGGCTGTCTAGGGCGTGGTGATGAGAAAGCATGGGAAGGCCACTTCCGGGGTCAGCAAATCACTGAAGAATGCCTGTGAGAGCAGGCGTAAGGAGTGATGATGCTCAGGCTGTGTGCTGGCCAACCCTTCGCCAAGGCTTCTTATTGCCTGAAGACTCTGTAATTCGCCCTTCTGTACTACAGCAAACTTCTTCTGGCACCTGTCTGTGCATCCACATACAATCTGGGTGCATCTCACATAGGTATGTATTAAGTGTGTGTGTTTGCTCGTGTGTGCCTGTGTGTCTCTTCTTCTGGGTGACTGGGTCAGCTGTGAATGTGGGGATGGAGCCCCGACTGAGCTCTCCAAGGGCAGGCAGTTCTCTGCTTCTGTCTCATCTCACCCTTCCCTGTGGATAACACTTGGCCTCCACTGAAGCCTGTGTGAGCTCCTCACTGTCCCATGCACTGGTATACTCACTCCTACCTCTCTGTCTTCTCTCTTGAAATGACTCTCATCCCTCCTGCCTCATCCTTCCCACATGTTCAGGCTCAGCCGCCTTTCCCTCCATGAACATGCCTGACTGTCCCAGGCTCTGCGACCCCCTACTCAGAGGGCCGCAGCGTGCAGAGGCTGTGCTTTGCAGTGCATCATGGAGCGCAACCTAAGTCTCTAAAGGAATCGGGGTGGCCTTATCGAGTGCTTGATGGAAATGAGCTTCTGCAGGTGTCTAGATTGGGTTGCCCTGAAACTAAAGCCTAAGAAAAAACTTAAGTGCAGGAAATGTCTTGGAGAAGTGATCCCAGAGGAAACAGGAATCAAGGAGTTGGGCAAGTGGGAGATGGGGATGGAGGAAAAGGCAACATGAAGGAGAGCTATTGAGGCAGCAGGAGCAGGGTCCACTGGGACCTCTGAGAACTGTACAAAGTGCCCCTCAGAATTGTCTATTCCATGCTGGAAACCGGGACTTTAATCCATATGCTCCCTGCCACATGGGCTGGCAGGCTGAATGGACTCTCCTTCAGGGCAGGCCCTGAGGCTGGGAAAGGGAGAGAGCTGCTTGTGCTGCAAGCGATGCATTGTCTGCATGAGTCTGGGCTGCCTGGGACCTGTCCCTGCTGCTGCTGAAACCAGAGGGGCACTGAGGGGAAGTGGTTCAGGATGCCAAAATCATGTGCTGCATTAGCCCTGTTGGCCTGGTGCCACTTTGTATTTTCCACTTTATTTATCAAACATTTATTGAGCACCACTGTATAACTCTGCTTCAGGCACCAAATTACAAAGAGCTCCAAGCCTGTTTTTTGTGTCCTCCCATTTAGCTCTAAAACTGTTTGATGCAAGGAATTGATGTTCTGGACATACAGTAGGTACTGAAACAGATTTGTTAATTGATTAATTTGTTGATTGAACAATTTACTAAACTAAGAGTTTACGGTTTCTATATTAAAAGCCATTCCTCATCTAAGAGAATTCAAAAGTTTACTTCCCATTCTCTGGAGCATTCTAACCTCCGGTGTATGCAATACACATCCCAATGATAAAGTCCTTAATAACTACAGGATGACTTGGCAGAATGATTTAGATCTGAAGTCCAGAGCATGGCAATTACATCTGGCTCCCAACTTTTAAAAAATGGAAATAATCTTTATCTGAATTTTTAAAGGTATGTTAAAATCATAACATCAAATGTCAAATGTTGCGATGACCTATCCTGCCCATGTGAGAGGTGGCAGAGAGGATATAGAGCCTTAGTATGCATGTTGCCATCATCTAAAGGTTAAAAACATCTGATGCGATCTGGTACGCTAATTGTACTTTTATCGATCACATTGGGAACCTGAATAGCACCAGGGAAATGAAATTCTTGAGGCCGGCCTTTCTGCCATAGACCTTCCTCATTTCCTTTGGACAAATGAGATGTTTGGAGAAGGAATTCGTCTCTAGGGGTTTGCTGTCCTGCTAAATTATTTTCTATTTCTCATTAATTCTTGTCTTCCTCTTGCCCACGCCACCCATCCCCTCCACGCCCTCCCTTGCCTCTCTGGGCCACATCAAGCTGTCAGACTCACCTGAGCTCAGAGGCTATTCCTTGCTGCCACACTATGTTCCCTTCCATCCGAACCCAGGGCTCCCAGGACCCCGCCATGGAGGGCTTAATTATGCCCTTCTGCAGTTATTTGTTAATTGTTTCATCTGTGACTCTGCTTGCTGCATAAAAGATATGATACTGCCTTTAGTTTAAAAGACATACTTTAAGTAGTTGTAAGAAAATATAAAATGATGCCTCAGGAACTGCTTTAAAATTGCCAGAGGGACTTTAGGAAAGTAAATGTAAAACTGGAGTCAAGGTAGAGAATCTGGACTCCTCCTTCTGGAGGGCCAGGCACTCATATGGACACTCCAAGTTAGGGCGGGGGTGCAGAACAGTGGGGCAGGGAAGGGCAGAGGACCAGGAATAACAGCCTGCACAGCCTGGATGAATTGCACAGACCTAGTGCTGAGCCAAAGAAGCCAGGCACAAAAGAACACATACTGTGGGATTCCACCAACACGAAGTCAGGAAGAGGCAAAACTCATCCAAGGTGCTGGAGGTCAGGCTCGGGGTTACCTCTCGGTGTGTGAGTGTGGCAGTGATCTACACCATGATGTGGGTGGTGCACACACAAGTAGGAACCCACCAAATCATACGCCTGAGATTGATGCCCTTTATCATATGTGCATACTCTCTCCGTTAAAAAGTAATGCCACCCACAACAATAATAGAATAGTGGATGTCCATTGAACCTCTCTTTTCCCGGTGCCCGGCACTGCACTAACTACTTCCTGTGGGCCCCACATCACTCCTTACAAGCATCTTCACAGCAGGCATCTCCAGCTTCATTTTCCAGAGGGGAAACCAAGGCTCAGAGAGATTAAGAAACATGTCCAAGCATGCCTGAGTTACAAACTCCTCCAATTGGGAATCCAGACAAAAATGGCAGTATTTCCCAAAGTGAGGATCCTACCTGGAGTCAAGCCCCAGACTAGACAAAGGCTGGTCCCCTCCAAGCTATCAATCTCCCTCCTTCCATGCTCACTGCTTTTCCAGTTGGAGGAAAAGCAGCACAGCCTTCATGTCTGGGAAGTTTTTATGGAGGACAGGGAGATGCTCTTTTCCAGGGGTCAGAGGTCACAGTGCAGAGGCACCTTGGGGGTGGCAGTGAGTAGAGGAGAAGCCACCAGTGGGGAAAAAAGCCCAAAGCCCAGACTCCTCAGTCAGAACTTGCTGCATCTCCCCAGCTAGACTGTACAGGAGCACATCAGATTCCCCTGGGCACTATGCACTCAAGGCACTTACTGATTATTTACTGGGGGTGCAGTGATTGACCTCACATCTGGCTGAAAAAAGACCTTTCCTTCCTTCTTTCCTTCCTTCCTTCCTTCCTTCTTCCCTCCCTCCCTCTCTCCCTCCCTTTTTTCCTTCTCTCCTCCCTTCCTTTCTTCCTTCCCTCCTTTCCTTTCGCCTCCTTCCTTCCTCCTTCCCTCCCTTCCTCCCTTCCTTTCTTCCTTCCCTCCCTCAGCCTTCCTCTCTCCCTCTCTTCCTCCCTTCCTTTCTTCCTTCCCTCCTTCCTCCCTCCCTGCCTGCCTCCCTTCCTCCCTTCCTTTCCTTTTTGCCTCCCCACCTCCTTCCTCCCACCTTTCCTTCTTGAAGCTGGGCCCCTGAATATCCCGTTAATCGGCCTGAGTCAGGCCCTCCCCCACCCCTGCCCAAGAGCCCCACTCCTTTCTTTCTTCCTTTCCTCCCTCCTCTCCTCCCTCCATCCCTCCTCTGCTCCCTCCATCCCTCCTTCCTGCCTGCCTTCCAATACGTATTCGTGGAGCACCGACAATGTGCCAGACACTAGAGATGCTGTGGTGAACACAGCAGTGAGTCCTTGCTGTCAAGGAGCTTACAGTCTGGTAGGAGAGACCCACTATGAAAAATCAAACAAATACACACAACAAATGATATAAAGTATCTTGCATATTGTCAAGTGCAAGGGAGACAAATACAGCAGCTAAGGGTAGTGGGTCTGGGACTGGAGATAGGATAGGGAAGGTGATGAAGAGTGACCTCTCTGTGGGGGCCTGAAATGAGCAGACATTCACAGGTCAGGAGACTAGCATGCCAGGGAGTGGGCAGCAGGTGCACAGGCCCTGAGGTGTGAAAGAAGCTCTTGTGTCCGAAGAATGGCAGAGGCCAGTTTGGTTGGGTGAGAGAAAGAGAGCAGTAGTTGGGGTCAGAGGATCAGGCAGGGGCTGATGGCATGGAGCTTCATTTCTACACTGAATATAATGAGACCATTTGAAAATTTTTGAAGAGAGGCTGGCATGATCTGAATTTCCTTAGAAAGATCACTCTGGCCACCCAGTGTACTAGAGACTTGTGGCAAGCCCGATGGAGACAGGAGACACCCATTGGGTGACTTCTCCAGAGTCTAGGCAAGAGACCAGGGAAGCCTGGAACGCTCAGAGCTTGGATGAGCCTCTCCTCGAATCCTACATATAGCACCTGGAGTGGCCCTGAAGATGCTGTTAGTGGCCCTGAGCCAGGCCCTCCACCACCTCTGTCCAAGGGCCCCACTGGTGAAATTATAAATTGTTTTGGGGACATGACGTTAACAATCAATGAGTCAAGTAGAACATGTTTCTCTTTTTCCGTTCTCCTTTAATCATTCTGGTTCCCCTTGGGAACCAGATTTCCTAACACTTACAACAGGGGTCTCCAAGGTAGGCTGCATCAGCCCGGAGGATGTGCAAGATAATCTTTTAGAGCAAAAGTTGAAAATGTTGAAACTTATAATTATAGCTAGTTTTCACTTCAATTATCTCTGGGCTATTTAGTCCATGCTTATAACATGCATAGTACCTCAGCAGAGCTGTACATGGACTTCATTTATAAATACATGTATTGGGGGATATCGTTAGATATTTTGTGATGGGGTGAGCATCAAAAAATATTTGAAATTCATTGGCCTACAGAGTGAATTCTAAATTCTTCACCATGGCTTACCACTCCCCTATCATGACCTCCTCCTGCTTATTTCTCCAGCCACATTGCCACTTCCTCCCTTATTCCTGCATCCTCTGTGTCAGCCACACAGCACTGCCTTCCCATCGGCCTGCCTGTTGATTGGAGAGCAGAGGGTAGACATTGGTGGGAAATTATTCACTTACTTTTAAAACTTAGCATTTCCTGGACCATCTCCCATACCCCACATGCTACCATCATGCCCTGAAAGTATTTTTAGCACAGCACTGAACACACTTTGTTGCTCCTATTTATATCTAGTTTGTCTGTCTCCTCTGGTTGTGAGCTCTTTGAGACAGGAGTGGTGATTTGCTGGTCTTTGGATCTTAGGGTGGTCAGATTTGGCAAATAAAAATACAGGAAGCCCAATGAATATGATTTTAGTATAAGTATGTCCCCTGGAACATACTTATTTGGGACATACTTATACTATACAATTATTTGCTATGTGAAATTCAAATTTAACTGTATTTTAACTGGCAACCCTATAGAATCATGAGAACCTAGCTCAGGTGCTTCCATGGTAGACATGCTTGATAATTATCTTTTGAATGAATGTCTGAATTAGTAAATTAGATAGTAGTGATAAAGATTCTTGCCCCCCGACAAAAAAAAATCCCAGAGAGATATAAGAACTGGAGCAACACCAAAAAACTTTAACTTTTAAATAAGTGTGATGCTTCAAGTGGCAATTTAGTATCTTTAAGAGTGTGTGTGTGTGTGTGTGTGTGTGTGTGTACTTCCAACTCTGCTCACTATATGTATGGACCTGGAAGCAATAAGCAATGACCTCCTAATATCCATGAACACACCTAGTACCCATATCTTGATTTCAGAATATCATTCTTCTCTAAAGGTTACATGGAGAGATGGCTGGAAAGCATAAGGGCTGCCTAGAACATTCTGTTTTTTCTGAAAAACAAGGAAAAAAAGATTAATTGGGTCATGTATAAAGGACACAGGACTAGCTGGAAGAGGCTTCAGTGCACAAATCTGTGACAATCTGAGCGTCAGGAAGGATAATGTTGATAATGGATATCAACACATTGAAAAAATAATGAGTGTGTAGTGATGAGAGAATGAGAGACAGAGAAAGTGAGAAAGGAGAGAGAAAACAAGATAGAACAGAAGACAAAGAGAGAAAAGGGGAGAGGAAGGGAAGGGACAAGGACAGAATGAGAAGGTAAAAGGGTGAAAAGTTTATTCTTCCCAGGAGACTGTCAGCTAATAAAAGTGAAAGGAACAAGAAAGTAGAAAATCACCATTTTGTGACTGGCAATAAAATAATTGATTCAGGTAAATATAAACAAATATGATAAAGAATTTTGTAAAAGGTCATTCAAGAATGAGATATTCACATGGACTAAAATTATCACACACACACACACACACACACACACACACACACACACACACAGAGTTTATTTGTTAATTACCCAGTGAGAAAGTGAATGGTTACAATGGCAAGATGGGGCATCCTTACTCTAATCAAGTACAAGTAATGAAGCATCATGCATGTTGGACCCAAAATGATGTGTCTTCTGATAGGAAGCACTAAGGCACACCATCAACACCCATAGCATATCCTTGGCAAAAATGCTTGACAAGAATCTAATCATAAGAAAACAATCAGACCAACCCAGAACGCAGGAAATTTTATGAGACAATTGACCTGAAATCTTTACAAATGTCGGTGTCATGAAAGACAAAAACAAAACTGAGAGGGCTGTTTTAGAGTAAAAGCCACCGAAGTCACATAACAGCCACGTGTCATGGAGAAACCTTGATTGGGTCCTGGCCTGCTGGAGGGGAGCAGGGAGCTACAAAAATCCTTTGGGGGACAACCGGGAAAATGGAAATGATATTGAACTAATGTTAATTTTCTTAGAGGTGAGTGCTGCGTGGTGGGTCTGTGAAAGGATATTCTAATTCTCCTTGCATCTCCAGATGCATGCCAAAGGATGAGGCGCCGCGGTGTCTGCAACTTAATTTCAAATGGTTCAGAGACAAAGAAAACGAATCTAGGGGAAGAGTTTTAAAATCTTAAAAGTAAAAAAATGCAAAAAAAGGAGAGAGGACAGCATGAAGATAGTGGAAGAAGAAAAGCTTGAGAAATAGGAGAGAGTCTGAGAGGGACAAAGGTAGGGCAGAGCGTTTGTGATTTCCCCAGCAGGTGATGGAGGGGGGAATGGTCCTAGACCCTCCTTCTAGGGTTCCCATCACCTCCTTCCTTCTCCTGGACATACTCCTCCCCAAGCCCCAGCAAAGCCGCCATTCTGGCTTCGGGGTGCTCTGTGAGGTACCCCTGCCTAGAGCAGAACTGGACATGTGATTGATGAAGCTAGAAGCTCCTCTGATAAATTTGGCCCTTCCCATCAGAGCTCAATGTTTCCAAGTATTACATTGCCCTTTAATATCTTTATTAAAACACATAACACACACACACACACACACACACACACACACACAGAGAGAGAGAGAGAGAGAGAGAGGGAGAAATGTACAAGAACAATCCAACACCTGAGAGAGAGAGAGAGAGAGAGAGAGAGAGAGAGAGAAATATACAAGAACAATCCAACACCTCCCTGCAGCTCTTCTGCTTCCTGGCTGCTGCCTGGCCTATCACAGATGACGAAATGCACCATCTGAGCAATGATTCCTTTCAACACAATAATTACAAAACACTTAGCAGTATTTCTAAATGATTATACGTTTTATTTAAATATTTATCTTTCTCAAATTTGACTTAAAATCTATAAGTAATTAGTTATCAGCCCAGCTACCAGGGTGACAGGCAGTTTCCTTAATTTTCTATGCAGTTGACAGGTTTTAGCTCAGAAATTATTCTAGTCACAGCATACTTCAAAGGTCTAAATGAAAAAAAAGTTAAATGCCTTAATATCTTTGAGATTTGCAAAGATATTTGAGGATTTGCTGAGGGATTCAGTGTAGGATGAAGAAAGTGTTTTGTTAGCAGGGAGACTAACTTGCATCTCCAATTTGAAAGAAAATGTGAAATCCAAATGCACAAAGATTATTTAGATGAGAGAGCACTGAGCAATCATTGTTATTCCTCTGTAGCCCACGTCTTTGAGTCCTAGGTTACACCAGTTCAGAGGAAATACAGGAAAGCATGCTTTCCTCCTCTGGCAAGGGTAACCACAGTTTAACAAGGATAAAATGCAAACTGGCAAACACTAATTATGAGGTGTCTACACTATAATTAAAGCTCTAACCCCTCTCCAACAAATACACACCAGCCAGCTGTATTTGCAAGGCTGCCGTGTCCATTCCCTTTGGGGAGCCGGCTCTGGGCCCTGTGTCTGTTTGTACCTCATTGCTTGTGATATCACGGTGCTAATTTGCTGGCTTCTGGGCTAGGTCATCCTGGCAGACTCCCCCCACCCCCGGCCTGACACTGACCTGTCCCATTGGGGTATTCTAGGCTTTCAGTGGTTTGTCCCCACTCCCGTGGGAGAGAGTGCAGTGAAGAAATCATGACTCTGCTTACGTGAGCCCTTTCTAGAGGCTCAGCTCCTTGTCTGGGGCTGTGATTCTAGAAGTGACTAAACCAGGGCCCTGGGCTTCAAGGAGCACAGAAGAAGTGGTTTCAGCTGTAACTCCAGCATATACACAGAGCCCTTAAACAGCTACGTTTCATGGGAGCTGCTTCTGAGATATGTACACACACACATGCATGTATGTATGTATTGTACATATGAAGTATTATATGTATGTGTTGTGTATATGTTTATAAGTATGTAATATGTGTATAAATATGGCTTTGTATATACATCCAGATATGTAGGTGAAATGTCCATATTTTTAAAAATGCTTTGCAGACCAAATAAAATGTCTACTGGCTAAAATGGGCTGTCAATTTGCAGTTCCTTAAGTTGAGGCCAATAGAGGGCCCCCAGGTCACCAAGGCTGTGCCAGAACCGCACCTATCCCCTGGACACTGCCCTCATTCCCATGAATCTGACCTGGCACCTGGGTGGGAGGACACCCTCCTTTCTCCCCAAGGTGTTTCCCTCTCCGCTTCCCCTGTAGATGGGCCTGGAGGGACTTGGGCCTCACCTTGGCCTGTGTGTTCCACAAAAGGTTAAGGCATGGGATTTTTTCTGGCTGTTAACTCACAACCTGGCGCATGTGCTCCCTTTATAGTTCGAATGGGCTTTTTGTGAGAAAGCTTTGGTGGCGCTCCCTACAAATCACACCATCGCGGAAGAATTTTTTAAAGCCCCAGTTCGTGCAGAAGCAGAAATGGCTTCATGGGCCCAGATGTGGTGCCTTTCTTTGCCCTTCTTGCCTTTAACATTCCCCGGCCTTCCTGCATCCCTACTTTACCAAGAGGACAGGCTGAACTGCCTCAAGAAATGAACTTTGTGTTCTGGGATTCCTGCTCAGACGTCAGGGAATGGGAGGAAACTGAGAGACCAGGCTGCATAGTTTGAGGCTCCACAAAACAGAGGGTGTCAAAGGCCCTCCTGAATTAGGGGCAGAGAAAAATGGAAAATTACATGTCCCACCTCTTGTCCTCTTGAGTTGTCTGGCCAGCTGTCTTGGGGCTGCCTCAGGATCACGGAGGTAGGGGTCCATTCCCCTGAGCCCTTTGTGCTGCCTGTTCCCCCTCTCCACACCAGGAGATAGCATGGATGCCACATGCCTTGGGGGCTTGGGCTTGATTCAGCAACCTGACTCCCAGGGGTGAGCCTTGGACAGGATGCTATCTCTTCTGAGTGTTAGGCTTGCTGGTATCACCCTTTAATATCAGCCCCTTACCCCCAGCCTACCAACTTCTCCTTCTATTTCCAGATATACTGGTGACTGTTAACTCACAGCTGCCAGCTCTCTCAGACCTGGACTCATCCTTTCATTTCAGTTTCCAGGGACCCTGGCACTGTCCCTCAGGACATGTTTTCTAATCTGCATTTTTCTAACTTTGTAGCATAGCACAGGACAGCTCTGACTGACTGATCCAGGCCTCAGAAAAACCATGGCCTCAGAGGCCCATGTCTTCCATGCACCGACTTTTCCTCTTTTCTACCTGGAGCTCACTCCCTCATCCTGTTCTGCCTTCTTTTCCCAATTAACTCAAGCCCATTTTTCTCATTCCTCCAACCAAGCTTGCTGTCGGAGAAGTCCTGATACCTCTCATTTGCACCCCAATGTAAGCTAGTGTCACTTGCCCCAGGGAGACTGGCTTTAAATCTGCTCTCTGGTTGCAGAATGGAACTTCAGGTCCCAGGGAGCAGGAGGGAGCTGGCTGGGGTGTGGCCGATCACCTCCTGGCTGCATGGGCCTCAGGTGAACAAATCTGGAGTGAAATAAAAACCTCTATACAGCTAAGGAAGACTTGGCACCCCTGGTGAATCAGTGGGCAGGCTGGGAAACAGAGATCCTTAGTATCTGGCATCAGCTGTCTGGTTTGCAAGGTTGACTCAGCTATGGCCATCAGTGATTCATTTAACAAGCATTTGTTGAGCACCAACTATGTATCAGTCATAGTTTAGGCACTGAGAATGCAGCAGTGAACAGAAAGACAAAATCCCTGTCCTCATGGAGCTTGTATTCTAGTCAGGGGGGCAGCTGATAAACAAAGTAAATAATTAAATACATGGTATACTAGAAAGTGATAAGAACTAAGAAGAAGAAAATAACGAAGGAAGGGGAATGAACTGTTGGAGTAGGGTTGAATTTTAAACCAGTAACTGGGGAAACCCTTGCGGAGAGGTGAATTTTAGGTAAAGATTGGAGGCAAGCAAGGAAGGGCTCCAGGGTGATATATACAATGGCACGTGCAAAGGCCTTGCGGCTGGGCATGTCTGGGATGTTTCTGGCACAGTGAGGAGATCAGCAGCCAGCACAGGAGTGAGTGAGGGGAGAGCAATAGCAGATGAATATGGGTTTTGAAGAGTATGTGGTAGGAAAATCTGACCTGATCTGAGGAGGGGGTTGCTGGTTAGGGGAAGTGATGATCATAGGGCAATATGAAGGATGAAGGATAGGTGGGAGTTAACTATTAATAGGTGAAAGGGGTGGGTGTGGGAAGAGTGTCCTAGTAACAGGAAGGGGTCTGATGGCAAGGAGGCTGGAAATGGACCTGGCTTTTATGCTGAGATGGCAGCTATGAGAGGGTGTGAGCAGGGAGAGACATTAACCGACTAACGCTTTAACAAGGTTGCTCTGGATGCTCTGTTGAGAAGAGACAGCAGAGAAGTGAGAGCAGTTAGGAGGCTACTTCAGTGATCCAAGTGGTACCAGGATGGGCAGTGGTGGAGGTGAGAAGCACTCGGATGCTGGGTGTGTGGTAAAGGGAGAGCTGATGGAATTTGCTGCTAGACCCAGATACAGAGTGTGAGAAAAAGAAAGGAGTCAGGAATGACCCCAGGATTTTTGGCTTGAGAACAAACATAATGGATTTGCTGTTGGCTGAGTTGGAGGTGACTGCACAGGGAACAGGTTTGGGGGTGGTGAAGATGGAAGGGTAGCATTGATCATTCATTCATTCCATAAGCTACTTATTAGGCACATCTAAATGCTTGGCAGTGTGCCAGGGCTGGAAGTAGTGGGGAGTGATGCCTAGGATGGTCCCTTACCTTGTTATCCTAATGGCCCAGCTGGGAAGAGGTACCATAATCCAGTAATCATGCAATAAGTGCATAAATAGCATTACCACAAGGTCTACACAGGAGGAGAACATACATTTTGAAGGGTAGGTGGTAGGAAAATCTAACCTAGTCTGGGGAGGGAGCTGCTCATTAGGGGAAGTGATGATCACGGGGCAATATGAAGGATGTGTGAGAGTTAACTATTAATAGGTAAAAGGGCTGGATGTGGGAAGGGCGTCCCAGTAAGAGGAACAGCATATGTGAAGGTCCTGTGGTCAGAGAAAGCATGACAGCGTCGGACATTTGAGGAAGAGTAGAACAGGCAGAGTACCTGGAAAACAGCAGGGAAGAGAGCATGTTAGAGAAGATGCTCGAAAGGCTTGCAGGCCATATGCAGGTCATTTGTTATGATTAGAAAAGCAATGAGACACCATTAAAGCACTTTAAACAGAGGCAGGAGCTGTCCAGGTGTCCATTTTTGAAAGATCACTCTGGCTGCAGAGAGGAAAATGAATTGGAGAGCACCAGACTGCAAGTGGAAGACCCAGAAGGAGGTGATTGCACAATCCAGCAAAGAGATGATAAAACTGTGGACAGAAACTGGCAGATTGACAAGATATTTAGAAGGTAAGGAAACCAGCAGTACTTTTCAATATGCTGGTATGAGGGATGAAGAGAGAAAATAGAAAGATTGTGTCTTTTAATCATGAATGTAGACAGAATGTAGAAAATGAAACTCAGGGTCTTTTCCTATTATTAAACAATTGGCTACAAATTCTTAATGAGAAATGCAGCACACTCCAAACACTTGTGTTGCCTTCTACTAGTTCCTGAGATAAAATTCTTGGGCCTAAAATTGTATATATATCATACTTGGGCTGAACTGAGTAGAGGCATCTAAATCCAGTGGCAGAGCCATGGGAAGCAGTGGAGTGGGGTGAGGAGTGGAGAGGGATTAAAGCCACAGTAAGCAGAGATAGACACAGCTGGCTTTGAAGCTCAGCCCTGCCATCTGCTATGTATGAGGTTTATCAGTCACTCATCGAGTCTGAGCCTCAGGGTCTTTGTCTATAAAATGAAAATAATAGCACCAATGCAATGTTGCTTGTGATGGATAGATGAAATGGCACATGCAAAGTGAATACCCAGTACCTGAAACAGGATTAATAAAAGGTTATTGTAATTATTATTTATAATTATGCTACTGTTTATCAGAGGACTTTAGCACCTTGATTTACAGTCTGCCTGTATCAGCTAGCTATTGCAATAATAATGCTGCATAACAAACAACTCCAAAAGTCAGTGGCTTAAAAAAATAAGCATTTACTTTCACTCTTTTATTTGTAGGTTAGCTGAGTTCTGCTGAGCTCAGGCTCCACAGGTGATTCTAGGAATCTACTGGGTCCAGATCTGCTCCACAGGTCTTGGGCATGCCATTCTCATTGCAGCTGCAGGAGCACAAGAGGGCCAGCTTAAATATACCAGCATATTTCAAACCTCTGCCTGCATCATGTTCACCAGTGTATCTTTGGAGAAGAGAGTCACACAGCCAAATTCAAGAAGTGGAAAAATATACTTCACCTCTAGTGGGAGGAATTGCAAAATCACATGACAAAGAATGTGGACATAGGGAGGGTGAAGAATTAGGGCCAATTGCCCTATTTATCGCATCACTCTTCAACACCTCTGCTTTTCCACGAAGAATCATTTGGGATCATTCAGGGATAGAAAAATGGCTGTTGAGACCCAAGTCTCTTTTCCACTCTAGTTTCTTTCATCTCCATGTTCCTCCCAGCAATTCTTTTTCAGGGCTGTGACTTTGTGTTCCTTTCAAGGAGGGTCAGTCAAGCTTCTTTGATTGTAAGCCAAAGCAAACAACTCTTGCCATTCTATCAAAAAGGGAATCAAATGAAGGCTATCAGGCAGCTCAAAGACGTTCAGGAAGCTGGAGAACCAGGCTAAAAACAGAGCATATGACAGCAGGCCAGCTCTGGGGATCCTCGCAGCAGAACCTGCACAACTCTCTGCCAGGCACTGATGCTGGGGCAAGGGAGCTCCCACAAGGCTTTCCGACACTGTGTCTTTGGGCTCAGGATTCAAAGTCCTAAAAGAGAGTCTCATTGGCTTAACTCCTGTCTCTTGGTCAGGACAGGGTAGGGCACCACAGTTTATAGATTTCCAGCACTATCCAAAGTAGGAAATAGTGGCTTCCCAAAAGAAAGTCAGAATGCTATTAGGAAGAGAGAATGAGATAAGATGTCCAAAAAAAAAACCTGATGTCCTCTTTGTCAGACTTCCAAGCCAATGGTGTAACAGAAAGAGCCTTGGAGAGCTGACATGGGCTGGATTTTATCCACTACTCTGCCACTAACTTGCTTGGAACACCGAAAGCTGAATTCTGTGGATTCTTTCTTCACAAACACTTGTATGGCACTTAACGGTGTTGCAGGCAATAATCTAAGAACTTGGCAAATATTAACTCAGCAGTCCCTGATCTCAAGGAGCCATTAGGGAGGACGGCAACTTACCTCATCTCACTGATTGGTTGTAAGGACTAAATAAACATGTGAAACATCTAGCAGAACTCCTGGCATGCAGATAATGTTAAAAAAAAATGCCAGTTGCCATCTCCCACCAATCCCCCACTTCCATCTTATGGAGAGCTCCATAAGACAGGAAACTGCCTGAGGTTTCAGGGACCATCCTGAGTTGATATTGACATTTAGGACAGCTCCCCATTTAATAGAACAGCCTGACCCCTCTGCCCACTGGAGTCCAATAGGAGGTTTGGGACATTGTAAGACATGCTAGCACATCTTCAGAGTGAACTGAGGTATGACCTCAGGGTGTCTGTTACGTCCATCTTCAGCATTTTCTCATGCCAGGGAAATTTGTTGCCTCCTTTCCTACGCTCTGAGCAGTGCCATACACATTCCAATGTGATGAAGGGAATGTTTCCTATTAGTGCTGTCTAGTATGGTAGCCAATAGCCACAGCTGGCTACTGAACCCATGAAAGAGGGCTAATTTTACTGAGGAAATGAATTTAAAAATTGAATTCAATTTTAATCTTTGAAATTTAAATAACCACTTGTGACTAGCAGCCACTGGATAGAGAGTGCAGCTAGAGCTGTTCGTGCTGTAGAATACACCTCAGGGGCTCTGACACCTGGGGTAGGGGCAGCCAGATGGTGCCTTTAGGGAAGGCTCACTGGCAATGTCTCACTTTCCACCCTTAGGAGGCTGCTTCAGAAGGGTCTCTGCTTTGACCATCTCCAGCCCTGGCCCCTGCTCCCCCCAACTCCTAGCAGCCCCCCCCACCCCCACCCCAGGGTGGAGCAGTCAGCTGACGACTTGGTTGGGGATCATCTTGCTTCAATTCTGCGGCTCAGTGTTCTCACAATCGACAGGCCCAAAAGTTAGTGGGGGTGAGATAAATGGGAGACACTTGGAGAAGATTTAATTAATCCGGGGTTTCAGTTCCCCCAGCGCAACTCATACCTTTACAGCCACCTGTCTCTTGGTTGCATTCACAGGTTGCATTTTACAGAAGAAGAACAACAACAAAAGTCCTCTATACACCAATAAGAAGAGCCAGGACCACAAAATGTGAAAGCTGAAGGGAACCTTCAAGAGCATCTGACTCAACATCCTTATTTTATGGGTGGGGAAATGGACTCATCCTAATTTTAGCATGGGTGTCTTAATCTGTTCCTACTGCTATAATAAAATACCTGAGAGTAGGTAATTTACAAATAACAGAAATTTATTTCTTACTGGTGGCTGGAAGTTCAAGATCAAGGTGCCAGCAGGTTTGGTGTGTGGTGAGGGCTGCTCTCTGCTTCCAGGATGGTGTCTTATTACTGCATCCTCTGGAGGGGACGAATGCTTTGTCCTTACATGACAGAAGGAAAAGAAAGATGAAAAGGGGCCTAGCTAGTTTCCTCCAGCCTTTTATAAGATGCTAATCCCATCTCTCATGGTATAATCACTTTCTAAAGTTCCCACCCCTTAGGATGGTTGTATTGGGGATTAAGTTTCAGCATGAATTTTGCAGGGGGCACAAACATTCAAAGGATAGCTGTGGACAAGCTGGGTGTTGGCCTCGCTGGTCTAGTCCTGCAGGATGGGCTGTGGGAAAGGAGACAGCCTTCCTCCCATAACTGAGCTGATGAAGCCAGAGGAAAAGGCCACAGGATCCCAAGAAAGGGAGCTGGGGGCACACCCACAGACACGTATCCAAGATCTGAGCAAGGGGTGGGGAGGAGAGCGGTGGGGTCCAGGCAGACAGAAAGCTGGGGCAGGTGAGGTCAGCCAGAGAGGGGTGGACCCACATTCTGGGCAATTAGCAGAGCACCCCTCAGG
This sequence comes from Homo sapiens, assembly GCF_000001405.40. Taxonomy (NCBI): domain Eukaryota; kingdom Metazoa; phylum Chordata; class Mammalia; order Primates; family Hominidae; genus Homo; species Homo sapiens. The sequence goes on along the minus strand of NC_000002.12, from coordinate 119,060,924 downwards.
GCCCACCCAAAGACTCTCCTGGGTTGCTGGGGCCCATTTCTTTTTTCTTTTTTTGAGATTTTTAACAATAGTGAATATCATATGTGTTTGTTTATTTTTATTATACTTTAAGTTCTAGGGTACATGTGCACGAAGTGCAGGTTTGTTACATAGTTATACATGTACCACGTTGGTTGGCTGCACCCATCAACTCGTCATTTACATTAGGTATTTCTCCTAATGCTATCCCTCCCCCAACCCCCCACCCACCCACCGGCCCCGGTATGTGATGTTCTCTGGGGCCCATTTCTTGAACAGTCTGCATCTATTTTACAAACCCAAGAAGGAGCACAGGATTTTAAAAAGCAGTGAAAGGTAGTCATTCACAGAACCAGGACTCACTCCCATGTCCTCTGATTCCCCTCCCAGTCCTCTTTCCACCACTTCACCCTGGTGAAACAGGACACACATTTTGAAACAGCTTTTCCATCTAGAGTTATTTGACAGTATACACGATTATAATGTTAGGTATAATTACTTGGGCTTGTCTTACTAAGGGCCAGGAATGTGCTGATGGTTTCATAGGCCATTATGTCACTTGATATTCCTAACAGTTCTGTCAAGTAGGTTTTCTTCTACCCATTTCCCAGGTGTGGAAACAATCTTAGGGAGATCGAGTGACCTATCAAAGGTTGAAGAGCTAGCAACTGGCAGAGCTGAAATTTGCACTCAGCGCTGTCTGACTTGAAACTCTTGCTCTTGTAAGTCTTGTGGGTGGAGCAGTACTGCCTCCCTAGCCACACTGACAGACTCGGAGACTTACAGGTGGCATGACAGCCTGGGGACGCAGGGCTTGGTAGCAGCATAGAGGACAAAACCTGGGACCCTGATCCACCTCTGAGTTCTGTGCTTCCTCCAGAGACCACGTTTCCCCTTTCTCATATGTCCTAGTTTCCTCTTTTGGCCAGGTGACTTCACAATTGATTTTATTTGGCAGGTGGGGAGAGGTCTCTCCTGTGGTGGTCCCAACAGTGAATATTGATTTTTGGGGGCCAGGAGTGTGCTCTCATTTGGGTCATCTCTGAACCACACCACTTCTTGAGTGGCATCCCATGGTGAAGACGGTACCTTGTCCTTTTGGCCAGCACCTTGGACGTGAAGGGAGGCAGGGTTCCCAGCAGACTGCTGGGAAAAGGTTAGGAGCTCCATGCAGCATCCTCGATGAACACTGTGGACCACTCCACAGGAGAATAGATGTCTGAGCAAAGAGCACTCACCACTGATTAATAGGCATGCACTCTCCCTCTACGGGGGCAGGGCTGGAGGGCTGTTAATCATCTCACCACAGTTCCCTTCATCAGAGCACAGGAGTGCCCACGTGCTCCCCATGTCCGGGGAGAGGTGTGCCTCAAACTCTCAGGTAGGGCCAAGCTGCCAGCCTGTCCATGGCTACCAAAATGTTCCTGGGAGGACCAGGAAGGCCTTACCTGGGGGGCTTGTTCCACTCCCATCACTGTACGCCTCTCACCAAGCGCTTCCCAGCCCCACTGGAGATAGCAGCTCAGCTTCACCTCTGAGTGATATACTCTGCCCTCGAGGGTGGGGGAAAAATGGCAAAAAGCCAAACATGCCTTGGGGACAAAATTCCACTGAGAACCTGGGCAATATAGCAACACTCCGTCTGTACAATTTTTTTTTTTTGAAGTCCAGCCAGGTGTGGATTTTTGTGCCTATGGTCCCAGGTACTCAGGAAGCTGAGGTGGGAGGATTGCTGGAGTCTGGGAGGTTAAGAAGACAGTGAGCCATGTTCACACCACTGCACTCTAGCAGCCTGGGTGGCAGAGTGAGACCCTGTCTCAAAAAAGGGAAGAAAGAAAGAAAGAAGGGAAGAAAGAAAGAAAGGAAAGGAAAGGAAAGGAAGAAAGAAAGAAAGAAAGAAAGAAAGAAAAAAAGAAAGAAAGAAAGTAAGAAAAGAGAGAAAAGAAAGAAAGAAAGAAAAGAAAGAAAGGGAAAGGGAAAGGAAAGGAAAGGAAAGGGAGGAAGGAAGGAAAAGAAGAAGAAAATTAAATTCAAGGGAGGCCAGAGAACGTCATTCCCCTTTCCAAAGGAATAAAGAGAGATAATATTTGTTTCTTTGTTTTTGTTTCGTTTTGTTTTATTGTGGTAAAATGCACATAGCATAAAATTTACTCATTAGTGACATTTAGTACATTTACAGTGTTGTGTGGCCTTGCCTCTCTCCAGTTCCAAGATGTTTTCACCATCCCCAAAAGGAAACACCATACTCATTAGCGGTCATTCCACAATTCCTCCTCCCCAGCCCCAGGCAACCACTATTCTACGTTCTATTTGGATTTGCCTATTTTGGACATTTCATATAAATAGAATCATATAATATGTGGTCTTTTGTGTTTGGCTTCTTTCACTTGGCATAGTATGTTCAAGGGTCATTCATGTTGTCATTAGTACTTGTTCCTTTCTTATGGCTGAATAATACTCCATTGCATATACATATTACATTGCTTATCCACTCATTTGTTGATGGCCACTGGGTTGCTTCCACCTTTTGGATGTTATGAATAGTGCTGCTATGAACACCCATGTACGAGTTTTCATTTGAACACCTCTTTTCAATACAAGAGATGATATTGTTTTATATGTTTGAAACAAATCCATTATTTCTATGCTGTCCAATAAGGTAGCCACTAGCCAATGTAGATATATAGATTTAAGTCCATTAAAATTACGTAAAAATAAAATTTCAGTTTCTCAGTTGCACTGACCAAATTTTAAGTGCTCAGTAGCTACATGTGGCTGAGGCTACTGTATTACACAGGACAGACATGGGACATTTCCATCATCACAGAAAACTCTATTGGTAAACTCTTATGTAAAATGCACTGTTAATGGAAATCCTGCCAGCCCTTCAGCAGCCACACCAACTCCTGCAGTTTCCAATGCCTTGGGCTTCCCTGATTTCTTCCTTTTCTTGGGTTTTTCTTTGACCGCAGGGCCATTTCCCCGCCATTGTCCTTTCTGGAGCAAGAAGGAATATTTTCTCTGCTTGCTTTTCTTTTTCCCTTTTCACTCCAAGACAGTTAAAGCTAGAGCTCTTGCTTTGCCCCCTAATTCCCATACTCTGATGGATTCTATTCTCATCCAGCATTCTGCATTGCACCCAACATCTGCCCCTTTAACAGTGACCCCCTCGGTCCCTGATGGGGCTTTGGCGTTACTCAGGTAACCCAGTGTGGGCCCAGTCTGCAAACGCTAATGCTGTCACATCAGCATAGCTTTCTCTAAGTCCCAGGTTTTGCCCATTTCTGCATTTGCCCACCTCAACCAAAGCTTTCCAAATGGGTGTTCCTTATGCATATAGGGTGTGAGCTGCAGTCACCTTGCAGGGTTCCCATCCCTCTCTGCTCCTCCAGCACCCCTTGTGGATATCGTTTGTCTGTCAAGGTCCTTGGAGGAACCTTTGGCCAACTGTGCCCTTTACAGAAATGCCACCATCCACTGAGGGCAGGGAAGGCTGGGGGTAGGTTTCTGGGTCTTAGTTCTGGGCATGATATACAAAGCTGTAATGGTTAAGTCTTGGTATATGTTGTGGATCACCACACTCCTGGAACAGTCAAGCTTATATCAGAGGAGGCTGTGTCTGCAGGCTGGATTAGGCTGACCAAGAAGTTGGGAATGGTGAGGAAGTGGCTGGTCCATCTGCCCTTTGGTCAGTCCTACCTGGGCAGAGGCTTTATACCTGATAAGCTCACTTTATAGCATCATTGGGGCATAACCGAGGAGGTCCTCTAGTCCAGGAGCCCTATTTAATAGATGAAGAGATTGAGGCCGAGAAAGCAGACTGGTAGCAAGAAGGAGTGAGAACCCCAAAAAGCATTGTGTGGCCCCACTGCTGCCCGATTCCCTAAATACTTCACATCCTGGAAGCACTATTGTCACAGGCTGCTACCATCAATGCCACCATAAGCCAAGAGGCTGAGGTCCAGAAGTCCACCAGGCCAAGTCAGCTCCCAGACAGGAGGCACACATCACCGGGGCGGCCAGCGGAGACCAGAAGGTCATCACAAAAAAAGATAGGACCCAGTAACATGGCCCAATGTGGGAACAACGGGATTTCATGAGCAAGATGCATCTATACCCTGGCTAATAGGAAAAAGTGCTAAGGATGTCTGTTGACCATGCAGGAGGGTCTGAGAGGTTGGGTATTGCCAAGGAGCAGGTGAGGGGCCCAGGTGGGGAGTTTCCTGGTAGCAACAGGTAAAATGCACATAACTGTGGTAAAAAGGACTCCTCACATCACACTAACAGAACAACCAGAAAGATGAGAGTGAGAAAAGCAAGGAGGAATGGGGGTGTGCACCAGGAGGCCAGCTTCAATAATGCCTTCCTGCTTCACTTCAGGTAGCTGTCCCTACCTCCCAACATGTGGACACCCAGTGGGCACTGACCCCAGGATCCCAGCCCTCCTGAGCGGGAAGCTATGGTGAAAGGGTTGACAATAGCTGGCAGCAGAACAAGCAAGACAACTGGAAGACACAAGATGTGTGTGTCCAGACTACGACCACTATTCCACAGGACCCCTGGTAGGTAGCCAGCCAAGCAGCAGAGACACAGATAAAGACAGCCAAGGAGACAGGAGCCTGGGTCAGCAGCCTCCTCACCATTACTGCCAGGATCATCTTGCAGATGCCTTCAAGCCCTAAATTATGAGGACAAAGAGAAAAATGCCTCAGCAGCTGAAAACAAGTCCTCTGCCAAGACTGACTAGGGCAGAGCTGAGGAATTGTTGGCTTTTTCTACCATTAGCCCCTGTGGACAGCCAGCAAGGACTAACAAATATGAGATTCTAGCAATAAGATGTGAACAAAAGAGGTTGGAGCTGAGGTCGTCCAATACAAAACTGTTGACACAGTAACTAGAGCTCTAAGCATTATCTATGTAGCACAGGGTTTTCATTTTGTGTTTATTCATATACTTTTCTTTTTAGTGACAGCAAACATGATGTTTTTAAAGCCTTCAATTCTTTCACATCTTGTGGAGTTGACATTTGAAAGAGTTTTAATCAAGGAAAGCTTGACAGGTTGTAATACTTGCTTTTGGAGCTGAGGTCGGCCATGTAAGAAATCTAATGACCCAAGACTGCCATGCTGTGAGGAAGCCCAGGCCACAGGTGGAGGCTGTGGGTAGGCACTCCTGTGACAGCCCAGGCTGAGCTCACCATAGACAGCCAGCATCAACCACCAGCCTTTTGAATGGGCCAGCTGGGCCATCCAACACAGTTGAACCTTTGGATGACTTCAACCTGGGCAAACCTCTGAGTTTTGTAACCTGACTTGAGACCTGTTGCAGGAAGTCAGGGATCCCGAATGGAGGGACTGGCTGGAGCCGTGGCAGAGAAACATAAATTATGAAAATTTCATGGACATTTACCAGTTACCAAATAATACTGTCATAATTTCTTATGTCTGTCTTACTTTAATCTCTTAATCCTGTTATCTTCGTAAGCTGAGGATGTACGTCACCACAGGACCACTGTGATAATTGTGTTAACTGTACACATTGAATGTAAAACATGTGTGTTTGAACAATATAAAATCAGTGCACCTTGAAAAAGAACAGAATAACAGCTATTTTCAGGGAACAAGGGAAGACAACCATAAGGTCTGACTGCCTGCAAGGTCGGGCAAAATAGAGCCATATTTTTCTTCTTGCAGAGAGCCTCTGCAAGAAGATGTACAAGTAAGGAAGATATTGCTAGATTTTTTTCCTAGCAAGGAATATTAATAATTAATACCTTGGGGAAGGAATGCATTCCTTGGGGGAGACCTATAAACGGCCACTCTGGGAGTATCTGTCTTATGCAGTTGAAATAAGGACTGAAATACACCCTGGTCTCCTGCAGTACCCTCAGGCTTGTTAGGGTGGGGAAAAAACAAAAACTGTACCCTGGTAAATTTGAGGTCAGACTGGTTCTCTGCTCTCGAACCCTGTTTTCTGTTGTTTAAGATGTTTATCAAGACAATATGTGCACCACTGAACATAGAACCTTATCATTAGTTCTGCTTTTGCCCTTTGCCTTGTGATCCTTGCTTTTGCCCTTTGCCTTGTTATCTTTGTTGGACCCTTATCAGGAGTTTCTGATTTTGCCCTTGTCCTGTTTCCTCAGAAGCATGTGATCTTTGTTCTCCTTTTTGCCCTTTGAAGCATGTGATCTTGTGACCTACTCCTTGTTCTTGCACCCCCTCCCCTTTTGAGATCCTTAATAAAACTTGCTGGTTTTGTGGCTCAGGTGGGCATCATGGTCCTACCGATATGTGATGTCACCCCCGGCAGCCCAGCTGTAAAATTCCTCTCTTTGTACTCTTTCTCTTTATTTCTCAGCAGGCCGACACTTTTGGAAAATAGAAAGAACCTATGTTGAAATATTGGGGGCGGCTTCCCCCCATAGAGATCTCCAAAGTAGAGCTGCTTGGTTTAGCCCTCCTGAAATCCCAACCCACAAAACAGTGAACAAACAAAACCCCACCAAAACTCCACCTTTATATATAGAGAGATTTTTTCAAGCTCACAAACTGCATGGACTTGTTAATAAGAGTCTTAAAGTTTGAAAGAGTGAAAAACACACTGAGGCTACTGAAGAGGGAGTGGCTTGCTCTGGAATACACTGATCTGGAAGCCAGGCTGCCTGTCCCTGGGGCTGTGGAGTCCTGCCCATTTCACACTCTGTCCTGTATGCTGACCAGCGCCTCAGACAGATGCACTCACTGGTGGTCATAGTACTACCTCTGGTCTGTGTTATTTACTTTACAGAAGACTTTTTTACTCCAGTGGTTTCCATTCAAGAAGGGAGCCATTGGAGAATTTCCTGGCTGAAAGGAATAAAGATTGAGGGGCTTGTCTGCGAGCAGGCCCCTCAAATCAAGCCTGCTGCCCCAAACCTTGGTCCTGTCATGCCTGAGGCTGCCCAATTCTGGAAGGGCAGGGAGGCAATGCAATGGTTGGGACAGAGGGGCCTGAGGAGAGGGGGCCTGGCCAGGTTCTCAGGCCAGCCTCCTATTGGGAAGGAACATGGAGGGGCAACTCTCAGTCAGCATTGCTGAGTCAAGCGAATGCAGGCGGAACCCAACCAAGCAAGCAACTCACCGGCTTCCTGGTGTGGGGCAGCTTCAGGCATCCATCAGGGGGTCCCAAATGGGCTTTTAAGCATCTGGGGGTAGCGCTGTCCTCTGGAAAAGCAGATGCACTTGAAGAAAGATTGACAGGCCCGAGAGGCTCCCTTCAAGCTCTTGGCCCTCCCCAAAAGGACGACCAAGAAAAGAAGACTGATGGCCTGTGGGAGTGAGGCACTGGGCAAGCCTGGCTGAGGAGTGGAGAGGCAGCAGCTTTGTGGGGGCTTTCCCCTGACAACAACCTCTCTAGGAAAACTCCAGGCCAGGGGCTCAGGTATCAGGAGAAGCCCAGTCTGGTGGTGTTCTGGGGCCAGCCCTAGCTGGACCATGTGTATCAATCCCTTCTCTGGACCTTATCTTTCTTATTTCTATAATGAAGACTGAGGCAGGATGGATGACATACATAATGATTTTAAGCTTCTTCTTTTCAGCCAGGGAATTCTTTATTCAAATGAAATCTTACAAAGAAAAAAGAATCTTACAAAGAACAAGGAAAAAAGAATGAAGCAAAGCTGCTGTGGTTGAAAGTGACAGCTGGAGTGTGCCCAGAGCTCCGCTGCCGGGCCCCAGCCCACCCTGGCTTCTGGCGCCTGGGATTTCCCAGCTCTAAGTGTCTATGATCTAAAATAATACTTGCTGTCCTACCAGTTTCCTGGGGGAAAATTTGAAGTCGGGCAAACCTGGGGTTCAAATCCAGTTTTACCCCTAGTTTCTTCATCTGCAAAGTAGATCTAATATCACCTACATCCCAGGGTTCTCAGGAGTTCAAGGTACCCCTGGCATAGAATCTGGCATCATGGTGCCCCTCGGGTTTGTCCTTCCTTCTCTTTGTACACACTGCTTTTGTGTTCCATCTCATCACCTTCTACCATCCCATCAGATCCTCTCTGGTCTCTGTCCAGAATAGATTATGGGCCAGGCACTGTGCTGGGTAGTGGGTAGTCAGGGCTTAAAGATAAATAAGACAAAGCCAGTGACTTAATGGAACTTACGCACAAGAAACTGATCATTCCCACACAAATAGTTTAGGTAAATGGATGTATTTAAAACTAGAGACAGAACTTTATCTTGATTAATGTTCACTTAATAGCTTTGGGCTAAATCTTCTGGCTTGTTTTACATTTTATTTCTGTTTTCAAACATAAAAAGTTATCCCATCTTTCTTTCTTTTACCTGCAAGTGTAATCAACATGATTTCCACATCTTTCCCCTATTATGACCAAGATAATGAGAACGGGGCCAAGAGGAGAGTTCCAGGTCTTGCCACCAGACTGGTTTCAATACGTTCAAACCAATATGTTCATCACAACACTGCAGTGATTCAGCCAGTTCAAATGTTATCTCTCCCACTTGTGCATACTCCTACACTTTTCTATTTTAGAAATTTTTATTACAAATTTATTTGTATATACACTCACAATTTTACATGCATATCACTATATATATACGTGTGTGTGTGTGTGTGTGTGTGTGTATATATATATATATATATATATATTCTTTTTTTTTTTTTTTTTTTGAGATGCAGCTTCTCTCTTGTTGCCCAGGCCTGAGTGCAATGATGCGATCTCAGCTCACTGTAACCTGTGCCTCCTGGGTGCAAGTGATTCTCCTGCCTCAGCCTCCCGAGTAGCTGGGATTACAGGCACATGCCACCACGGCCGGATAATTTTTGTATTTTAGTAGAGACGGGGTTTTACCATGTTGGTCAGGCTGGTATCAAACTCCTGACCTCCGGTGATCCACCCACCTTGGTCTCCCGAAGTGCTGGGATTACAGGCGTGAGCCATCATACCCGCCCCTATATATCACCATTTTTTACATATTTTTAGAACAGTCCCCATTTTGCTTGGCTTTCCCCTCTCCTCTTCAACCCTCTGCTTACAACGGCCCCTATACTCAGCCCCAGCCCTTCTGCGGGTAACCTAGGTTAATAAATTGGTATGTGTTATGTGTCCTTTTTATGCTCATATGTAAATATAAATAGAGACACATACATCACTCACATATATAGTATTGGTTTTTTTGTCAGCATTTTCTATTATTTGGATCATATCTTACACATTTATCTTTATCTTCTTTTACCAAAAAATAACTTGTGAAAATGACTCCTGGACCACTACTATAGTTCTAATGCACCCTGTTAAGTGGTCGCATAACAGGCTATCATGGAGCATTGATACAAAAATCTTCAATAAAATATTAGCAAACCAAATTCAACAACACATCAAAAAGATTACACATCATGACCAAGTTGGATTTATCCCTGGCATGCAAAGCTGATTTAACATATGCAGATCAATCAGTGTGACACATCCCTTTAACAGAATGAAAGATAAGAACCACATAATCATCTCATTTGACACAGAGAAAGCATTTGACAAGGTTCAACATTGTTTCTTGATAACAACTCTTGACTGTTTACGTGTAGAAGGAAAGTTTCTTGACATAATAAAAGCCATTTATGAAAAACTCACAGCTAACATCATAATCAACAGTGAAAAACTGAAAACTTTTCCACCAATCAGACAAGAAAAAGAAATAAAAGGCATCCAAATTGAAAAGGAAAAAGTAGTATTCCTTTTTTGCAGGATCAAGGCAGATGGGAAGCAGGATTAGATTGCAGCTCCAGACAGAGCAGCATGTGGAGGTTTGCGTTGTGAATTTTAGCTCCAGAACAACTGCAAGAACAAACAAGCAATCCTGAGAGGATCCACAGTCTCTGTGAAGGAAGCAGACTGCTCCTGCAGGACCCAAGAGACATGCCAAATACTGAGAGTGCCCCAACTGTGGAAGTGGGAAAGGGAGACCCTCCTCTCTCAAACACGCACCCCCACTGGAGAAGCTGAAGGTCTGTTTGCAGAAGTTTCCAACTTTACCTGGAGCTGAGTCAAGTTAGAGAGCTGAGTCAAGTGAAATACAGGGGTAGAGGAAGAAGCAGAAAGGCCCTGGGAGTTTGCTGGGACCCCAAGCAGCCCATTCCTGCCTGGAACCACAGGGATCCATCAGGTGAGTGGCCAGAGTCGCAGGGGGTAAAACTCCACAGGGAGAAGAATTCTCTAGCTGAACTTTGTAACAACTTGAACAGGGTGAACAGGGTGAGAAGCCTCCTGACCAGAACTCGGGGGAGGGCGCAAATCCAGCTTGCAGACTTCTCAGGTTGGGAAAGAACTAAAGTTCTTTTCTTTCACAGCTGGGAGGCTCTTCCTGGAAACAGACTTGGGGCTGTTGGCAGGGCGGCGGGCGGGCGGACGGGGGAGTGCACCGTGGGAGTGAGACTGGCCCTTCGGTTTGTGTGGGAGCTGGGTGAGGCCTGTGACTTTCAGCTTTCCCCCACTTCCCTCACAACCTGCATGACTCAGCAGAGACAGCCATAATCCTCCTAGGTACACAACTCCAGTAACCTGGGAATCCCACCCCCATCCCCCACAGCAACTCCAGCAAGACCCGCCCAAGGAGGGTCTGAGCTCAGACACACCTAGCACCACCACCACCTGATAGTCCTTCCCTTCCCACCCTGGTACTGGAAGACAAAGGGCATATAATCTTGGGAGTTCTAGAGCCATGCCCACCACCAGTCCCTCTCCACACTGCTACAGCTGATCCTTTATGAAAAGCGCCATCTCCTGGCAGGAGGCCAACAAGCACAAAAATAGAGCATTAAACCACCAAAGCTAAGGACACTCATGGAGTCCATTGCACCCTCTGCCAACTCCACTGGAAGAGGCGCTGGTATCCACAGCTGAGAGACCCATAAACAGTTCACATCACAGGACTTTGTGCAGACAACCCCCAGTACCAGTCCAGAGCTGGGTAGACTTGCTGGGTGGTTAGACCCAGAAGAGAGAAAAGAGACAACAATCACTGCAGTTCGGCTCACAGGAGGCCACATCCACAGAAAAAAAGGGAGAGTACTACATCAAGGGAACACCCCGTGGGACAAAAAAAATCTGGACAACAGCCTTCAGCCATAGACCTTCCTTCTGACAGAGCCTACCCAAATGAGAAGGAACCAGAACACCAACCCTGGTAATATGACAAAACAAGCTCGTCAATACCCCCCAAAAATCACACTACTTCACCAGCAATGGATCCAAACCAAGAAGAAATCCCTGATTTACCTGAAAAAGAATTCAGGAAGTTAGTTATTAAGCTAATCAGGGAGGGATCAGAGAAAGGCAAAGCCCAATGCAAGGAAATAAAAAAAAGAGACAAGAAGTGAAGGGAAAAATAGTCAAGGAAATAGATAGCTTAAAGAAAAAGCAATAAAAAATTTGGGAAACTTTGGAAACACTTTAAGAAATGTGAAATGCTCTGGAAAGTCTCAGCAATAGAATTGAACAAGTAGAAGAAAGAAATAAAGAGCTCGAAGACAAGGTCTTTGAATTAACCCACTCCAACAAAGACTAAGAAAATATGACCATACCCTCCAAGTAGTCTGGGATTATGTTAAACGACCAAACCTAAGAATAATCGGTGTTCCTGAGGAAGAGGGCAATTCTAAAATCTTGGAGAACATATTTGGGGGAATAATCAAGGAAAACTTTAAAACTTCCCTGGCCTTGCTAGAGACCTGACATTCAAATACAAGAAGCACAAAGAACACCTGGGAAATTCATTGCAACAAGATCTTCACCTAGGTACATTGTCATCAGGTTATCCAAAGTTAAGATGAAGGAAAAAATTGTAAGAGCATCAGGTAACCTATAAAGGAAAACCTATCAGATTAACAGCAGACGTCTCAGCATTAACCCTATAAGTGAGAAGGGATTGGGGCCCTATCTTCAGCCTCCTCACACAAAACAATTATCAGCCAAGAATTTTGTATCGAGTGAAAATAAGCATCATATACAAAAGAAAGATACAGTCATTTTCAGACAAACAAATGCTGAGAGAATTCACAATTACCAAGCCACCACTACAAGAACTGCTAAAAGGAGATCAAAATCTTGAAACAAATCCTGGAAACACATCAAAACAGAATCTCTTTAAAGCATAAATCACACAGGACTTATAAAACAAAAATACAAGTTAAAAAGCAAAAACAAGAAACTTAAAAAAAAACAAGGTACACAGGCAATAAAGAGCATGATGAATGCAAGGGTACTTCACATTTCAATACTAACGTTGAATATAAATGGCCTAAATGCTCCACTTAAAAAATACAGAACCACAGAATGGATAAGCACTCACCAACCATCTGCTGCCTTCAGGAGACTCACCTAACACATAAGGGCTCAGGTAAACTTAAAGTGAAGGGGTGGAAAACGGCATTTCATGCAAATGGACACCAAAAGCCAGCAGGGGTAGCTATTCTTATATCAGACAAAACCAATTTTAAAGCAACAGTGGTTAAAAGAGAAAAGAGGGATGTTATATAATGGTAAAAGGCCGCGTCTAACAACAAAAAAAAATCACAATCCTAAACATATGGGCACCTAACCCTGGAGCTCCCAAATTTATAAAACAATTACTAATAGACCTAAGAAATGAGATAGACAGCAACACAGTAATAGTGGGATACTTCAAATACTCCACTGACAGCACTAAAGAGGTCATCAAGACAGAAGGTCATCAAGACAGAAAGTCAACAAAGAAAGAATGGATTTAAACTATACTTGAAACAAATGGACTTAACAGATTTATACAGAACATTTCATCCAACAACTGCAGAATACAGATTCTATTCAACAGTGGATGGAACTTTCTCTGAGATAGACCATATAATAGGCCATAAAACAAGCCACAATAAATTTAAGAAAACTGAAATTATATCAAGCTTTCTGTCAGACCACAGTGTAATAAAACTAGAAATTAACTCCAAAAGGAACCTTCAACACCACACAAATACATGGAAATTAAATAACCTGCTCCTGAATGAGCATTGGGTAAAAAATGAAATCAAGATGGAAATTAAAAAATTTCTTTGAACTGAATGACAAGGATGACACAACCTATCCAAACCTGTGGGATACAGCTAAGGCGGCACTAAGAGGAAAGCTCATACCCTTAAACACCTACATCAAAAAATCTGAAAGAGCAGAAACAATCTATGCTAACACCTCAAGGAACTAGAGGAACAGGAACAAACCAATCTCAAACCCAGCAGAAGAAAGGAAATAACCAAAATCAGAGGAGAACTAAATGAAATTGAAACTAAAAAAACAATTCAAAGGATAAATAAAACTGATAGACTGTTAGCAAGATTAACAAGAAAAGAAGAGAGAAAATCCAAATAACCTCACTAAGAAACGAAACAGGAGATGTTACAACTGACACTACTGAAATGTGAAAGATTATTCAAGGCTACTGTGAATGCCTTTATGCACATAAACTAGAAAACCTAGAAGAGATGAATAAATTCCTGGAAAAATACAACCCTCCTAGCTTAAATCGGGAAGAATTAGATACCCTGAATAGACAAACAACATGCAGTGAGATTAAAATGGTAATTTAAAAATTACCAACAAAAAAAGTCCAGGGCCAGACAGATTCACAGCAGACTTCTACCAGACATTCAAAGAATTGGTACCAATCCTTTTGACACTATTCCACAAGAAAGAGAAAGAAGGAACCCTCCCTAATTCATTCTATGAAGCCAGCATCAGCCTAATATCAAACCAGGAAAGGACACAAACAAAAAAGAAAACTACAGACTGATACCCTTGATGAACATAGATGCTAAAATCCTTAACAAAATACTTGCTAACCAAATCCAACAACATATAAGGTAAACCACCATGGATCAAGTGGGTTTCATACCAGGGATGCAGGGATGGTTTAATATGTGCAAGTCAATAAATGTGATACACCACATAAGCAGAATTAAAAACAAAAATCACATGATCATCTCAATAGATGCAGAAAAAGCATTCAACAAAATCCAGCATCCCTTTATGAACAAAGCCCTCAGCAAAATTGGCATACAAGGGGCATATCTTAACATAGTAAAAGCCATCTATGACAAACCCACAGCTAACATAATACTGAATGGGAAAAGTTGAAAGCATTCCCTCTGAAAATGGGAACAAGACAAGGATGCTCACTCTCACCACTGCTCTTCAACATAGTACTGGAAGTCCTAGTCAGAGCAATCAGACAGGAGAAAGAAATAAAGGGTATCCAAATTGGTAAGGAGGAAGTCAAATTGTCCCAGTTTGCTGATGATATGATCATTTCCCTTGAAAACCCTAAGGACTCCTCCAGAAAGCTCCTAGAACTGATAAATAATTCAGCAAAATTTCCAGGTACATGATTAAAGTACACAAATCAGTAGCTCTTCTATACACCAACAGCGACCAAGCAGAGAATCAAATCAATAACTCAACCATTTTTACAATAGCTGCAAACAAACAAACAAACTTAGGAATACACCTAAGAAAGGAGTTGAAAAACCTCCTCAAGAAAACTACAAAACACGCTGAAAGCAATCATAGATGACACAAACAAATGGAAACACCTCTTATGCTCATGGATGGGTAGAATCAATATTGTGAAAATGACCACACAGCAAAATCTACAAATTCAGTGCAATCCCCATCAAAATGCCACGATCATTCTTCAGAGTTATAAAAAACAATTATAACATTAATACAGAACCAAAAAAGAGCCCACTTATCCAAAGCAAGACTAAGCAAAAAGAAAAAATCTGGAGGCATCACACTACCTGATTTCAAACTAAACTATAAGGCCATAGCCACCACAACAGTATGGTACTGGTATAAAAATAGGCACATAGGCCAGTGTAGTGGAATAGAGAACCCAGAAATAAACCCAAATACTTACAGCCCACGATCTTTGCAAAGCAAACAAAAACATAAAGTGGGAAGAACACCCTTTTCAACAAATGGTGCTGGGATAATTGGCTAGCCACACGTAGGGGAATGAAACTGGATCCTCATCTCTCATCTTATACAAAAATCAACTGAAGATGGATTAAGGACTTAAACCTAAGACCTGAAACTATAAAAATTCTAGAAGATAACATTGGAAAAACCCTTCTAGACATTGGCTTAGACAAGGATTTCATGACCAAGAACCCAAAAGCAAATGCAATAAAAACAAAGATAAATAGCTGGGACTTAATGAAACTAAAGAGCTTTTGCACGGCAAGGGGAACAGTCAGCAAAGTAAACAGACAACCCATAGAGAGGGAGAAAATCTTCACAATCTATACATCTGACAAAGAACTAATATCCAGAATCTACAATGAACTCAAACAAATCAGTAAGGGAAAAAAAATCCCACCAAAAAGTGGGCCAAGGACATGAATAGACAGTTCTCAAAAGAAGATATACAAATAGCCAACAAACATGAAAAAATGCTCAACATCTCTAATGATCACGAAAATGCAAATCAAAACCACAATGCAATACCACCTTATTCCAAGAATGGCCATAATTAAAAAATAAAAATAAAAAATAACAGTAGATGTTGGTGTGGATGCAACTATTGGGGAACACTTCTACAGTGCTGGTTGGAATGTAAGCTAGTACAGCCACTATGGAAAATAGTGTGGAGATTCCTTAAAGAACTAAAAGTAGAACTACCATTTGTTCCAGCAATCCTAGTACTGGGTATCTATCCAGAGGAAAAGAAGTCATTATTCGAAAAAGATACTTCCACACGCATGTTTAGCAGCATAATTCACAACTGCAAAAATCGTGGAACCAACCCAAATGCTCATCACTTAACAAGTGAACAGAGAAACTGTTTTATATATATATATATATATATATATATATAACATATAACATATAGTGTGTATATATATATATAAAACATATAACATATAGTGTGTGTATATGTATATATATATACACATATATGCTTGGTCGCTGTTGGTGTGTAGAAGAGCTACTGATTTTTGTACTTTAATCATGTACCTGGAAATTTTGCTGAATTATTTATCAGTTCTAGGAGCTTTCTGGAGGAGTCCTTAGGGTTTTCAAGGGAAATATATATACAATGGAATACTACTCAGCCATAAAAGGGAATGAATTAACAGCATTTACAATGACCTGGATGAGATTGGAAACTATTATTCTAAGCGAAGTAACTTAGGAATGGAAAACCAAAGATAGTATCTTCTCACTGATATGTGGGAGCTAAGCTATGAGGGTGCAAAGGCATAAGCATAATACAGTGTACTTTGGGGACTTGGGAAGAGTGGGAGGGGGGTGAGAGATAAAAGTAGTCTACAAATATGGTGCAGTGTATACTGCTCGAGTGGTGGGTGCACCAAAATCTCACAAATCACCACTAAAGAACCTACTCATGTAACCAAATACCACCTGTACCCCAAAAACTTATGAAAAAATAAAATAGAATAATTTAAATTTAAAAAGTAAAAAATAAAAGGGAAAAGTAGAATTATCTCTATTTGCAGGTGATGTGATCCTATATATAGAAAACCTCAAGAACTCTACAAAAACCCTGTTAGAACTAAGAAATAAATTTCAACAAGGTTGCAGGATAGAAACTCAACATCAAAAATCAGCACTTCTATACACAAATAATGATCTAGCTGAAAAAGACATTAAGAAAACAATTCCATTTATGATAGCATCAGACAAAAATACCTAGGAATAAATTTAACCAAGGAAGTGAAAGATTGTTACAGTAAAAACAATAAAACACCAAAGAAAGAAACTGAACAAGACACAAATCACTGGAAAGATATCCTGTGTTCATGAATTGGAAGAAATAATATTGTTAAACTATTCATACAACCCATAGGAATATACAGATTTAACACAACTGCTATCAAAATACCAATAGCATTCTTCACAGAAATAGAAAAAACAATTCTAAAATCCACAGGGAAACACACACACACACACACACACACACACACACACACACACACACCCTGAATAGCCCAAGCAATCCTGGACAGAAAAAAAAGTTCGAGGCAACTCAATTTCTAATTTAAAATTTTGTTACAAAGTTATAGTAATCAAAACAGTATGGTACCAGTATAAAAATAGATATATAAACCAATAGAACATTTTAGAGAGCCCAGAAATAAATTCACACATATATGGACAACTATATTTTGACAAGGACATCAAAATAACACAATGGGAAAAGAATAGTCTCTCCAATAGACAGCGCTACAGAACTTTCCACAATTTCATGCAAACAAATGAAATTGGACCCTTACTCTGTAAACAAAAATTAACTTAAAATGAATAAAAGATTTAAATGTAAGATATGAAACCATAAAACTAGAAGAGAACCTAAGGGAAAAGCTATTTCACATTGGTCTTGGCAATATTTATTTTGGATATCACACCAAAAGCACAGGCTACAAAAACAGAAATAAATAAATAGAACAGCATTAAACTAAAAAGCCTCTGTACAGCAAAGTAAACAACTGACAAAAAAGCAACCTATGGACTGCGAAAAAATAATTGCAAACCACATATCTGTTAAGAGGTTAAGATCTAAAATTTATAAAGAACTCTTGCAACTCAATAGCAGAAAAGCAGATAAACCAATTGAAAAGTGAGCAAAAGACCTGAACAGACATTTCTCCAAAGAAGGCATAAGAATGGCCAATAGGTATATACAAAGGTGCTCAATATCACTAATCATAAGGAAAATGCAAACTAAAACCACTGTGAGTTATCACCTCACACCCGTAAAGACAGCTACTATCAAAAGGCAAGAGATGACAGATGAGGGTGTGGAGAAAAGAGGACCTTAGTTCATTGTTGATGGGAGAGAAGACTGATACAGAAGACTGACACATTTCCAGCTAGTATGGAAAAGAGAAAGGAGATTCTTAAAGAAATTAAAAAATAGTACTACATGACCTAGCAATGCCACTCCTGGATACATACCCAAAGGAGATAAAATCATCACCTTGTAAAGAGATCTGAACTCCCATTTTCGTTGCAGCAGTATTCACAAGAGCCAGGAAAGCTATAGAACAAATTTAATGTCCATCAATGGACAAATGGATAAAAAAAGTGGTGTTTACACACACACACACACACATACACACACACACACCCAATGGAATATTATTCAGACTTGAAAAGAAGAGGTTTTTGCCATTTACCACAGCATGGATAGACCTGGAGGATATTGTGCTAAGTGAAATAAGCCAGGCACAGAAGGAAAAATATTGCATGATTTTACTTATATGTGAAATATATATATATACATATATATATATACACACACACACACACACACACACACACACAAGCTCAAATACACAGAGGCAGAAAATGAAATAGTGGTTACCAGAAGTGGTGAGGGGAGAGGAAATGGGGAAGTGTAGGTCAAAAGACACAAAATAGCAGATATGTAAGATGAACAAGTCCAGAGATGTAGTGTATTACATGAGGACTAAAGTTAATAAAATTGTATTATATTCAGGATTTTTGTTAAAAAAGTAGATTTTGGGTACTCTTCTCAGACACAAAAAAAGTAACTGTGAAATGATAGATACGTTAATCTTCTTTATTACAGGAACCATGTTTTATATGTATCCCATAACATCACGTTGTAAACTTCAAATACGTGCTATAAAATTTATTTTTACAAAATAAATGAATAGATTCAAGACACAGCACTAAAATAAAATACAGTTAGATCGAAGGAATAAGTTTTAATGTTCAATTACATAGTAGGGTGGCTATAATTAACAATAATTTATTGTATATTTTAAAACAGAAAGGAAGATTTGAAATGTTCCCAACACAAAGAAGTGATCAATGGTTGAGGTCATAGATATCCTAATTTCCCTGATTTTGTCATTATAGTTATATGCATGTGTCAAAATATCACATATTTTGTACCCAATAAATATGTACAATTATTTTCAATTTTTTAAAAAGAATATATTTATATAAAAATCTGCTATCTTTTTTTCTGGGTTAAGACTGCGATTTTCATCAAATTCTCCATCCGTTTTTTGTATTTTTGATTTACATATTTTGATGGAATGTTGCTAGGCACTGTTACATCTCTGTATAAAATACCCAGATATAAAGTAAAAAAAAACAACCAAACAAACAAACAACAAAACAACAAATCCATAAAAAGGAACAAGTTGTTGTGCACACATGTTGGATTGATCTCAAGGGAATTGTATTAAGTAAAGAAAGCCAATCTCAAAACATTACATTGTGTAATTCCATTTATATAACATCATTGAAGTTATAAAATTATAGCGATAGAGAACACATTAGTGGTTGCCGGGGTTAAGGAAGGAGGTGGCTTTGGCTATAAAAGGATGGCATGAAGAATCCTTGTGATGGAAGTGCTCTGTATCTTAACTGGGTTAGGGTGGATCACACAAATCTAAACATCATAAAATTGCCTAGAACTGAATACACAAATGAGTGCAAGTACAATGGGTGAAATTCTGAATAAGGATGCGTGAATTGTACCTGTCAGTTTCCTAGATTTGACATGGTACCATAATTATGGAAGATGTTACCATTGGGATAAACTGTGTGAAGAGTATATGAGATCTATGTTTTCATATCCTTCTATAATTATTTCAGGATAAAAAGTTTTTTTAAAAATAAATGCACAGGATCAGAGGGGGCACTCATAATTAAAGCACTGTAAACACACACACAATTTTAGGATAGAACACTTAAATAAATAATTAAATGGAAGCAATACAATTATTATTATTATTATTGTTTTTAGAGACAAGATCTTGCTCTGTTGCACAGGCTCAAGTGCAGCAGTGTGATCCTAGCTCACCAGAACCTCAAACTCCTGGGCTCAAGGGATGTCCTGCCTAAGCTTCCTGAATCCCTAGGATTACTTGCACAAGCCACCACACCCAGCTAATTAAAACGAACGAACGAACGAACAAACGAAAGAACGAACGAACGAACGAAAGAACGAACGAACTAACTAACAAACAAAAAACATTCTTTGTAGAGTAAGGGTCTTGCTGTGTTACCCAGGCTGCTCTTGAACTCCTGGCCTCAAGTGATCCCTCCTTCTCAGCCTCAAAAAGTGTTGGTATTATAGGCATGTGCCACCATGCCTGGCCCAATATAATGATCTTTTATGACTCACAACTATACAAGAGTTGAGTGAGTAAAATTAATTAGGAAACTAAATCAAGACATAAGTGCTATTAAGATATTGACATTCTCTCTACTGTTTATAGTCAAACAATTTTATATATCTACGTAATATTTCCATAATCAATTATAAGTACAAATTAATAGCTATAAATTGTTTTTAAATAGGCTATTATAATAGGCTATAATATGAATTAATGTGCCATAATTTATTCAACTATATTGAATTGATAGGCATTTACATTTTTCTGCTACAATAAATAAATATTCTTGCATATATATTCTTATATGTTGGTGCTTTTATTTCTATGGTATAAATTCTGAGAAATGAGATTGCTCTTAATTTTAATATCTTAATATTAATAAATGTTGCCAGATCATTTTCCCAAAATGGTCATAATAATTAAGATTTCCACATTCAAGCATGCAGTGAATAGTCCCAGTCTTTTAATTTTTGCATACTTAATAGGCATAAAGTGAATTATCATTGTAAGTTTAATTTACACATCCCTGACTTTATCAGAATTTAGGTATATTTTATGTTTGTTGATCATTTAAATCTGCTCTTCTATGAATTGTCTTCTCAATTTCTTTGCTTATTTTTCCTCTAATTGTCCAATTCTTATCACTTTTCACAAACGCTCTGCACATGGATTTAACTCTCTTTATCCACTACATAGCAAGTATTTCCCAAAATCTATTTTATGTCTATTGACTTAATCTATGGTATCTCTTGTGTTCATAAATTTGTAATTGCTCTGCTGTGCTGTGCTTTTAAGCCTCCGGTTTTCCAGTCTCTGTTTGGAAGGTGTTTGTTCCTACGTTAAATGTGTAGATTCTTGGATTTTTTAAAATAATTTTCATTTTTTTCACATTTAAAATTTTTAAGCCACCTGAAATTTATTTTTGTAACTAGAGTAACAAAAATTTATTTTTCACAAATTGAAATACCAGCTTTACTGTGTTTTACTAATCATTTATTTTATAATTTATTTCTGAATTTTCTTTTGTGTTCCACAGACCTCTTCATTTGTATTTTTCCAAATAACACATTAATATGTTTATAGGGACTTTGTAGTGTGTTGTAATATTTGTTAAGGCAAGAGCTCACTCTTTCTTCTTAAAAATATCTTGTCTAGTTCCAGAGTTTTAAAAATATAAAGCATAATATCATTTTATCCAATTTACATAATATTAGGATTCAAATTTGACTTGCATTAAATTTATAGATATCAAATCTGGGAAAATCAAATTGACATGATACTAAGTTTCTCCTCTTGAAAATGAAAATCTGTTTCTATTTGTTCAGATCTTATTTTATATTTTTAAATAACATGTTATGATTTGCTTCACATAGGACTCATGCCTTTCTTGCTAACCTCATTCCTAAGCATTTCCTAATTTGTGTGTAGAATGCTTTTTCTCATTTTCTTTTGTCATACTCCTTGTTAGAATAGAAGAAATCTATTGATTTTTGTGTATTCACCTTACATCCTGCAACCTGTAAGATTTTACCAAATTCTCTTATACAGTCTAAGAATATTTTTTTCTAGAGTCTATTGAGTTTCTAGAAATGTAATAGTCTTAGCAAAAAAAAAAAGAGAGACTATTTTATCTTTTCTTTTCTAATGTGTATTCCATTTTTTTCAGCTCACAGTGTTTACCAGAACAAAATAATTGAATAACCATTATGAGAACAAGCATTCCTGTCTGGTTTCTGATTTCTAAGTTAAATATTTTCAGGAATTTGGCATTTAGAATAATATTTGATTTTTTTTTGTTGTATTGTTAGTTTAATTTACATTTCTCTGGCTCCTTCAGAATTTAGGTATATTGTATTTTTTTTAGGCACTTAATTCTACTTTCCTATGGATTGTCTTCTCCACTTGTCTGCTTATTTTTCTATTAATTGTTTGTCCAACTTTTATCAATTTGCCTAATTAATATTTAATTGTTAATATTCATCTTTTATATTATATTTATATTTAAGTAATCTTTTACTGTTTTATTTAAGTTTTAATTAGGAATGGCTAGAGACATAGCAAATGTTCTTTCAGCATTCATTGATGGGATTATATATTTTTTCTTTAGTGTGTTGATACATTCGATTATGTTGATAGAATTCTACATACTGAGTTAGTCTGCTTTCTTCAATAAACTCTGCTTTATGGAGTATTTTTCTTTTAAATATCATTGGATCCACTCAGTAATAGTTTAGTTAGAGTGTTTACATTTATAAACAAGTGAAATTAGCCTATCCCTTATTAAAATAATCTCCTTTTTGGTTTTTGGCATTACAGTTATACTGACTTTATAAAATAAGTCAAGCCATCTTTCCATGTTTTCATAAGACCTAAATTAGTTTACCTGACAGTGGATTTATCTGGTCTTTAAATATTAAATAAAACCTAACCAGGCTGGGCGTGGTGGCTCACGCCTGTAATCCTACCACTTTTGGAGGCCGAGGTGGGTGGATTGCCTGAACTCAGGAGTTTGAGACCAGCCTGGGCAACATGGTGAAACTCCGTCTGTACTAAAAATACAACAACAACAAAAAAATAGCTAGGCATGGTGGTGCATGCCTGTAATCTCAGCTACTTGGGAGGTTGAGGCACGAGAATCACTTGAACCCAGGAGGTGGAGGTTGCAGTGAGCCAAGATCATGCCATTGCACTCCAGCCTGGGCAACAGAGGGAGACTCTGTCTCAAAAACAAAACAAAACAAAACAAAACAAAACAAAACAAAACAAAACAACCAACTGTGATTCCAGTGGGCCCCTACTTATTTATGGTAGCTCTCTAATCATTTTCCTAACTCTTTATATTTTAAAAATTGATACATAATAGATGTACATATATTTTGGCAATTGGATAATTTAACACATTAATATAATTTGTAAAGATCATATTTGGAATATCCATCATCATAAACATTTGTCTTTTATTTATGCTAGAAACATTCAAATTTTTATCTTTTAGTTATTTTGAAATATACAATAGATTAAACTATAGTCATGCTACTGATCTATCAAACTCTAGGTGTGTTAGGGTTCTCTAGAGGGACAGAACTAATAGGTTATATATAGCGGGGTTTATTAAGTAGCATTGGCTCACACAAGATCACAAGGTCCCACAATAGGCTGTCTGCAAGCTGAGGAGCAAGGAAGCCAGTCCGAGTTCCAAAGCTGAAGAACCTGGAGTCTGATGTTCGATGGTAGGAAAGATCCCTAACAGGTGAAAGATGTAGGCTGGGAGAGTAAGCCAGTCCAGTCTTTTCACCTTCTTCTGCCTGCTTTTATTCTGGCCATACTGGCAGATGTTTAGATTGTGCCCACCCAGATTAAGGGTGGGTCTGCCTTTCCGAGTCCACTGACTCAAATGTTAACCTCCTTTGATAACACCCTCACAGACACATCCAGGAACGATACTTTACATTCTTTAATCCAGTCAAGTTGACACTCAATATTAACCATCACACCAGGTTTTATTGCTTCTATCAAATTTCCATCAAACTATATGTTTGCATCAATTAATCAATCTCTCTTCACCCTCCCCTTCTCTCCTACCCTTGCTGCCTCTGGTAACCACCAATCTACACTCTATCTTCATGAGACATGCATTTTTAGCTTCCATAAATGAGTGAGAACATGTGATATTTGTCTTTCTGTGCTTATTTCACTTAACATAGTGAACTACAGCTCCATCCACGTTGCTGCAAAAGGCAAGATTTATTCTTTTTACAGCTGAATAATATTCCATTGTGCATGTACGCCACATTTTCTTTATCAATTCATCCCTTGATGGGCACTTAGGTTGATGCCATATTTTGGCTATTGTGACTAGTACTGCAGTTAACATGGGAGTGTAGATACCTCTTTGATATATTTATTTCATTTCTTTTGGATATATACCCGCAGTGGAATTTCTAGATCATATGGTAGTTCCGTTTTTAGGTTTTTGAGGAACATCCAAATAGTTTTCTATGGTTGCTGTACTAATTTATATTCCCATCAACAATATATAAGTGTTCTTTTTCCACATCCGCACCTACATCTGTTATTCCCTTTCTTTTGGATAAAAGCCATTTAAGTTGGGGTGAGATGATATTTCATTGTGATTTTGATTTACATTTATCTTATAATGTTGAAAAATGTTGAACATTTTTTCCATATACCTATTATTTGTATGCTTTTTTTGGTAAATATCTATTCAGATCTTTTTGTCTGTTTTTAAATCAAATTATTTGCTTATTTTTGCTGTTGAGTTGTTTGAGCTCCTTATGTATTCTGGTTATTAACCTCTTGTCATAATCTGTCACGGGAGGAGAGAAAAAAATCTCTTGTCACACAGCTAGTTTGCAAATATTTACTCTTATTTCTGTGGGTTGTGTCTTCATTACGATGATTGCTTCCTTTGCTATGCAGAAGTTTTTAACTTGATGTAATCCCATTTGTAGTCCATTTTATCTAAAAAGCGTAGGTATTCCTGCTCTTTTTCTGGTTTTCAACTGCCTGGAATATCTTATTTCACCCCTTCACCTTCAGCCTATATATGTCTTTATAGGTGAAGTAGGTTTCTTGTAGGCAGCACAGAGTTGGTTCTTGTTTCCTTACCCACTCAGCCACTCTATGCCTTTTAATTGAAAAATTGTGTCAATTTTCATTGATTCTTTTTTTTAATGAGTAAGGATTTACTACGCTAATGTTGTTGCTTGCTTTCTGGTTGTTTTGTAAGTCCTCTCTTCCTTTTTCCTTTCTTACTGTCTTTTTTTGTGATTAAGTGATTTTCTCTGGTAGGATGTTTTAATTCATTGCTTTTGTTTCTAGTGAATCTCTTATTGGTTTTTGCATCATTGTTACCATGAGGCTTACACAACACATCTTATAGATATAACAAGTTATTTTAAAGTGATGACAACTTATTTTAGATGACAATTAAAAGAATAGAAACAAAGAAACAATTTTAAAACTTGACACTTTAATTCCACCCCTGCCTACATTTTGACTTTGTGTTGTCTCTTAACAGGTTGCTATATCTATTATTATTTTTGACAGCTTTGTCTTTTAATCTTCATAGTAGGGCTGCTCTGCCTGTGGAGTAGATAACACCTTTTCATTCCTTTACTTTCTTGATAAACTGGCTTTCACTTAAAAAAAATCTTCATAGTAGAATTGTGAGTGAATTGCACACCACGATTGCAGTATTAGAGTATTCTAGGTTTGTCTGTGTACTTAATTTTACCAGTGAGTTTTATACTTTTACATGTTTTATTTTTGTATGTTAGTGTTTTTTTTTTTTTCTTCAGATTTTAGACTTCCTTTTGCAATCCTTGTAAGACACGTCTGGTGTCTGACAAGATTTTCTTTCAGATTGTAGACTTCCTTTTGCAATTCTTTTAATACAGGTCTGGTGGTGGTGAATTTTCTCAGCTTTTCATCTGGAAAAGCTTTATCTCTCCTTCATATTTGAAGGATAGCTTTGCTGGACACAGTATTCTTGGATGGCAGTTTTTCATTGTTTTGTTTTTTAGTTTCGCACTTTGAAAATGTCATCCCATTCCTGCCCTGTATGATTTCCATTGAGAAATCTGTTGCCAAATGAATTGGAGATCCTTCATACGTTATTGACTTATTTTCTCTTTGTACTTTTAAGATCTTCTCTTCATCCTTGACCTTTGAGAGTTTGATTATTATGTGACTTGTGTATTATTTGGTTTGAATCTGTTTGGTTTTCTCTGACTTTCATATAGCTGGATATTTCTCCCTTTCTCAAGTTTTGAAGTTTTCTGGTTTTTTTTTTTGTTTCTGTTTTGGTTTAAATAAGCTTTCTTCCCCTTGCTCTTGCTATACTCCATCTTGAACAACAGTAATTCTTAAATTTGTTCTTTTGAGGTAATTTTCTGTATCTTGTAGGTGACCTTCATTTTTTTATTCTTTTTTTTCTTTTTTCTACTCCAACTGTATTTTCAAATAGCCTATCTTTGAGTTCACTGGTTATTTCCTCTATTTTACCTATTCCACTATTGAGAGTCTCTAATGAATTTTTCAGTTTAGCAAAAGTCTTTATCAGTTCCAAGGGTTCTATTTGATTTTTTAAGTACTTTATTCTCCTTGTTAAATTTCTCTAATAAATTTCCAAATTGCCTTTCTGTGTTGTCTTGGAAATAATGAGTTACATTGAAGGATTATTTATTCTAGTCTTCCCTGTCTGGCTTATTCTGATTTTTCTCTTAGGTATGTTTGCTTAGAGATTCTTTGTGACTTATAATTTATCTGTTAATTTTCTTTTCTTTTTTTATTATACTTCAGGTTCTAGGGCACATGTGCACCACGTGCAGGTTTGATACATAGGTATACATGTGCCATGTTGGTTTGCTGCACCCATCAACTCATCATTTACATTAGGTATTTCTCCTAATGCTATCCCTCCCCCAACCCCCCACCCCCTGACAGGCCCCAGTGTGTGACGTTCCCCACCTTGTGTCCAACTGATCTCATTGTTCAATTCCCACCTATGAGTGAGAACATGCAGTGTTCGGTTTTCTGTCCTTGTGATAGTTTGCTGAGAATGATGGTTTCCAGCTTCATCCATGTCCCTGCAAAGGACATGAACTCATCATTTTTTATGGTGGCAGGGTATTCCATGGTGTTTATGTGCCACATTTTCTTAATCCAGTCTATCATTGATGTACATTTGTGTTGGTTCGAAGTCTTTGCTATTGTGAATAGTGCCGCAATAAACATACATGTGCATGTGTCTTTATAGTAGCATGATTTATAATCCTTTGGGTATAACCCCAGTAATGGGGTTGCTGGGTCAAATGGTAATTCTAGTTCTAGATCCTTGAGGAATCACCACACTGTCTTCCACAATGGTTGAACTAATTTAAACTCCCAGCAACAGTGTAAAAGTGTTCCTATTTCTCCACATCCTCTCCAGCATCTGTTTTTTCCTGACTTTTTAATGATTGCCATTCTAATGGCATGAGATGGTGTCTTATTGTGGTTTTGATTTGCATTCCTCTGATAACCAGTAATGATGAGCATTTTTTCATGTGTCTGTTGGCTGCATAGATGTCTTTTTTTGAGAAGTGTCTGTTCATACACTTCGCCCACTTTTTGATGGGGTTGTTTGTTTTTTTCTTGTAAATTTGTTTGATTTCTTTGTAGATTCTGGATATTAGCCCTTTGTCATATGGGTAGATTGCAAAAATTTTCTCCCATTCTGTAGGTTGCCTGTTCACTCTGATGGTAGTTTCCTTTGCCGTGCCGAGGCGCTTTAGTTTAATTAGATCCCATTTGTCAATTTTGGCTTTTGTGCCATTGCTTTTGGTGTTTTAGTCATGAAGCCCTTGCCCATGCCTATGTCCTGAATGGTATTGCCTGGGTTTTCTTCTAGGGTTTTATGGTTTTAGGTCTAACATTTAAGTCCTTAATCCATCTTGAATTAATTTTTGTATAAGGTGTAAGGAAGGGATCCAGTTTCAGCTTTCTACATATGGCTAGCCAGTTTTCCCAGCACCATTTATTAAATAGAGAATCCTTTCCCCATTTCTTGTTTTTGTCAGGTTTGTCAAAGATCAGATGGTTTTAGTTGTGTGGTGTTATTTCTGAGGGCTCTGTTCTGTTCCATTGGTCTTTGTCTCTGTTTTGGTACTTGTCCCTGTTTGCAGATGACATGATTTTATATCTAGAAAACCCCATCGTCTCAGCCCAAAATCTCCTTAAGCTGATAGGCAACTTCAGCAAATTCTCAGGATACAAAATCAATGTGCAAAAATCACAAGCATTCTTATACATCAATAACATACAAACAGAGAGCCAAATCATGAGTGAACTCCCATTCACAATTGCTTCAAAGAGAATAAAATGCCTAGGAATCCAACTTACAAGGGATGTGAAGGACCTCTTCAAGGAGAACTACAAACCACTGCTCAAGGAAATAAAAGAGGATACAAACAAATGGAAGAACATTCCATGCTCATGGGTAGGAAGAATCAATATCATGAAAATGGCCATACTGCCCAAGGTAATTTACAGATTCAATGCCATTGCCATCAAGCTACCAATGACTTTCTTCACAGAATTGGGAAAAACTACTTTAAAGTTCATACAGAACCAAAAAGGAGCCTGTATTGCCAAGTCAATCCTAAGCCAAAAGACCAAAGCTGGAGGCATCACACTACCTGACTTCAAACTATACTGTAAAGGCTACAGTAACCAAAACAGCATGGTACTGGTACTATTCTTATATTTCTAAAAGCTTTAGCTTCATATGTTTAGCTTATATGTTGTTTTGTACATACGGTTTTTGAAATATTTTCATAAATTTTACAATTTGTTGTTATGCGTCACTTTTTTAATCCTGTTTAGTATATAATCTTGAATTCTATCTTATTTAATATTAAATATTGCCAATCTTGCTTTTTATTTGTTTGCAATTTGCCTGGTATTCCTCCTTTTATCCCTATAATTTGAATCCGTTGTCACCAATTTAAGTGTATCTATACCCTTAAGGGTATAAATGTTGTAGGTTTTTTCTTTTCTTTTTTCTTTTTTTGAAACACGGTCTCACTTTCTTACCCAAGTTGGAGTGCAATGAAACTGCATCATAGCTCACTGCAGCCTCAAACTCCTGGACTCAAGTGATCTTCCTGCCTCAGCATCCTGAGTAGCTGGGGATAAAGGTGTGTGCCACCGCACTCAGCTATTTATTTTATTTTTGTAGAGATGGGGTCTCACTGTGTTACCCAGGCTGGTTTTGTAGGTCTGGCTACAAGGAATGTTCCCACCTCAGCCTCCCAAAATGCTGATTACAAGCGTGAACCACTATGTTCAGCCTGCTTTTGGTTTTTAACCCTCTCTGAATAAGCTGTATCTTTTGACGAGATGATTCAGTTTGTTCACATATTTAATAATTTATATGTTTAATAATGTACTTGCCTGTCTTTTCTGTTTCCTATTGTTTTATATTTGTACTTTATTTTAAATTGCTTTTTTCCCCTTATTTCCCATTGGTTTGGTCAAATTGTTACTCATCTTTTAATGTGTAGTGTCTAGCAAAACTGTTAAATTTTATTAATGGTTTCTATTTCCTTGTACTCATAATCAAACATATAGTTCTCTATTGTTCTTTGAAACAAGATACCAACTATTTCACCAGGTATGACATTGCCACAGCTTTCTCCCCTTCCTCCCCGCATGGGATGAGACCACTAGAACACCTTCCTCTGTTATCCTCCCCTTCATCCCTCCTTCTCTCAGTCCTGAGATGGACATTTGGAATGTCTCTAACCTCCTTCCCCTCCCACTGCCCCTGCTGAAATAGTGTTGCTGAAATTGTTTCGTGCTATTAGTTTTAGGCTATTGTAAGAATTTCCCTTGAAATATCTCCCTTCAATTTCCAGATTATTTAAGATTAATATTTCACATTTCCAGAGAATTCATTCTTCTCCATTCAGAATTTTTCTCCTGTTACTGAATTATTATCTTTTTGCTATATAGCCCCTTTTTTTCCTTCTGAAGCCACAATACTTGAATGTTAGGTTCATGCATCCATTCCCCAACTCTTGCTTTTGTCTTCATCATTTTCATCGTCTTATAGTTTTGCTCTGTGTGTTGGCATATATTACTTCCATTTGACTCAATTCAGGTCTCAACAGTAGCCACATTTTTCTTTCCTTCACTTGTTATGCTGTGTAGTTGGGAAATCCACATTTTAGCTTTTGAAAGCCTTTTTGGGTGTGTCCTGCTCTTGATTACCAATAAGTGCTCTGTTTTTCTGTTCAGTCTCAGAGATAAGTATTTGAAAGCAGACACAGCCACAGATACAAGAGAAATTAAAATACTTACAAGAGAAGAGTATATGTAACTTTTGGCAATAATTTTAAAATCTAGAAGAAATGGATGATTTTCCAGCAAATAAAAGTTTCCGCAATTGACTTCAGAAGAAGTGGAACGCTTCAAAAGACCTATTATGACAGAAGAGAGAGAAAGTAAACTACCTTTTAATCAACAACCAGGGCCCAGTGATATCACAGCTGAATTGTGTTGGACATTGAAAGATTAAGAGAGCAGCCTTCTGTGGCTCGGTGTGCACTTTGATAGGTCATCCTCAGTCTGGACACCTTGAGCGTTGTTGCAGGTGGGATCCCCAGGAAGGAGAGCAAGTGGGAGAGTGTCCTGCACAGGACACTCCCTACATCAGGGAGTTCTCTTGGGACCATCCCTGGAGGAAAAGGAAAGAAAGCAGGGTTGAGAAGAGGGAGATGTTGGAGTGTGGCAGGTTGCCTCCACAAAGCCACCCTCTATGAAGAGCCACCAGGCTGTTAGGACTCTTCAGAGTTGTCTTGAACTGAGGTGAGAGGGCTGGACTTTTATATCCCTGCATCAATGAGGCATTTGATATTGCCTGCCTTGGATATGCCAAGGCAACTCCCAAAGAGGCCTGACAATTGAGTGCCATCTGCCAAGAGCCTCTCAGAAGCTGAGGGAGGGAGGAGCCTTCATTACTGTAGCAGAGTCTGGGTGACACATTACAGCATCCACTACAGATGAGCTGGTATTTTTCTTTATTCTCCCCTGAGTTTTTGGCCTGTTACTGCATCTCACAAAAAGCAGCAGTTTCAGAACTGGTGGTGAGTGGTGGAGCAGTCCCCTCACTGCAGCGGCAGTGAGGGTGACCATGTATGGCATCTGGAGGACATTTTCTTGGCCGCTCCTATTCTCCCAGCTGCTGGAGCAGGGCAAACTCAGTCTACTCATTCAACTCTCTCTCTTGGCCAGGCACATGAGAACAGGGGGAGAGGAGGGTGGCAGCTCCCTACAGGAGGACCTGCTGCCTTACCATCCTTGCAAAGGGGCCTGTAGGAGAGAGTTCTACGTTGGTTTCCTTGGCCATGACTCACCTGATACCCATGGCCTCATACAGGCCACACAATGGCCACAGAGACTGGTTGTCTTGGGAGAATCAAATTGATGAGATCTGTTAATGGAGAGGAAGGGAGCTGTAGACAAGTGGCCTTCTCCTGAGAATCCCTTCCTCCTGCCTTTCTCCTTTGTCACCGTGTTTATGAGAGTCATGTAAAGTATTTTGTTCATTGAGTAGCTGAAATCAGCATGCTAACTCAGCAGCCAGTGCAGCCAGTAAGAACTGGGCTGTAGGCAGAAAAGAGACAAACACATTCCACTTGAGGCAAGGGAAAAGTTTAATCAGTCACCACACAGGTTACTCAATTGTGAGTTCCCAGCCCTGGGCTAGGACCCATGGGGAACAGAAGGAGGAACAGTGAGCAAGCTCCTGCCACCGTCCCTGCACTTCGCCATCAGCATTTACGTATTTAAGTAAAGCCTTATGTCTTATAGATGAGTATGTGCGGGGGAAATGTTTACTCAGCCTGAAGCTCTGGTGCAGATCTCTGTGATCCAGGTCCTTTGAAATTTAAACATATTCATGAGGCTGAAACACAGAGGCTCTTTATTAAAGCAAAGAGGCTGTCTAAAAAAATAACTCGCAACACTATGTAAGCTTGGGAATAGACGTGTTAATTGAAGTACCCCTGTGTGGAGGAGCAAGGAAGAGCTGATGACTCCCAGAAGGGCTGCTCCATTACTCTCAATGGGGGCAAAAGTTAAATGCCACCAGCCGTCCTGACTGCACATCCTGCCTGAGCCCAAGGGAAACAGTGGGGAAGGCAGGGCCGCGGGTGCACAGGGAGCTGAGTCTGTGTGGGATGTTGGAAGGAGACACACAAAAGGCAGATACACAGCCAAGGACAAATGCTGAAGCGTGCTCTGGGGCGGTAAGAACAGCATCAGGAAAAACTACCGTTTGGAATGAGCTGAGGTTTGGAAGAAAAAAGTCAAGGACAAGAGAAAATTAATTCTTCTTTTTACTCTCATTTTGTTTGGAGCCAGGAAAATACAAATGTGGCCACAATTTGGGGCTACTGGGGTTCTCTGCCTTCGGTGACCAGGTGCTCCCCAAGTCCACAGGGCAGACAGGTGTGTAACAGGGCACAGAGGGAAAGCGCACCCGCCCAGCCACCCACTCCATCGTTTTCCTCCTGAGGGATTTTCAAGACAGGGAGAGAATGAACTGTGAGGCAGGTAGATTAGAGAGAGGAAGGAAGCCCCCTGCCGGCCATTCCTGCTAGGAGCATCACCAGCATTGACTTCATTCAAGTCCTGGGCTCCCACAAATTGTACTTTGAATCCAGAAAGAACTCACTGACATGAGCCCAGGGAATCCACTGTGTGGAATCACTGAAGACTCAGAAAGGAGAAAGGGAAGAGAAGGCTCACAACCAACAAAAGCTGTCTGGATGTTCAAAATCCGAAAAAACAAAACAAAGTCAATTTCCAAATCTAAAACTAAAGGCCATTGACCTTGGCATTAATTCCTGGGAAAAAACTCCGAACGCAGTTGTTAAATGGTCCAGTTGTGCATGTGTGAGGAGGGAAGCAGCTGGCCAGTGAGGGCTCACGAAGAAGAGCGGTGCCACATGGACCTGGTTGATGAAGGTGTCTGCCCATCTGCAAAGCTCTTCACAGTCTCTCAGCATTGTCTGGTTCATGAGAGAGAAGCATGTGGGCTACACGGCTGCAGGGGGAGGACTCGGGTTGGATTTGACGAGGTGGCCCAGAAGCGTGTTCATGAGAAGACCTGAGTCAGTCTGAAGGGTCTCTAGTGAGCTGTCACAAGGCTGGGTTCAGGCAGGCTCTGCTTTACTCAAAAGGGAGACAGGCCAGCCAGGTGGTTAAAAGCACAGTTTTTGAACTTGGATGAACTTTCTATACTTAAATCTTAGCTCAATCACTTAGCAGGTGCATGATCAAATAAACTTAATGTTTCTGAGGCTTAGTTTCCCCATCTGTAAAATGGGAGATAATGCCTACTTCCACTTACAAAATTATACATACACACATAAATTATACATATACACACATACAATATGTGTATGAACATGCATCTGTTTGTATACATACATATAATATATGCCATATATATGGCATATATTATATATACATGCATGGCATATTTTACATATACATGTATAGCATATTTTATATATGCATTTATATGTATATATAAATGTGTTTATATACATATATGTGGACAATATACTATGCAGTGTATTATATATACACATATATGTGTGCATGTATATATATCTATACATATATAATGCTTAGCACAGGCTTGGAGTGTTGCGGGCATTGAACCAGTGATTGCTGGGTGGTGGTTGTTTAACTGAGGGCACTATCACCTCTTCCTCTAGGAAGCAGAGGCAGGAGTTTGTGTCTGTGAAGGACAGGGTTGGGGTGGTTCCCAGGACACAAATGTATGAGAGCATCAGGAACTTTATGAAAGCGGAAAATTTAAGGTTGAAATAAGTCTGAAAGAAAATAATAAATCTTGAGCAGATTTGCTAAAAGAGACTGGATTGCAGCTCTCTGGCCAGAGGGAAATTAAGGAGCTAGTGCAGCAATTACAGCCCTCCCAGAATTATAGGGAGCACCAGAGTCTTTAACCAATGCCCTGTAGCTGGAAGAATAACTCACAAGCCAGGGCTGTACGTCTAAAGAGAAGCCCTGCTCACGACCAAGCAGTTTTTTCTTCCAAATTAAAAAGCAATTTACATCTGTAAATCACAAGCTGCTGAGTTCTCCCCCACGCCACTATGCAAATCTTATTCTATAGGCAGATAGATTGAGACTGCAGTTTAGAAAATTACCACTCCTTACAAGCTTCCAGAGGACACACTCTCTGTGCCCGCGTGCACCCAGTCCATTCACTTGCTGAGCTTCTGCTGAGCATGAGACAAAGTTCACATACCCAACGGAACTGCCAGCTCAATACAGAGAGCTCACCAAGTCCCAGAGGTCCAGCTGGATCCCAGGGAAGAAGTAGGTGATATTAAAATGAAACAGAAGAAATTCATAGCTGTTGAGCATCTATCATGCATAAGGAGCTCTCAAATAGGAATTTTCACAAAAGAGAGCCTCATAGATATTATCCCCATTTTACCAATGAAGCTGCTGAGCATCAGTGAGGTGAGAATTCTTCCAGATTCAAGAGACAGGGGCCCAATTCAATGTAGCTTAGGCAAGGAAGGGCATTTAGGGAAAGGGTCCTGGGGGAGCTTTTGTTTTGTTTTGTTTTTTGTCCATATTCATACATTTATAGAGCTCATATGTCAAAAATTTACACGGTGATACCATTAGCCCCTGGCCCACCTTTCTCCTGCTGGACACTTATGTGTCCCACCCTGCTTAGACCCTGGCACACAAAGATTGATCAAAGGCCGTGGCCACCTCAGACTGCCACAGTGCTCATCCTGCAGGGGAGAGGCCTGGCAAGTTAAGGGTGAGGCACCCGCAGCCCAAGACAGGTCCCAGACCTTGACCCACCCAGCGAGGACAAAGAGGCCTCAGGTCCCCAAACTTAGCTCACGTAAGAGCCACCACCCACTATTGCCCCTACCATATCAACTTGTGTGGGCAGGACCCTGGCCTGGCAGTGCGGCAGGCGGAGGGCATGGCGAGCTCAGGCCGAGAGCTGAGGGTGGCAGGTGCAGAGGAGCGCCGGAGAGCGAGCTTCTCACAGTGCAGCTCGTCGCCTACCCAGAAGTGCCCGCGCATCTTCAGGTTCACAGAAAGGCAGCAAAGTGTTGTGTGAACCCTGGTGCTGTGGACCTCAGAGACTTTGGCCCCACCTTGCTCTCTGGCCACCTCTCCTGGCTGTCTCACTCCCTGCACGCTCTCACCCTCCGCTTGGCAGCTCTGATGCTCTTCGATTTATCCAGGTAGGATTACGTGCCCACCCTCTGGACCCCTCACAGTGGCACCACAGCTGGGAAGCCAGTGGTGCAGCTGGAATCTGAAGGGCAGTTTTTCAAGGCAGTGTGTGGGGGTGGGGGTGTGAGTAATGAGTAGGAGGGGCATTGTTGCAGGAGATGAAGGCAGAGTTAGGCTGACGAAAACCACCATTGTCACTGGTTTTGTTCAAAGATACCTGACTGTGAAGCGGTAGTGATCAGGTTTGAACACAGAGCAGTCTGCAGGGAAAACTCTCCCTCTCATACAGTGAAAAATTAGCAAAAATATCCACTGGGCAACTGAGATTTGCGTTGAGCTAACTGTGGTGTTTTTTAATGTGTGTTCCGATGTCCATCAACATTGGAATCTGCTGGGGTTGCTTGCTAAAATGCAGATTCACAGGCCCAATGTCAGATCTAGTGAGTCAGACTCTGTAGGGTGAGCCCCAGTAATCTGCGTGTTTTAACAGGTCTCTGAGGGTGCAGAGGAGGACCTCAACGGTTAGGGCACAAAGTGGCTGAGACACATTTTACCCACATCATTCTCGTCACCGTTATATGGAGTAGAGCTCTGTAGCTTTCATACCAGGATGTCTTGAGGATACCGCGGTCCTTTAGAAACATCTGTTCATCCATCCATCTATCCATTCATTCATGCATTCCTTCCATGCCTACTGACCATCTACTACACGCCAGGCACTGGGCTCAGTGCCACGAGATAAGTGAGACATGACAGCTCCCAGCTTCAAGGAGTCTACAGAGGGCAGGAATTACATGTACTGACTTTTAAATCTTCCCAAAGAGGCTAGCCACATTTATTCACCAAGCAAACTCTGTAATTGAGAATGAATGAATAAGTGGAGTTTGTAGGACCAATAAGCTTTCATTTACTGCCTGTAAAATACAAGCATATGATAAAGAATTTTTAAAAACTAGAAAATTAGGGAGAAGACTGGCACCCTATAGAAATATGTATATGTATAGTGGCTTATCATGGGTTGAGATGATTATTATCTCGACTGTGTGAGCATTTAGGGCTCATCAGAGGCCAGCGAACTTGCTGGACAAGGGCTGGCCAGATGTGGGATCTACAAAGTGCCTGAGGACATACCCATCACAGGTCTTACCTTGGGTTCTGGTCTATGTCATCAACAAAACCCATCTATTAGGTGCCTAATTGCCTGTTAAGCATGAGATTTCTCCCCCTCCCTGCTTGTTCACTTGCAGCCTACAGCTAATTTTGAGGTAGAAGATAGGGCTTTCCATTTCACATTTCATTACCCTCTTCGTCCAGGAGAAGCCAGGAGCCAGCCAGCCAGCCAGGGAGAAGCAGGGCCACTGCGCTTCCACGAGAGCAGAGTGTGAGCCCTCTTGAGGGGGGCCATAGTGTCTTCATGTTCAGCTCTGCACACCGTCCCTGCACTGTCAGACACAAAAACGCTGGCTGAAAGATGCGGCTGGCAGTCTTGATCGCTGACCCACGATGGGGTAGCCAGCCTGTCTGACCATCCAGGCCGCCCAGCCTGGAAACAGTCACCCTCACCATGGGTTCTCTGGCCTGCCCAGCAGTACACCCACCCTCCCATCTGTCTGCCTGTCTCCCAGTCCTCCCTGAGCTGCAAAAGTCTGCCAAGTCCTGGGTATGAAGGTTAAAGAATCCGCAGCTGTGGGCTCTCTGGGGTTGCTCCTCTTGAGCACCCTGGTTTCCTGCCTGCCATGGGGCCTTTGGCCTTGCATCCCAGCCTTTAGGTCCTCCTTAGAGGAGCTGGTTCTCATTAAACATCCACTAGCTGGTGTCCCACTCTGGCCAGTTCCCTCCCACATACAGATGCAGCCCCTCAGCCAGCCTGGAAGAGGCTGACCAGCTACACCCGCATGCAGAGTCTTCTGTCTGTGGCCTGGTGAGCAGGCTGCTCATCTGCCAGTTGCCAGATGTGGCTGCAGAGTTTCCAGAGAATGAGAAGACAGAGGATCTCCCTCTAGGAGCTTGGAGTCCCTTTCAAGAGACAATGTCTGGGAACAACTAAAGCCGTGGGAGAGCTTCATGGAGCAGCTGGGACTGCAGGTGGTGGGCGATCCTGGGGAATGAGGGCCTCAAGGGGAGGATGGGGCTGATGGAAGGGAAGGAACAAGTCCATAGGCAGCTGGGGTGTGACTGGAACTTGGAGGAATGGATGAAGTGAGGAGGGGCATTTGCAGGCTCAGGCAGGCCTTGTGACATGTCCCACCCACCACTACATTTTACACTCAGGCTTCTTATACTCACCTGGTACCACAAGAGCTGGCTCCCATCCCCAAGCCTTTGCATGCTGGCTTATCCCTGTCCAAATCTCCTGGGATTTCTGCAAAACCCTGCGAGCAGCCTCTTCTCTCCAAAGCCCAAAGCCCACAGCCCAGGAGAGTGAATCATCCCTTCCTGTCCCACTCCTGCTCCTCATGCCCCCACCACCTGCCACCTGACTTTCATGGCTTGCTCTTCCCCACTATTCCCTCCCTGGGACTGGCTGCCTCTTTGTTTGATTGTTTTTTAGAGAGAGAGACAGGGTCTTGCTCTGTCACCCAGGCTGGAATGCATTGGTGGGATCATAGCTCACTGGAACCATAAACCCCTGGGCTCAAGTGATCCTCCCACCCCAGCCTCCTGAGCAGCTGGGAGTACAGGTACATGCCACTTTGCTCAGCTAGTTAAAAAACTTTTATTATTATTATTATTATTTTTTGTAGAGTCAGGGTCTTGCTATATCACATAGGCAGGTCTTGAACTCCTGGCCTCAAGCAATCCTCCTGCTTTGGCCTCCCAAAACACTGAGGTTGCAGGTGCAAGCCACCGCACCTGGCCAAAACTGTCTTACCTTACTCATTTCTGACCCCATCCCACCATGAGCCCTGGCATACAGCAGATGCTCCACAAATGCCACCTGGGTCAAACTGAGCTGTTAGCCAAACCCAGCCCAACGGCATCCCTGCTGTGAGGGCGCTCACTATGTATGGTGTTGGTCTGGTCATCTCTCCTGGTGGCCCTACATCTCCACTCCTCCTCCCAGCTCTCCTTAGACCCTGCCTGCTGGGAGGTGTAGGAGGAATGAGACACTCTGAGCTTCGGAGTCAGGCATGGCCCTGCCACTTACACCATCATGCCTGGGCCACTTGCTTTGGCTCTTGGGGCCTCAGGTTCCTCTGAATCACTTGATCATCATAAGATCTTCACACAGTTGTGATACTTACATGGCCCAGTGCCTGGCACCTTGGAGATCCCCAATAAAAATCCATTTCTCTCTCCAATGCTTGACACCTTTCACTGCCTCCACCCATTCCCTCCTAGCCTGCTTCCCATCCTTCAATGTCATTCTCCACCCCTAACACCTCTCTTTGGCCCAGGTGAGCCTTTCAGGGCCAGTGAGGCTTGGCCAGATGGGCAAAGCTTCCCTACAGCATCCTTTGGCTTGTACGGTTAAGGTGAGAGAAAACAACCATGGCAGAGGGAAGCCTGGAGAGTGCAGAGGTGGGAGCGGAGGGCCTGGGGAGCTGGGCACTCAAAGACGAAAATAGAAGCTCATCAAACACCTTACCTTCTGCTGCTCTAAGGGTGTGTTTGTTGTGACTGGAGGAAGTGGGTCTGCCCA
This sequence comes from Homo sapiens, assembly GCF_000001405.40. NCBI lineage: Eukaryota > Metazoa > Chordata > Mammalia > Primates > Hominidae > Homo > Homo sapiens. Next base: position 119,022,253 of record NC_000002.12, on the reverse strand, counting down.
GTTGCAGACACCCTAGCCCTGTTGAAATGTAACAGAGACCAAGGGCAGGGGAATGTGACAGCAAGTACACAGGCACTGGTCAGATCCTGCTTTGGTCACCTATTCTGCTGTGTGACTTCAGGCAAGCTGGTTTAGCTCTCTGAGCCTCAGATACCCCAGGTAGAAAATGAAGATGGTGCTGGAACAGGCCTCACAGAGGGTGATGTGAAGATGAAATGAAACAATGCTAACACCATGCTTAACATGGTTCATGGAACATAAGAAGCATTGAATGAATTATATACATTAGTAAATATGTGCATTTTTACAGCTTCAACAAGCCCGAAGAACAGAATGGTCCTTAGGGTGCCTGGAGCCCCAGGAAAACATTTGATTAAAACTGTATTATGAAATCCACGTGGAGTATAATGATTTACTGATGAAGATTTAGAATAATGACCAGAGAAAAGGAAATTAAGCGTGTGCTTATTGTCCAATCAGTGGCAGTGAAGATCATTTGGAATGAATAGGCACTGTGTCTTCCTGGTCAGGTCCAGGAGCCATCTTCCTGTCAAATGCACATACCTGGCTTATTTCATATTTCCTACTGTGAGAAAGATGTGGCAGCACCATTGTAGCTCACAATGCCACAGCTTTTTGTAACCTGTATGGATTGAAACCATATTAGTCTTTTTACCTCTGTGGTTCCTTCATGTTGTTTACTTAATGCTGGTTACATCCTTCCTCACCCATGTGCTACCCACCAGTGCTGACTTCAGTGACTCTCTCTGAGTTGTTATTGTGCTTTGTTGCTGATGACCACAAGCCTTGCCCTAATGTGCAACAACTTGCCCTAATAATGCAAGAACAATAATTCATCTTCCAGTCGTGTTAAATTTACCACTTGGAATGTTTTGTAGCATAAACATAAAACAGCACATCCTCCACCCACATCTTCTCTTGAACTTGTTAGGCTGTGATCGCTGCATCTCTAGAATGTGATCGCTGTCATCGTGGCTCATGCCCCTGCCTTCCACACACCATCACAAGGTGGAGGATAGGCAAGGAGATGAGGGGAGCAAGAAGACTGGTCCATCCCCACTTTAGTGTGTCTTAAGATGAGTGGAGGGAATATGATGTCACTACACCCATCACTACAAGAGCATGCATCCATTGGACAGGTCCATTGGCATTCTCTCCAAAGCCCTCAGAGATGGGCATGGCCACCCCCGGAGGCTCCCAGTCTTGGAATCTGTGGAGGAGAGGCGGGCACCATCCTGGGTCCAGTGATGGAAAGTGCATGGGGTAAAGGATGCCTGCCACCATCCTCACCATTCTTAGGTGCCATAGACTTGAGAGAGCATTGCGGTGGAAACATGCACGGTGAGACCAATACATGGGCACACAAATGTTGCTTGCACTCAAGGGTCCGAAGGAGATAGTGGGTAGCTCAGAGCCCTAAATTCCTCCTCTGCCCATCTTGAGTGAGGCTTACCTCGAGTCAGCAAGTCAGCCCCATTCTGGAGGCCCATGTTCTTGCCATCCAGTGAAATAAATACTATCCTGGTCAGCAGTCACAATCCGCTCAGCAGAGCACCCTTCTGGAACCATGGGCTAGGCTGGGACAACCCTCCAGGCATGTATCCTGGAGCTCCATCAGTTGTCTTACAGATCTTATGTGCAGAGAAGAGGGCCTGCGAGCACCTGGAAGGGGAGAAATATGGACAGAGGCCTTGCTGGTTTGGGTCTGGGTGGCTAGAGATGTCCAGCATAGATGGCTCTGCCAGCCCTGGGGATTTTCAGGTACTAGAGGGACCTTAAGGAAATGTCATTGGGGGTGCTTCTAGAATCCCAGATGTACACAGGACCTGGCCTGGACCTGGGATGCCCTTTCTGAACAGAACTCCTAGCCCTGACTGGGCCCAGGTACCCAAGGGGAACTCAGAGAATTTCAAGGAAAGTACCCCAAAGTGGGGACTCCTGAGGCAAAGGGCCAGGGCAGGGCCTCCTTGCCTGGGCCTTAGGGAATACTTCTAAAGAAAGTGCTGAATGAGATTTTTAATCTAAGGTTAACAAAAAACTGAATTGCTTAGGAATTTCTCTGGCCTGTCCAGCATTCAGCCTCACTGCTGCGGGCCTGCTGGGCTGAAGCTGGGCAAATGGGCTCAGCTTGGGTGGTGATGGCCCAGCTCTCCCAGGGAGGCCATTACTTGCAGAGAATAACTCAACAGGCTGGCATTTCTCCCTGGGCCTTGCCTTCCTGTGCTAGGGCAGGGGTTCCCAACCTGGTGGGACATTGGCATTAATTGGGGATGTTCCCAAAGTCACACCAGATCAGTTTAATCAGGTTCTTTGGTGACTTCTGTGCTCAGAGAATGGATAAAAAGAGGGAATGAGAACAGCAAGGGCTTTGGGGTCAGCAGGTCTGAGTCCAAATCTAATTTCTCCCCTTATAAGCTGTGTGACCTTGAACAAATTAACTAACTGCTCTGAGACCTAGTTTCCTCCTCTGTGAATGGCATGCTTAAGCCTCATAGGACTGTCATGAGTACAGTGATGAAAGCTTGACTTGTAGGTCAAGCAGAGATGCTTCTGTTTTTTACTGGCTGGATGACCTTAGGCAAAGTACCTAACCTCTCTGAACCTTCATCTCTTCAGTTTTTAAATGGGTATAATAGTATTACCTCCCAGGACTGTGAAGACAGAATAGGATAAAGTGTTTTGTTTTATTTTATTTTATTATTTATTTATTTAATTTTTATTATTTTTTTATTTTTTTTTGAGACGGAGTCTTGCCCTGTCACTCTGTCTGGGGAGTGTAGTAGCGTGATCTCGGCTCACTGCAACCTCTGCCTCCCCGGGTTCAAGCAATTCTCCTGCCTCAGCCTCCCGAGTGGCTGGGATTACAGGAGCATGCCACCACACCCAGCTAATTTTTGTATTTTTAGTAGAGATGGTGTTTCACCATGTTGGCCAGGATGGTCTTAAACTCCTGACCTCAGGCCATCTGCCCGCCTTGGCCTCCCAAAGTGCTGGGATTACAGGCGTGAGCCACCACGCCTAGCCAGGATAAAGTATTTTAAATACCTAACGCAGTACCTACACTTTATAGGAATTTTTACCATGTTTAAAAATAAAGACTGTTCACTTGCCTGTACGGAGTAGAGGATCCAAATCCCCCATCCAGCTCTTAGTTATCTCCACTGTCGCTCTCCAGCTCCCCCGGCCTGACAACACACACCTCATCAATCCTTCTCTCCCCTAACTGCTCCAGTCATATTAATCTTCCTTGTTCTTTCTTATCTCAGAGTCTTTGCTCCTGTCAGGTGCGACTGAATGATCTCCCCTCTCCTCTCTGCCAAACTAGGATGCGCACCTCATTCATGCCTTTGTCAAATTAAAATTTTCTCCATGGTGAAAAAATACCATGAACGAAGCAAAAGGACAAACCAAGGGAATATATTTACATATTCATATCCATGCAACATGAAGGATTCTTACAAATTAGTGAAAAAGAACAATAACTCCATTTTTTAAAAAGAGGGAATGAACGCGTTTAGGCAGTTTACAAATGGGGAAGTACAAATGATCACTAAGCACATGAAAAGAAGCTCAGACTCACTCGTCATTAAAAAACGCACATCAACACAATGAGATGCCATTTTTCAGAATTATATTGGCAAAATAATGATGATGATATACAGTGCAGGCCAGGGCATGGGGAGGAAGGTGCAGTCATGTACTGCTAATGGGAATGTAAATCAGCGCAGCCTCTTTGGATGAGAATCCGGCAATATTTACCAATATTTTTAAAATATTTACCAATATTTAAATGTGTCTCCCCTTTCAGAGGGCAGTGCCACTGGCAGGAGTTATTTTACACTTGTAATACACATGCACCTCTAGTCACTCAACAAATCTGTAGTAAGCTCCTACTACATGCCAGGCACTGGTCGTGACATTGGGAATGCAATGTGCAGGCAGCAAAACCACCTTTGTATTAGTTCCTCGTTGCAGCGGTAACAAATTGCTACAAACAGAGTAACTTAACACAGATGTATTATTTACAGTTCTAGAGGTCAGCGGTCTACTGTGGAGGTGTCAGCAGGGCTGCGTTCCTTCTGGAGGCTCTTGGGAAGAATGTTTCCTTCTGTTTCCAGCTTTAGAGGCTGCCAGCGCTCCTGGGTTCATGGCCCCCTCACTCTTGCTCTGACTTTGACCCTCCTGCATTCCTCTTCCTCGGACCCTGGGATTTGCTATTGGGCCCACCCAGATAACCCCAGATCATCTTCCCTCCTCAAAATCTTTAATTGAATCACATTTCCAAACTCCCCTTTGCCACGTAGGGTAACACATTCACAGGTCTGGGGACTAGGATATGGACATCTTTGGAGATCAATTATTCTGCCTGCCACACTGCCTTATGGAGTCAATATTCTAGGGATAGTGATACACAAAGATATTAATGGAAGCATTATTTGTAGCCTCAAAGAACTTGAGAAGCCTAACTACTCTTTAATAGCCAGCTAGTTAAATTGGTTCCAATACAGCCATTCAGTGGAATACCAGGCTGCTGAGGATGTGAACGTGATATTGAGGTTGTGGTCACAGGGATCCATCTCCCAGATACTTTGCTAAGTGAAAAGTGCCATGCAGAGCAGGATGAGTACTAAGGTGACACTTGTGGAAAGATAAGCACACATGCTTTTATATGTATAGAATATATTTGGAATGATACACAAGAAACTGTTAACAGAGACGAGGAATGAGAACAAGGGGTTTCAGTCAGGGTGAGTCTTACTTTTCACAATATATCCCATTGTGTGGGTTGAAGGCATTTATGGGGCATCTGGAGGGTGGCAGAGCTGTGGCAGTGCTGTGGCAGTGGGCAAGGTGGCTCAGGCAGCAAGGTGACACCCAGGAGGGACAGAGCAGCAGTAGTAATGCTGGAGGGGCACTTGGCTCAAGGCTGCATGTACACATATAGCACCCTGCTCTTGCTCAGATGACCCTAATAGAAATAGCAAAGTCTTTGAAATATGTGTTCATTCAAGCTTTACTTAAGAATGAGAAAACACACACTTTGCTGCTTTTTTTTCTCCTCTTCTCCCCTCTCTTTCTTCCTTGTCTGCTTTGGGGGTGCTCTTTGGGAGGAAGCAGATGAAGTTGGGTGGTAACCACCCCCAGCCACCCCTTGGTGTCATCCCTGCTAGGGAACATGTAGACAGAGAAGAAAGACGAGGGCAGTGTCAACTTTTAGGGGGCAAGCTGTGAGAAAGGAGCCAGGGAGGAAGGCTCAGGGAGAGGCTGGGAGACAAGCAGCTTGAGACTCCAGAAAGGTTGAGAAAATCAAGAGCAGAAGATGTTTCAAAAAATACACAATGCATTTGGTATTTTAAAACCAGTTTTTTAAATGGGGCAAAGCAAGGGTTAACACTGTAAAATATTTCCTGTATCCATCTATCTATTCATATCTATCTATCTATCTATCTATCTATCTATCTATCTATCTATCTAGTCTATCATCTATCTATCTAGTCTATCATCTATCTATCTTATCAGTAAATACTGTAAGGCATACCTGCCAAACACAAGGCATTGTGTTAGAATCTGCAGGCAACATTATAAGCAGCTTACACTTTATTTGGGTGAAAAGTGAAATGAGCTATAAAATATTTAAATAACAGCTTAACCCCGAAGCCACAAAGGAAAAGACTGATAAATTTGACTACACGAAAATTTAAAAGCTTTAGTACAGAGAGGGGAAAAAAAAGCTTCAGGATAAACTGTAAAGGTATTTGAAATGCATATGACAGACAAAAGACTAATTTCCTTAATTTACATTGAGAGAATCATTGAAAAAAAGACCCTAGATGAGCAGATGTGAACAGGAAGTTCTTAAACATGCAAGCTTGGAGGAAAAATTCTCATCTCAACTCATAATTAAAGAAGTGTAATTCAAAACAACAACGAACCTTCACTTCGTTAGTCACATCTCAGATTGGCAAATATTAAAATGAAAATTATTACCAAAGGTGTGGGGAAATAGCCACCCTCTTATTGCTGGTGGGAGTCAATCAGCGCAACCTTATCGGAAGACAATTTAGGAATATGTCAGCATTTCAAGTGCATATACTACTTAATCCAGCAATTCCGCTGCAGCTGCCTCTGCAGAGATTCACCAAGAGGCACTGGGCAGGGTCTCCCGGCAGCACTGTTTGCGATAGCGCTGACTGCAAACAACTAACACCACCCACTGAGGACCAGGCGAGTGAGTTACGCAGCGTCTGTACTGTGGAATATGCCGTAGCCATAAGGAAGGATAAAAATCGGCTCGGCAGAGAACAGTGTGTTCAGTATCATGCCATTTGTGTTAATAAAAACCCTATATACTGTATACGGATTACAGTAAATTATTCTGAGGGGAGAATACATGTGAACTAATAACCACCTCTGGCTTGACACACTGTGCGAATGGTTGCTTCATCAAGTGAGATAAGAAATGTAGGAGCAGATTCCTAAGAAAAAATATGTTAAAAAAAAAAAAAAAAGGCATGCCCCTTTGGTGTAAACCATGAGTCTGACTTTTGACTGTGGAGTTTAAAGTACATCTGGGAGGAGAACTGAGTGGGGGTCGGTGTAGAAAGGAAGGCTAAAGCTGGTAGTGTATTTTATGTTTTCAAGAACTGTTTTGGGAGGGGAACACCACACACTGGGGCATGGCGGGAGGCGGGGTGTGGGGAGGGAGAGCACTGGGAGAAATAGCTAACGCCTGCTGGTCTTAATACCTAAGTGATGGGTTGATAGCTGCAGCAAACCACCATGGCACACGTTTACCTGTGTAACATGTCTGTACATCCTGCACATGTACCCTGGAACTTAAAATAAAATTAAAAATTAATTAAAAAAATGAAAAACAAAACAAAAAAATTTAAAAACTGTTTGAACTTTTTAATCAGCTAAATATGTTGCTATTTTATCAAATATTTTAAATAAAATTACATACTAAGACAACAATTGAGTAACTGGCCCACACAGGACAAATGTCATTGAATTGCTCAGCGAACAGGGGCCAGGACAGGGAGTCTCTCTGATCAATCCCTCTGACCACATTGTTTCTCTATTTTGTGAAGTCGTTTTGTCACTGCGTCTTGTTCACTGACACCCTCAGGAAGATCTCCTACAAAGTGTCTGAGATGTTCCCTACCACCAGCCCCCTTCATCTGGCCCAAGACACTCCCATAGCAGAAGTTTGTTCTGAGTAATTTCCATTTCATTGTGATCTCAAAACATTAAAGATTTGTGCTGCCCAAAGACAGAATCATTCACTGATTTGAGCAACTCTGTGTGTGTGTGTGTGTGTGTGTGTGTGTGTGTGTGTTCCAAGAGTGGCACAGCTTCTTGAGTGAATGAAGCCCTGAATTGGGAGCCAGGAGACCTGAGTTCTAATCCAGATCAGCAGTCAACCAGCTATGTCCTGGGGCCAATCTTATTGCCACCATAGGCCTCCATTGTCTCTAAATGAAGGACTTCAACTAAAGTCATGACCTTATTTATGTATTTATGTATTTATTTGGAGACTAAGTCTCATCTGCTGCCCAGGCTGGAGTGCAGTGGTGTGATCTCAGCTTACTGCAACCTCCTCCTCCTGGGTTCAAGCAATTCTGCTGCCTCAGCCTCCCAAGTAGCTGGGATTACAGGCGTGTGCCACCATGTCCGGCTAATTTTTGTATTTTTAGTAGAGATGGGGTTTCACCATGTTGGCCAGACTGGCCTGGAACCCCTGACCTCAGGTGATCCACCCGCCTTGGCCTCCCAAAGTGCTGGGATTATAGGCGTGAGCCACCGTGCCTGGCTGTCATGCCGTTTAATAATCCTCCCACACTGGCATTCTGATTTTTCTACATTTTGTTCTAGGCCTTCGCTCAAGCCTTGGTTATGTATTCTTCCATTTCTCTACTTTACTATAGCGGCTCCCGTAGAGCGGAGCCTACAGAGGGCTGGAGTGCACGGCACTGTAGGATGGAGAGTTTGGGCCTTGGGAGTCAGATACCCCTGGATTTGAACCTCTTTTCCTCTCCTCACCAGCAGTGTGGGCTAGAACAAGCCAGTTATCCTTTCTGAGAGTGGTTTCTCCCACTATAAATTGCCTTCTAAGTGGTGGCACAGATTAGAGATGCTTCATCTCAGGAACCTGGTAGATAGTAGATGCTCAATTAAAAAATTCATATGATCGCACCAGAAAGTATGATAGGGGAGCACAGCGTGCCCTGCTTCCTCTTCTTCTTCAAGTCTTCTCAAATGCCCTTCCTCTAGGCATTTATGTCACCATCCTGTGACTGTGTGTGTCATGCCCTGCTGAAATTGCCTGATGTCCACTAGACTGTGAAGTCCTGAGGGGCCTCGATCTGGACTTTCATCCCTGGATCCCCAGTACCTGGCACAGTGCCTGGCCCAAAGAAGCTGCTCAATACACTTTTGTTAAGTAAGTGCATCACTGTGGTTTCCTGCTACAGGAAGGCCTGAGAGGCCCGCAGTCTTTACAGGGTAATTTTCCCTCTGGTCTGCCATATGCCTCAGCTCTGTAAGCTAACCCTCTATGGATGGGAGTGAAGAGGGCTCTCTGGGCATACTGATATAAGCAGTGACACCTTGGTCTCCGTGCCTCATGGGGATGTGGCCTTGGACTGTCAGCTTCTCCAAGAGTCAAGTCCACTCATCCAGGAGATAAAGTGCCACCGGGTGCAGAGCTAGGAGCATCTGTAAATGCAGCCCACCTGGGGAGGAGGCTGATTTTTAATTTCAGCCTCTTTTATCAATGACAGCAGGAGCCACAATCAGCATCACAGAGTAGCCTTTATTGTCTCTGAGAACTTTCCACACTTGGGGTGCCATGAGAGGGCCACCTCAGCAGGCCCAGGTAGCCCCAAAGGGTCCCTGCTGCCCATGCCAGTTGGACAGCTCTTCTCAGGTTCCACAGGGAAACCCAAGCCTATCTCTCTCTGACCTGCCTGTCTCCTGCATTCTCTGTTTTGGTGACACTCCTGAGCACCCCAGCTGGGAACCTGGAATCAGCTAGGACCCTGCCCTCCGTTCTGTGCATTGCAGGCCCTCCCATCCCATGCCCCTTGGCCTGTCCCTGCCCCATGCTGTCGTGGCTCCGCTGCTGGGCTGGCCTCCTCACTGGTCATGTTCCCTGAATGTCCAGCCCCACCCTGGCTCATGCAGCTCCCTCCTCCTGCAGTGTCTGCTTCTCCCCTTGTTGTCTTGTACTCATTTTCCAATTCAGGTGGGGCTCCCAGGGGAAGGCTCTCTGCCCTTCACCAGCCCAGGCGGGTTCCCATCCTCTTCTGTGTCCCTGCATCTCATATTAGATCATCTAGTTGTCTGTTGATGGTTCTGTCCCCCCACCGGGCTGAGCACCTTGAGGGTCCAGCTGGCCCAGGTCACATGCCCAGCACCTGCTGCAGGCCTGGCACTTAGAATGAGCCGCCCAGGTAAGTTTGTTGAAACAGAATTAAACCAGAAACACTCCCCAGGAAAAGAGCTGGAGGAGAGAGGCAGCTTCCAGCAGAGGGAAGGGGGGCTATCAAATGCCAGAGGGCATGAGACAGTAGGTGGCACTCACCGAGTCCATGGGTGAGTGCCCACTGGTGTGGGCCTGTGCTGCCCTGCCACCCAGGTGGGCCTGTGGCCGGGGCCACTCTTCAGGGGCTCTGGGCCTCTGGTATCCAGCAACCTCACTTCGCAGATGGCACAGCCCCAACATGAGTTGCGTGAAGGCCTCCTCCTGGCTCTCTTCTCTTCTCACTAACCAGCCCTGATCCAGGAGTCTTCCATGCACAAACTGTAGAAGATGGTGCTGGTGTTTAAATGACCCCGTCCCACTCTTCCTAGTCCAAATGAGGAAACAGGACCTGGAGGAGAAAGACTTGGCTTGACGTCATAACCCACTATTTGGCAGACTAGGGACTAGAACTCAGGCCCCTTGACTACTTTGATGCTTTCCCACTACAGAACTCCTAGTCTCCCCAGGCTCTTCAGAAGTCCCTCCAGCAAACCTGCTGGAGTAGCCACCTCCTCCTGCCCAAACTCTTTACCCTGTGGGGGTTGGCATGGGAAGATGGTGGCAGGTATAGGGGAAGACATGGCCTTCTGGGTCAACCTTGGGTTTGGACCACCAGTTCTGTTGCTTACCTTCTCGCTGTGTGGCCCTGGGCAAATAACCTAACCTCTCTGAGCTTGTTTTCTTCTTACTAAAATGGGCAGTATAGCGTATCGTGGGATTGTTCTGGGGAATTAATGTCTATAAAGAACCCCACAGTGTACCAGTTCACAGTCGGTGCTTAATACGTGGGAGTTTCCCTGCGACCTAAGTGTACTGGCCCCCTGCACGTAGCTTTTTGAACACCATCTGTCCAGGGTCAACAGTGAATTTGTTATTACTAGGGGGTCGGAAGGAGAGGGCGAGGAGGGAGTTTGGCGGAGCCTGGGGCCGGTACAGCTGAAGAGAGGCGTCTGTCTTCCGAGGTGGGTGGGTGGGTCCAGGAGGCGCCGGCCGCAGGAGCCTTAGCGGGGAGCCGCAGCCTCTCCCGGTCCCAGAGCCGCCCGCGAGCGCGGACACCGGCCGGCTCCTGGAGGGCTGAGCACGGCCTGCAGCGACCCCGCGTGCCGGGAGAGAGAAAGCAACCTCCTGCGGCGCGGCCGCCACTGGACTAAGCCCCCCTTCTACTCAGAAGGGACAGAGGGGTGGAGCAGCCCCAGGTCATGTTTGTGGAGCCCAGCGACGTGAAACTCCCCCTTCCCCAGGCTGTTCCTCAGTTTCCAGCCCTGCCACTACTTGCAACAGCCAGTCATCCGCCCAGGGTTTGCCAGGTTCCTCGGGGGCCAAGCATCCGTGTGTACCAAGCACCTTCTGTGTGCCATGGAGCACCTGCTACGTTCTTCCCAAGCCCCGCCAAAAGGTGTGGAGATGTGGAGAAAAGCTCTCATCAGCTGATCCAAGCACTGCAATCAGAAAATCCAGGAAAATACTGTTTTAACATGCATTTGAACAGACCTGCAAATTTCGTGTGTTATCTTTAATGCTATTTTGAGGAGACAAAGCAATTTTGTCCGTGTTCATTAAGGTTGTACTATATGGAGTTCGGGAGCGGGGTGCAGGAAGGAATCCCACTCTGGCCCTGGGCCTGGTAGGAGTTCACATCAGAGGCCCTGCTGGCCCTCACCGTCCTGGGCCACCCTAACTCATCACTGTTTTGAAATCACATTTCCTCGTGGTTTTCTGTGGATCCTAGCCTTGGTGCAGGAACTGGGTCTCTGATCTTCCTATCAGCAGTGTTCAGCACAGTGCCTCATGGAGAGTAGGCATGTGTCAATATCTGCTAAGTTGCGGTGGGGAAGATGCAAGCGTGAGATAGTGAGGTTGGGGACACGGTTGTGACCGGTACAAAGGAAAACAGAGGTGCGGCACAGGATGAAGCAGTGAAGAACCCTTGGGTTAGGACATTAAACTATCAGTAGCCATCAATGTATTAGAGCTCCCAAATTTGCCATTCTCAGGAAATGGGACTTAACCAGGAGGCTAGCCACGGCAAGACTTGGTGCCCAGCTGGGTAGGAAGGAGAGGAAGCACGTGAAGGTGCTGCGCAGGTGTCTTCAGCAGGATGAGTGGAGGACCACTCAGCTCTACACACACCTGTGTTCAAATCCTGCCTCGGCCTCCTACCAGCTGTGTAACTGTGAACACACAGCTCCTCATCCGTAGATGGTCCTTGTAGTATCTACCTTGCAGGTTGCTCTACAGATTACATGAGAAAGCGTGTGCCTGGCACAGGGTGAGCCCTCAAACGATAGCCTCCTGACGATCCCCAACACTTCCAGGAAAGGCGGCAGCACACCCTCCCCACTCTAGAGTTGGATCCTTTTCCCTTGACAACCCGCCAGCACCTGTTCCTCCCCATCCACTCAGCTGCTGACCTTGGCTCATGCCCTCTAAGAAAATAGAAGCAATTTTCAGATGAGAATTCCTTCATCCCTCATCTTCCCACCACCAGATCCACTGGTGACTGCATCTTTATTCATAGCTTTGCCTTCCTTACTGCTGTACTAGAAAAACTATTCCTGTTCCCACCGATTGCTCAGGATCCTTTGCCCCCTCGTCCTCATAACAACTCTGCTCCTGAAATTATGCCCTCTCTCTTGAATTATTGATTTCTCCCTCTCTACTGGGTCATTCCCATCAGCATACAAACAGGATGTATTATATTTTGCTCTAAAACATCAAGTTCTCTCCTGCACCCCATCTCTCTCTCCCCCAATCTTCAGTCCCATTTCTCTTCTCAGCCCGCCCAGCATCCATGTTCTCTGGACACTGTACCTCCTGTCCTAGAATGGGCCCGCCCACCAGTGACACACAGCAGACCCACGACGACCAAGACCGAAAGCCTGAACTCAGGAGGAGGAGGTTTCTGGGTTCTTCGATGATGCATATTGCACTTTTATTGTTGGCTTCAACTGGCAATTTTTCTCTGTTTATAAACTTACACTCATGGTAGACAACCCTCAAGCCATGGAAAAGTATAAAAAATAAAATTAAAATCAATCATAATCCTTCTACCAAAGAGAAACATTTTGGTGTGTTTTCCTCCATTTCTTTGTAATTTTCCCCTCAGCGTGTACATTTTTTAAACAGTTCATTTATTAAATATATATACACACGCTGTGTGCCATGCACCGCACTCAACAATGGGGTTGTAGCAAGGTAGATATGGCCCCTGCCTCAGAGCAGAGAGAAACAGCAGTTCCAGACCTCGCTGAGTACCATCACGTAAGCAGAATCCAGGTGTTTGAGCCTCAGGACAAAAAGGGTGGAGGGAGAGATGAATGACCACAGGCACTCTGGGTACTTACACTAAGGTTGACCTCAGGCTGGAGAGTAAATTCTGGGTAGGTGGAAAGTGGTGATCTGAAAGCTGAGAGGTCATCAGGGCCAGATGACCGAGGACCTCTTCCACTGTGGCTGGGAGTGGGGACTTCCTTGTAATGGCAGCAGGTGGTCTTGGAAGTGTTTTAAACAAGGGAAGTGACTAGATCTGAGGTCCTTCTGGCTCTTTTGGTCTAATGGATAGAAGGGAGCATGATTGAAGGGAAAGAGACCAGTTCAGAGGCTATTGCAGTCTTCTAGGTCACGAATGGTGTGGCTTGGGCATGGAAGGGGTAGGTGTGGAGTGGCTGGGGGTGGGAGATAAGAGGACAGACCCAAGAAACATCGAGGGAGACTCACAGGTCTTTGGTGCTGGATTGAATCTGGAGTGGAGACGGTGAAGGAGAAGGAGGAAACTGTTCTTATTTCATTGTAGTCCTTCTGTACATATTGTTTTACAACTTTTTTCCTTAAATATATCACGAATACTTCCCCATATTCCTAAGCATCCTCTGTAATATGGTTTATAATAGTTAAGAGTCTGTAATTACATTTAACGTACTATCATTTAGTTAACCAAACCTCTACTGTCAGTCATTGGCTATTTCTAATTCTTCTCTAGAATAGAAGCAAATCTCAGCTCACGCATATAGTCAAATAAAGTGAAATTCCTTGGAAAACCTCTTAAGTCATCCATAAAGTACAGTGTTCTTTGTTTCATATACACACCATGTATACTAAAGTATATGTGTAAAGGTATAATGTGTAGCCTATAATAAAGAAGATACATATGAAATAGCACTTTAGACTACTGCTTAAATGGCTGCTTTCTTTACATGTTTCTGAACACAGGTAGTAGAATTTACATAAGTTAAAGGCACATTTGTGTGACTCCACAGTGCTCTTCACAATACTCCGAGGAGCTCACATGTACTTCTGTGGTTGGCAGATTGTCTCATTAGCCTGGTTCTGTACCCCTCCTGTCCACTCCCTTTTCCGTGTGGTTTTACCATCCTTCAACTCTAGATGGAGTGAACTTCCCTGCTCTGACTTTGGACTTGACCATGTGACTTGCTTTGACCAGGGAAATGTGCCACTTCTGAGCCCAGGCCTTAGGAGAAATCAATGTCTTCCTGCTTGCCTTTGTATCCACTACTTTCACCAGAAGAGCTCCAGAGAGAAGACAGATGGAGCAGACCTGAGCCTGAGCCACAGCAAGGAGCCAAATCCAGCTGGTCCTGTGGCTTGAGGCAGAGCTGCTTAGTGGAGTCTAGCTTAGATAGCCAATCCCCAGCTGATCCAAAGATGTGTGGGTGAGCATAAATAATTGTTGTAACCTACCATCTGAGTTTGATTCGTTACACAGCAATAGCTGACCAATACAGTGGGCATTTCAATTAGTTTTTTTTGTTTGTTTCAAAAAGCTTGGGTTCCATCTTGCCATATTGCCCCTTTCCCTCACTGAAAATCCATCTCTATTTCTATTTCCAGTGGATACTGGGGCCTGTTTTCTTCCTGTCTCATCAACATCAAGGATTTTTTTTAAATTGCCAATTTAACATGCAAATAAGTGTTCTCTTTTTTTTTGCATTTCTTTTATTATAAGTGAGGATAAACATTTAAAAATATGTTTACTAGCCTATAGTCTCTCTTTTTGTGAGTTTTTGGTTTATATTCCTAGGACTTGGCCTTATTCACTTCTGATTACCCTGCCACAAAGGGGAACTGAAGAGTGTTTAAACAAATTCCTTGAAGTCGGCTTTATCACCTGGCTAATCCCACAGACTTACAACAACCCCATCAGGTGAGTGCTATTTGTGTACAATTTTAATAATAAAGATTCCTATATACTGTCTGATTCATTTTGCAACAATGCATGTTTTCTGAATGCCTCTTGAATCTAGCGTGGTGCAAGCAAAAATGTATTTAAAACTGAAAGACCAGAAGATGAGTTTTAAAGACCAAAGGAAAATCATTTTATTTCTCTCAGCCTCAGTTTTTACATTTGTGAAATGGAGATAATAATGGAATTTTTCATTCAATGTTGCTGAGAGGAATATAAACGATCATGGGTATTCAGTGCAAAAATACAATGCATCTAGCATCTAGCATGCTACAAACCACATAGTAAGTAAGTCTTAGATTCTCACTGAACTTTCCTTCTTTACATGGGTGGGCTATATGGATAAAGAGAAACGAAATATTTATCTGAAGTGAGAGCAATCAAAAAGATTTTCTAAAGGAGGCACAATTTGTCCTGGGACTTAAAGAGTGTGGAGAATTCTGGAGTAGTGGAAGGAAGAAGGGAAGATATGCTGGGTGGAGACGTGGTAAGAATGAGGCTTGGTATCAGAAGCTATTCTAATCAAGCTACGGTTATTCAGTCCCCAGTATGTGCCAAGAGCACAGCAGTCACTCCAGATGGCAGTATTTTCATTATCATTATTCCCACCTTACAGATGACAAACAGAAATTCAGAGAGGCTTTGTGGCATCCTCAAAGCCACACAGCTGGTCATTAGTGCTGGGATCCGAATCTGATCTCAACTCCCACTCTCTTTTCAGCAAACCACCTAGCAGCCAGGGATTCTCTGAATCTCTCTAGTGCTTCTGAATCTCTGGCCTCTAGAGAGAACCTGCCATCGGGCCACAGAGAGCATGGGAGCCTCCAGCCTTTCGGCGGCACCTTCAGGACTCCCTTCCACTCCTTAGTCAAGGCTGTGCATTTGGGGCAGCACCCGGCCAGGGACAAAGCAGGGCAGGGCAGGGCACTAGGATCTGCAACTCCTGCCCACCGAGGACCCCTCTGAGAGGCCATCCTTGCTCTGGGTCTCCTTGTCAATGTGGCCAAGTCGGGGGCATGTCTGCATTACAGTCTGAGGTTCTCCTGCTCATCCTGCTCCCTCCATGTTTTCCCTTTCACAGATGCTACCCCCAATATTTCTCTTGCACTCCTCACTTCATCACTGTCGGCTTCTGGAGGAGCCACAGACTCACTATCCTAGACCTCCCAAGCCTGGTGCTGATGGGAGGGCCTGAGAAGACCCATCCGCCATGTGCAGAGGGCTCAGTGGGGCCAATGTTGGGGTGGGGTGAGCTGGGAAGGGCCTTAAAGGATGACTACAACAAAGGCTGAGTGCCCACTGTGTGCCAGACACCATTTTAAATGCTGTCTTTTTGCTTATTATTTCAATGAATCCTCACAAGAACTCTACGAGGAAGAAACTGTTACTATTTATTTTACAGGGACGGAAACTGGGCCTGGAGAGGCTTGATGCCTTTCTTGTGCAGGTGACAGAGCCATTGCACAGCAGCACTGGGACCCTAACCTGTGCCATTGGAGTCCAGAACTTTTGTTCTCAGCCACACCACTATGATCTGCTGCTGGGAAGTGCCCTGCGGGGTGCCCTGCTAGGTGGGGGAGTGGCAGGAGGGCTTGTGCACAGGGTTTTTTTTGAGAGGCCTACCATCTCTGTCCTGCCCAGCCAGTCTGCCCAGAGCTGCAGGCCGCAGCCAGGAATGGAGCATAGGAGGGAAAACACATTTCAAGTGGACAGTGCAGCCACGTCTCCTGCCACAGAGTCATGTGGAGGCCATGCCTCACATTCAGTGGCCCCAGATGACGCTGTAGTGCTGATTTTACCCAGTTGCTCATCACCCACAAAACCAGTGTCCTGACACACAGCAGTCATGTGCATGCGGCAGCCCCTGTGGATCTGCAAGAGAAATCTCTTCAGCTTAGCACAGCCTGAGAGCTTATGGGAGGAGTCACCTGGCAGAGATGCCGGCAGCAGCAACCCTCCTTTCTCTCAATCTTATTGGTGCCAGACAGACCTGGGTTTGAATCCCAGCTCTGCCCTTCCTAGCTGTGTGTCCTCTGTAAACTAATTTTTATCAGTTGCTGCATAACAAGCCACCCCCAAACCTAGTGGTGGTAAGCCACAGCCATTTGTGATTTCTCAAGAGTTTGTGGGTTGGTTGGGCAGGTAGTTCTTCTGCTGTGGGCTGGGCTTGACCAGCTCGGCTGGGCTTACTAATACAGCTGTGGTTAGCTGTAAGCCGGCTGATGAACAATGACCTCAGCTGGGGCAACTGGGCCCCCTCCACCTGCTCACTCCCCCGCTAATGGGCCAGCCAGTCTTGTTTTCATAACGTAGCTTGGATTCCAAGAGACAGCAAGCGAGTGCAAGGTCCCTTGAGGCCCAGGCTTGGAACTGCTTCCCAGCACTTCTGCCACTTTCTGTTAGCCAAAGCAAGTCTTGAGACAAGCCCAGAGTCAAGGTGTGGGAAGCAGACCTTGCTTCTGGGGAAAGGAGCTGCAGTTACATTGTTAGTGCCATGAATATAAGCTGGGCAAAGCACAGCCAGCATACTGCATTGCTTCCCCACTCTGAGGCTGGGTTTGCTCATTTATAAAATGGGAATAATATTATTTATATTATGTGATGCCCTAGTGTAAGGGAAATGCCTGCACTTTAGTCAGGAATAGGCCAAGGCAGCCTGCCGGTGCAGCATGACTCAGTGGGTTTGGAGTGCAGGTGCACCACTCCAAACATTATGTAACCATGCCATGTGAGGCACATTATGTAACCACTGACACGTGCTCATGTGAGGCTTGGAGCCACTGTTGTCTGTAAAAGGTATAACTACCTTGCAGACACTGTACATACAGCTTGCACTCGTGGCTTGCTTGTGCCCATGGCTCACTTGTGCCCACAGCTCACTTGTGCCCACAGCTGGCTTGTGTCCAGAGAGAGAATAAAGCCATGTCGAAACTCCCTACGATTCCTCGAGTGTTCTTCCAGTTACCTGCCACTTGCCCACTGATTCCCCTCAGACCTCAGTCAAAACCTGACACCTGAGGCATGGAGCCAAAATGGCCAAATAGGAACAGCTCCAGTCTACAGCTCCCAGCATGAGTGACGCAGAAGACGAATGATTTCTGCATTTCCAACTGAGGTACAGGGTTCATCTCACTGGGGATTGTCAGACAGTGGGTGCGGGACCGTGGGTACAGCAGCACACTGAGCGTGAGCTGAAGCAGGGCAAGGCATCACCTCACCCAGGAAGTGCAAGGGGTCAGGGAGTTCCCTTTCCTAGCCAAGGAAAGGGGTGACAGATGGCACCTGGAAAATCGGGTCACTCCCACCCTAACACTGCGCTTTTTCAATGGTCTTAGCAAATGGCACACCAGGAGATTATATCCTGCGCATGGCTCAGAGGGTCCTATGCCCACAGAGCCTTGCTCATTGCTAGCACAGCAGTCTAGCTGAGATCAAACTGCAAGGCGGCAGTGAGGCTGGGGGAGGGGCACCTGCCATTGCCAAGGCTTGAGTAGGTAAACAAAGCATCTGGGAAGCTTGAACTGGGTGGAGCCCACCCCAGCTCAAGGAGGCCTGCCTGCCTCTGTAGACTCCACCTCTAGGGGCAGGGCATAGCCAAACAAAAGGCAGCAGAAACCTCTGCAGACTTTAATGTCCCTGTCTGACAGCTTTGAAGAGAGTAGTGGTTCTCCCAGCGTGCAGCTTGAGATCTGAGAACAGAGAGACTGCCTCCTCAAGTTGGTCCCTGACCCCCGACTAGCCTAACTGGGAGGCACCCCCCATTAGGGGTAAACTGACACCTCACAGAGCCGGGTACTCCTCTGAGACAAAACTTCCAGAGGAACGATCAGGCAGCAACATTTGCTGTTCACCAATATCTGCTGTTCTGCAGTCTCTGCTGCTGATACCCAGGCAAACAGGGTCTGGAGTGGACCTCTGGCAAATTCCAACAGACCTGCAGCTGAGGGTCCTGACTGTTAGAAGGAAAACTAACAAACAGAAAGGACATCTACACCAAAACCCCATCTGTACGTCACCATCATCAAAGACCAAAGGTAGATAAAACCACAAAGATGGGAAAAAAACAGAGCAGAAAAACTGGAAACTCTAAAAACCAGAGCACCTCTCCTCCTCCAAAGGAACGCAGCTTCTCACCAGCAATGGAACAAAGCTGGACGGAGAATGACTTTCATAAGTTGAGAGAAGAAGTCTTCAGACAATCAAACTACTCCGAGCTAAAGGAGGAAGTTCGAACCCACGGCAAAGAAGTTAAAAACCTTGAGAAAAGATTAGACGAATGGCTAACTAGAATAATCAATGAGAGAAGTCCTTAAAGGACCTGATGGAGCTGAAAACCATGGCATGAGAACTACATGATGAATGCACAAGCCTCAGTAGCCGATTCGATCAACTGGAAGAAAGGGTATCAGTGATGGAAGATCAAATGAATGAAATGAAGTGAGAAGAGAAGTTTAGAGAAAAAAGAATAAAAAGAAATGAACAAGGCCTCCAAGAAATATGGGACTATGTGAAAAGACCAAATCTACATCTGATTGGTGTACCTGAAAGTGAAGGGGAGAATGGAACAAAGTTGGAAAACACTCTGCAGGATATTATCCAGGAGAACTTCCCCAATCTAGCAAGGCAGGCCAACATTCAAATTCAGGAAATACAAAGAACGCCATAAAGATACTCCTCTAGAAGAGCAACTCCAAGACACATAATTGTCAGATTCACCAAAGTTGAAATGAAGGAAAAAATGTTAAGGGCAGCCAGAGAGAAAGGTTGGGTTACCCACGAAGGGAAGCCCATCAGACTAACAGCTGATCTCTGGGCAGAAACTCTACAAGCCAGAAGAGAGTGGGGGGCCAATATTCAACATTCTTAAAGAAAAGAATTTTCAACCCAGAATTTCATATCCAGCCAAACTTAGCCTTGTAAGTGAAGGAGAAAAAAAATACTTTACAGACAAGCAAATGCTGAGAGATTTTGTCACCACTAGGCCTGCCCTAAAAGAGCTCCTGAAGGAAGCACTAAACATGCAGAGGAACAACCAGTACCAGCCACTGCAAAAACATGCCAAATTGTAAAGACCATCAAGACTAGGAAGAAACTGCATCGACTAATGAGCAGAATAACCAGCTAACATCATAATGACAGGATCAGATTCACACATAACAATATTAACCTTAAATGTAAATGGGCTAAATGCTCCAATTAAAAGACACAGACTGGCAAATTGGATAAAGAGTCAAGACCCATCAGTGTGCTGTATTCAGGAAACCCATCTCACTTGCAGAGACACACATAGGCTCAAAATAAAGGGATGGAGGAAGATCTACCAAGCAAATGGAAAACAAAGTGGCAGGGGTTGCAGTCCTAGTCTCTGATAAAACGACTTTAAACCAACAAAGATCAAAAGAGACAAAGAAGGCCATTACATAATGGTAAAGGGATCAATTCAATGAGAAGAGCTAACTATCCTAAATATATATGCACCCAATACAGGAGCACCCAGATTCATAAAGCAAGCCCTTAGAGACCTACAAAGAGACTTAGACTCCCACACAATAATAATGGGAGACTTTAACACCCCACTGTCAATATTAGACAGATCAATGAGACAGAAAGTCAACAAGGATATCCAGGAATTGAACTCAGCTCTGCACCAAGCAGACCTAATAGACATCTATAGAACTCTCCACCCCAAATCAACAGAATATACATTCTTTTCAGCACCACACCACACCTATTCCAAAACTGACCACATAGTTGGGAGTAAAGCACTCCTCAGCAAATGTGAAAGAACAGAAATTATAACAAACTGTTTCTCAGACCACAGTGCAATCAAACTAGAACTCAGGATTAAGAAACTCACTCAAAACCCCTCAACTCCCATTTTGTAGGTTGCCTGTTCACTCTGATGGTAGTTTCTTTTGCTGTGCAGAAGCTCTTTAGTTTAATTAGATCCCATTTGTCAATTTTGGCTTTTGTTGCCATTGCTTTTGGTGTTTTAGACATGAAGTCCTTGCCCATGCCTATGTCCTGAATGGTAATGCCTAGGTTTTCTTCTAGGGTTTTTATGGTTTTAGGTCTAACGTTTAAGTCTTTAATCCATCTTGAATTGATTTTTGTATAAGGTGTAAGGAAGGGATCCAGTTTCAGCTTTCTACATATGGCTAGCCAGTTTTCCCAGCACCATTTATTAAATAGGGAATCCTTTCCCCATTGCTTGTTTTTCTCAGGTTTGTCAAAGATCAGATAATTGTAGATATGCGGCATTATTTCTGAGGGCTCTGTTCTGTTCCATTGATCTATATCTCTGTTTTGGTACCAGTACCATGCTGTTTTGGTTACTGTAGCCTTGCAGTATAGTTTGAAGTCAGGTAGTGTGATGCCTCCATCTTTGTTCTTTTGGCTTAGGATTGACTTGACAATGCGGGCTCTTTTTTGGTTCCACATGAACTTTAAAGTAGTTTTTCCCAATTCTGTGAAGAAAGTCATTGGTAGCTTGATGGGGATGGCATTGAATCTGTAAATTACCTTAGGCAGTATGGCCATTTTCACGATATTGATTCTTCCTACCCATGAGCATGGAATGTTCTTCCATTTGTTTGTATCCTCTTTTATTTCCTTGAGCAGTGGTTTGTAGTTCTCCTTGAAGAGGTCCTTCACATCCCTTGTAAGTTGGATTCCTAGGCATTTTATTCTCTTTGAAGCAATTGTGAATGGGAGTTCACTCATGATTTGGCTCTCTGTTTGTCTGTTGTTGTTGTATAAGAATGCTTGTGATTTTTGTACATTGATTTTGTATCCTGAGACTTTGCTGAAGTTGCTTATCAGCTTGAGGAGATTTTGAGCTGAGACAATGGGGTTTTCTAGATATACAATCATGTCGTCTGCAAACAGGGACAATTTGACTTCCTCTTTTCCTAATTGAATACCCTTTATTTCCTTCTCCTGCCTAATTGCCCTGGCCAGAATTTCCAACACTATGTTGAATAGGAGTGGTGAGAGAGGGCATCCCTGTCTTGTGCCAGTTTTCAAAGGGAATGCTTCCAGTTTTTGCCCATTCAGTATGATATTGGCTGTGGGTTAGTCATAGATAGCTCTTATTATTTTGAAATACGTCCCATCAATACCTAATTTATTGAGAGTTTTTAGCAAGAAGGGTTGTTGAATTTTGTCAAAGGCTTTTTCTGCATCTATTGAGACAATCCTGTGGTTTTTGTCTTTGGCTCTGTTTATGTGCTGGATTACATTTATTGATTTGTGTATATTGAACCAGCCTTGCATCCCAGGGATGAAGCCCCCTTGATCATGGTGGATAAGCTTTTTGATGTGCTGCTGGATTTGTTTTGCCAGTATTTTACTGAGGATTTTTGCATCAATGTTCATCAAGGATATTGGTCTAAAATTCTCTTTTTTTATTGTGTCTCTGCCTGGCTTTGGTATCAGAATGATGCTGGCCTCATAAAATGAGTTAGGGAGGATTCCCTCTTTTTCTATTGATTGGAATAGTTTCAGAAGGAATGGTACCAGTTCCTCCTTGTACCTCTGGTAGAATTCGGCTGTGAATCCATCTGGTCCTGGACTCTTTCTGGTTGGTAAGCTATTGATTATTGCCACAATTTCAGCTCCTGTTATTGGTCTATTCAGAGATTCAACTTCTTCCTGGTTTAGTCTTGGGAGAGTGTATGTGTCCAGGAATTTATCCATTTCTTCTAGATTTTCTAGTTTATTTGCGTAGAGGTGTTTGTAGTATTCTCTGATGGTAGTTTGTATTTCTGTGGGATCGGTGGTGATATCCCCTTTATCATTTTTTATTGCGTCTATTTGATTCTTCTCTCTTTTTTTCTTTATTAGTCTTGCTAGCGGTCTATCAATTTTGTTGATCCTTTCAAAAAAACCAGCTCCTGGATTCATTAATTTTTTGAAGGGTTTTTGTGTCTCTATTTCCTTAAAGGGCTAATACCCAGAATCTACAATGAACTCAAACAAATTTACAAGAAAAAAACAAACAACCCCATCAAAAAGTGGGCAAAGGACATGAACAGACACTTCTCAAAAGAAGACATTTATGCAGCCAAAAAACACATGAAAAAATGCTCATCATCACTGGCCATCAGAGAAATGCAAATCAAAACCACAGTGAGATACCATCTCACACCAGTTAGAATGGCAATCATTAAAAAGTCAGGAAACAACAGGTGCCGGAGAGGATGTGGAGAAGCAGGAACACTTTTACACTGTTGATGGGACTGTAAACTAGTTCAACCATTGTGGAAGTCAGTGTGGCAATTCCTCAGGGATCTAGAACTGGAAATACCATTTGACCCAGCCATCCCATTACTGGGTATATACCCAAAGGATTATAAATCATGCTGCTATAAAGACACATGCACACGTATGTTTAGTGCGGCATTATTCACAATAGCAAAGACTTGGAACCAACCCAAATGTCCAACAATGATAGACTGGGTTAAGAAAATGTGGCACATATACACCATGGAATACTATGCAGCCATAAAAAATGATTAGTTCATGTCCTTTGTAGGGACGTGGATGAAATTGGAAATCATCATTCTCAGTAAACTATCTCAAGAACAAAAAACCAAACACCACATATTCTCACTCATAGGTGGGAATTGAACAATGAGATCACATGGACACAGGAAGGGGAATATCACACTCTGGGACTGTTGTGGGGTGCGGGAAGGGGGGAGGGATAGCATCGGGAGATATACCTAATGCTAGATGACGAGTTAATGGGTGCAGCGCACGAGCATGGCCCATGTATACATATGTAACTAACCTGCACAATGTGCACATGTACCCTAAAACTTAAAGTATAATTAACAAAAAAAAAAAACCCTCAACTACATGGAAACTGAACAACCTGCTCCTGAATGACTACTGGGTACATAACAAAATGAAGGCAGAAATAAAGATGTTCTTTGAAACCAATAAGAACAAAGACACAACATACCAGAATCTCTGGGACACATTCAAAGCAGTGTGTAGAGGGAAATTTGTAGCACTAAATGCCCACAAGAGAAAACAGGAAAGATCTAAAACTGACACCCTAACATCACAATTAAAAGAACTAAAGAAGCAAGAGCAAACACATTCAAAAGCCAGCAGAAGGCAAGAAATAACTAAGATCAGAGCAGAACTGAAGGAAATAGAGACACAAAAAGCCCTTCAAAAAATCAATGAATCCAGGAGCTGGTTTTTTGAAAAGATTAACAAAATTGATAGACTGCTAGTAAGACTAGTAAAGAAGAAAAGAGAGAAGAATCAAATAGATGCAATAAAAAGTGATAAAGGGGATATCACCACCGATCCCACAGAAATACAAACTACCATTAGAGAATACTATAAACACCTCTATACAAATAAACTAGAAAATCTAGAAGAAATGGATAAATTCCTGGACACATACACCCTCCCAAGACTAAACCAGGAAGAAGTTGAATCTCTGAATAGTCCAATAACAGGCTCTGAATTTGAGGCAATAATTAATAGCTTACCAACCAAAAAAAGTCCAGGACCAGATGGATTCACAGCTGAATTCTACCAGAGGTACAAGGAGGAGCTGGTACCATTCCTTCTGAAACTATTCCAATCAATAGAAAAAGAGGGAATCCTCCCTAACTCATTTTATGAGGCCATCGTCATCCTGATAACAAAGCCTGGCAGAGACACAACAAAAAAAGAGAATTTTAGACCAATATCCCTGATGAACATTGATGCAAAAATCCTCAGTAAAATACTGGCAAACCGAATCCAGCAGCACATCAAAAAGCTTATCCACCATGATGAAGTGGGCTTCATCCCTGGGATGCAAGGCTGGTTCAACATATGCAAATCAATTAACGTAATCCAGCATATAAACAGAACCAATGACAAAAACCACACGATTATCTCAATATCTCAATAGATGCAGAAAAGGCCTTCGACAAAATTCAAGAACCCCTCATGGTAAAAACTCTCGATAAATTAGGTATCAATGGGATGTATCTCAAAATAATAAGAGCTATCTATGACAAACCCACAGCCAATATCATACTGAATGGGCAAAAACTGGAAGCATTCCCTTTGAAAACTGGCACAAGACAGGGTTGCCCTCTCTCACCACTCCTATTCAACATAGTGTTGGAAATTCTGGCCAGGTCAATCAGGCAGGTGAAGGAAATAAAGGGTATTCAAATAGGAAAAGAGGAAGTCAAATTGTCCCTGTTTGCAGACGACATGATTGTATATCTAGAAAACCCCATTGTCTCAGCCCAAAATCTCCTTAAGCTGATAAGCAACTTCAGCAAAGTCTCAGGATAAAAAATCAATGTACAAAAATCACAAGCATTCTTATACACCAATAACAAACAAACAGAGAGCCAAATCATGAGTGAACTCCCATTCAGAATTGCTTCAAAGAGAATAAAATACCTAGGAATCCAACTTACAAGGGATGTGAAGGACCTCTTCAAGGAGAACTACAAACCACTGCTCAAGGAAATAAAAGAGGATACAAACAAATGGAAGAACATTCCATGCTCATGGTTAGGAAGAATCAATATCATGAAAATAGCCATACTGCCCAAGGTAATTTATAGATTCAATGCCATCCCCATCAAGCTACCAATGACTTTCTTCACAGAATTGGGAAAAACTACTTTAAAGTTCATGTGGAACCAAAAAAGAGCCCGCATTGTCAAGTCAATCCTAAGCCAAAAGAACAAAGTTGGAGGCATCACGCTACCTGACTTCAAACTATACTGCAAGGCTACAGTAACCAAAACAGCATGGTACTGGTACCAAAACAGAGATATAGACCAATGGAACAGAACAGAGCCCTCAGAAATAATGCTGCGTATCTACAACTATCTGATCTTTGACAAACCTGAGAAAAACAAGCAATGGGGAAAGGATTCTCTATTAATAAATTTTGCTGGGAAAACTGGCTAGCCATATGTAGAAAGCTGAAACTGGATCCCTTCTTTATACCTTATACAAAAATCAATTCAAGATGGATTAAAGACTTAAACGTTAGACCTAAAACCATAAAAACCCTAGAAGAAAACCTAGGCAATACCATTCAGGACATAGGCATGGGCAAGGACTTCATGTCTAAAACACCAAAAGCAACGGCAACAAAAGCCAAAATTGACAAATGGCATCTAATTAAACTAAAGAGCTTCTGCACAGCAAAAGAAACTACCATCATAGTGAACTGGCAAGCTACAGAATGGGAGAAAATTTCTGCAATCTAACCATCTGACAAAGGGCTAGTATCCAGAATCTACAATGAACTCAAATTTACAAGAAAAAAACAAACAACCCCATCAAAAAGTAGGTAAAGGATATGAACAGACACTTCTCAAAAGAAGACATTTATGCAGCCAAAAGACACATGAAAAAATGCTCATCATCACTGGCCATCAGAGAAATGCAAATCAAAACCACAGTGAGATACTATCTCACACCAGTTAGAATGGCGATCATTAAAAAGTCAGGAAACAACAGGTGCTGGAGAGGATGTGGAGAATTAGGAACACTTTTACACTGTTGGTGGGACTGTAAACTAGTTCAACCATTGTGGAAGTCAGTGTGGTGATTCCTCAGGGATCTAGAACTAGAAATACCATTTGACCCAGCCATCCCATTACTGGGTATATACCCAAAGGATTATAAATCATGCTGCTATAAAGACACATGCACACATATGTTTATTGTGGCATTATTCACAACAGCAAAGACTTGGAACCAACCCAAATGTGCAACAACAATAGACTGGATTAAGAAAATGTGGCACATATACACCATGGAATACTACACATCCATAAAAAAGGATGAGTTCATGTCCTTTGTAGGGACATGGATGAAGCTGGAAACCATCATTCTCAGCAAACTATTGCAAGGACAAAAAACCAAACACCACATGTCCTCACTCATATGTGGGAATTGAACAATGAGAACACATGGACACAGGAAGGGGAACATCACACACCAGGGGCTGTTGTGGGGTGGGGGGAGGGGGGAGGGATAGCATTAGGAGATATACCTAATGCTAAATGATGAGTTAATGGGTGCAGCACACCAACATGGCACATGTATACATATGTAACAAACCTGCACGTTGTGCACATGTACCCTAAAACTTAAAAAAAAAAACAAGCTGATACCTAGTGTTCTTTGTTCTTTCAGTAGATGGTTAGTGAGTTGTTGCCACAAGAAGGGACACAGGAGAGGCTCAGGAAAACGAAGCCTTTTATACCTACAGGTCCTAGAGTGACAGTCACTGCATGCCAAGAAGGGGTCACATCCTCCCCACCCTTTAAGGTCCAGTTCAAATTGTGCTTTCTTCAGAAAACTTTTTTGATTACTGTCACTCCAGATAAATATTTCCATTCTGTAAATCCCACCCATGTATGGAAGGAAAGATCAATGAGACTCTAAGACTGATTTCAGGCTTACTATGTGGTTTGCAACATGGAGAGTGGGCTTAGCCCAGCAGGCAGGGCGCTGAGAGAGAGCAAGGACCGGTTGGGCAGGTGGAGTCAGGGTGGAGCACACAGCATAGGGCATGAAGAGAGTTCATGTGTGTGCTGGAATGTTACCAGGTCACTGTCAGGGGAGGACAAAAAGGGGGATAGAGAGCTCACCATGAGAGATGTTATGTCTGAATGACTGAAGAGATGGTCAAGACTAAGGTTGACCATAGGTGACCTTCACCTTCTGCCTCACCACCTCCAACCTCTCCTTCCCCTGGCTACGGACATGAGAGAATTCAATGAAATGTTGTGGTGCATGGAGTGGGCACATCAATGGGGATGGGAGGTATGAACACAGTGACACTCAGCCACAGCCAATGATGTTGAGCTTTATTAATGGCCCCTCTCCAGAGGCTGCTCAGTTGTCCCCAGGGAACTCCTCAGAGATCCTCTGCCTTCCCACATATGAGCCCGAGGACACCTCGGGAGCAGAGAAGTGAAAGGGTTTCCGGGTCAGACGCTGCACTCCACGCCTGCGTCCTCCTCGTGGCTGCAGTCATGATGGCCCCAGCTATTCTTGGTGCAGCTCCACAGGGTACTCTCCGTGCCCCGACACTGAACATTATCCAGCCAGATCTGCCCAGTGCCTTGATAGAGAGAAAGCAAGAGACAGAGGAAGAAGGGTAGGATTAGAGTCAAAGCAAAGAAGCCACGTGTGCGCCTGGGAGCTTCCATCTGAGGTGGACTGCCGACTTCTCACTCATTCTGGCCCATTCCGGCCCAATGTGCTGATGGCTGGCTTAGCCTGTTTTTGTTGTTGTTGTTGTTGTTGTTGTTGTTTTTATAATGACTTTGCCTCCGTTCTATTCTCTACCCTTTGACAAAAGTCTCATGCAAATCTTTAATGCTTAAACCCCACACTATTTGAAATATCTTCCTAGGCGGGTGTCCTTTAGTTTCCTCCCTGCAAATTCACTCCTGCTGCGTCCACCTGCCTCACATGCCTCTGTAATCAAGCCATCGCCCTGCTCTAAAGTGGGCATTTGCTTTGGTTTGGGTAAGGACAGGGAGCACTTGGGGCTGGGAGCAAGGGAAACTGGCCTCATGTCCTGCTGGGCCAGATCCTATAGCCAGAGAAAAGGGTTCTGCCTGGGGACTTAACTTCTTTGCTCAAGGCTTGAACTTTTGGCTGAAAGATATAGGCTGAGTCTCCAGCATCCGAAGACATTTTCCACACATTTTAGTAAGTCCCTGCTCTGATTTGCTTTCTCTTCCCTTCCCATCTTCTCTTTAAAGATGATCACAGCCAAGACTGCTTGCTGGTCAATCCAGGCTGCTGGTTCACAGACAGCTGGAGTGAACATCTGCGTTTGCCTGCCCTGAATCTTCTCTCTGTTCTTCCAGTTGCATCAACTCAGCTGTCCTTTGGAGAGCCATCTGCGGCAAACACCCTCAGCCATGTGGCATTCTGACTCCAGGGCTGGATGGACCTTGACCGAAGCCAGGCCAGCCTTCACTGTCAGCGCTGGAGAAGACAGGCCATCTTTCTGCTGGGGTTGCCAAGCTGGAAGGATGCATACCTGGAGCCCTGCACTGCAGAGCTTTTTGGTTGCTTGGACCAATATTTTTCTTTTAAAGAAAACCACACTGAGTCACTTGCCAACACCCCACCAGCGAGAGAAAGCCACATCCACACCTCTGGGGAAGAGGCCCCCGGCTGATGACTCACTTACCAGCTCCCACTTTGTACAGGGCCCTTCCTTTGGAGTAACCCAGCATGCGGCAGAAGACAATGGCATCAGAATTTTGCCACTCGTCATCGCAAATTGTCCCCCAGGTACCACTGTAGTAAACTTCAGCCCGGCCTCGGTTACTACTGCCGACAATCCTGACGGACACTGAGTTTTCACCTGGGTGAAGAAACACACATGGGAGAGGCAAGGAAGGCCCCTTGGGGCTTTGGGTAAGTGCGGGCTCTTTCTTTTCATTTTGGAGTTCTACAGTTAAGGAAAAGAAATGCCCCTGCTTGACTGTCACCAGAGCCTGGAAGATCCCACTTTACAGTGCCAACCCAACCTGGCACGCAGCCTCCATGCACCTGGGGCCTGCAGGCACAAGGCCACAGGGGCAGGTGCCCCTGTGGCTGGTTTGCAAATCGCATACACCACGTCTTGTCATGTGTTGTGGAGAGAAAAAAAGGAAAGCTGAGAAAAGAGAAGGAAGGAAGGAAAGAATGGAGAGAGAGAGGGAAAGGAAGGAGGGATGGAGAGGAAAGAAAGAAGGGAAAGGGGAGGAAGGGAGGGAGGGAGAGAGAAAAGGAAAGGAAGAAGGAGAAAGGGGGAAGGAAGGGAGAGAAGGAAGGAAGGGAGAGAGTGGCTGGGGAGAGAAACTGCTGCTCTGTGCCGTGGGCAGGCTCATTCAAGGGACTAGACCCTCAACTCCTCCCCAAAATGAGAAATTTATTTGAGAACCAAGGTCTCTTCCCCCAACACACACAATTTTCAGGTGCAGAATTGACTTTAAAGCACACATTAAAGATAATATAAATAGTGATTACCTCTTTCACCTTTTTCTCCCTTTACTCCTTGCTCCCCAGAAGATCCTGTCATGAGGAGAAAACCCACACGGTTTGAAAGAAACCCAGGCAGGACGCCTTTGCCTGCATTTGCATGAGTGGGGAGCGGGTGGAGGGTTGGGAGTGGTCAGATGCTCCGTGGGTCTCGCCTGTGGCCTGGCATTATGGGGATGGGATGTCCTGCGGGTGTCAATGACTGAGCAGGAAGAAACGGGCCTGAGCTACAGCAAGAGGGGTTGAAGTTAGATTGGTGAGGGATGCTTGGTCTGGTCAGAGATATGGAGTGGGATGGGCTCATCTCCTTCATGGAAACTGCCTAGGAGTGTTGGGTCGTGGGGCATGGCTCAAGTGCATGTTCACGCCCCTGCCTTGGATGCTAGAGCTGCGCCTAACCCGCTGCTGTGTGCTCCATGCCTAGGGCAAGCCCCAGCACAAGACTTGTCAATCAAGGAAATAAACCTCTACCCTCCTGGGTTCTGAAAATCCCCAGAACTCTTAAAACAGCGCCTTTCCTATTTTAAGGTACAGAACTGGCTGTAAAGCACAGTCCTAAGAACAAAGGAATCAGATGCAGAGGCCTTACCTTTCACTCCCTGGTCTCCCTTCTGGCCAGCTTGTCCAGGGGCTCCCTTGGGACCTGCCAGCCCTGGGCTCCCCTGTTCTCCCTTCACACCTGCAGGGCCTGGAAGGAGAGACACTGCCCTGATCAGGTGCCCTGCTTTGCCTTCCCAAGAGAGACCCAAGGGCATTACTGTTTAATAAATGAGTTATCCTTAACTGCCAGACCTCCCCCATGGCTGGGCTATCTGAATGTTCAGCCTGTCTTTGGTCCATCTGGGGGCTGCACTGATCTCTCAACTCTTAGGTAAATGCTGTCGAGAACAGGCAGGCTAAAATAGCTGGTGGTATTCCACAGATTCTTGGTCCTTCTGGAATTACATAGTTATGTGGAAGTTCTAGCCATGCTGGGAGAATTTGCTAGAATGTTTCTAAGCCTCGATGTCTCCTTTAGTGAATTGAAATAGTAACAGAGGCCGAGTACAGTGGCTTACTCCTGTAATCCCAAGCTTTGGGAGACGAAGGTGGGAGGATCACTTGATCCCGGGAGGCCAAGGCTACAGTGAGCTATCCTGTCCTGGCACCACTGCATTCGGGCCTGGGTGACACAGAGAATTTGTCTCTAAAAAAATTGAAAAAAAAAAAAACCATAAAACATAATAGAATATCTAGCTTATGAGGAAGAAAACTTGCTCAAGAAATGTGTCTGAAAAATCTCACTTTTGCACTCACAGGGGCAGGGCTCTTGAGAGGCCTAGAAACACCGTCCAGCTGGTGCCAGCTCAGTACCCAACTGAAGCACAGGCTCTGGAGGTGAGGATAAGAATAAGAAAGCCCAGTGACAGGCAGCAGGAGGCAGAGAGGAGAAGCTTGGGGGCCAAGAAGAGACAAGTGGGCCACAGCTGAGGTGGGGAAGCAGCAGCCGTGGATGGAGCAGAAGGGGCACAGCTCCATGGCGGCTGTAGAGCCTGGAGCCTCTGCCTGCACCCCCAGCTCTCCTGACATTTTTCCCCTTTGCCATCCTCAGCCCCTTTGCCATCCTCAGCCCCTGCCCCATACGCTACACCCCTCAGGATGTTGAGTTCCTGTGGTTCCCAGGTTTTGCAGCGGAGAAATCTGAGGCTTGAGTGACAGAGCCCTGGAGTCTTAACCTCCACTTTGGGAGAAGGTCACAGCTGTGCATTCAATGTCAACAAGACCTGCCCTCTGAGAAGGCAGGCCTTCCCCGTCATCACTCCGAGGGATGAAGATGCAGCCTGCCCTTTACCTGGAACTCCTGATTCTCCTTTTCTTCCTTGCTGTCCTTGAAGTCCTAAGATCAAAACAAAAAAGGGGGGGGGGAGGAGATAATAAAACTTAGGTATTAGACATTTTTAATCTTAGACAACCTCTACCTTTTGTCTGATTAATGCAGATGGAAAGATACATTGGTTCTCCACGATTGTTTAAAGCCTCTTCAGCAGATCATGAAAAGAGACAGTCTGCAGATGAATGAGAACAGGTGTGTTGGGGGTGAAACGGCAAAGTACTGGATGAAAGCCTGGATTAGACAGACCCCAGATGCACCACTGGCCTTCCCTGCCCCCCGGTAACCTGACCTGGCATCTAAATCCAATCCCATTCCCTGCTGTTGCATTTATATTGGAAGAGAATTGGGAGATATTTGGTAAATAAAGTTATCTTTATTGCTAAAAGACTGTGGAGGGGCTCAGTGGCCACCAGGAGCTTTGGAGGTCCTCCTGCATAGTAGATGCTCTTCAAGTATTTGTTGGTTTTTTTCATTGTGGCTCCCAGTGGCTAAAGATTCATGTGGCTAAAGGGTCTAATGTCCAGAAAATGGAAAAATAATAACCACAGTCATTGATGATGATCCTATTGTAGTTAATGTTAAAGGTCCCCCTTTCTTCCTTCTTTCCATCCATTCATCCTTTTTTTTCAGTAAACTTTCATGGAAGGCCCACTGTCCCCAGCATCCTGCTGGGTCACTGAGATAATAATTTGTTCATTTAGCAAGATCATGTCCTCTTGATTTTAAGTGCCAATATTTATTTTATTTCAGAGAAATAGGACTCCTCAAGGCAGTTACACAAACTTGGGAAAATGCAAGCTCATTATTGACTATCAATAACAGTTACTAGAGGGTAATGAGGGGAACACCAACAGTGAGTCATAAGTATCTGTGTCCCCAGCCAAGCATGGAGCTCAGTCAACCTCCTTGCAGTTGCCTCGGGGAAGTTTCTGCCTGCCCTGCCCCACCTCTCACTTCAATCCCTGGATTTCCCAAGCACCTGCAGTGTGCTGGTCAGTGGAGGGAGAGGCAAGGGGCTGGCAGACCTCTTCAGGGCCCCTTCTTGGAATAACGAGCAAGAGAAGTTGTGACTCTGGGGGCATTTCAGATCCCACCTCCAGGCCTGGTGCTGCCTGGGGAGGAGGGCTGGAGAGCTAAGGGGCTGGGAGCTGCCGCTGCAGACCCAGGCAACAAGAGAAGCAGGAAGCACCAGAAGATTCTGAGAGGGCAGCTACTTCTGTTCCTCGTGTTAGGGAAAGGGACAGAACTGAGGTTGGGATAGGTTTTTGTAAGAGCTGGAGGTGCCTTAGAGGTCAGCCCCTGGCAGACAGGCCCCAGCTTACACAGGGCCATTTGTGCACACACCTGTCCCTCTGAATAGAATGCCTCACTGCTTTGGTTCACCTGGAGAACTCACATTTAGCTTGTAAACTCTGCAAAGATGTCAGATGTCACCACCTGTGAAGCCTTCTCTCCCTCGCCCAAGACAAGATATCCTTTCTCCCAAGGCAGTAAAGCAAAGTGGTTCCAAAGTCTGACAGCCCGGACTTGAGTCCACTTCTGTCTTATACTAACTTTGTGACCTTGAGCCAGGTGTCCCTGCTCTGAGCCTCAGTTTCCTTCTCTGAGTCTCCTTGTTTGCCTCCTGAGGCAGTTGTAAGGCTGAAATGAAATCGTGTGTATCAAGCGCTGAGCCCGGTGCCCAGCCAGTGCTGAATAAATGATGTAACAGGACCCACAGTGTCCTGTGTCCCCTCCAGGTGGGGAGCACCTCAGGCACTGAGGTTGAGTCCACACATGAGCACCAGGATTGCTGCACAGCTAGCACCCAGAAAATGTCTGCTATTGACCTGAAGGGCTTAGCTGAGATTGCCCAGGAGAAGCGACAGATGTTTCCCTTCTGCTTACCTGCATCTGAACAGCATACGCCAAGATGGGTTGGGCGAAAGATCACATTCTGTATGTCTATGATGGTGATGAAGTAGAAAACAGTCCACATCCAGGGAGGTCACTATGTCTTGGGGTCCCTGAACCCTACCTCTAGGGACACGCTCTTAAGGTAGAGATTTCTGCAACATGGCACCCTCTGGGATGCAGATAGAAGGGGCCAAGAGTCTGGATGTGGACTGTTTCCTGCTTCATCACCATCATAGACATATAGATTGTGGTCTTTCTCCCCACCAGTCTTGACATACGCTGTTCACATGCAGGTAAGTAGAAGGGGCCTCAAAACACTGTGACCACCCTTTATTGTGACCACCTAAAGAGATGCACCCCTCCAACTGTCCCCTAAAGCACCGAGCAGCAAACACCCTCTAAAGACAGGAATCATAGGGAAGCCCCTGTTCACCAGGTCCATAGCCCCAAGCCTGACTCTCCCTCTTCATTTCCCACACTCTCCCTTCCTAGCTCCTCACCTCCAGGGGACTCAGCATTTTCTGCTGCCTGCATCACGCCAGGCACTGTGCCAGGGGCTTTACATCCATGACCTTGTTTGATCTTTCAGCCACCCTCCAAGGCAGTGTGATTTCCCTCCTTTACAGAGGAGAAAGTACACACTCAGAGATGCTAGGTGAGTAATTCAAGGTCACATAAGAGTGAATGGGGGAAGTTGGGGCTGTCACCCAGGCCCAGCCTCCCAATGTTCCCTGAAGGCACCTTTGTTCCACTAGTACTAGGCTCACTCCTATCTGGAGTTTCACTTGGTCTACGCACTTGGTTCCCAAGACACCTCCAGCCTCCCTGAGGCCATTTCTTCCCCCTAAAAGAGGAGTAGTCAAACTAGAGAATACATCAGAATCATCTGGGTGCATCTTGTTAGTAAACAACTTGCTAGGTCCCACCGGAGTCACTGATTTAGTGGGACTGGAGTGGGAATCCAAGAATCCACAGTACTAACAAGTTCCCAGGTGATGCTAATGCTGCAAGTCTCAGGACCACATTTTGAGTAACACTGCCCTAAACAACTCTCACTCATTCTTGAGCGACCAGCTTACAGCCCACCTCCTACGAGCAGCCTTCCTTGTCTCTTTAGGAGCTCACAGCCCCTCTCGCATCTGAATCCTCCCAGACCCACAGTTCCTATAGCAGAGGTTGGACCTTGATGAAATGCCTTCTGATATGTATTTAATGGGTATTGGAAATTAGAATTGAGGTTTGTATCATTTCTCTCCAAGCCTCGCTGGACTCTAAGAGAACACTGGCTGAGTGGTTGTCCATGGACTAATCGATGGAGGAACTAGTAATTACTTCACTATAAATCAAGGCAGCATCCTGATAGGATCAGCTCCTGCAGAGTAGAGGGAGAAATGGCTAAAAAATAGGTTCTAGAGCTGCATGTTGTAAAACTACGCTGGAGAGCAAATAAATGCTGGATTTTTCTTCTTAACCATAAGCAAGCTGGCTTTCCCCAAGTATCACAAGCTTATCAAGCTGAAAGGGTTCCAAATATTTACTTGCAAAGTGTTTTTACAGAAATAATATTCTCCCAAGAAATGTGTGTTAAGTTAGAAAACATATGCCTTCCAGTTGTTTAGTGTTGAGCTGGTGTTCTGACTAAAGTCTTCAATTGTTCCTGCTCCCAGGGAAGCTGCCTATTTCAAACCCAGAGTGCTGTGAAACTGTCAGGGACCTGGTGTTCTTCTATACTGCTTGCACGCCACAGAAAAGGAAACAGGCTCAGCAACGTCAAGTAGCTGAGCCTGTGGTCACTCAGCTAGTCAGGGGTAAGTTCAAGCTGAGGCTCAGATCTCCTGATTCTGAGTGAAATGGAGAAATCTCCAATACATTAAGAAAACTTTCTTTCTTTCCCTTTCTTTTCTTTTCTCTCACACTCTTTCTTTTCTTTCTTTCTTCTTTCTTTCTCTTTCTTTCTCTTTCTTTCTTTCTTTTCTTTCTTTCTTTCTTTCTTTCTTTCTTTCTTTCTTTCTTTCTTTCTTTCCTTCCTTCCTTCCTTCCTTCTTTCTTTCTTTCTTTCTTTCTTTCTTTCTTTCTTTCTTTCTTTCTTTCTTTCTTTCTTTCTTTCTTCTTTCCTTCCCTCCCTCCCTCCCTCCCTTCCTTCCTTCCTCTCTCTCTCTTTCTTTCTTTCTTCTTTTTGACAGGGTCTCACTCTGTTGCTCAGGCTGGAGTGCAGTGGTGCAATCATAGCTCACTGCAGGCTCAAATTCTTTGGCTCAAGTGATCCTTCTCCTCCTCCTTCAGCCACCTGAGTAGCTGAGACTACAGGTACATGCCACTATGCCCAGCTAATTTTTTTATGTTTTGTAGAGAGGGGGACATTGCTGTCTTGCCCCGTCTGGGGAAACTTTCCTAAATACCATGCCAACTTGGAGGCTAGATGCAACCTGGCAAATTTAGGATTGAGCTAATAACTGACAAATCGACCTTGTGGTAAGAAGTGAGATGAAGGATAAGGGACTCAAAATTGGGGTATGTGTAGACTTCTGCAAAGCTCTCTCAGAAACTTAGAGGAAAATGAGGAAGAGTTTTATAAATGACAATTTAGTGATTTGACTTAGTAGAATTTAATAAATTATTGGACTATCTCAGAACTTAGATATAAGGAATGGAATTAACTAAGAAATTATATTCATGACATAGGGCTCAATTGCTATTATGGATGATCTTTTTGGCTTATCTTTAAAGTAAAACATCTTCAAATACAGATGAGAAAATGGATTTTGAGTTATTTGCACTTCGGTTTTGCCCCAAGAGGAAAATAAAAGGGCATGGAAAATTCACATTGCTATAGTTTAGACATAAAGGCCATTGAGATAAAGAATTTCCAATCAGATTGGTGTTTTGGAGTTTAAATGTTTTGGCTGCTTCTAATGTTATTTCATGAGGTGTAAATGGTAAAAAGAGAAATGTCATGATTACAAGCCGAAGTGGAGTCCTTCCTTATTTCTAAATAAATATTATTTCAAAATAGCTAAGACATGTAGAGCTAAAATTGGATTATTCTTCTGCAATCTTTGAAAGTGAAAATGTTAGAAATACTAAGTGATGGAGGCTGGACAGGGTCTGTTTCTAGTAGGTAAAAAAAGTGACCCTGAGAGAAGGTTCTGCAGGGTATGGTGCCTTGCTTAATAAACTGTGGAGGTTATCTTCCCACCAGAATGGGAAGAATTTCCTCTTTGTCTTCTTTAATATGAGCTGGCTCCTCTCTCAAGAGATGCAAACAAGAGGAAGCATTTCACCTGAATGGGGTAGAGTGTGGTCAGTGGCTGTGGAGGAGGTAGAAAGGCTTGGTGACCAAGCCAGGATTTACCCATTTATGGAGGAGTGGGAGGTGTGGCTGGGGTGGGGACAGGGTGAAGGTAACCGATTTCTCTCAAATCATACACTCTACGTTCTTCCATAAAACCGATTCTGGAAAAGCACAACTCTGGAATCAGACTTTGGGATTCACTTCTGAATTCAGTTCATGCTCCCTGTGACACTGTGAGCAAAGGGTTTACTCTCTCTGAGCCTTTGCTTCCTTGTTTGTAAAGTAGGAATGATAAGTTCAGTGTGATCATGGGAGTCAAGACCCAGGCACAGTGCCTGGCCCAGAGGCACTGATAATAATGAACAGACCGCTCATGTTTTTAAAATAATTAATGCGCAGTAATGAAACCTAGCTGTCACCTAGGTCAAGCCAACGCACTGTAATTTTTCTGTTTTCATCTAAAGTGGCTAGATATTCTCTTGAGAGATTAACGATTTTATTTACAAAATGGGAAATACATCAGTTTGGAAACCTGGCTTGATATATCAACACTGGCCAAGCACTGCAGTGGCTTTAGTTTGGGGAATACCGACATCCTGACATTGACAAGTATACACTGTGCTCCATGATGGGGAGATTGGGCTCCCACCCTCTGCCTGCCCCTGCTTCTCCCACTTCAGAAGTTGTCAAATCTAATCTCTCCGGAAGTTTATTAGCCTATGACTCCAGGATGATCTACATACCCAGCTAAATTAGCCAGATTATGGTCCTATTGGAATTCCCCTCTGAGATGTCCATGTGGACTGTCAGCTACTAAATCAAGGAAAACATTTGGACTCGGGTGGGCAACCTGCACAGTTTTAGATAAACGGGAATTATCACAAGCCCCAAATTGAAATGCACTTCCTCATGTTTACTTGGTCAGCCAGAATTAAGGGTAACCCCTAGAATTTGCTGGCTGGTACTCACCACTAGGCCTAATTATTGGAGAACTCCATAAGGGTATTCAGCAGATATAAAAGGTCTCGATGAGGATGAAATTAAAATGATCCCCAAGCTATGGGCCAAAAGTCTTTTGCTAAAATGGGTGTGGGGTCCTGGTTAAATAACTAAGAACCATGATAGGGCCTGAAAGCTTCATGTTTCTTCCCAGGAATGGAACAAGCTGCTACCTTCTGCTCTGATCCTTTCTGAACTGGGATGAAGGGAGGAGGTGTCACTCATCAGCACACCCTGATTGTGGGGCTGGGGAGGGAGAACTCATGATAGACTGTACTAATAAGATCCCAAGCTTTGTCTTGTACTGGCCTAGATTTGAACCTGGCTGCATCTCTTAATGGCTGTTTGACCGTAAAGTTGTGCTACAAAGAGTGCTTGTCCCACTGGGTGTCAAGAAGATGCTCATTAGCAGGAGCTGCTTTTGTTCTGCAAATCCTCCCAGGATGCAAAGGGCAGGGCAGGATTCCCTACCCTCAGACTGTGGAAGACACAAGCTTGGGGCTTGGGGAGTAAGCACAATGCTCCTGTGGGTAAAATCATGTTTTACCTCCAATACTCTTGGTTAGTTGAGAACCGTTAGTCTGGCAGTGGGGGTGGGGGCAGAGGGTGACTACTATTTACAACCGAGAGATGAAAGCAATCATCTCCATGAAATCACACAGAAGGCTCAGGGGCAAGAGAGCATCAGGTCTCATAGTCAGATGGACTCTGAGACTGGGGACCAGAGAAGATGGAATTATAAGATCAGAATGGACAGTGAACAAGTCAGGAACATCTGACGACTATACCCAGATGGAAACTTTCCTATGGTGAGACCCAGCTAGTGGCCTTCAGGTGGCATCCACATGGGATCAGGTAGCAGGGATCCTCCCAAACACACTGTCCATAAAAAACACAATTGCTCTGGGGCTCGACAGATTACAAGGACAGAGAGGGTGTAAAACTGCGCTTGCCATGGCTCCCGACAGCTTTCAAAGAAACACAAAAGCTCAAGCCCAGAGCCCAAGGTTTGCCAGGAGGTGGTGATGAATGAATCAATCAATTGATTAGAGCTGTGGAGGGCCAGGTCCCAGTGTAGGTCTCTAGCACAGCACGGGGGTGAGGGCATCCAGGTTGTCTGACACAAGCGTGACCTTCTCAGGCAGAGGACAGGGGTGGAGGCAGACTGTCTACAGATGTCCTTGGCAGACATGCAGCTTTACATCACAACCCTGCCTTCCCCATTGCCCCTCCTGCCCGCTCTTGGCTTTCCAATGTGCAACAGTTCTCCACAGAAATGCCCAATCAGAGTGTGCCCACATCATCTGGCAACAGTCTCTGTTCACTGCAATACCCTGCATGTCAGGGCAGAAAGGCAGGAATTGATCTTATGCATTGTGATAGTGGTCTGGACTTTCTAGACCAAGCAAGCACACTGTGACTGGACCAAAACGGCTTATAAAGTAGACTATATTGGTACAATGGTTTACGACCTAGACTAAATAGACATGATGGTATATAACCTAGACTAACCTAGACTCTGTTGGCATTATGGTATAAACTAGTCTTTGGCTAGTGTGGGTCAGTGCTCCCAGGCTGCCCCCCTAGGAAAATGTGGAAGAAGAGTTTTCTGGACCCTCCAGCCTGAATCTAGACTCTTGGACCCCCTCTTAGGGGCCCCAATGAAGGGTTAGCAGGAGACAGCAG
Organism: Homo sapiens; assembly: GCF_000001405.40. NCBI lineage: Eukaryota > Metazoa > Chordata > Mammalia > Primates > Hominidae > Homo > Homo sapiens. The sequence goes on along the minus strand of NC_000002.12, from coordinate 118,982,718 downwards.
AAACGTACAGCTGGGAGGCAGACCAGGGAGATGGTATGGGCAAGGTGCTTTGCTCTCCTCCGTGATGCTGGAGGTTTGGTCATGGCATTCAAGGACTTTCATGAGCTCTGAGAAGAGAAAGAACAGCCCTAGGCCCTTGGGCTTAAGGGGTCCTGGCAGGGGCAACTGCCCCCATAACCAGGAACCTCAGAGGCCAAGGCACAGAAGACCCTCTGCCTCCTCCGTGGGCCTAAGAAGAAGCAGTTTTTCTCTCCATCCATCCTGCCACCCAGCAAGCCCACCTACTCACCCACTGCACCCTCTGTTACCTGTGTCCCCTTTGCTTCCTTTCAGGCCTGTGGCTCCTGGACTCCCGGGGCTCCCTGGAAGTCCTGGACAACAGACACCACAGAGAGCATAAGGGCTGGACTAGGCAGGTTTTCACACATCACTCCCTGTGCCCACCATAGGACCCAGGACCTCACCTGCTCGCCCAGGGGAGCCAGCACTGCCAGGCTCACCCTTGGCACCTGGGTGTCCCACTGCACCAGGAGGGCCCGGAACACCCTGCAGTCCAGGTTGTCCTGAAAGGAAAGTAGTGACTGCCAGGCTGTGGTGGTTGGCAGAGGGCCCAGATACCCCAACCCCCAGTGCTTCTGTTTTCAGCAGTGAGACATGTACCTCTTAACACCTTACAGTCCTCTTGGCAGCTTTAACACCTCTCTTTAGAAGCCATGAGCTAGCCCTCTTAGTAGGAGGAAAATTATTCTCAGCAACTTACTAATCTTTTCCATCTGCAGGGCCTGGGACTTATGGACTTACTAGGAGCTCTGGGTGTGACTGTCCAACTCCACCCCCTGGGTGGCAAAGTGGGGTAAAGTCTAGAGAGAAACATCAGTGAGGCCTGCCCCCACCGCCCACTGGCTGCTCTGTTCCTCTTGGCCAGGGCCAGATGTCTAAAAAACCCCAGGTGTTCTGGGTGAATACTACAATGAAGCAAAAGATGGTGGTGTCTGGTCCCCAGCTTCACTCTGCCAGGGACAGTCGTAGCTGGGATGATGCCCAGATTCCTGTAGTTCTTACCTTGATCTCCTTTAGCTCCAGGAAAACCAGCCAAACCTAAGATGAAAAAGAACTTTTAGGAATTTTTTTTTCCTTTGGCTCAGCCAGCCAGAAAAAAAAAAAAAAGGAAATACCTAGAGGTCAGTGGATGTGACCACGTGCCCTCTTACCTGGTGGGCCTGGCCTCCCGAAGTCACCTTTACTCCCCTGGGCTCCAGGAGGCCCCATGACCCCTGCATCTCCTTTCATGCCCCTGTCCCCTTTGCTTCCTGAAAAACCAAAAAGTCTTGGTTAGTTGTGGGAGGAACTCCAATCAGGCCACCATGTCCTCCTCTGACACTTCCCATTCCACTGAAATCCCAAACCCTAAACTCCTTGAGCTCCTACTTGGTGCCCGCGAGTGGAAGATATGACCGCTGCCCTCAAGGAGTGCACCGCTTTGCCCCAGAGACAAGAAAGAAACTCATGAAAATTTGGTGAGGTGATCTGGTATGGCTGACAGTCAACAGAAAGCCCTGGTCCCCTTGGGAGGGACAATAGCCAAGGCTCAGCCAGCACTGTCTGGCTTGTTTTAGTGTCTGCATTTTGGCAATTATTTGAATTCACTTCAAAAATTGAAACCTGAGTATTCCGAAAAGCAGATCCCAAATGCTGAGAATAGCAACTCTGAGGCATCAATAGAGAGAAAAACACTGCAGCAGCTCATATTCCTGCCAGCACTTCAGACATGGGCTTTCCTGGTACCCAAGATTTCAAATTTTCCACTTATCATCAGAATTCAGAGCTCATCCTAGCCTGTCCCCTTCTGAGTCCTCTGTCGCTCCCTCCTCTCTTGCTGGTGCCTGGTGCATATCAATTGACAGAGGCTCCTCACTGGGGTAGGGCTCTGTGACTTCTTTGGTTTAGGGGTGGACTGCCTGGACCTTGCCAGCCATGCAATGCAGGGTACTACTGGTAGGCTGCCAAGGTCCCACCATCAGCTGGGTGTCCGTGCTCAACTCCACTCCCCTGGGGGTGGGTAGAGTGGGGCAAAGGTCTAAAGAGGAATATCTCACCTCAACACAACATTTTAGGCTTTCAAAAAGGCTTATTGGGATGCAATTTTGCTAAAAGGCATTTATTGCTCCAATCTATGATTTTGATAATTCTGAAGCTGGGGAGGACTCAGGCATGACACCAGCCTTCTCTCCAGTGAATTAGAAAAGGGGAGAGAGAGCTCTGAAGAGGTGAGGAAGAAGGGAGAGCCCTGGGTCTTAGCATTGAGTGCTGTGAATTCACGAGGTATGAGGCTCATGAATCAGACCCCTTGAGATGGCTGAATACTTGAAGGGTGGCTGCTCCTTGAGGAAGACAAAGCAATCCTAAGGAACTTGGTTATGGCTGAGGCGTCCTATAACAGCTGGAGATGCAAAAAGCAGAGGAGGCTGTTCTTGGCCGTTCAGAGTGTCCACCCTGGAGAAGGGGCCAACGGCACCTGTTAGAAGGCACTGAGAACTGTTTCCCTGGAGGAATCTGTTGGTGCCTTTTTTGCTGTGGGCCAGGACCATCAAGTTACAGCATTGCTGGGCCACATGAAGTTTCTTCAGAATGGTCTGGACCTGCATCTGTGTTGCTATAACTTCCACTCCCCAGCAAAGGGAATGGCTTTGGGAAGAGGGCAGTATCACATCAGTCAGAGGACCACACTCTGGCTCTAGCCAAGGAAGCACAGCTGCCTGACTTCAGAACTTCCCAACTGTAGCTAAGTAGTAGAGTGAGGAAAATAGGCTTATCCCCTGGGACTTTAAGTTGGTGGCTTATCTGTCTACTAGCAGGAAGAGAATAGGTAAAATCTCAGCACTATTGGGGTCAGGTCTCTCTTGGTTTGCACAGCCCAGCCACCAGCAGTGGATTGAGCAAGCCATGGGTAAGAGAGACCTCATGATCTTGGGAGAGGAAATTTGGGAAGAGGAGGGGTGGGCCTGAGTCCTGATTTTTGAAGAACTCAAACTGCTGCCTTTCCCTTCGCCAACCACAGCGTTTCCAAGCCTGAGTCTGGGTGTGGATTCTATGCGTGCCTTTGTGACAGTGTGGTTGGGAAGCTGCATAACTCAGACTCAGTGGGCAAAGACCTGGCTGAGGCCCCTTCTCTGGGGCTGGCAGGACCACCTTGAGAAAGTCTGGGTCTCCCTTTCCCATCTATAAAGAGAACTGTGTTGTTCCAGCTTTGGAAGGATCCTCAGAGGTCAACCACCCAACCATGTTCCTGGTGCCAGTATCCCTCATCAGACCAGCCTAGGAGAATTCTGCAGCCCCTCCTCCCCTCCCAGCAGTCAGCTTCCCGCTAAAACCCATGCCCACGCACTTCATCATGGGTCAGCCCCAGGTTCTGAATCATTCTTCCTCCCTTGCCTTAGCACAATTGGTCCTCCTGAAACCTTAGTCCATTGGTCCTTGTTCTTCTGCTGGGTACCACCCTGGGCAAGACCATTTTCTTTCCCACAAATGCCCTTTGAATATTTGAGGATGGCTGACACATCCCTACTAAGGGCTGTCTTCTTGAGGGCAAGGCTTCCCAGTTTTTTTGTAAGGAATTCCCATGTGCCAGGTACAGTGGTACACATCTCATATGTCTTATATTCCTGCAGTAATTCATCCTCATTAAAGGTTTGTATTATTATTAGCTCCCTTTTCTAGGAGAGTAAATTGAGGCTAAGAGAGGTTAATTCATTTGCCCAAGGTCACACAGTTAGTGAGCCATATCAGAACCCAGGTCTGTCTGATCTTGAAACTGAAGTCCTTCCCTTTCTACGTTACAGGATAACTACTACTACTATTATTATTACTAATACTATTACTATTACTAGCTATCACATATTTAATGCCTATTACTAGTTGTCATGTATTTAATGCCTATCATGTTGCAGACAGCTTGAAAACATGGTCTCTAACCCTTATTACTGTCTTGTAAAATATATCTAATTTAATTATTTTTTAACTTAATTACCATTCTTTTCTAAAATGAGAACATTAAAGCTCAGAAGGGTGAAGTATTGCGTTAGTCACACAGGGGAGCAGGTGCAGAGCAGGGATGGGAACCAAGCCCGCCTGGCCCCGCAATCCTCACTCTCTGCCATTCACTGCAGAGCCTCCCCAATGACTGCAGGAGGCTGAGAGGCGGAGAGCGTGGCATGCTCAGTCAAGTCCAGAGCCCATAAGCCAGTGTTTCTTCGAGTGTGGTGCACAGACCTTCATGGTCAGAACCATCCAGGGCATTTGAAACAGACCCTCGAGCCCTCCCTGCATTTTAAGCAAGCACCCAAACAGCTCTTATGATATTGGCCCTTGGCTTGAGGAACACTGTTCTAGAGATAGCACCCTCAGTCAATGGGGGATTCTGGCTGCCTGGGGTCTCCCTCCTTGAATCAATCCCCTTGCCCTTGCCACCAGTCAGTCTGCCCTGCTTCCCAAGGCCCAGTGCAGGCCCACTCTCCTCATCCCCTTGGCTTCCTCTCTGAGCTCCTAGCACTGCCTGTGCCCCAGCTTGCCATAGTCATGCCTGGAATGACATTGTTCTCCCTCTCATATTGCATCTCTTTGCTCACCCGGAAAGAAGAGACTATGTGTGGTGCTCCAGAGATTCCCATAGACAGAGCACTGCCTTGCCCTCAGTGGGCACTGAATAGACCCAATGGCACAGAGGTCAGGCCCTAGTTCCCTCAGGCCTCCTGGCAAGCACCGACACCCCCAATACGGCCCTCACCTGGGAGACCCAGGTCTCCTTTCTCTCCCTTAGTTCCAGTTTCCCCTTTTGGGCCAATGAGACCCCCATCGCCTTTGCTGCCCTTCTCTCCTTGGGGTCCTGGGGTGCCTGCAAAGAGAATGGCTGGTGAGATGGGCTCCCACTATCCTTTTGGGGACAGGCTACCAGAGGCAAAGGGGCAGGAAGCATTTGGGAGAGAAGGGAATGGGATCCCCAGATTTCCTCTGGGGGATGTGCTAGCTCATTTCTTGGGTGGTCTTGAAGAAATGTGACAGGACTCAAGAGAAGAGGACTGTAGGGTGGGCAGTAACTGTCAGGGGCTGGGGTGGGGCTGTGGAAAGAGGATGGGGGGTGGGGGGGAACTGCCTCAGTGCCTCAGGCTATGCATCATTTGTCCCTAGCAGAGCAAGTACAAGTTACCAGTGGCTCCTTGCTTCCCTGGAGCACCCTGGGGTCCTTGGAGGCCTGTGAGGAAGGAAAAAAGAGCTCAGTTGCTGTGGCCTGAGAATGTCTAAAATGTCTTTAATCAGCTGACATTCTAGATTCCCTTAGTTGAGCAAGGTTCCCAGAAGGAGATCTTTCTCTCTCTCTCACTCTCACTCTCTCTCTCTCTCTCTTTTTCACACACATGCACACACACAATCACACACATATGATTGCACAAACACAACCAGCAGAGTCCCTGGCAGTTCCAGGCAGTGTTTGCTCTTGCTATGGCATGAAAGTGTCCCTCAAAAGTTCATGCATTGGAAGCCTGGTCCTTAATGCAGCAGGTCCTAGTGGGGAGGTGTTTGGGTCACAAAGACAGATCTCTTATGAAGAGATTAATCCCATCTGGCAAGATGGAGTGAGTTCCTGCTCTTGTGAGACTAGATTAGTTACCAAGAGAGCTAGTTCCATTTCTCCACCACATTTTGACTCAACACAAGGCCCTCACCAGAAGCTGCCAGAGATAGCTGCCCAATCTTGAACTTCCCAGCCTGCAGAATCATGAGCTAAGTAAACCTCTATTCTGTGTAAATTACCCAGTCTCAGGTATTCTGTAGTAGTGACACAAAACAGGCTAAGACAGCTCTCTTCCCAAAGGTCCAGAACAGCACCTAGGAATATGTCCTGCATGGCAGTGCAGGAAAGGCTTTAGAGTCAGGCAAGTGTGTTTGAATTGTAGCTCTGTCACTCCCCAGGCTGATAACTTTGGAAAAGTCACTTAAGTATTCTGCATCTGAATTTTCTCATCTGTAAAATGGGGCTGCTAATGACTACCTGTCCTCAGCAGATGCATAATTAGTGTTCTAAGACAAAATTGGAATTGAGAAACGGTGATTCCCACCCACATGGCCCAGGTATCCAAGGCTAGCATATGGAGTACAGACTGGAGGTGCTGGGTGTTCCTGGGGCAGGGGCAGGGGCAGGGAGGGATCTGTTGAGGAGAGAAATGGTGAGACTATGAGGGGAAATTGAGGGATCCAGGAGGCAAAGTGGAAAAGGATGGGAAGGAGAGGAGTGAGAGGAGGTGGGTGTATATAGAGAGGCTCTAAGTGAGTTGCTGAATTACACAAGCTTTTCCTGAGGATGCCAGTGGGGCCCAAGCAGAAAGTGCAGATGGGCTCTGGACTCCACACTCTCTATGGAACCACAACAGCCTACTTTGTGGATCTGTTTCATGTATGTGGGTTCCAGATGATTTGGGCTGAAAAAGGGGTTGCCTGGTTTTAGTGCTAGTGGTTGCACAGTCCTGCTCTGAGCCCTCTGTCAAGGCTGTGTGATGTGCCTACCTGTCAGAGTCCTAAAGAGAAGGGGAGGCTCCAGCTCTATTCCTTCTTGAAGGAAATGACTGTGCTCCTCAGGCTTCTGGCTTTTCCCTTCAAGCCAGCCTCAGTGGCTCCACTCTGGTGAGTTTCAGTCACCTAGCCTGAGTCCCTCTCTCTCGGAGGAAAGAGGATGGAGGGAGACCCACTCCCCTCTGAGTGAGCCTGCTCTGCTCAAGCCCCCACAGGCTGAGTGTGAGTGTGTGTGCATGGGGGGTGCGAATGTCTGCAAATGTGTGTGAGCATATGCATATGTGCACAAGTGTGATTGTACTTGTGCAAGTGTAAGAATGCAAATATGTACATAGATGTGTGCTCAGACACGGGTGTGCATGAGTATATGCGTGTATGTGAGTGCATATATGTGCATGAGTATATGTGTGTATGTGAGTGCATGTGTGTGCATGAGTGTGATTACATTGGTGCGTGAGTGAGTGTGAGAATGCAAGTATGTGCACAGATGTGCCCTCAGACATGAGTGTGAGTGTGTGTGGTGTGAATGCATGTGCACACCTCTGACTGCACCATAAACCTTCCTTCTTCTGGTCTGCCTATCCTCCCCGCTTAAACCCTCCTCAGAAAACCCCCTGCTGGACACAGATCAATAGGCTCTTTGGGGTCCCTTCTATTAAATTCCTTCCCAAAATCAATTTCTGGAGGATTCTACCTCCTAACAAGTTTCCTTTCTTGTAACTGGTGGTGTTTTCTTTCTGCCTCAGCAGCCTGGCGGCTTAGAGACCTGCTTTGTTTACTCCCCACTCCCTTGTAAATCCTCTCATCTGCCCTTTGTCTAGTAAAGGTCTTAATGTCTTCGCATCTTCACATCCCAGCAGCCTCAACCCCTTGCGGAATTTGCAAGTTGGAGTTTCTAAATTAAGGGTGGATGGGAGCAGAGTGGAATGGAAAACTGATGTTTGGGTTTGTCCCTGGGGAGGGACAGCTCTGGGCCCCCCATTCTCTGACCGGGCCCCGTGAACCCATTTATATTAATAAGATGGCTGGGCAGAATTAGGCAACAGTCTAAAAAAATGGAAACTAATACTTTCCAAGCAACGATCATGAGCTTTGTGTCATTGTCTCTAATCCCCCTGGCAGCCCTCTGCAGCCCTCTCATCCCCAATCACAGAAAAAGAAACTGAGGCTCGGTTTCTTTGGGAACATCAGGAAACATTCCCAAGGGCACAGAGCTAGTCCAAGGTGGAGGTGCATGTGCCTGACACCAGAGTCCTTGTTGGACCAAGGAGGCCAACTTTCCAAAGTGGCACTGGCAGACTTACATTCTCACACAGAGGAGGGGGTAGGAGTCACACCCCCCAGCCCCATCTAGGATGAAGGCCATCTAGCCATACCTGCCCCTGAGGGCGGCTGCCCAGCCCTACTCTGGCCACCAGAAAGGGTGCTTCCCAGCCTCTCATCCCCTCTGGGGTCTCCCACCAGGCCTCCGTTCACCTACAGACCCCTCAGAGGTCCAGACTCTGGAGGGAGGCTGCGTCTGCAGCCCACAGCAGTCACTCTGAGAAACTTGCTGTGTATTTCTGGGTACATACCCAGCACCTACTCACCCGCCTCTCCCTTGACTCCCGGTGGGCCTTGGGGTCCCGAGGGGCCTGGAAGGGAAAGGGAATTCAGAGTGAAGCCAGAGAAGGAGGAGGAAAATGATTAAGGGTCAGAAGAAAAAGACCCGTACCTGTTGCTCCATCTCGTCCCATAGCCCCCTTGGCTCCCTTCTCAGCAGGTGGTCCCGGCGGGCCAGGGGCACCAGGCATGCCCATGGCCCCCTTGTGACCTTGAAGACCTGAGGAAGAGGAACAGAGACACTAATGAGTCAGTCAACAGGATGGGGCAACAACGCCATGCAATCACTTACATGGTGATTCATTCAACAAACGTTCACTGAGCATGGGGATGAGCCAACTGTGTGGAAAGAAGGAAAGAAGACAGAGCTCCTCCTGCAAGAAACCCATGGCCTAGAAAGCAAAAGAGAGACACTGAGTCACAGTCCTAGGAGCAGGTGTTAGCACTGCCCCTTTAGCTGGGTGACCTTGTGCAAGTTACATCATCATTTTGAGCCTCAGCTCCCTCATCAGTAAGATGGAATTAGTGTACTAATTACACAGGGATGTCCTGAGATTACCACGTGGGGACCATCATGGAAAACACACAAGGCAAGCTCACAGGAAGGCTCACAAGGGCAGGGCCTTGTCTGTCTTCTTCATGTCTGGATCCCCAGTGCCTATGCGACTTCTCATCCTCATGGAACTTTCAATAGGTATTTGTTGGGAGGAAGGAAAGAAGTCCAGGATGGATAGGGGAGAGAAACAGAGAGGCAAGTGGGTTTCGCAATCCCCTTCCCTGAAGCTTGGCTGAGGAGCAGTTCCCCTGACTGTGTTCCAGGCAGCCTGCGTGGGAAGGCAGTTCCACCGGCAGGCTGCCTCCAGTGAGACCATGACTTCTGGGTTCCACACCCAGCCCTCCTCCCCCACCCACCTATTTGTCTCTGGAGCCTTTTCAACAAAGGAACCTCTGGGAAGTCTTGACCAGGCAAGGCAAGCCATGGGGAAGGGGAGAGAACACAGCCTCCCTGGGTGGGAAAGGGTGATGGGCGGGGAATCTGGAGAGGCAGGTGGTGTCCGAGGAGGAGCCGAGACTTCTATAGCCCCAGCTGCTGGAAGAAGTTTCCTGTCTCTGGTTTCTGGGCACAAAAAGAAAGAGTGGGAAGAGACAGAGAGAGAGAGAGAGAGACAGAAGTCAGAGACAGAGAGAGACTGAGAAAGACATGGAGAGTGAGAGTTGGAGATTTTCTCTATGTACATACATCTATATTCAGAGAGAGAGAGAGGGAGACATGGAGAGAGATAGTTGGAGTTTTTCTCTATGTACATACATCTATATTCAGAGAGACAGAGAGAGAGACATGGAGAGAGAGAGTTGGAGTTTTTCTCTGTGTACATACATCTATATTCAGAGAGACAGAGAGAGAGACATGGAGAGAGTCGGAGTTTTTCTCTATGTACATACATCTATATTCAGAGAGACAGAGAGAGAGACATGGAGAGAGAGAGTTGGAGTTTTTCTCTATGTACATACATCTATATTCAGAGAGACAGAGAGAGAGACATGGAGAGAGAGAGTTGGAGTTTTCCTCTATGTACGCACATCTATATTCATACAGAGAGAGAGAGAGCCATAGAAGCCATGTTCTGTGCTCTGGGGTGAGGTGGGCAGCACTGTGCCTAGGGCGGGTGACAGGCAGATTTTGAAGGTTGTACTGAACCCATTGGGTTGAGAAGAAGTTTAAGCATTGATTCTGTCAGCAAAAGCAATTGAAATTGTTGAAACTGCCCCTCCTTAAAGGAGAGGAGCCAGCATTCATCAGGCTGGAGGCTCTCCTAGCAGCAGCATTTAGTTTTCTCAAGAATAACAGAATAACAACCATATATAACAATAGCAAATAATAGTCATAATAATAACGAAGACAAGAACATCATTGAGTACTTGCTCTTTGCTGGACACTGGACTAAGAGGTGTACATTTATTGTTTTATCCTGACACCAATCCTAGGAAGTCCTACCATATCTCCATCTTACGGGGGAGGACATAGAGCTCAGAAATGTTAGGTGACTTACTCAAGGCCACCCAGTTTACAGGGGCAGATCCAGGATTTTCTGTAGGCCCACCAGTCTCCCAAGTCCCTGCTTCCATCACTTTGCAAGGCTGCCTCAAAACCCTCCCTGGCCAATGGTGTGATCTGGGCCATCCTTGAAATATTATGGGACCAAAGGATTCTGTCCCAAAAATGGCATGTATATTTATCCTCAGGGGGAAATTTCAACCACTCAGCAGATGAAATGGAACAGGGCTGTGAGTGAAGCGTGTGTGTAACACAACACATGTGGGTTGAGGCAGGAAGAAAAGGCAAACAACCATAGCCTTGTCCTCAGAGAGCACATGCCATTGTCAGACAGCTTTTGCACTCCCTTGAGTCCTACAGCAACTCTGTGAGGCGAGTCGATTATCTCCACTGCTTCCTACACAGGTGAGTGGCTGGGGCTCCAGAAAACTTAAGTAACTGACCCAGAGTCACACCGCCAGTAAGCCCCAGGCCCAGGATTAGAACTCAGATCGGCCTGACCGCACAGCCTGCGCCTCCATGACACCTGCCTCCCATCATTACTGCCCTGTAGGAGAGAGGAGTGAGACACCATGGAAATGAGCACAGCACCTCTGGTGGGAAGTGCTATGTATGTGGTAGGTAAGAGTCACCTGGAAGGAATGCTTACAGGAAACCAGGAGAGAGGCTGCCCTGGCAGCCAGATGATGCCTGGTCTGGCCTGGGAAGGTAGCTAGATTTGGATGGGGGAGTGGAGAGAGGAAGCCTCTTTAAGTAAGGAGGGGGATGACAGCCCAGGGTCTGGGAGTCCAGTTAAGTTCTGGGAACAGAGAGGAGACCCAACTGAAGACAAAGGAGGCTGTGGAGACAGGGGAAGGTAAGCTAGGGTCAGCTGTCCAGACCCAGAATGGCACAGGCCAAGGGGCCCTTTTGGGGAGGTTTTGGGGAAAGAGCAGGGTGGGTGTGAGTGGAAATGAACCTACCTGGGGCGCCTTGTTCACCTTTGATTCTGAACATCCCTGCAAGGGAAGGAGAGTGAGCTGCAGCTGAGCTGTGGGGTACCCTTGGCCCAAGCCCCAACTGAGAGTGCCCAGGTTCTGCAGTGGGAGGGTAAGCCCTCCTGTGTGGGGCTCCCATCAGACTGTGGGGGTTTGGACAACAGGAGCCAAGCACCTGGCTGTTTTTTGGGAAAGAGTCCTTGGAAAGAGCCAGATGCTCAGCTGCAACTAGCGGACTGCACCCCGAGACCTGTAGATCCCTGGGAGTCTTGGAGGTGGGGAAAGGAGGTTGCTTCAAACCAGCCTGAGGAGGTAGAACCCCTTCGTATTGGTCAAAATGAGCTCCTTCACATTTCAAGGAAGGAAGAGACACTCCCATGGTGTCTGTGTCTGAACGTGGACTCCTTCCATCTGCCCACAGCTATCGCCCCTCCTCACACCCCCACTCAGCCTTCGTCTTTTCTCCCTGGGGAGGCCACAGCCTCTGGAGGGATTGGCCTCCTGGGTCCCGTGCTGGGCGTACCCCTTGGTCACAGGACCTAGCCATGGGATCACCCTCCTAAGCCTCAGCTCACACAGGGCCCAGAGCAAGGAACCCTGCTGGGGCTGGAGCTCTGTGTCACGGGGTAAACCCTACAACAGTTGAGCCACACCTAGCAGCTGGTTTTGCTGAAACTGTCTGAGGGCGAGGCTCTTCCCATTTTGGGGCAGGCTGAGAGAGGAGAGGGTGCAGCTGCAAGGCCCTGAGAGCACCGAGGGAAGGGGCACCCTTGGGGTTTTAACCCTTGGCTCAATTTTCCCCAGCCTGCAGCCCTACCACCCAAGTCACCACCTTTCCCCCAGCAGGTCCGGGTGTCCTCCTCCCCACAAAGTCCCCACATTGTCTGAACTAGTTTGGTGCCTTCAGTTGCTCTCTCCCCAACCTCATGTCAGTGTAAGTCAGCTGTGGGGGAGTGGTCCAGGGAACCGCCCCAGGCTCTGTGTTTTACCCTCCCTCCCAGACATTCTGGATCCATGTGGGGACTCTGGGTTCAGACTTGGCATTGAGCTGGTTGCTCTAAGTCCCTGGCTCTTGGAGGTCACACTTTGCTTGGACAGGGTCCTTAATTTCCTGGTTCCTGATCCCGCTGTCTCCCAGACCTCTGTTGAGAAGTCCTGACCCAGAGGGGAGGAGGCCAAACCTGGGTTCTGAGTGAAGTTGTCTACCCGCTGCAGCAAGTGCTCATGGCTGACGCGGACCCAGGTGAGTTGGGCCTGCAGGACTTGCAGCCTCGATGCACCCTGAGCCAGGTGTTCTCCAGGGTGTGCTGACTGCAGCAAGGAGAAGGACGGGCTGTCCTCAGCCGCCAGAGTGTCATTGAGGAAATACATCTCCAGGACCCGGAGCCGCGCCTGCAGATTCAGAACTGGGCCCCACCCCACAGCATTCTTTTAGGGACTGAGGCATTTGAGCATATCCCTGACATTCTTGTGTCATGTGTGCATAACTTCTACAGGCCCTGAATTTGTAAACACAAATTCCATGTGCTGTCAGGACCTAGCGTGAGCACACGGCCTTTTCTACATCTTGACCATGTGCGCTCCACACTCAGGCATGATATTGCACGTCCACAAAACATTTCTGCGTGGCCTAAAGCTGTGCCTACTGCATCCACAATCAATCTCCAACCTTCAGGCAGTTAAGACCTTCCTGCATGCTCTGGGTGTAGATGCATGACAGCTAACATGCTGGTCTGACCTAAATATGTGCAAGCAGCATTCGTGTGTGATCTTAATACACACAAGACGTGTTTATGACAACTGCTCATTCAGCGTTCTTGAGTGACTTCAGTGTCTGCTCATGGAACGACTTCATGACTTTAACCTTTAGATTGGGAATACTTCAAAAGTAAAATCATGTTCAAATGGACACTTGGATCAGCAAAGCCCTTCCCACTCAGAGGCTGGGAGTCTTAGATGTCAGAAGTGTGTGTCATCCCCCGTGTGAAATTATGATGTCTTTCACTGCTTAGACACATAGGCTCACAAGAGCATTCTCAATGTCTCTCTCTCTCCCTCCCTCAGGCACACATACACACAACATACACTCCTTCTTTGCTCCTCTCATCACTGTGGCTGCCAGGGGCTGAGACTGTCTCCCAGCAGATGGGAGCAGTGGCCCGAGGCTCTCCACTCAACCTGAGCCCTTCATCTGAGGGGCCCAGCTGGGTCACCCCTCTCCCCCCAGGAGGGACTACACAGGACCAAGCCTGCTTTACCTTGGACCACCAGCAGCCCAGCGCCAGCGGTGAGCAGGATCAGGTAGATGACCACCACAGCTAGGGAGAAGTTCACCCCATTTCTCCTCTTGGGCTTTGGAACTGAAACACAAGCCAGGAGGAAGGAGGCTGCTGCAGAGAACACAGCACAGGAAGTCCCTGCCTGCTCCAGGCCCTACTCCATGTGAGCAGGGGGCACCCTGTGAGGTCAGCTGGGAAAGACACCAAAAGCTCATGACTCCCAAATCATCCCCCAATCCTCTTTCTTGCCACAAAGCAAAAATTGCCACTGTTGGTCACTCATCTGTGTGGCTGGGCAAATAAACATCTGTGCCATATATCATTTGCTGGAAAAGGTGTCATATCAACCTTGTTCACTGGTGAAGCCCCAGCATGGTGCCTGGCCCTGTTGGGTTCTCAATCTCTGTTTGTGGAATAAATTATGAATTAATGTGTTTAAATTTCAAAACTCTGGGAGGAGGAGGGTTGTTCCCATTTGGCAAACAAGTAGTGAGACTTGGAGAAATTAAATAACTTATTAGGTTATAAGAAGCAGATCTGGAATTCATGTCTAGGTCTTTTTTTTCCTTAAGATTTGTAAATTATAAAAGTAAAACATGCTTGATATATTTTATCAAATAATGTACAGGGCATGACAAGGGTTAATAATCATCCCTCAACCCCCTAAGGTCCTAACCCGATGAGATAATCTCTATTAGCACTCTGGGGTGTGGTCTTCCTCCCATCCCTCCTGTCCAGAAATCCTACAAACCCATATAGTCTGAGAAAGCCTTTTTTTCTTTTAATCTTACAAATGATATCATAGTACATAAAATACCACACATTGCTTTTCACAGTGAAAGATTTTCGTGGACATTTTCCTAGTTTTCTTTGTAGAGAGAGATTAGCTGCCTAATACTCCTTAGAGACAAAAGCCACAGTTCATGCTAACATTTCCCTTTTAATGAGCTGTTTCCAGTTTGCGACATTACAAAAGAGGCTGTAATATTTCTTGCCTGGAAGTCCTGACTCTAGTCTTTCGTCAGCTGTTACTCTGTCTTGTTTAGGGGTATTAAAGGGAGGGCCCCAGACTGCAGAAGGCCCTGCAGTTCCTACTGCTCACATTAAATGAGCACCTATTCCACACCAGGCATTTACCAACATCATCTCTAACCATTGCAGCAACCCTGCAAGGTAGGCATGGTTACACTCCTTTACAGAGGAGAGAGCTGGGGTTAAAAAGTTAAGGTGGCAGGTGACACAGCAGGCATATGACCCCAGGTTGGTCTAGCTTCAAGGCCTGAGCTTGCCTCACTAGCCTGCACTGACCACTGCCCCTAGGAAAGATCCAGTTGAAATGGGCCCCAAGGGCACATCTGAAAGGGAAACAGACAATAATGAAGGAGCCCAAGGGAATGTGTGCCCAACCATGTTTGCTTTTGTGATAGGGGCAGGTGGGTTTTAACTATTGTGACAGATGCACTTAAACCTCAGATCTTTTCCTATCACCTGCAGCTCCTGTGTTTACCCTGCTGATATTCCTTCCAACCCCCGCACAGCAGGGACCCCTGCTTGAGAAATGCCCAGATGAACAATGGTCTAGGGGTAGCTCTGGCAGCACAGAGAGGAGTGGTTTTGTTGGTGGGTTGGTTGTTTAGCTAGTGGTACTCGATTATACTCAGTTTAGCATGGAGTGCCCCGTCTCCTCTGCACCCTACCCCCCAGAATCCAGGCTCACACAGCAGCCTGAGTGAGCCCCACAACACATAACCTGCCCAAGTCATTCCCTGCTCTCAGCCCTTCAGTGGGGGCTCACTGCTCCCAACCTGGCACCTGAAGCCCGTCTGGCCAGCTCTCCTATGGCTGCAGTTCCATGTCACACCTCCACATGGATCCTGACCAATGGCCAGGCCAGATGACAACTGGTGGCATTCTTCTGACTTGGGGCAATGTGTGTCCCCTGAATACTGGCTCTCCTCCTTCCCTTTCACAAGACTAATTTCTGCTCATCCTTCGGAAGTTCAGTAGAGCCCGTCCTGCTTCAGGACACCTTCTCTGGTTCCTCTGGGCTGGGTGGAACCCCCCTTGGCTCTCCCACATCACTCTGTTTCTCTCTGCCATAGCACTGATCACCCTGGATTGTGTTTTTGTCTCTGTCTCCCCAAATGGCCTGGAAGCTCTTTGAGCTGTATTCCAGCACCAACGTGGTATCTGGCACACAACATGCTGGGAAGATGATGACTGAATAGATGAATGAATGAGTGGCTACAGAGGTTTGGGTGCTGAACATGTGCAGAGTTAGAAGTGTTGAAAGAACATCAGGAATGCAACTCAGGGCCTCAGGTATTCATGCAACCGTCATGATGAAGACAAATAACACACGAGGGGAGCCTCACATTTAACACGAGGTGGTGGATGGCAAATTGGCAAATACAGTGTCATGGACAGCACTGTTTTTGGACAGCACTAAATTTTATGAAACAAACATCATGGGAATGGAAAGGTAAATTGTGCTTCAGAGACACAGGTATTACAGAAGTCAGAGGCTGGAGCAAGCATGGAAAATACAGATATTTTGAAACCATATGGTCAGAGCGTGGTGGAAGGCATGTGAGTAAGGATACAATGAGAAAAAATAAGGTATGGTAATACTGTGACAGTAGTTCATGGATAGCCATCCAGGCCCAGAATGCTTTTTAAATTCAGAGCTACCACCTGGCATAGAGGCAAAGTATTTTAGAAACTGGGAATGTTGAGCCTGTAGACCTATATAACTCATTCTGTACAAAATGGAGGGTCTGATGAAGTCTTTAGCCTCTACACTGTTCATTTCATCTCTTAGAGGGTAGAAGAAACTATAAAGAAAACACCTATTCTGGATCAGGTTTGACCAAAGAGGAAGAGCTGCTTGACATGAGAGGATAAAAACAGCTGCTAGTAAATAAAAATGGGCTTCCCTGGAGTAAACCTTGATGAGTATGGGCAAAGATTTTAGGCAAGCAGGTTTCAGAAATTTGACAGCTCTATTGTCTGGCCCACAATGAAAACATAGCTCAGGAGGGAAATAAAAATAATTTTTCAAGTCTGTAAAAGATCCCAGTGAAGAAAAAAAGCCTGCACACAAATTCTAGTCTTTCCAGGTCTGCCACCTCCTGGGGTAGCAGGCAGTGCTGGTAGGGTGTCCTCCTCCAGGTCTGCCACCTCCTGGGGTAGCAGGCAGTGCTGGTAGGGTGTCCTCCTCCCGTGCTATAACACTAGTGGACATTGAGCAGGTGTCCTCACTCTACCCTAGCACTGGGCTGCCTGGTGAGCAGACCCAGAGAAGTAATGTCTTCCCTTTGGGCCTGATGTATCTCACTTCCTACCTGATAGCACCAGGCAGTACTGGAACGTGCCTTCTGCCTTGCAGGAAGGACCAGCAGGGGACCAGCAAGAACTAATGGCACCAGGTAAACAAAGTGGATCAAAATAACGTGGACAGGGCTCTGAAAACTAAATTGTCATTGTACCATAGCCCACACAAGTAGGCCAGAACCTACATAATAAACCTAAACTGTGTGACTCTGTGACTGTCTACTAAAATAGAAGTTTTAAATAGGACTCAGAATCTCCTAACATACTATACAAAACATCCATTATATAATGGAAAATCACCCATCATACAAAGAATAGAGAAAATCACAACTCAGATGAGAGGAGACAATCAAGAGATACCAGCATTGAGATGACACAGATGTTAAAACTATTCCACAAGAATTTTAAAGCAGCTGTAACAAAATGCCTTAGTGAGCAATTAAAACTATTCTTGAAACAAATTTTTTAAAAGCTCACCAAAATAGTACAACATATAAAAAAAGAACCAAATGGAAACTATAGAACTAAAAAAATACCAATGAAAGAAAAAAGACTTGGTAGATGAGCTGAATAGTGTAATAGATGTGACAGAGGAAAGAATCAGTTAACTCGATGATAGAACAATAGAAATTACACGTCTGAAAAACAGAAAATCAGCTGGGAAAACAAACAAACACACATGAACAGAGCCTCAGAGACCTGTGGGCCAGTAACAAAACACCTACAATTCATATCATTTAATTCCTAGAAAAAGTGTGAGGCTTAAAAAATATTCAAAGAAATAATGGCTAAAAATTTCCCTAATTTCGTGGAAGATCTAAACCTACAGATTAAAGAAACTGCCAAAATCGCAAACATGATAAACTCAAAGAAATCCATATCAAGACACATCATAACTAAAACATTGAAAACATAAAAAGGCAGAGAAAATTAAACATCTAAGGAAAAAGGAAAAATCTAGAAAGCAGCCAGAGACAAATGGCACATTACTTATAAAGGAATACTTTTTTTTTTTTTTTTGAGATGGTATCTCACTCTGTCGCCCAGGCTGGAGTGTACTGGCATGATCTCTGCTCGCTTCAACCTCCATCTCCTGGGTTCAGGTGATTCTTGTGCCTCAGCCTCCCAAGTAGTTGTGATTACAGGTGCACGCCACCATGCCCGGCTAATTTTTATATTTTTAGTAGAGACAGGGTTTCACTATGATGTCCAGGCTGGTCTTGAATTCCTGACCTCAAGAGATCCGCCCACCTCAGCCTCCCAAAATGCTGGGATTACAGGCATGAGCCACTGTGCCTGGCCAGGAATACCAATTTGAATGACAGAAAGTTTCTCATCAGAAACTATGGAGAACAGATGTAAGTGGTACAGCTTATTTTGTGTTCTGAAAAAGAAGAATTGTCAACCAGGAATTATATTGCCAATAAAAATACACTGTGGGAATGGACAAGAAATAAAGACACTCTCAGAGGAAGAGAAATGAAGAGAATCTTTTACTGGCAGAACTAACTTTAAAGAATGACTAGAGGAGGTTCCCCTAACAGAAAGGAAATGATATAGTAAACTAGAATTTCAAAAAAGAAAGAGAATAATAGAACAAGTAAAAATAGGGATATATACTACAGCATCCTTCTCCTCATGAGTTTTAAAAATCACATTTGATTTTTAACACAAAAATTATACCACCTGATGTGGTGTTCAGTGAATGTAATAGAAAATGACAATTATATTTAAAAAGTGGAGAAGGCTAAAGAACATAAATGAAAGTAAGATTTCTACACTTGACTCAAAATGGTAAAATGTTGATATGTTCTGTATGTATATTGCAATAGCCAGGCTGCGATAAGTTCCATATGTATATTGCAATAAGTAGAGAAACCATTAAGAAAACTATTCAATAAAAAACACTATAAATAAATCAAAATGGAATTCTAAAAATTATTCAAATAATCCACAGGAAGGCAAGAAAAGAGAAATACATGAATGGGAAACAAAGAAAAAACAGAAAACACACAATAAGATGGCCAATTTAAGCACTGACATATCAATAATTACTTTCGGTATAAATGGTCTAAATCAGAGGACGGATATTGCCAAACTGTATTAAAAAACATAATCCAACAATGTGCTATAAATAAGAAATCAAACAATAGAACTTCAAAATACATGAAGCAAAAACTGATTTAACTGAAAAAAGAAATAGACAATACACAATTATAGTTGAGACTTTAACACGTAGTTTCAGCAATTGATAGAAACTCTGCAAAGTTACAGAAGAACTAAACACTAGCACTACTGACTGATAGTATCTAATGAACACACAGAATACTCCAGGTAGCAACAGCAGAATGTACATCCTTTTCAAGGACACATGGAACATACACCAAAATAGATGATATCCTAGGTCATAAAACAAATTTCAACCAAATGAAAAAAAACCAAGGTCATACAGAATACCTTATTTGCCAATAATACAATAAAAATAAAAATCAACAATGGATAGGCAACAGGAAAATCTCCAAACATTTGGAACATTTAAAAAAGGACTTCTATATAATGCATGGGTCATTAAGAAAGCATCAAAAAAATTTTAAAAATACAAATGAAAGGAAATGAAAATACAATATATTAAAATTTATGGGATAAAAAAAAGCAGCTCTGAAAAGAAAATTTATAGCACGAACTGCTTACACCAAAAATAAAAAAGGCCTCCAATCAACACACTAAGTTTTTTCCTCAAGAAATTAGAAAAGAACAAAATAACTCCTAATCACCAGAAAAGGAAATAATAAAGATAAGAATATAAATAAATAAAATTTAAAATAGGAAGATAGAGAAAAATCAATGAAACAAAAGCTAGCTCTTTGAACAAAGTCAATAAAATTGGCAAATCTCTAGCAAGACTGAACAAAAATAAAAATGAAAGAAGACACGGATAGCCAATATCAGAAATGAAACAGGTGCTATCACTACAGATCCTGCAGCCATTAAAAAGAAAATAAGAAAATACTATCACTAACTTTATGCTCACAATTTAAAGGAAATAGGCTAGTTCCTGAAAAGCCACAAACTACCAAAACTCAGCCAAGGTGAAATAGATAATCTGAATATCTATAATCATTAAATAAATCTAAATTTTAATTTAAAAGCTCCCAGAAAAGAAATATTCAGGCCCAGATAGTTTTACCAGCATATCGTAATAAACATTTAAAGAAGAGTTAGCATCAGTTTTACACAATCTCTTACAGAAAAGGAAGAAACACTTTCTAATTCATTTTATGAGATCAGAATGATCCTAATATGAAAATCAAAGATAGTCCAGTAAAAAGAAAGAAAGAAACAAACAAAACTATTTCATGAACTTTGACACAAAAATCTTCAGTAAAAGGCAAGCAGAGAACAAAATTGTGAATGAACTTCCATTCACAATTGCTACAGAGAATAAAATACCTAGGAATACAGTTAATAGAGGACGTGAAGGACCTCTTCAAGGAGAACTACAAACTGCTGCTCAAGGAAATCAGAGAGGACGTGAACAAATGGAAAAACATTTCATACTCATAAATAGGAAGAATCAACATCATGAAAATGACCATACTGCCCAAAGTAATTTATAGATTCAACACATTTCCCATTAAACTACCACTGACATTCTTCACAGAATTAGAAGAAACTATCTCAAAATTATACAGAACCAAAAAAGAGCTTGTATATCCAAGAAAATCCTAAGCAAAAAGAACAGAGCTGGAGGCATCACACTACCAGACTTCAAACTATTCTACAAGTCTACAGTAACCAAAACAGCATAGTACTGGTACAAAAACAGACACATAGACTAATGGAACAGAATAGACAACTCAGCAATAAGACCGCACGTCTACGAGCATCTGATCTTCAACAAACCTGACAAAAACAAGCAATGGGGAAAGGATCTCCTATTCAATAAATGGTTCTGGGAAAACTGGCTAGCCATATGCAGAAAACTGAAACTGGATCCCTTTCTTACATCTTATACAAAAATTAACTCAAGATGGATTAAAGACTTAAATGTAAAACCCAAAACTATAAAAACCCTGGAAGAAAATCTAGGCAATACCATTCAGGACATAGGCATGGGCAAAGATTTCATGAGGAAATTGCCAAAAGCAACTGCAACAAAAGCAAAAATTGACAAATGGGATCTAATTAAACTAAAGAGCTTTTGCACAGCAAAAGACACTATCATCAGAGTGAACAGGCAACCTACAGAGTGAGAGAAAATTTTTTGCGATCTATCCATCTGACAAAGGTCTAATATTCAGAATCTGCAAGGAACTTGAACAAATTTACAAGAAAAAAAAACAACCTCATTAAAAAGTGAATAAGGGACATGAACAGACACTTCTCAAAAGAAGACATTCATGTAGCCAACATACGCAAGAAAAGAAAGTTCAACATCACTGATCATTAGAGAAATGAAAATCAAAACCACAATGAGATACCATCTCACATCAGTCAGAATGGGGATTATTAAAAAGTCAAGAAACAGCAGATGCTGGTGAGGTTCCAGAGAAATAGGAACACTTTTACACTGTTGGTGGGAATGTAAATTAGTTCAACCATTGTGGAAGACAGTGTGGTGTTTCCTCAAAGATCTAGAACCAGAAATACCATTTGACCCAGCAATCCTATTACAAACCATTCTATTATAAAGATATATGGCACATGTATGTTCATTGCAGCACTCTTCACAATAACAAAGACATGGAATCAACCCAAACGTCCATCAATGATAGACTGGATAAAGAAAATGTGGTACATTTACTCCAGGGAATACTGTGCAGCCATGAAAAGGAATGAGATCGTGTCCTTTGCAGTGACATGGATGGAGCTGGAAGCCATTATCCTCAGAAAACTAATGTAGGAACAGAAAACCAAACACTGCATGTTCTCACTTATATGTGGGAGCTGAACAATGAGAACACGTGGACACAAGGAGGGGAACAACACACACTGGGGCCAGTCAGGGGGTGGGGGTATAGGGAGAGCATTAGGAATAATAGCTCATGCATTCTGAGCTTAATATCTAGGTGATGGGTTGACGGGTGCAGCAAACCACCATGGCATACATTTACCTGTGTAACAAACCTGCACATTCTGCACATGTACTCTGGAACTTAAAATAGAAATAAAAATTTCAAAAAAAACTTGCATAAAAAAGTTAGTAAATAATATCAAGCAATATATTTAAAAAATTATATGCCACAACAAAGTGGGATTTATTCCAGATATGCAAGGATGGTTCAATGTTTTAAACTTAATCAATATATTCCACCAGATCAGCAAGCTAAAGAAGAAAAACCATAAAATTAGTGCAGAAAAAGCACTTGCCAAAATCCAATTCATAGTAAAACTCTCATCATTATAATTCAAAACTATGACTCATAACAAATAATAAACTCACAATAAAAATTCTTAGCAAACTAGAAATAGAGGAGAACTTCCTCAACTTAAAAAACTGCATCTACAAACTATCTAAAGCTAACATCATACTTAATGGTGAAAGACAGGACACTTTTCCCTTAAGATTCGAAACAAGGCAAGGATATATGTTCTTGCCTTCTTATTCAACATAGCACTGGGAAGTTCTAGCCAGAGCAGTAAGGCAAGAAAAAGAAATAAAAGGCATACAGTTTGGAAAGAAAGAAATTAAAATGTTCTTATTTGTAGAGTACATGACCATCTACATAAACCATTCCACAAAATCTACAAAAAAAGTTTTATTTTTATTTATTATTATTATTATTATTTTATTTTATTTTTCCATAAGTTATTGGGGTATAGGTTGTATTTGGTTACATGAGGAAGTTGTTTAGTGGTGATATGTGAGATTTTGGTGCACCCATCACCCAAGCAGTATACATTGCCCTGTATTTGTAGTCTTTTATCCGTCACCACCCTCCCACTCTTCCCTCCAAGTCCCCAAAGTCCACTATATCATTCTTATGCCTTCATGGCTTAGCTCCCTCATATCAGTGATAACATATGATGTTTCGTTTTCCATTCCTGAGTTACTTCACTTAGAATAATAGTCTCCAATCTCATCCAGGTCACTGAAAATGCTGTTAATTCATTCCTTTTTATGGCTGAGTAGTATTCCATCATATATACACCACAGTTTCTTTATCCACTTGTTGGGGTTCCATGATTTTGCAATTGTGAATTGTGCTGCTATAAACATGCATGTGCAAGTATCTTTTTCAAACAGTGACTTCTTTTCCTCTGGGTAGATACCCAGTAGTAGGATTGCTGGATCAAATGGTATTTCTACTTTTACTTCTTTAAGGAATCTCCACACTGTTTTCCATAGCAGCTGTCCTAGTTTACATTCCTACCAGCAGTGTAGAAGTGTTCCCTGATCACCACATCCATGCCAACATCTGTGGTTTTTTTGATTTTTTTTATTATGGCCATTCTTGCAGGAGTAAGGTAGTATCACACTGTGGTTTTGATTTGCATTTCCCTGATCATTAGTGATGTTGAGCATTTTTTCACATGTCACTTGGCCATTTGTACATCTTCTTTTGAGAATTGTTTTTTCATATCCTTAGCCCACTTTTTGATGGAATTTTTTTTCTTACTGATTTGTTTGAGTTTGTTGTAGATTCTGGACATTAATCCTTTGTCCGATGTATAGATTTGTGAAGATTTTCTCCCACTCTGTGGGTTGTCTGTTTACTCTGCTGACTGTTCCTTTTGCCGTGCAAAAGCTCTTTAGTTTAATTAGGTCCCAGCTATTTATCTTTGTTTTTATTGCATTTACTTTTGGGTTCTTGGTCATGAAATCTTTGCTTAAGCCAATGTCTAGAAGGGTTTTCCCAATGTTATCTTCTATAATGTTTACAGTTTCAGGTCTTTGGTTTAAGTCCTTAATCCATCTTGAGTTGATTTTTGTACAAGGTGAGAGAGGAGGATCAAGTTTCATTCTCCTATATGTGGCTAGCCAATTATCCCAGCACCATTTGTTGAAAAGGGTGTCCTTTCCCCACTTTATATTTTTGTTTGCTTTAAGTATTTGGGTTTATTTCTGGGTTCTCTGTTCTTTTCCATTGGTCTATGTGCTATTTTTTATACTGGTACCACACTGTTTTGGTGACTGTGGCCTTATAGTATAGTTTGAAATCAGATAGTGTGATGCCTCCAAATTTGTTCTTTTTGCTTAGTCTTGTTTTGGCTATGCCTTCTCTTTTTTGGTTCCATATGAATTTTAGAATTGTTTTTTCTAACTCTGTGAAGAATGATGGTGGTATTTTGATGGGGATTGCATCGAATTTGTAGATTGCTTTTGGCAGTACGATTATTTTCACATTATTGTTTCTACCCATCCATGAGCATGGGATGTGTTTCCATTTGTTTGTGTCATCTATGATTCTTTCAGCAGTGTTTTGTAATTTTCTTTGAAGAGGTCTTTTGACTCCTTTGTTAGGTATCTTCCTAAGTATTGTATTTTTTTTTTTTTTTGCAGCTATTGCAAAAGTGATTGAGTTCCTGATTTGATTCTCTGATTGGTCACTGTTGGTGTAAGGAAGAGCTATTGATTTGCATACATTAATCTTGTATCCAGAAACTTTGCTGAATTCTTTTATCAGTTCTAGGAGCTTTCTGGAGGAGCCCTTAAGGTTTTCAAAGTAAGCAGTCATATCATCAGCAAAAAGGGACAGTTTGATTTCCTCTTTACCAATTTGGATGCCCTTTTTTTTTAATCTTGTCTGATTGCTCTGGCTAGGACTTTCAGCACTATGTTGAAGAGGAGTGGTGAGAGTGAGCATCCTTATCTTGTTCCCGTTCTCAGAGGGAATGCTTTCAATTTTTCCCCATTCAGTATTATGTTGTCTGTGGGTTTGTCATAGATGGCCTTTATTACATTAAGGTATATCCCTTGTATGCTGATTTTACTGAGGGTTTTAATCATAAAGGGATGCTGGATTTTATTGAATGCTTTTTCTGCATCTATTGAAATGATCATGTGATTTTTGTTTTTAATTCTGTTTATGTGGTGTATCAAATTTATTGACCTGGGAATGTTAAACCATCCCTGCACCCCTGCTATGAAACCCACTTGATCCATGGTGGATTATCTTTATGATATCCACCATAACTAGTATTTTGTTAAGGATTTTCACATCTATGTTCATCAAGGATACTGGTCTGTAGTTTTCTTTTTTGGTTGTGTCCTTTCCTGGTTTTGGTGTTAGGGTAATGAAGGCTTCATAGAATGAATTAGGGAG
The DNA here is from genome assembly GCF_000001405.40 of Homo sapiens. Taxonomy (NCBI): domain Eukaryota; kingdom Metazoa; phylum Chordata; class Mammalia; order Primates; family Hominidae; genus Homo; species Homo sapiens. The sequence goes on along the minus strand of NC_000002.12, from coordinate 118,957,640 downwards.
GGTTCCTTCTTTCTCTGTCTTGTGGAATAGTGTCAAAAGGATTGGTACCTTAGTATTCTTCTTTTAATGTCTGATAGAATTCTGCTGTGAATCTGTCTGGTCCTGGACTGTTTGTTTGTTTGTTTGTTTTTGGGGGGTAATTTTTAAATTACCAAACAATCTCGCTGCTTGCTATTGGTCTGTTCAGGGTATCTAATTCTTCCTGATTTAAGCTAGGAACGTTGTATTTTTCCAGGAATTTATCCATCTCTTCTAGGTTTTCTAGTTTATGTGAGTAAAGGTATTATTCATAGTAGCCTTGAATGATCTTTTGTATTTCAATGGTGTCAGTTGTAATATATCCTGTTTTATTTCTTAGTGAGGTTATTTGGTTTTTCTCTCTTCTTTCCTTCGTTTATCTTGTTAACGGTCTATCAATTTTGTTTATATTTTAAAGAACCAGCTTTTTGTTTCATTTATCTTTTGTATTTTTTTGTTTCAATTTTATTTAGTTCTGCTCTGATCTTGGTTACTTCCTTTCTTCTGCTGGGTTTGCGTTTGGTTTGTTCTTGTTTCTCTAGTTCCTTGAGGTGTGACCTTAGATTGTCTGTGCTCTTTCAGACTTTTTGATGTAGATCTTTAGGAGTATGAACTTTCCTCTTAGCAACACCTTAGCTGTATCCTAGAGGTTTTGATAGGTTGTGTCATTATTGTCATTCAGTTCAAAGAATTTTTAAATTTCCATCTTGATATCATTTTTGACCCAATCCTCATTCAGTAGCAGGTTATTTAATTTCCATGTATTTGCATGGCTTTGAAGGTTCCTTTTGGAATTGATTTCCAGTTTTATTCCACTGTGGTCTGAGAGAATGCTTGATATAATTTCAATTTTCTTAAATTTATTGAGGGTCATTTTATGGCCTATCATATGGTCTCTCTTGGAGAAAGTTCCATGCACTGTTGAATAGAATGTGTATTCTTTGGTTGTTGGATGAAATGTTCTGTATATATCTGCTAAGTCCATTTGCTCAAAGGTATAGTTTAAATCCATTGTTTCTTTGTTGACTTTCTGTCTTGATGACCCTCCTGTGCTGTCAGTGGAGTATTGAAGTACCTCACTATTATTGTGTTGCTGTCTATCTCATTTCTTAGGTCTATTAGTAATTGTTTTATAAATTTGAGAGCTCCAGTGTTAGGTGCATAAATGTTTGGGATTGTGATATCTTCCTGTTGGACAAGGACTTTTACCATTACATAATGTCCCTTTTTGTCTCTTTTAACCTCTGTTACTTTAAAGATTGTTTTGTCTGATATAAGAATATCTACCCCTGCTCACTTTTGGTGTCCATTTGCATGAAATGCCTTTCTCCACCCCTTTATTTTAAGTTTATGTGAGTCCTTATGTGTTAGGTGAGTCTCCTGAAGTTAGCAGGTAGTTGGTTGTTGAGTTCTTATCCATTCTGCAGTTCTGTATCTTTTAAGTGGAGCATTTAGGCCATTTATATTTAATGCTAGTATTGAAATGTGAGGTACCATTGCATTCATCATGCTTTTTGTTGCCTGTACTTTGTTTCATTTTGGTTTTTTGATTTTGCTTTTTAACTTATATTTTTGTTTTATAGGTCCTGTGTGATATATGACTTAAAGAGATTCTGTTTTGATGTATTTCTGGGATTTGTTTCAAGATTTAAACAGATTTAAACAGTTCAAGTTTTTAGCAGTTCTTGTTGTGGTGGCTTGGCCATGGTGAATTATCTCAGCATTTGCTTGGCAGAAAATGACTGTGTCTTTCCTTCATATATGATGCTTAGTTTTGCTGGATACAAAATTCTTGGCTGATAATTGTTTTGCTTGAGGAGGCAGAAGATAGGGCCCCAATCCCTTCTAGCTTGTAGGGTTTCTGCTGAGAAATCTGCTGTTAATCTGATAGGTTTTCCTTTATAGGTTACCTTGTGCTTCTGTCTCACAGCTCTTAAGACTCTTTCCTTCATCTTAACTTTAGATAACCTGATGACAATGTGTCTAGGGGAAGATCTTTTTGCAACGAATTTCCCAGGTCTTCTTTGTGCTTCTTGTGTTTCCATGTCTAAGTCTCTGGGAAGGCCAGGAAAGTTTTCCTTGATTATTCCCCCAAGTATGTTTTCCAAGCTTTTACAATTGTCTTTTTCCTCAGGAACATCAATTATTCTTAGGTGTGGTTGTTTACCATAATTCCAGACTTCTTGGAGGTTTGTTCATATTTTTTTACTCTTTTTTCTTTGTCTTTGTTGGATTGGGTTAATTCAAAGACCTTGTCTTTGAGCTCTGCATTTCTTTCTTCTACTTATCCAATTCTATCACTGAGACTTTCCAGAGCATTTCACATCTCTAAAAGTGTGTCCAAAGTTTCCTGAATTTTTATTGTTTTTTTATTTAAACTATCTATTTTCTTGAGTATTTCTCCCTTCACTTCTCATATAATTTTTTAGATTTCCTTGCATTGGGCTTCACCTTTCCCTGGTCCCTCCCTGATTAACTTAATAACTAACCTCCTGAATTTTTTTTCAGGTAAATCAGGGATTTCTTCTTGGCTTGGATCCATTGCTGGTGAACTAGTGTGATTTTTTTTTTTTCTATTTTTGGCAGGGCGGGGGTTGAGGGTGTGGTGTTGATGAGCCTTGTTTCGTCATATTACCAGGGTTGGTTTTCTAGTTCCTTCTCATTTGGGTAGGTTCTGTTAGAGGGAAGTCTAGGGCTGAAGATTGCTGTTCAGATTTTTTTGTCCCACGGGGTGTTCCCTTGATGTAGTATTCTTCCTGTTTTCCTGTGGATGTGGCTTCCTGTGAGTCAAACTGCAGTGATTTTTGTCTCTCTTCTGGGTCTAGTCACCCAGCAACTTTACCCAGCTCCAGGCTGGTACTGGGGGTTGTCTGCACAAAGTCCTCTCATGTGAACCAACTAACGGCCTCTTAGCTGTGGATACCAGCACCTGTTCCAGCGGACGCAGCAGAGGGTGCAGTGGACTCTGTGAGGGTCCTTAGCTTTGGTGGTTTAATGCTCTATTTTTGTGCTGGTTGGCCTGCCAGGAGGTAGCAATTTCCAGAAAGCATCAGCTGTAGTAGTGTGGAGGGGGACTGGCAGTGGGTGTGGCCCTAGAACTCCCAATATCACATGTCTTTTGTCTTCTGCCACCAGGGCAGGTAGGGAAGGACCATCAGGTCCAGGGGTGGGACTAGGCATGTATGATCTCAGAGTCTCCTTCGGCAGGTCTTGCTGCAGCTGCCGTGGGGGATAGGGGTGAGATTCCCAGGTCACTGGAGTTGTGTACCTAGAAGGATTATGGCTGCCTCTGCTGAGTCATGCAGGTTGTCAGGGAAGTGGGGGAAAGCTGGCAGTCACAGGCCTCACCCAGCTCCCACACAAACCAAAGGGCCAGTCTTACTCCCACTGTGCCCCCAGCAACAGCCCCAAGTGTGTTTCCAGGGGGAGGGGGAGACAGCCTTGAAAACTTGCCTGAGGCTTTCTCTGCCTCCCAGCTGCCAAAGACAAGGGCTTTAGATCTTCTCCTGCCTGTGAAGTCTGCAAGCTGGATTCGCACCCTCCCCTGAGTTCTGGTCAGGAGGCTTCTCACCCTGTTCAAATTGTTACAAAGTTCAGCTAGAGAATCCTTTCTCCCTGTGGAGTTTTGCCCCTGCTCCTCTGGCCACCTTCCTGATGGATTCCTGTGGTGCCAGCCAGGAGTGGGCTGCTTGGGGACCCAGCAAGCTCCCAGGGCCTTTCTGCTGCTTCCCCCACCCCTGTATTTCACTTGGCTCAGCTCTCTAACTTGATCAGCTCCAGGTAAAGTCAGAAACTTCTCCTGCAAACAGACCTTCATCTTCTCCAGTGAGGGTGTGTGTTCAGGAGACGAGGGTCTCCCTTTTCCACTTACACGGCTGGGGCACTCGCAGTATTTGGGGTGTCTACTGGGTCCTTCAGGAGCAGTCCACTTCCTTCAGAGGGTCTGTGGATCCTCTCAGGATTGCTGGTTTGTTCTTGCAGTTGATATGGAGCTAAAATTCACAATGCAAGCCTCTGCATGCTGCTCTGTCTGGAGCAGAAATCTAGTCCCGCCTCTCATCCACCATCGTTCCCCCCACCTCCAGAAAACTTTTCGAATGAATAAATAAATTCACATAGTTGGAAGACACAAGATGAACACACAAAAATCAACCACATTTCTATATACTAACAATAAATGGAAACCAAATTAAAAGCATAATAGAACTGACAATCACACCAAATGTAGAAAGTAAAAAGTTTCCTCTTCAAAGTTTTCCTTCTTGTTGAAGAATAAATTGTGTGTTGGAAATGATGGTTTCTTTTGAGGACTAACTTTCTTCAAGCCTCCTTGCTTTGTGTTAATAACTCTTTGTTAAGCCCTAGCCTATGTAACTGTTGAATGTGCTCACAGGCCCGTTCCAGCTCACAGCCTATGCCCCTTCCTTATTTGGAAATGTTATTGTTTCCTTAAAACTTTTGTAACCAACTTCTTTGCTCTTCCCTGTACTTACCTATTTAGGAAAGTTGTAGGCTATTAGCAAATCGGATATCAGTTTAAGATTGTGAGGTCCTGCTCCAGCCAACGGACATAGGACACGCAGCAAGGACAACCCAAATGTGTAAGGGATAAATATGTCTGCTTTTCCTTTGTTCAAGTGTTCTCCTGCCATTGTTCCATCTGCAATTGAGCACCCTTTCTGCAGAAAGTAAAGATGGCCTTGCTGAGAGATCTTTTGTCTCTGTGCTGACTTTCCTTTGTGGCACCAATGATGTATTTCTAACAATTTTGATATTTCTAACAATTTTGGTGGCAATCGTATGGGGATACATTCTCCTCCGGGGGCATCTCTAGTCCTCTTTCATGAGGAGGCACCACACCACCTCTTGCGGTGGCCTCAGGGGTAAGGGACCAAGACCCACCTGGTGCGAGGAATAACCCGAGCTCTCAGCAATGCAGAAAGAAACTGGCCAGCAACCTAGCTTAAAGGATCCTCACATACTGCAGCGATGACTTTGTGCACAGACCAAGGAAGGCAAAGCCACAGGAGCCGGTAAAGTACTTCCTTGGTCATGAAATTCTGGAGGGCTAAATGTACATGTGCGTGAATGATCACAGATAACCCTGCTTGCGGTGTTGTTTGTGTGGATGGTGACAAGTCCTACTGCTGGATGGAGTGAGTGGGTCCTCTCTGCGGTTCCATAGCTACCTCATATGGCTTAGGGCGGATCCTGCCATGGGATTTATACCTGCACGCCAACACTAAAAGGGGCCTAATTCTCCCTTGGGGGAGCGGCCAGAGAGGACAACACAAGTGGGAAGTGTGCAAGGGACCTTCAGAGAGGGGAAGGGAGAAACCAGGTCAACCTCCCAGGGCAGGCAAGGCAAGACACCCACTGGTTTGAGGGGTTGAGCCTTCCAGGACAGGCAAGGCAAGACATCCCTGGTTTGAGGGGTTGAACCTTCTGCAAATTTCAGGTGGTTGAACCTCACACAAACCTCCGGTAGTAAGAAAAATATTCAGAACTCCCCTGAAAGAGGTAAGAAAGGGGTAAGAAAGAGGCTAAGCTCCACTCCTGCTGGTTGCTCCCCTAGGGGAAGGGGAAGGAGAAGGGAGAGCAGCAACATAAGTGGCTGGCAGAGGCAGGGAAAGACCAGCAGAGAGGAGAGAGAAACTGGGAGAGGAAATAAGGGAGAGAAAGAGAGAGAGGCGGAGAGACAAAGAGGGAGTCAAAGAGAAAGAGGAAGAAAGAGAGAGAGAGAGATGGAGAATCAGAGAGTGAGAGAAAGAGACAGAGAGATAAAGAGGTAGTAAAAGAGAGAGAGAGACAGAGTCAAGGAAGAGAGAGAAAGAGAGAGATGGAAGTAGTAAAGAGAAAACTGTACCCTAGTCATTTAAAAGCCAGGGTAAATTTAAAACTTGTAATTGATAATTGAAAGTCTTCTTCATGACCCTATAACACTCCAATACCACCTTGTTGTCAGTGTAAACAGGGGCGTAGCCCGAAAGCACTGAGGCCACTGACAACCTGAAGCCTTTCTAATAAAAAATCCTTAACCCAGTAACCCGTAGATGGCCCAAATGCATTCAATCTGTAGCAGCAACTGCTTTGCTAAGAGAGCAAAGTAGAAAAATAACTTTTAGAGGAAACCTCATTGTGAGCACACCTCATCAGGCCAGAACTAACCTAAGTCAAACAAACAAACAACAAAACCCAAAAGCTAAAAGGTAGCTCACTGACTCAAGAACCTTAAGGTATGCGGCTATTCTGTTAGAAAAAGTGATTTAACGTTAGCCACTGAAAATTCCCTTAACTCAGTAGGTTTCCTAACGGGGATCTAAATCTTAGTTACCATAGAAAGGTCCCACCAGACCTAGGAGGAACTCCCTTCAGGACAGGATGATTGACGGTTCCTCCTTGGTGACAGGATGATAGATGGTTCCTCCCAGGTGATTGAGAGAAAAGGACACAATGGGTATTCAGTAAGTGATAAGGAAACTCTTGTAGAAGCAGAGTTAGGAAAATTGCCTAATAATTGGTCTGCTCAAAGGTGGGAGCTGTTTGCACTCAGCCAAGCCTTAAAATACTTACAGATTCAGGAAGGAGTCATCTATAGCAATTCTAAGTTAAATTTGGACTAAATTAGGTCTTATTAATAGCAAAGGATAATTGAAATCCCAAACTTACAAGGTTTTCAACAAAAGTAAAATTTGCTAAATATTAACAGTGTCATATGTATTATCCTAACTTCTAATCTTGTGGCCTTTAACAGTCCAGTCCACAGACATGAAGGAAGTTCACTTTGGAAAAGAATGGCTATCATCTTTGAGGAAAAAAAAAGGGGGGAGGGGAGAATTTATGTAAAAAGGAATGTTATATGGTAAATTCTTGTCCTAAAATAAATTAACTGGTTGTTTAAAGAAAGCGATGTTAGCAACAACTCAGAAAGTTGAGGCATGTCGAAGAATTGTCTGTAAAAGTTGTGAAAAACAAAATTATAAAAGGGAATTTATGCAAGAAATGTTGTATAACTTAAAAGTAATTAGGCCTCCTGAATGTAAAACTATTGAAGAAACAGTTTATATGCAAGGTATGTAAGGAAAGCAAAATAAACTTTTGGTAAAAGGATTATAAGGAGGCATAAGAATGTGGATTTCTACCTACATTAAAAGGTTAAAAAAATTTTGTTTTGAAGGTTTAAGCAAGTTTTGAAACTTTAATTGTAAAGGAAATTCTGTGTGTAAACATATTGGCTAAAGTTAAAGGGGTGTCATCCAGTTTTTCTGTGAACTGGATATTAAAATAAAAGAACAACAGGTTTTTCTTAAAACACTAACCTGCTCTTTAACAAAAAATTATAAAAGGTTAAAAACAGTCTATAAAAATCTTACCTTATGGTCAGACATTAAAATTGGATACATATGTCAACAAGGTTTTATTAAAATTAAATTTAACATTAATGACACACTCATATAAAGGTAAAATTTAGCTTTTCTAGTATAAAATCATATACGAAGCACTGTCAAATATAAAATGGTGTTTGGCTTTCTTTGGTCTAAAAACTAATAAAAATCGGTGCTAAAGAAAATTTATCAGCAAGAAGGCACAAAGGACTATAAAGTCCACTGTTGATGTACCCACGTTTAAAACAAAAGATCAATTTCTTAGAAATTATATACTTGGTTTATCCTCCACCTTCTCTTCCCTTGAAACAAAAGGTCTTTTAGCACAGATGCCGCCCTTGGAGTTTCCAGTACATCAGCATCAGCCTGGGGATCACATTCTCATCAAAGGATAGAAAGAAGGGAAACTCGGGCCAGCCTTGGAAGGACCGTACCTTGTGCTGCTAACCATCGAGACTGCTGTTCGTACAGCGGAAAGGGATGGACACATGACACCTGAGTCAAGCAAGTGCCATTATCCTCAGAATCATGGGCCATTGTTCCTGGGTCAAGCCCTACCAAATTAAAGCTAAGGAAAGCTTAGTCTATCTTTTTCCTTTCCTTTCCTAACCCAGTGCTTAAATCCATTACTATTCCTACCACCAGCAACTCTAACCCCACTGTAGGGCACTTCTGTGGTTTAGGAGCAGAAGTCACTGGAAAGGATCCTATAGGCTTCTTTAAGGTGCACTTTGTTCTCCCTCCTCTACCTCCTACAACTGCACCTTTCCCAAACCTACAAAATCAAACTATGACTCGCCTCATGCCAAATGACAAAAGCAAGGTCTCAGTAGTAGAAATAGGAGACCTATGGCAAACCATAGCCATTGAAACAGGGTATAAAGATGTAAATGCCTGGTTAAAATAGATTAAATATTCTGTTTGCACTTTAAACAAAAGTGACTGCTACTCTTGTGTGCAAGGTAGGCCAGAGGCCCACGTTGTTGCCTTTCCACTAGCATGGTCCTCAAATCAAGGGGACATGGAGTGCATGGTAGCTCTTTTTCAAGATTCCACCCCCTGGAATAAAGAATTGTGCCAAGCTCTTTTTCTGCTATTTCCTGAAGTTCAACACCCTGCGGATCAGCCTGCGAGGGCCATCCAGCCTCCATCTTCCAAAACCAATTTTACCTCATATATCCAATGACAAGGGGAAAAATCTGGCATTCCTTGGAGACTTAACAGGATGCAGTGAAGTCAGTCACTTCCAAGAGCTGACCCATCAGTCCACCCTTATTCATACACCTGCCCTTAGCGGATGTATGGTGGTATTATGGAGGACCATTACTGGACACTCTGCCAAATAATTGGAGCAATACTTTTGCTCTAGTTCAATTGCCTATCCCTTTTACTCTAGTATTTCATCAACAAGAAACAAACAAACAAACAAACAAACATAGCTTCAATTCTTACCTCTTCAACAACTATAATAAGTATACTCCTTCTTCTTAAGTATTATGTTGTACCATACATCCAAGAGTTAATCAAAACAACTAAGCCAAGACATGTTAAGCAAGTTTGAAGAGGAAAACTAAAAAGTAAAAGAGGAGGGATTGTAGAAAGTAAAAATTTCCTCTTCAAAGTTTTCCTTCTTGTTGAAGAATAAATTGTGAGTGTTGGAAATGATGGTTTCTTTTGAGGAATAACTTTCTTCAAGCCTCTTGCTTTGCGTTAATAACTCTTTGTTAAGCCCTAGCCTATGTAACTGCTGAACATGCTCACAGGCACGTTCCAGCTCACACCCTATGCTCCTTCCTTATTTGGAAATGTTATTGCTTCCTTAAACCTTTTGTAAGCAATTTCTTTGTTCTTCCCTGTACTTAACTATTAGGAAAGTTGTAGGCTATTAGCAAATCGGGTATCAGTTTAAGATTGTGAGGTCCTGCTCCAGCCAATAGATGCAGGACACAGCAGTAAGGATGAACCAAATGTGTAAGGGATAAATATGTCTGCTTTTCTTTTGTTCAGGTGTGGTCTTGCCATTGTTCCATCTGTAATTGAGCACCCTTTCTGCAGAAAGTAAAGATGGCCTTGCTGAGAGATCTTTTGTCTCTGTGCTAACTTTTCTTCCTGGCACCAATTATCTATTTCTAACAATTTTGGTATTTCTAACACCAAAGAAAATGGAATATTTAGATATAAATCTAATAAAACATGTACAGGATCTGTATGCTGAAATTTTTTTAAAAATTTAGTTAAAAGAACCAAAGACCTAAGTAAATGGAGAGATGTGCATGGATTGTAAGTCTGCAATAATAAAGATATCAATTCTCTCTACATTTATCTATAGGTGTAACACAATGCCTATCAAAATTTCAGCAAGATCTTTTTGTAACCGTAGACAAGCTGACACTTAAATTTATATGGAAAGGCAAAAACCCTAGAATAGCTAAAGCAGTTTTGAAAAGAAGACTAAAATTTGAGGAATAACTCTATTTGATAATAACGCTTACAATATAACTATAGTAATCAAAGCACTGTGGTATTGGTAGAGGGATAGTCACATAGATCACTGGAATAGAATAAAGAATGCAGAATGAGATGCACACAAATTTACCCAAGTTGTTTTTGACAAAGGTGTAAAAGCAATTCAACAGGGAAAGGATAGCCTTTCAACAAATGGTGCTGGAATGACTATGTATCCATGGTCAACAAAATGAAACATATGAAAACCTTGGCCTACACATTATACGTTATACGAGAATCAATTCAAAATGGATCACGGGCAGGCATGGTGGTATGAGCCTCTAGTCCCAGCTACTTGGGAGGCTGAAGTGGGAAGATCACATGAGCCCATGAGTTTGAGGCTGCAATGCACTATGATCACACCTGTGAATAGCCACTGCACACTCCAACTTGGGCAACATAGTGAGATCTTGTCTCTAACATATAAAAATAAAAATAATGTAAAACTACAAAAATTTTAGAATAAGATAGAGAAGAAAATCTTCACCAACAAGGGCTAAAGAACTCTTAGACTTGACACCGAAAGCATAATACATACATGGAAAAATTGTTAGGTTGGACCTTGTCAGAATTAAAAACTTTTGCATTGTAAAAGATGCTGATATGAACATAACAATGCAAGTTACAGACTCGGAGAAAATATGTGCAAACCACATATCTAGCAAAGGACTTATATATAGAATATATAAAGAACTCTTAAAACCAAACCATAAAAAATAAAAGATCCAATTAAAACATGGGCAAAAGACACAAAGAGACATTTCACTGAAGAGGCTATACATATGGTATTTAAGCACATGAGAAGATAGTCAACATTACTGGCCATTAGGAAAATGTAAATTAAATCTACAATGAAATATCAGTATACATCTACGAGAATGGCTACATTTAAAAATAGTGATAATGTCAAATGTTGACGAGGTTGCAGAAAACTGGATCAGTTGTACATTGCTGCTGGGAATGTAAAATGGTATAGTCACACTGGAAAATATATCGACTACTTCTTGTAAAACCAAACACACTTAGAATCCAGCAATTACACTTTTGGACATTTACCTTGGAGAAATGAGAACTTAAAGTCACACAAAACACTTACAGAAATGGTCATGGCAACTTTATTTGTAATAGCCCCCAAACTGAAAACAACCCAAATGTCCTTCAGTGGGTGAATGTTAAACAATCTTTGATATATTCATATCATGGAATGCTACTCAATAAGAAGAGCCAACTATGGATGGATACAACTTGGATGGGTTTCAAAGGAATTACACTATGTGAAAAAAAAATCAATCTTAAAGAAGTCACATACTGTGTAATTTCTTTATGTAACATTCCCAAAATGGCAAAATTATAGAGATGGGAAGCAGATTAGTGGTTGCCAGGGGTTGATGACTGCTGGTGGGGGAGTGAGGGGTATGTGGGGTTATTTAAGCATAGAATTGGTACAACTATATATGTACACAGAGACGAGTGCATGTAAAACTAATGAATAAGCTCTATGGATTGCACCAATATCAGTTTCCTGGTTGTAATTTTGTATTAATGCAGTGTAAGATGTTACCACTGGGGGAGAATGAGACAAGAGTCAGAAAAGCTTCTCTGTACATTTTTTGCAATTTTCTCTGACTCTATAACTACTTCACCATAAAAAGTTAAGACTAAACTCTGCAATAAAGCCAGATGTTTAAAAGATGTTGAGAAATATTGGCATGATGAAGAGCAAAGTCAGAACAATGACATGAAATAATAGCAGTCGTGTTGCAAGACTGAGCCTGAACGGACTTGAGGGTTTGGGTTTTGTTGAAGGTTGCTCTAGAGTATGTTAAGGGTGGGAAGAAAGGATGGTTAGGCTCACTACTGAGAGACAATAGTTAGTGTTAATTAAAACAAACAACAATAAAAACCCTAACTTTTCTACCTGTATTTTGTTTCAAACTTCTCTCTCAAGAAGAATGTTCTTCAGACTGAAGTTGGTGGGAAGCCTGAAGTAGTTGAGAGATTGGAGTAAGAGGTCCCAACAGGGCCAGGTAGGTGGCTCATGCCTGTAATTCCAGCACTTTGGGAGGCCAAGGGGGGCGGATCACTTGAGGTCAGGAGTTGGACACCAGCTTGGCCAACATGGTGAAACCCCGTCTCTACTAAAAATATAAAAGTTAGCCGGGCATGGTGGTGGGCACCTGTAATCCCAGCTACTAGGGAGACTGAGTCAGGAGAATCACTTGAACCCGGGAGATGGAGGTTGCACTGAGCCGAGATCGCTCCCCTGCACTCCAGCATGGGTGACAGAGCGAGACTCCATCTCAAAAAAGAAAAAAAAAAAAAAAAAAAGAAACAAGAGGTTCCGACAGATCACATTGCACAGCCTAACAAGTGCTTGTCTTGTTAGGCTGTGGTAACAGTAGTCTTCCTTGAGAAACCAGACGGCCAGGAGTGTGACAGGAAGCCTAAAGCCAGACACAGATTGCTAATTTTCAAAAAGGTAGAAACAGACACATCCCAGAAAGATATTGCCAACAGGTAAATCCTCTCGTTCAAGCCCAAATGTTCCATTGTTGAGGTGGATGATGGGGCAAAAGAGCAGTTTCTATGGCTCTGAGGAGAGACCTGGGATTCTGTGAGACCCTGAGGGCCACAGAAGCCAACCCTATGTCAAGTCCCCTCAGGAAACTAAAGCAGTCTTTGTGGTGGTTATTCATCCATGGATACATATATCAAATCATCACGTGTACATCATAAATATATACAGTTTGTATTGTTAATCACACTCCTAAAAAGCTAGAATAAAAAATAAAGAAAAGAAAGAGTACCTTAATTCTAGTGCAGATAATGGAATGAAGGAGGCTTGTTCTAATGAGGGAGGCTGGAGGTGATGGCAGGAAAGAGGGATGCAAGTTGCACTGTGCTTCTAGAGGGTACAGTGTGAAATTTACACTCCTCATCCTTTTTTTAAGATTAATTTTAGAAAAAATGAAGGTTATATTCCAAAAGTTTCCCAAACTCACTTCTAAAATTTTCTTCAGCATGTGTTGAAAACTTTCCTAGTCCAGTATCCTTGGGTAATAATAATAAAAAAAAACTAGTTTAATACTTTATAATCAGGGAAAAACAGCATTTTATATTTCAATACCAACAATAGAGAAAAATAAATGAGGAAAATGACATTAGAAATATTTTTCAGTGCTGTTTTTCATGAACCATATGTGGGAATTTTAAGATAATGTATTTTCAAAAGAAAATAAAACTATATATGGCCTAAATAAATAAATCTTCAGCAGACAAAAAATAAGTAATGTGCAGAGCCGGCCCTGAGGGGTCACTGTGTTACCAGAGCCTCACAGTGATTACCTGCATAATGGCACTCTTCTAGAAAGTTTCATATGTTCCACAATCTTTGTATTAGAAGGCAGGATGTTGTGAATGCATATAAGAAAATGTTTCTTTCATCCAAATTGGAGTAGTTTTGGTTTTTTGGTGAGATACTTTAAACATTTTATTTATTTATTTATTGGTGGAGATAGGGTCTCACTATGTTGCCCAGGTTGGTCTCAAATTCCTGGGCTCAAGGAATCCTCCTGCACTGGCTTAGTTACATTTTTAATTGGTGACACACACAACCCAGGTCAGAAATCTAGGGTTCACTATTAACTCCTGCGTCTTCCTCCCCAGCCCTGTCCTGCCATTGCAGTCCAATTGATCTGATTTCCGGTGTTTCTCCAGAGCATTCCTTTATTTTCCTGCCTTCCATCCACTGCCCCTCATCATCTCTTGCTGCCAAGTTCCTCTCTGTCCTCAGCTTCTCTCTCCAGCCATCCCTATGTAGGACAAAGAGCAACCTCACATGCACATTAGTGCCTTTCAGCCCCACATCGGCCCCTTCCTGCTTCCCCACTGACCTCAGGATGAAGTCAAATTTTTTGGTTCCAGCCTCAGTCCCCACTGGTCTTTCCGTCCCAATTTTGGCCAAACAGTATGGAAGTATTTATATTTCTCTGAATATTTCTTGTGAATACAATACAAACATGTGGCGCCCACCCCGCCCCAGGCACTAACTTCTTTCTCTAACGGACTCCCTTTATCCTTTAAACTTTGGAAGAGGTGTCAGCTCTGCCCTCCAGGGCTCTACACCTGGTTAGATCTGTCCATCATGTCCTGTGGAAGTCTCAGTCACAACATGGAAATTGTCAGTTCATGGGCAGCTTACCCTGTCCCCTGTCCCCTCGTGCCAGAAGCCAGAGGCCAGAGGCTATGTTTATTCAAGCCTGTTTCCTCAGTGCTGAGTGCAGTGCCCTGCTGGAAATAGGTGCTGAGTATGCTTGATCAGCTGACTTTGCTTGAACATCTTCAGTCTCTTAAACAGTCATGTATCCAGAATGTTGCATTCTGAGAAGTTCTAAATAGCCAATGATTATTATAGCCATTAGCACTCACACCTTTCTCTGTTATTACACTGTAAATTCCTAGAGGCAGAGCCCCAGACGCTTCATCTTTGTGCGCTGAAAATTCCAGGCAGGGACCTGGGCAGACAGGTGTGGGATGAGAAGGACACTCTGGCCAGGAGATAAAGCCACCAATTTTCCTGCATAGACAACTTCCAGCAAAGCCTGGGAGTGGAAATGACTGATCAACTTGGAAGATGATCCCAAGAGAACGTTCTAGACTAGGAAATCAGAGCTCATTTGTGGAATGCAAGCCCACCCATGACTTCAAATGCTACAAATTCTAGAAGATTTTAAAAATGCATCACCTGTTGAATGCTGAGTGAGAAAATAAAGACAACAGAGTTGACTGAATATTACAGACCTGAGTTTAACCTAAGACAAACTAATTATGAAGCTATGAACATATTTCAGTCAACATGAAATACAGAATATGTTTCCTGACCAGCACATCAGTTATAACAGAAATCCCCTTAAAGAATTTTAAAGAAGCTGTGTTTTGAAAACTGTCATGCTTGGCTTCAGTTTTGTGGTCCCCTTTCAGTGCCCCTGTTTTGCGTTTTCATTGTATCACCCAACCTGTGTGTCAGAATAAGACATTCATTAAAAAAAGGGGACATTTAATAAGCATTGGCATTTTTTCAAGGGAAAATATTTAAATATGATTAAAACAATAGTGAAGCTAAGAAAAACCTGACTATATGCTAAAAATACAGCATCTATTATTAGCATTCCAGAAATTCCAAATTGAAGCACTCCAGACAGTATTAGTGATGATTACGTGCAAAATGCAGCAATAAGCCAAACCTAGACTTTCTATTGACTTGTCTATTTTCGTATCTCGCTAGCAGAAAGACTACATTTCTGGTCATTTCCATTATTGGGGAATCGTACTTTACCATTGATTTCGAAAGGCTCCATTGCAATTTGGTGAAAAGCAGCTTGTTGGGTCTCACTCAAGAGCTCGTCCTCCTTGAGAATTTTCTTATTTCTCATTGCCAAGCTTTATAGATGGCCAAAGTCCTGGAGCCAGCAGAAATGCTCCCCTCAAGAGGAACCACTTGGAGAAAGATCCTTCCCATCGAACCACTGCAGCTGGTTGTAAACCTCGCAGCACTTCCCTTTGGCTCTGATTTCAGAATTTGCAGGATGTTTCCTGACATGATCAGGATTGGACATTTCTCAAACACGGGCTATTCACATGTGGATCTCCCACACAGTGCTGCTGCTTGTTAAGGGGGATCGAGGAGGCTTTGGGACACAAGTTACGGGCCTCTGAATGCACCCGTCACTCCCAGGTCCCTGAGACCCAAAAGCTGGATGGCTCCAGAGAGGGCCAACCAAGCCCTGCCATGGGCCCAGACTCAGCTCTCTGTCCCAGGACCTCTCCAGCCCACAGTGAAATCTCCCTTCTCTGACCTGCCTCAACCTTTAGAGTTCATCCTTGCTGCTCAAAGTGTGGTCCATGGACCAGCAGTATTAGTATCACCTGAGAACTTGTTAGAAATGCAAGTTCACTTGTTCTAACAATGAGTCTCTGGTCCCACCCCATCAGATCAAATCCAAATCTACAGTTTAACTAGATCCCCAGGTGATTTATATACACATTACAGTTTGAGAAGCCTTGCTCTGAACCACACATTTTAGCACTTAGTATTTCTTCTTGTAGTTTTCCCATGTTCTCTCTCTGTGTGTGTACACATGTGTGCACATGTGTACATGTGTTACAGGTGTCCTTGTCCAGGCCCCAGTGAGATCTGAGCTCCTTAAGGAAAGTAGCTTCTCCCCTCTCTCCCTCCCGTCAGGCATCTCTACCAGGGATGCTGTATAGCATGGTGGTTAAGACACAGACACTAAGAGCTAGAATGCCTGGCTTCAAATTCCACCTCTTCCACATAGGGGCTGTCTGGCAGTAGGCAAATCACTTGAGCTTTGAGCATCTCACTCTTCTGTTTGTATAAATAAGGAAGATATGAATTTCGTGAGCCTTAAATGAATTAAATCATATAAGGTGGCTAGGATGGAAGTATTAGGTAATAAACACTATGGTCATGTTGTTGTTATTATCATTAGAGACATTGTGAGCCTGCTGGGCACCGAGGAGATGAAGAAATGGCCTTTTTTCATGAAAGATATTCACAGTCTACCATGCAAGATGGTTGCGGCTACAACTACATTCCAGAAAATTGCTGTGAAGTGCGGCAAAGGTTGATGTCCCTGAAAAGACAGAAGTGCCGGGAGGCAGGGGAGACAGGGCAGAAATATGACAAATAGCTTTATCATCTGAATCAAGAGATATCAGATACCAGAGCTGGGCTTAAAAGGATAATGGGGGATTGATCCAGATCAAGATGAGGCAAAGGCCCTCCAGGGAGGAAGGAGGGCAGGTGCAGCCTCTCAGAGGTGGGACAGCCTGGAGCAGGGGAGCCGTAGACTTTTGGCCTATTTGAAATGTAAGAGGTGAGGAAGACAGGTGGCAGGAAGTGAAGCTGTGCCAGGCGAAGTCACTTTCTTTGGCCCGTGGTATGTCAGAAAGTGAAAGGGGATGAAACTCAGGAAAGTGAGCTCCTAGCAGTGCCCTGAAAAGCAGAGGTCCCCCGTGGCGCCCACAATTTCAACATTCAGGAAGTCACTGGTTCCGCCAGAGGACAAGCAGCAGAAGCCAGGACAGAAAAATTTAAAGAGGAAAATTGGAAATGAGGAAGTGATGGCTCCAGCTAGAGTCTGGGGGGTAGACAGGACCAGATAATTGAGGACACAGGGGATTTGCCCACTGGAGGGCAGTCCCCTAGGCAAAGGAACCCGCTCACTTAGCCTGGCAGAGCTCCCTGCTCTCCCTCTGCCTCTGCCTGGTCAGCTCATCTTTGATTCTCATGGGTGTGGGGAGGGGACTTATTAGAAAATGTCATGGGCTAATTATTGAGGATCCCTGTTCTTAAAGGAAGCACTTAGTGGATGTCAAGTGTAGTCACTTCACCTCTGGCTAGAGACCAGAGAGACTTGGGTCCCAAATTCAACTCTTTCATTAACTTTCTGTGTGACCTTGGTTGACTTACTTCTCTGAACTTCCACACAGAGTAATGGCTTGTGCAAGCATTAATTCCTATCCAGGATTTACTGTTAATGCCAGACACTGTGCTAAACATTTGCATACATTGCTCAACACTCATAACTTGCAACTTGCCTTAAATTGTGTGGTTATAAAGAGCTACACCAGAATTTGAATCCAGACTCTCTGCCTCAATCTATAGACTGATTTAATTCTGGTTTAATCCAGGGGTTCCAATCCAGAGGTTTGCAGTAGAGGAATGCCAGTTTCCCATCCCAAACCTGAGGCTCTGGTTTTAATAAAAATTTCAGAAAGAGCTCTAATGTGCACCAGGCTTAGGACCACCGAGTGGTATAATTGAAGCACTCATGTGCAGTGTGGCCTCCTGACTCCATCCTAGGAGGATCCATTAGGTTGAATCATATGGAATGACAGATATTTATCTGTTTTTCATATGCAATAAATGGATACTTTATATGACTCAAGCTAATCCATTCACCTTGCAGGGCCTGAGACTCAGGGATTAGGATGAAGCAAATAATTCACTAGCCTTGAGTACAAAAGATTCAATAATCAAGATAAATAATATTTTAGTGCAATATATTTAAAAAATCAAAGTTAATGCAAAAATTCTGCGATGAACAAAATATCATCATTTTAAAGGAAGACAGAATCCCACTTTGCACGTACAATGACCCTCCTCATTTGCTTACCCTAGTCCTGGCCCTCTCATTAGCTCTGTGTTTCAGCATCCCCATTACAAAATGGGATGCCCAGAGTTGCCGTGTTTACCCATAGAGTGGATGTGTGGATCAAATAAAATAATAAATGAGTAAGTACATTTGTAAACAAAAGTTCTATATGCAGAATAGCATTTTATATCAAAAGAGCGTGTCATACGAAACTCCTGCACTGTCAATGAATCCCTTAAAAATCCTTTAAATCTTCTATAAATACAAAACACACAATTTAGGAAATATGGTACAGTCTCTTCTGAAGTCTTACTCAGACACTTTTATCTCCAGGAACACAGATCCAGCAGTTTCTTCCCAGGTGAAGTTGCATTTGGAGACAAGTTGTCCAAGAAATGCAGGGTCTGGCTTTATTTGTCTAGCAGCATGCATATAATTGGATTGGAGTATTTAAATGTGCATTTGGGGAGGGCTCAATGCCCAATGTAGTTACATCAAGTTCTGATATTCTCTGAAGTGATGGTCAAGTGGCTCCCAGTGCTTTATCACACAGGAGTGGTGGGGCTGGAGTTCCAGGCAAGTGTGACCACTCTTGATGGTCTCCATGGAGCTTGATTTCCTATCAGCTGGTGGGTTCCAAATTAGTTCAGTCAGTGGGCTGCCTGGCAGATCACCAAGAAGAACCCTTGAGCAACCCAATTCCAGCTTAAAACTGGGGCAACCAAGTTAACGCATGATATAAAAATTACCGGCACAAACCCATGTGTCCGAAACCAACCAACCAATCCACAGCAGACAGGTGAACCGAGCCTTGGGGACCTCTCTGGAGTCCCTTCCACACATCTGCTCAGTCATCTGCCTATGCCCACCAGCGGAAGGGATGGAGAGACTGGACTGAAGGGAATGTATCAGAGAGAAACATTTAAAAGTTCTATCTATTGACTTCATTTTTCCTGCCAGTTGTGAGTGCCCAGGCTTACGTAAGTTCCTGGTAGTTAATGAAGCTCAAGAAGTGTTGATCATTTAAAAATTAGAGAAAATTAACAACACAAATGACCGTGAACAGGCGAATGAATTGTGTCCTATCTATGCAATGGAATACTAGTCTGCAGTAAAATGAAATATGCCACATGAATGAATCTCAGAACCCATTATGCTGAGCAAAAGAAGCTAGACTTCAGACAGGACATACGGTATGATCCCATTTATACAGGCTTCTAGAACAAGCAAAACTCATTCAAAGGGTCAGCAAACAGAGCCATTGGGTCCTGGGGTGGGAGTAAGGGGGACTCTACCAGAGTGGAGCACAAAGGAAACTTCTAAGGAAATGAAAGTTTTCTGTATCTTGTTTGGGGTGTTAGTTACAAAAGTCACTAAACTTTACACTTGAAGTATGTGCATTTTATGGCATGTAAATCATGCCTCAATAAAGTTAATTAAAACAGAAGTTAAAGGACAAAAAGGAATTATTGTTGTTGAACCTTGGCCCAACTCACAGAGGTTTGTCTTTTGAGAGCTATTGGAATGAGGTGACAGTGCCAGCCTCCCAGTAACAGGTGTGGACTGGCCACCCACACTTTTTCTTGCCTGATGAGGATCCTTACACATGCTAGTGTGGCAGGTCAATTCTCCCTGACAACCACACAGACAAGCAGGCATGACCGTCACACAGACAGGCCTGCATAGCACCCTAGTTACACAGACAAATTTCCACAGAGCTGCCTTAACATTGAGCAAATAGTTAAGCCTAGGGAAATAATGCCTAGACATCAAAGCTAGAAATGAAACATGGTCAGTAGGAGCCTTGCATAGTCTTCTCCCTAACCTAGAGCAAACAAAATAATAGAGACAGTCTTACATTCCTAGTGCCAGCACTTCGTCTCAGGTTGACAAAATTTTAGATGAGTAAAGGTAACAGAGGCAGTGTTTGAATAGATTCATTGGAGAGCCTAAGGTAGCTCTCTGGACCAAGCTGTAAAGGAGATAACATAGAAATAATCACTCCGGTACCACAGTAGACAGGCCTTGAAGGTACTGGGGCCCTTTTCGTTGGACTTAGCAAGCATTTTTTGCCTCTGACCTTATAGCTGAAACAAAATTAGTTACCAATAGACTTAAGTGAATGCGATACTGCATGTAGGCACATAACACCAACTATATGAGCACTAAGAAAATGGTAACACTCTGGGTTTGTCTGGTGGAATTATCTCTGGCCTTCTCCCTGAATCCGGTTACAGCAATAAATTCCCTTCTTTCCCAGTTTGTCTGCTTCTCATTATTGGGCCTTGAGAAAACGTAGCCAGACCCAGCTTGGTTCTGGGAACACTGGGATTGCAGAATCCGGACTGCAAACTCCGCCGTGAGTACAGAGGAAAGAAAAGAGAAGCAAACTGGTCTCCTATGAGACTCTTCCACTGACTCAGCACTCCCAATTCAGGAACCATAAAGGGCAGAGGCTGGAAAAGCAGCAGCTTTCTTGGTCTGATTTCAGGAACACAAGTTCTCCTGACCCCAGACACCATGCCCTGCCTTCCTGACACCTGCAATGTTTTCACGGGGGACCAAACCTTATATTCCCTTAATCAGAAATGAGATGTAAACATACATCCCCTCTAGGAGAGGAAACAGAGACATACACTGAAGTGTAAATGAGCAATATTATTCTTTTCCAGAGCAGGTTTGGGGGATTGGAGGAAATAGGGGCACAGGAGAGAGTGGGAGCACCCAGGCCCTAGAAGCTCTGCACAGGAGAGTGCTATAAATGCATGGAAAGAAAAGCAAGAGCCACTAATAAAACTTTACAGGTTTCACAGTTGTACCAAGGATCACCCGTGGTAATTTGCATTGACCTGAAACCATTTTGCCTCTCCAATCCTGGACTGAGAGCAAATGGGTGGAATAGAGAAGCCAGGAATTCAATTAGAGCTGCTGGGGAGGTGGTAGTCATTCCTTATTCATTCATTCAACGGATATATAATGAGTGCCTACTATGTTCCAAGCTCTGTGCTAGTAAGAAAAGAAAACAGAACCTTGCCCTTACCAATGAGCTTGCAATTCACCCTCCCTTAGTCATGTACTCACGGGTTGTGCCCTATCTTGTCATTTTTAGTAGCTGTAACTCCTTCCTAATTGTTTATTCATTCCTCTTTCTGGCCATGCCTCCTATCTTTCCAGCTCATTTCTTTAGCACTAACTCCAACAATCTTTTGACTCTAGGACCTCTTATCTATTATTCTGCTACTCTGCCACTGCCCATCATCTACTTCATGTCCTCTCTTCCCTACTTAACCAGCTTAAATTTATGGTTACTCACCCCCTTGCACACATCCTTAACTCCCTTATCCCTTTTTTGCTTCATTGTCCTCATTTGACAAAACCCACAACCCTGGTTAGATCCAACTCTCAGTGCAGCTGAGTGTAACTGGAGAAAACAATGTGGCCATGTTGATGGTCTTACTTTAATTTTGTGACGTGAACTGCAAATAAACCCTAATCCTGTCTGGCAATAGCACAGTAGTCTTTATTCAACTCACTCTCCCAAGTAAATCTTTCATACCTGTCTTCTCTTTAATCTTGTCTTTGCTCTCACCTCACTTTCACTGAGGAAATCCAAACAACCAGAAAGAAAATTCTCTGCACCTCCACCATCACCAGTATCTGCACTAAGGCTTCTGCCTGCCTCTCTTTGACACGGATGAACTTTCTAAGTTCCTATCAGGAGCCAGTACTTCAACCTGTGCACTACTTCCATCCCCTCTCTTCTATTCATGAACTTTTTCTCAGTAGCAATTCTTCCTTCAATCTCCTCTACAATATTGATTCTAGTCTCTACTGAAGTATTTCCAACTGCTGAACATTGATACTATTTCTCACATTCTAAAACTCCTACTCTTGACACACTTTCCTACAACTTACTACCTAATTTATTGCTCTCTATTCAAGTAAACTTTCTCAAAAGAATCGTCTATACCCACTGTCTTCAATTTCTCCCCTCCCATGCTCTTTTAGATCAACTCCAGTGGAGTTTTCATTTCCGTCACTCAACCAAACTACTCATGTTAATATGACCAATGAACTCTGCATGGTGACATCCTATGGTCAAAGTCAAGTTTTCATTTTACTTGTCAGAAGCATTTCTTAGGGTTGCTCACTCTCTCCTCCAGGAAGTAATCTCTACATTTTCCTTTAAGACATAACAGTTTCTCGGCTGGGCACAGTGGCTCACGCCTGTAATGCCAGCACTTTGGGAGGCCGAGGTTGGCAGATCACCTGAGGTTGGGTGTTCGAGACCAGCCTGACCAACATAGAGAAACCCCATCTCTACTAAAAATACAAAATCAGCCAGGAGTGGTGATGCATGCCTGTAATCCCAGCTACACAGGAGGCTGAGTCAGGAGAATCACTTGAACCCCAGAGGCGGAGGTTGCAGTGAGCCAAGATCGTGCCATTGCACTGCAGCCTGGGCAACAAGAGTGAAACTCTGTCTCAGAAAAAAAAAAAAAAAAAAGACATAACAGTTTCTTGATAGTGTTCCTATCTTACTGGTCACTCTTGGTTCATTCTGCTCATCCCTTCTCTTTTACTTACCTCTTAATGTTGCAGTGCCCCAGGGTTCTAGCCTTTGTCATCTTTTCCATTCATACATACTTTCTTGGTGATGTTATCTAGTCTCATGGTTTTAAATTCCATGATTTTCAAATTTCTACTTCTGGATTAAACTTCTCTCTTGAACTTCAGATTTCAATTTTTACATATATGTTGCATAGGCATTTCAAACTATATACCAAAACAAAACTCCTGATTTTTCCTCAATCTTAATGGGAATTTCATCCCTCCAGTTGTTTTAGTCAGAAACTTTGATGTCAACCTTGATCTCCTTTATCTCTCTCACTCTCTTTATCCCAACATTCAATGTGTTAGGAAATCCATTGGCTTTACCTTCCAAATATATTCACAATTTGAAATTTCTCACCAGCTCCCTGATACCACTCTGGTACAAGTAACCATGATCTCCCACCTGGATTAATTCAGTAACTTTCTAATTGGTACACATACTTCTGTCCTTGCTACTATACAGTCCATATCCAATATAGCAGCCAGAGGGATCCTTTTAATATATGTCAGGAGTGATGACAGGGAAAATGGTGGAGTAAGAAGCAGCAAGAATCTGTCTCTCTACCTAGACAACAATTATACTGTTAGAAACAGTCTGAAGTGACTATTTTGGAACTCTGGAGTTTATTTTAATGTTTGCATCTTCCAGGGAACAGTTTGGCTGGCAAATTTTATCTACTTTTTATTTATTTCAGCCATCAGTACAGTTATGACTACCCATCTCAAATCCCCAGCTGGCAGCAGGCAGCTGTAGGGACAGCAACCAATGTTTCTTGTATGGCTCACTGGAGCTAGAGTGGGCAATAAGGACCTTGTCCTCCAAATATTAGGGTTCTGTGTTCTGACTATGGATTGCTGTTTCTGATCACTGATGGGGCAGGCATGGGGGCTGTTTGTCATTGTTTTAAACCCCATTAACTGAACAGCTTCCAGGAGACTTAAAAAAACAGTGCCTGTTGTTTTGGACACCAAAAATTGAACAGATTCCAGGATACTTAAAAAAGCAGTACCTGTTGTTTTGGACACCAAAAACATGCATGTGAAGAAATTTATAAAGCCATTGTGCATTCCCAGGGAAACAGGTAGAATCAGATAAAACCTAAAAGACCTTAAGTTTTTATTTAAACTGATTCTCAAGACAGAAACATCCCACCAAAATGCAAAAAAACAAAAGCAACACAAACTTTGAGGAAGGGAGAAAACCCAATTTCCAGAGTTACCATGTTATAAGATTCAAATGTTCATCTCTCAACAACAACAAAATAACAAGACATAGAAAGTATGACTCATTCAAAGGAGCAAAATAAATAAATGGAAAACATATTTGAAGGAGCCCAAATATTGGACTTCCTAGATAAAGACTTTAAAATGACTGTCTTAAAGATGCTCAAAAAACTGAAGGAAGACATGAACAAAGACAGGAAAACAATGCATAGATAAAATGAGAATATCAATGAAGAGGTAGAAAGTATAAAAGAGGGCCAAAAAGAAATTCTGGAGCTGAAAAATATAATCACTGAAATGAAAAAAAAATACATTAGAGGGGTTCAAAAGCAGGTTTGATCAAGCTGAAGAAAGAACCAGCAAACTTGAAGATACAACCATTGAGATTACTGAGTGATGAACAGAAAGAAAAAAAACAAGGAAAAGTGAACATAGCCCCACAGATCCCGTGGGGCATCATCAAACAGAACAACTTACATATTGTGGTAATCTCAGAAGGAGAAAAGAGAGGAAAGGGCAGAAATAATATTTGAAGAATTAATGCCTGATAATGCTCCAAATTTGATGAAAGACATCAATTTACAAATCCAAGAAGCTTGATAAACTAAGAAGTAGGGTAGACTCAAAGAGATGCACAGTGATGCACATTATAATCAAAAGACAAGGAGAGAATCTTAAAAGCAGCAAGAGAGAAGTGACTAATTACATAGAAGGGCTCTCAATGAGATTTCAGCAAGCCAGGCATGGTGGTGTGCACCTGTAGTCCCAGCTATTCAAGAGGCTGAAGCAGGAAAATGACTTGAGCCCAGGAGTTCAAGTACAGCCTAGGCAACATAACAAAACCCATCTCTAAAAAAAAGTTTTCAGCTGATTTCTCATCAGCAATCTAGAAGGCCAGAAGTCAGTGAGTTGATATATTCGAAGTGCTTAAAGAAAAAAAACCTGTCAACTAAGAATTCAATATTCAGCAAAACTGTTCTTAAAAATAAGTGCGAAATTACAATATTCTCAGATAAACAAAAGATGAGTTTGTTACCACTAGACCTTCCCTGCAAGAAATCCTTAAGTGAGTACCTTCAGGGTGAAATGAAAGAAAACTAGACAGTAACTAGAAGCCACATGAAGAAATAAGGATCTCCAGTAAAGGTAAATACAGAGACTATTATAAAAGTTAGTATTACTGTAATTTTGGTCCATAACTACATTTTAAATTTTCTCTGTGATTGAAAGACAAATGCATAAAAATGAATTATTAATCTACATTATTGGGCACACAATTTATAAAGACTTAATCTGTGACATTAATAACAGAAAGAGAATACTGGGCACTATAAAAGCAAAGTTTTTATATGTTACTGAACTTAAGTTGGTATAAATTCAAATTAGACTTTACAACTTTAGTGTATTCAATGTAATCCCTGAAGTGAGAACAAAGAAAATATCTATTGAATTCACACAATAGAAAATAATGATTGAATTCATTAAAAAGAATATGCATTTTAAAGTAAAAATAGACTTTAAACCCAAAAAGGTTATAAGAGGCAGAGAGCATTATATATTAGTAAGAGGTTCAATACAGCAAGAAGATATAACAATTATAAAGATTTACAGACTGCTATGGTTTGAATGTGTCCCTTCCAAAGAAAATGACAAGGGAATCATATTCATCATGTTTCTCCAGAGAGGCATAACCAACAGGAGATATACAAGAGAGGAGATTTATTAGGGGAATTTGCTCATACAATTATGGAGGCTGAGGAAGTCCCATATGCTCCCTTGATATTCCAGAGATTGGCCCAGTCCAAGTCTGAAAGCCTCAGAACCAGGAAGGCTGATGATGTAACTCTTGGTCTTAGGGCAAAGCCCTGAGAACTCAAAGGGCTGCTGGTGTAAGTCCTGGGGTCCTAAGGCCAGAAAGCCTAGAGTTCTGATGTCCAGAGGCAGGAAAAGAGGAGCATTATAGCCCAGAAGACAGAGAGCTAGAATGCTCCCTTCTTCTGCCTTTTTGTTTCATCTGGGCCCCAAGCCATTTGAATGGTGCCTGCCCACATTGGGGAGGACCTTTTTCACTCATTCCACCAACTTGCACACAAATATCCTCTGGAAATGGCTTTATAGACACATCAAAAAGTATACTTTGCTAGTTTGCTAGGTATTCCTTAATTCAGTCAAGTCGACATTCAAAACTAATCATCACAGGAATCAAAAAGTTTCACTACAAAAAAAATCAACTAAACACAAAGAAGGCAGTAATGGAGGAAATGAGGAATGTAAAACTAGAGGTCATATGGAAAACAAATAGCAAAATGGCAGAAGTAAGTCCCTTCTTATCAGTAATTACTTTAAATATAAATGAATTAAATCCTCCAATCAAAAGAGAGAAAAATGGATTTTTAAAAAACCTACCATGATCCAACTATGAGACTCACTTTAGATTCAAAGACACAAGTAGGTTGAAAGTGAAAGGATAGAAAAAATTATTCCATGTAAATAGTAACCAAAAAGAGAGGTGATGTGGCTATACTAATATTAGAAAAATATAGACTTTAACCCTAAAAGGTCACAAGAGACAGAAAAGAACATTATATATTAATAAAAGACTCAATACAGAAAGAAGATATAACCATTATAAAGATTTACAGACTGGTATGGTTTGAATATATCCCCTCCAAAATTCAGGTGTTGAAATTAATGGGGAATGTGATTAGGTCATAAGGGCTCCTCCGCTTGCAAATGTGATTAAAGTCCATAAAAAATGTTCTCTTCATGCAGTGTACCACTTTCTTGCCCTTCCACCATCTGCCATGTGAGCACACAGCATTTCGCCCCTCAGGAGGATACAGCAACAAGATGCCATCTTGGAAGCAAAGAGCAGCCCTCACCACAAAACCAAACTTGCTGGCACCTTGATCTTGGGCTTCTCAGGCTCCAGAACTGTGAAAAAATTAATTTCTACTGTTTATAAATCACCAGTCTCAGGTATTTTGTTATAGCAACACAAATCAACCTAATAAAGGACTCTTGAAATATACGAAGCCAAAACTGATAGAATTGAAGGGGGAAATTGATACTTCGATACCACATTTTCAATAATGGATAGATTAGTCAGACGGAAGATAAGTAAGGAAACAGGGGACTTGAAAGACACAATAAGCCAACTAGACCCAACAGACATGTACAGAAACTACATTCAACAATACAATACACATTCTTCTCAAGGGCACAAGTAACCTTCTCCAGGATACACCCTGTTAGGCCACAAAACAAGTCTCAACAGATTTTAAAAGATTGGTATCATACAAAGTATCTTCTCCAACCATAGCAAGATGAAGTCAGAAATCGATAGCAGAAGAAAAATTGGAAAATTCACGAGCATGTGAAAATAAACAGCACACGCTTAAACAGCCAGTGGGTCAAAGAAAAACGTCACAAGGGAAATTAGAAAATATTTAAAGATGAATGAAAATGAAAACACAGCATACCAAAACTTACACTTGTTTTTTTTTGTTTGTTTGTTTTGTTGTTGTTGTTTGCTTAAAACAACACAAATTTATTCTTTCACAGCTCTGGAGACTATAAGTCAAAAATCAAGGTATTGGCAGGGTCATGCTCTCTTTGAAGGCTTTAAAAGAGAATCTTTCCTTGAGTTTTCTAGCTTCTGGTGATTGACTGGCAGTCCTTGGCTTGTAGATGCACACTCCAGTCACATGGTCACCTTCTCCCAGCATGTCTTCACACTTCCCTTTGTGCATGTCTGTCTCTGTGTCCAAATTTGCTCTGTTTATTTCTTTATATATCTCTTCTCCCCTTAATATAAAATCCCTGCATGCTGAAACTTTTTCTTTGCTGTCCACTATTGTATTCAACATTAATCTTGTATCTCCACCTAATTATTATGAAATCGGGCACACTGTCTTTCTCTTCAGGTCCAGAACCTATTCTTTGCACAGGAACAAATGTGTCATTCCCGGCTAATTTCATATCTTCCAGTTTCAGCAGGCTGTGCAAGCATGATGCCAGTGCCTGTTCAGTTTCTGGGGAGGCCACAGGGAGATTTTACTCATGGTAGAAGGCAAAGGGGGAGGAGGCACATCACAAGGCCAGAGAAGGAACAAGAAAGAGCCAAAACATATGTACACTTATAAATGGTTAAAATGATAAATACTATGTTTGGTATATTTTATCACACACAAACAAAATGTAAGTCAGATTGGCCAAAATGGCCTAGTACCATTCCTTGCTAAATAGCAGAACTTTACACCCAGTAAATCTGGAGGATGGGTGTGTATTTTGCCTTTTCTCCATCCTCAAACCTGTTCCTGCCCACTGTCTCCAAGAAGTCTGGGTTCAGAGGGACACTGTCTTTGGGGAGAATCAGGGTTCATTCACTAGCTGTTCAGTGTCATATGACCCCCTGGGAACCCCAAGGATAAATGGAGTAATCTGAACCTAAAAGATGGAAGTACGTCCTTGTGAAAGAGGACCTTGGTCAGGAAGAATTGCTTAGGTTTCTCTTCTGTTTCTGACTTTCATTTCTGAACACTGCTAGCAGTGAGGCTCTGATGTGAGGAGGGGTAAATGGTTATGTGAATTGGAAATGTAGGGTGAAGAATGATCCATTTACAATCTCATGGAGATCCAGAGAGCACCTAGAGGGCTTTGAGAGGAAGGAGAGTGGTGAGTAGCAGGTTGGTGTAACTGACAGATGAGTAGCTAGATGATTGATGATTGCTGCATCATGGTGGACAGCTGGCTATGCAGGTCCAAATGTATTTCTGGTGTCACATTGTCTCTGATACATTTGGATATCGCATGTTGAATTGTAGTTCCCAGTGCTGGAGATGGGGTCTGGTGGGAGGTGTTTGGTTCATGGGAGGAGATCCCTCATGAATTGCTTGGGCCATTCATGGTGATGAGTAGAGGGTCTCCCTCTCAAAGATCCCTTAAGAAAGGACTCAGACAATGAGATACCATCTCACACCAGTTAGAACGGCGATCATTAAAAAGTCAGGAAACAACAGGTGCTGGAGAGGATGTGGAGAAATAGGAACACTTTTACACTGTTGGTGGGACTGTAAACTAGTTCAACCACTGTGGAAGTCAGTGTGGCGATTCCTCAGGGATCTAGAACTAGAAATACCATTTGATCCAGCCATCCCATTACTGGGTATACACCCAAAGGATTATAAATCATGCTGCTATAAAGACACATGCACACGTATGTTTATCGCGGCACTATTCACAATAGCAAAGACTTGGAACCAAGCCAAATGTCCAACAATGATAGACTGGATTAAGAAAATGTGTCACATACACACCATGGAATACTATGCAGCCATAAAAAAGGATGAGTTCATGTCCTTTTTAGGGACATGGATGAAGCTGGAAACCATCATTCTAAGCAAACTATCGCAAGGACAAAAAACCAAACAGCGCATGTTCTCACTCATAGGTGGGAACTGAACGATGAGAACACATGGACACAGGAAGGGGAACATCACACACCAGGGACTGTTGTGGGGTGGGGAGAGGGGGGAGGGATAGCATTAGGAGATATACCTAATGCTAAATGACGAGTTAATGGGTGCAGCACACCAACATGGCACATGTATACATATGTAACAAACCTGCACGTTGTGCACATGTACCCTAAAACTTGAAGTATAATAATAAAATAAAAAAAAAGAAAGGACTCAGAGGCAGCTCATGACTTGGTGTCAAGTCAAGAATGTGCCAAAGGCCCTGGATAAGGCAGTTTTATGCTTGTTTCTTTATGACTAACCTGTTTTTGAGCACCGTTTCAATGTTTGGAGTCTTCCCTGCCTTTGGAGAGTTAATGGGAAGCAGAAATGCTATTCTACTAAAGAGGCCGAAGGGTTGAATTTCTTGAGTTTTCAGCCTCACTTGCAGACAGGCATGGGCATGTGGCCAACCAGACATGCCACCACATTCCTTTAAAGAAGACGGATTGCTGCACACCAGGGAAGGGGCAGCAACTAGAAAATGCCTCAGGTCCTACCCACTCCTCCTGCATAGGCAGCAGAGGTAGCCACAGCAGCAGATGGGTCCTCACTGGATGGGTTCTGTGGCATGATTTCGGCTGTGAACTGTTATCCTTGTCCCTGACCTTGTCCGGAGCCTCATTTGGTGGTCTTACCAGTAAATCTATGAGATCCCAACAGTCTTCCAGGAATTTCCTTCTCAGCTTAAATCAGCCAGTTATCCATTTCTGTTGCTTAGAGTATACTGCAGACTGACACAGAGAGCAAAGAGATGTGATCAGCAATTCAGGCCCTCAGGAGGCCCAGGTGATTAGAGTTTTGGAGAATAAAAAGGTCCAAATTCCTTAGCTTGGCAAATAACGGCCTTTGTGCTTGTCAGCACCACCCTCTTCCCCACCCAACCCATATTTCTCCTGTCATCCTGAAATTACTACAGGTTACCATGGCTGCTCCTTCAGCTTGAAGACACTTTCCCATTCCTGCATCTCATCTGGTGAATGCCTGTCACTCAGTCTAAAGGTATCTTTCTCCATAAAACCTACTGCCAAGTGGAGCTGACCCCCACCCTCCCTACCTGCCTTTTCAAGGTATATTCTGCATGGAGATTCATGCATAGCACAGTAACTCCGCAGTGCTTGTGTTTATTAGTCTCCTTCCTAAACTGTGAGCTCCTCAAGAGCAGGAACTACACATTACCATCTCCTCAACTCCATTTCAACCAAGACTGAAGTCAAGGCATGATTGGGAAATAGCCAGGTGCCAAGGAGCAGCTCCCAGGCAGCATTCCAGCTGCACCAGGGTTTGTGTATGTCCCCTAGAAATAAGTGGAAGGAAAGAGGAGGAAAGGGCAGGCCAAAGGCCCTTTTATTCTCTTGTTGACTCTGTTAGATGAGATCTCAAAGAATAGCGATCCAGAAAGGCTCTGTGGAACCTGTGATTTGTTTTTGTCCAGCACAAAAAGTTATGCTGTGAATGCTCTGAGGAAGTTTATGGCCAAGAGCACCTGAGATTCATTCTTCAAGGTTCTTAACCTCAGCCCCCAGCTGCCAGCAGCTGCTACTAACCCTGGGTATTCATCTTCCCAAGAACTGCACATTTTAATAGGGAACTTAGACTATAAATTGGTTAAATTTTGGCAGAGAAGAGACCCTGAGGGCTAAGGGCTTTGGTGGAGGCTGTACCTCCTCACTTCCCTGCCCCTGCTGGGAAATTGTGTACACCTAAGGGCATTTCTAGCCATTCAAAGGCAAACTCTGCCTCTCTCCACATTTTAACCATTTTTGATTGAAAGATGTGCAATAAGCAACACAGCTTGATTCTTTCCATCCTTTGGACTGATTCTTTGTCCTTTCTTCTAGATGAGGCTTACATCTGGGGGTTTACAATTCTAAGAGCTGACTGCAGTAAAGTGATCTAAAACATAAACGCAAAGAGTGATATTATTAGTCTACAAAATTCCCAGTCTATTATTATCTCTCTTCCTGTGTCATTTCTGATTACAGAAAGAAGTTAACTAATGGTGATTGTGCAAACTGGTTACAAATAAGAACAGAAGCAAAGTCCTGATGCAGTTTTTAAGAGCTGGGTGGAGGGAGCTGAAGTGACTGTATTTCTATAGACTCACTTCCAAAATGGCAAATGGGATAGAATCACTTCCCCAGGAAGGAGAGGTGAACAGTTAACATTTTAGTGCCTACTCCAGGCCAGGCTTAGTTAGGCATTTAAAGAGGTTCTTTCTCCACAACAATCCTCTTTAATGTAAATATCATTTTTTTCATCCTTTCTACAAATGCAGAAACTGAGACACAGGAGCCATTAAAAGCCACCTGTCCAAGGTCACACAACCAGCCCCAACTGGCTGCAGAGTCCAATGTGTTCACTGTATCATACTGAATGCTGGAGTTACCCGGGCACTGAAGAGGTGCCAAACGTTTTTAAGTGGTGTGTATACGGGAGGAGTTTTCTCTGAAGCAATATAACTGATGCCACCAACTGTAACAAACACAAAGTGCTAAGGAGCTGATGAGCCCATAGGAAACTTGTGAATTACGCAGCACATATCTTTGACGTGTTCTTTTTTTAAATATATACATTGTTTCCCTGGCTTGAGGTCCTTGTTCTTCTTCTGCAAGAGGCTGTGCACTCAGCACTTCCCCAGCCTGAATTGCCCTAAGGAGATACTCACAGAATTCACTGTGATCAGAATACATTGCAGTATTATTTGCCATAGCAAAAACCTGGAATTAACTTGAATGATCTTCAGTAGGGAACACAATCAATACATTCTGGAATGTTATGAAGACATTAACAAGAATATGGTAGATCTGATTAAGTAAGTTTGGAAAGAATTTCAAGAGTTGTTATTATGGAGAAAACAGAGGAGTGGAACAAATAGGTAATATGATTCTGGTGATGCAAGTTAAAAAGTATATACGTATGTACACCTATATGATGGGTTATTTATAATTTTTTTAAAAAATAGAATAGTACACCAGAATTTCAGCAGTAGCTGCCTTTGAGATAAAGGTGGGAAGAATGTCTTTTCTTAGATCAATTTTATTATCACTTTATTATAAGAATTGTAATTCTTATATTATATTTATATCACCTTTGCCCTGTCCTGAGCTTTTTATGAATTTTAATGTATTTAGGCCAGGTATGGTGGCTCATGCCTGTTATCCCAGCATTTTGGGAAGTCAAGGAGGGAGGATCACTTGAAGCCAGGAGTTTGAGACCAACCTGGACAACAAAGTGAGAGGCTGTCTCTACAAAACTCTTTTCAAAAAACTATCGGGGCACAGTGGTGCCCACCTGTAATCCCAGCTACTCAGGAGGCTGAGGCAGGAGGATTTCTCAAGCCCAGGAGTCTCAAGACTACAGTGAGCTATTATCATGCCACTGCACTCCAGTCTGGGCAACAGAGTGAGACCCTGTCTCTAAAAAGATAATTTTAAAAAAGTATTTAATCCTCATGATAACACTACAAAATTGGTGCCATTGTTATCTCCATCTTGCAGATGAGGAAATCTGGGTGCAGAGAAGTTAGGTAACTTGTCCACGGTCTTACAGCTTTAAGGAACAGAGTAGGGATTTGAGCTCAGGCACTCAGGCTCATAACCACTGCACAATACTGCTTCCTAGAATAGCATAATACAAGTTGGGTATCCCTTGCCTGAAATGGTTGAGACCAAAAGTGTCTCAGATTTCAGATAGTTTCAGATAGTTTTGGATTTTGGAATATTTGCATATAGGTAATGAGATATCTTGGGGAGGGGACCCAAGTCTAAACACGAAATTCATTTATATTTTGTATACTCTGTATACACATAGCATTAAGATAATTGTATACAATCGTTTTAATAATTTTGTTCATGAAACGAAGTTCGTGCACATCAGAAAGCACAGCTGCCACTATCTCAGCCACCCACGTGGACAACCTGTGGTTGTTTGGCATCACCATCATCCTGACTGAATTTGTATGCTGTGGATAAGCAATCCTTTTCCAACACTACTCACACATAAGTATTTAAGAGTAAAAAAATCTTACATCATTAATAGAGTGAAAAAATAATGTGTTCATGGTAACTAGGCAGCACAATAGCATCACCAGATACCTGGATCAGCTGCAAAACAACAGCCACAACAAACAATGGCAGGTTTTCAGTCTCCATTTACAATGCTGTGCTTCAATTGAAAGATTACTGTACAGTGTATTTTACTCTTTAGGTGAGGAAAATATTAGAAACAGTTGAGAGGCCAGGAAGTGGGTCCTTGAGGGATGAAGAGGCATTGTGCTAGATGGCTTTTTAAAATGTTTCCTCCAGAGTCATCTGCCTCATTAGCAACGGTTTTTGTCTTAGAAGTCTGTCTTCGATTTTATAAACAGACTGTAAGAGTTAAAGAGGAAAGAAACATGAAAAGTGGCTCAACAGTCAAAGATAGGCTTATTTTGGAGAGTAAACCTGTGAGGGGCTTCTGGCTGATTTCGGTCAGGAGCACTCTCTCTTACAGACTAATAGTATTTATTGGATTTAGGGTGAGAGAGCTTATTACAGGCTTGGAATGTTTCCATGTGGGGGAGAAGTTTATGGCAGGGTTGGAATGTCTCTGGTCAGAGGGGAGGTTATCTTGGGCTGACATCTCTCTGGCCAGAGGTGAGGTTATCTTGGGGCTGGCATGTCTGTGGTTGGGAAGGGGTTTACTTTATGGTTTTGGAATGTTTCTGTTTGGAGATGTCATTTGTGGTTTATGATCATGCTGACCTTAGCCATCAGGCTGATGCCCTTTGGATTTAGGCAGTTTTTGATCAAGGTGAACTTTAAAATGGAAGTGCTTGTCCAAGATGGTGATGCTCCTGCTCTGCCACAGACATGATTTTTGTTCTGTTACACTGCCCTAGCCTTTCAGTAAGCCCATCACATATTTTCACCACATCATCTATAGGCACTTTTTCTGCAGTATTAACATCATCTTCATCGTCAATATCATCACGATCCCCTTGATTCAGAACCATTTTGGCATTTCACCATAGGTCAGTGAATGAACAACTGGAGACTCCTTGTTGATGTCAAACACTTCTTTGATATCCACTTCTTCCAGCTTACTGACAGACTCTGAAGGTATATATCTGCATATACGAGATCAAACATCATTTCATTCTCACTTGACTTACAGACTCCTTCAAAGTCACTGCCTTGTTCGTCATCATCCCTGAACACAGTCACAGGCCAGAGGCTGTGCCAGGTAGGCACAGCTGTGTCTTCAGTCACTGTGTTCTAAGCATTGGCAACAGCATATATGGCGTCTTTCATGCTAAACTTCTTTTGAAAACCTTCCACACCCACACTTCGGTTCGCTGCTGCTGGGATGCTGTTCAAGAATGTGTTTTTATATTTACTCTTTATTTTCCCAAGGATATCCTCGTCACATGGCTGAATTAATGAAGTCACATTTGGGGGAAAGTATATTACGTGAACATTATTTTTGATGAGAATTTCAACTAGCGGACAAGCAGAACAGTTGTCAAGGTATAACAAAATCTTGCAGTCATCATCCAATCTGGTTTTCCTGTAGTGAGCACCAGCCGCTGGTACAAAATGTTGTGAAAACAATTGGAAAAGATGTCCCTAGTGATCCATGCCTTTTTGTTAACATAGTAATGAAATGGTAAGAAAGTCATCCCTTGAAAACAGTGAGTACACAAGATTTTTCTATCACAGCAACTTTACACTTATGCAAGCCTGCTGCATTTGCACATTCCAGCACAGTTCTGCCCTTGGCATCCTTAATTCCTACAGGGATTGTCTCATCAGCTGTAGTCAGTCTTTCTGGGGCAGTAATGCCGACACATTGATGTTTTATCAGCAATATATAATAGATTTCTTCTGACATCAGAGTTTCATCAGGGATGACCTTAACCTTGGCAAACTCATCAATGAATTTCTCTCCTGCTTTGTGATCAGCAGATGCTTTGTCACCACAAACTTTAAAATTAATGCCATGTCTTTTCTTAGATTTCTGAAACCAGCCTGTTGAATATTCACAGCTCTCTTCAATTTGCAGTTCATTGTGATAGATCTTTGCTCTTTTATGATCAGCATACCTTTCAGAGGCACGTGTTCACTGTGATGCTGATGAATCTAATCTTTCAATACATGATCAAGATCTTCCTTTTTAGCTTTATGCAGTGTTTTTCAATGTTTCATTAACTTCTGTTGATCACTATAGAGCTTCAGCAGTTTATCCTTCTGTTTCTTCGGGTCACATATGGGGGCCATTCCAACGTCATACTCTTCTGTAAGACATTTCACACTTACACTGCCTTCCAAGTTCTCCAACAGCTTGATTTTCTGTGTTACAGATAAATATAAATGCTTCCTCTTATTCTTATCGCTAAGCTACCCATAGGGGTATCTGTGTGGTTTTCAACACCACAATTATCTTTACACCACAGAGCAGAGATGAATGAAAAAAACACAGAGTAATGCACACAGGTCTTGGCCCCGCGTGGGGCTTTGTGGGAACCTGCTTTGGTGCGTCCGGCCTGCAGTGCCATTTTATTTTCCTTTGTGGATGTGCTTGTGTCAGGGAATTTAGGCAGGCATGGAAAAGTTACATCGCAGCTGAAGGGGGCTGAGAGGTCTTTCTTCCCTTGGGAATGCCACTTAAACTGTGTGTTGTGTGCCTGCATTTTCACTGTGACCTGACACATGAGGTCAGGTGTGGAATTTTCCACTTGTGTTATGTCAGTTTTCAAAAGTTTTGGATTTTGGAGCATTTTGGGTTTGGAGTTTTGGGATTAGGGATTTTCAGCCTGTACATGCATGTAGATTACAACAGAAAAATTGATAAGGTACTGATATCTGAAAGGGAGGCATCTGCTGCCTTACTCTCCCTCCCCAGAGGCAATCATTTCCAAACTCGTCTGTTTCTTTTGGTTCATTACCTCTTTCTTTTATGTAGGTTTATGCTGCTATTTTTGATTTACCTGTTTTAGAACAGAATCTTCCATTACAAGCATGACTTCTTGTTATGGAAGATGAGGCATAGCTTTCTTCTACTGCCATCTCTTATTTCTCCCACTCCTGCTCTCCCAACACTTAGCGAATGATTTGTAAATTTATAGGTAGTGCTTAAATCGTCATGACTATATATATATATACACACACACACAGCTGAGCCAAGTCATCTACCATAATTGTCTTTCCTTTCTGGTATGATTTTTGTTTTTTTAAATTAATACTTGGCTTTTTTCCACATTGTTTTCATTTTCTGTGAATTCATCCTTAAGTTTTTCCAAATGTCCCATAAAATGTTTAAGTAACAAATATTAGTTTTCAAATCATCAGATATATTCAGTACTCTAATAATTCCACTTTTCTTGGAGAACTCCCTCCTGAAGTTTTCAGTCAAATAATTTTCTATACTGCTTGAATTTTTGTATCATGTGCTTATATTACCTTAAAAATACTAAATAAAGGTTTAAAGCAACTTCATTGAGGTATGATTGACACACAATAGACTGCATATATTTAAAGTATACAGTTTGAGATGTTTTGACATATGTATACACCTGTGATATAATCACCACAATCAAGATACCCATTACCCTGAAAAGTTTCCTTGGGCCCCTTTGTAGTGTCTCCATCCTGACCCCATCCCCAAGTAACCACTCATCTGCTTTCTATTATTACAGATTAGTTTGTATTTTCTAGGGTTTATATAAATGTAATCATATAGAATGTAGTCCGTTTGTCAGGCTTCTTTCACTCAGCATAATTATTTTGAGACATATTCATCTCGTTGCTTGTATCAATAGCCCTTTCTTTTTATTACTTAGTAGTATTTCATTGTATGGATATACCACAATTTGTTTATCTATTCACCTGTTAATGGAATTTGGGTTGTTTTCAGTTTTTGGCTATTACAAATAAAGCTGTTTTGAAAGAACATGTGTACAAGCCTTTGTATGAAAACATTTATTTGCTTTTCTCTTGGGTAAATACCTAGGAGTGAATATCACATGGTAGGTTTATGGTCAACTTTTCAAAAAATTGCCAAACTGTTTTTCAAAATAATTGTACCATTTTACATTCCAATTGGTAGTGTATGAAAGCTCCAGTTCCTACACATTTTTGCCAACACATGTCTCATGGTGACTTTTAAAAATCTGAGCCATTCTGTTAGGTATGCAATGTTATTTCTTTATAGCTTTAGTTTGCATTTTCTTAATGACTAATAATATTTATTTATTTATGTATAGTTACTTGTATTTTATTACTACAAGTCCCTTATCAGATACACAGTTTGCAAAGATTTTTCTCTCAGACTTGGCTTGCTTTTTTTTTCTTTTGTGAGACAGAGTCTTGTGATTCTCCCATCTCAGCCTCCTGAGTAGCTGGCATTACAGGGGCACATCACCACATCCAGCTAATTTTTAGTAGAGATGGGGTTTTGCCATGTTGCCCAGGCTGGTCTTGAACTCTTGGTCTCAAGTGATCCATCAGCCTCAGCACCCCTAAGGGCTGGTATTACAGCCATGCACCACCGTGTCTAGCCCTTGATTTGTTTTTTTCATTCTCTTGAGATTGTTAAAAGAGAAAAAAATTTAAAGGAAAAACTATATGGTTGTCTCAGATGCAACAAAAAACATGCGACATAATCCAACATCAATTACTGATAAAGGCCCTCAACAAATCTGTAACAGAAAGGAATTTTTTAACCTGATAAAAGGTATTATAAAAGTCCTTAAATTAAGTATTATATTTAATGATGAAAGACTGAATGCTTTTCTCCTATTATAAGGCAAAAATAAATAAATAAATAAAAGAATCTCAGTTGGAAAGAAAAACTGATTCTGTCTTTATTCACAAGCAACATAATCATATACATAGAAAGTTCAATGGAATCTACACAAATGTTTCTAGAACTAAAGAGTAAGTTTAGCAGGGGCACAGAATACAAGAGAATATAGAAAACTCAATTTTCTATATGCTAGTAATAAGCAATCACTAAAATTATTTAAAATTATACAATGCACAGTAGTATTATAACTATGAAATACTTAGGGATAAGTCTGAGAAGAGATGTAGAAAGCCTATAGATAAAAATCAGTAAAACATTTTTGAAAGAAATTAAATAAGACCTAAGTAAGCAGAGAGGTATACCATCATCATGGATCAGAAAACTCAAGGTAGTTAAGATGTTATTTCTCCTCAGACTGATTTGTAGATTCATTGCAATCTCAAACAAAATTGATAAGCAAATTCTTAAATTTATATAGAAAAGTCAAGGGCCTAGAGTAGCCAAAATAAACTTGAAATGAAGGACCAAGTTGGAGGACTTACATTTACTGACTTTAAGACTCATTTTAAAGCTAATCAAGACATTGCAGTATTTGCAATTTGGCAAAGTGTTCACATATTTTTCTCATTCTACATTGAGTTTTTGCTTTTTTATTACTTAGTTTTGAGAGTTGTTTATATACCGTAGACACAAGTCCTTTATCAGCTATGTGATGTCCAAATATTTTCTTTCAGTTTATGATTTGTATTTTCACTCTCTTACGAGTGGCTTTTGATGAGTATGTTCTTATTTTTGAAATTCAATTTATTTATTTATTTTTCTTTTATGTGTCGTGCTTTTGGTGTTCTATTTTTAAATTCTTTGACTAACCCAAGGTCACAAAGATTTTCTCCTATGGTTTCTTCTATAAGTTTTATAGCTTTAGATTTTCAATTAAGGTCTATGATCCATTTGGAGAAATTGAGAAGTCTGAGGCCCTTTCTAGGGATTCTGACCTAAGACCCAGGCAATCTTTAAGGTCACTGAGCTTGACTAACTTTTGATAGTGGTGTGTGGACTACAGTGTGTTCAGTTGCAAGTATCAGAACACCTATCTTAAATTGGCTTACACAACAGGGGAGCCATTGGTGCTTTAGTTGTAAGTTCAAAGTGAGGATGGCCTATAGGGTTGGTTTAGTTCAGTAGCTCAATGATGCCACCAATTGTTCAATCTTTCTGCTGCCAGCTATATCCTGATTTGGGTTCTTTTGGGAGTTGAAGGTTGCTAATGCCTCCTCACTGCCTAGAAAGAGTGATGGACTCGTATCCAGAAGCCCCCATCACACTCCAACTTGGACCACATGTCCAACTCTGAGTGTTTATCTGTGGCCAGGGGTGGTAGAAGGATTGTCATGGTTACTGTAGGTGTGAGCCACATGCCTCACTGCCAGAAGCAAGGGAAAGCAGCTTTTCCCAAAGCACATGGACAATGCAGGCAAGGTGGGGACGCTGAAGGGTCAATTGAGGGAAGAGTGAAGGGATGTTGAGAAAGCCATCTCAATGGCTATTTCAGGTGCATTTAGGGGCAGAGAAGGGGATGATTTTAGTGATATCTTATATGTAAAATGATTAACAATTTTATAGAAATTACCATTATTTGCAGATTTGTGATTACTTACCTGGAAAGCTCAAAAGAATCAACTGAAATAATAATAAAAACATAAAGAAAATCCTGTAAGATGGCTGGTAGCAAAATTAATATGCAACTGTAGCTTTCTTTATAGAAACAACTATCAATTAGGATAGATAATACACATAAGAAAATACCTCATTAAGACTGCAAAGAGATGAAATACCTGGAAATAAATGTAACGAAAATGTGTTAAGACTCAGCCCAACATGGTGGCTCATGCCTGTAATCTCAGCACTTTGGGCAGCCAAGGTGGGAGGATTGTTTGCGGTCAGTAGTTCAAGGCCAGCTTGAGCAACGTAGTGAGAGCCCATTTCTAACAAATAATTTTTTAAAATTAGCTGGGCATGATGGCTTGCACCAGTAATCCCAGCTACTTGGGAAGCTGAGGTGGGGGCATCATTTGATTCCAGGAGTTTGAGTCTATGGTGAGCTGTGATTGCACCACTGCCCTCCAGCCTAGGTGACAGAGTGAGACTCTGTCTCTAAAAACAAACGAACAAAATCTTAAGACTCCATGTGAAAAAAAACAACTTGTAAATTCTACTGAAGTATATTTTTAAGAGACATGAATGAATGTCTTCAATAATGATATTCAATGTTATAACAACATCAATTGTCCCTAAATGAATCTATAAATTGAATGCAAGTTCAATAAAAACACTAACAGAATTTTTTTGAGAGGAGAAAATTAGATACAATTTTCTTCTGAAATTTATGTGCAAAAAAAAAAAAAAAAAAAAAAAAAAAAGGCAAGAATAGCCTCGAAAGTGAAAATGAAGAGTTATGGAGGGGGAACTATCTTACAATATATTATAAAGTACTATAAAGGTACTGTAACTGAGTTTTCTCTTATCTACCTATCACTAAGTAACAGCAATGGAAGAGAAGAGAGAATCCACAAATATGAAAATAAACATTAAAATTCAAGGTGTAGAATAAGGTAGGCTTTATACCAGAAAAGATAGATTATTTAATAAATTATGTTGGGACAACTGGTTAGGAACTCCTTACCAAAAAAGTAAATGCTGATGAATCAGATATATAGCATTAAAATAAAAAGTGGGAAATACCTGAAGGAAAGGTGGTATGTTTTAGTTTATTTTTTGCATTCTGGAATGGGGAAGAATTTTCCAAGCAACACCAAAACATAGAAGCTATCAGTTTGACTACATGAGAGATAGCTGTATGGGGAGAACATACTGTAAGCAAAGTTTTAATTTAAGAGGATAAGACGCCAGGTGCGGTGGCTCACGCCTGTAATCCCAGCACTTTGGGAGGCTGAGGCGGGTGGATCACGAGATCAGGAGTTCAAGACCAGCCTGGCCAAGATGGTGAAACCCCATCTCTACTAAAAATACAAAAATTAGCTGGGTATTATGGCAGGTGCCTGTCATCCCAGCTACTAGGGAGGCTGAGACAGAAAATTGCTTGAACCCAGGAGGTGGAGGTTGCAGTGAGCTGAGATCACACCACTGCACTCCAGCCTGGGTGACAGAGCGAGACTCCATCTCAAAAAAAAAGAGGGTAAGACAAAAAAAAACGGTTAAAACACATTTCACAAAGGGCTGATGTTCTTAATATGTTAAGAGTCCACAAACAAATGAAAATACTACAAGGAGAACGGACAAAGCACATAAACAGGGAGTCTAAAGCATCGGAAGTGGGTTATAAACAAACGATAATGCAAGTTAGTGTTTCTTTTTTTAAATCGGTCAGATTGGAAAAAATAATAAAAGCTTGAAAAAATATTACTGGCAAAAGTATCAGGAGAATAGGCATTCTCATGCAAAATTGATGGCAATGTAAATCATCTCTTCCTTTGAAGAACAATTTGGCCATATCTGTGAATATAGCTGTCTTTTGGTTCAGTGAGTCCTCTTATAAGCATTTATTTCATAGGTATTCTTATAGATGTGGTCAAGGATGTTCATGGAGGCAGAGTTTGTAAGGAAAACACTAGAAAAACATTGAATGTTTCTTAATAGGAAGCCAGTTAAATAAATTATGATCCATTCATACAACGGAGCCTTATTATAACCCAGTAATGTTTTTGAAGTATCACCCCATGTAATTTCTGTCTTTCTAATTCTCTCTCTTTTTTTCCATTTTCTTTCCCTGACCCTGGGCCATCAAGTCTAGTCCGGAATCCTTGGGCTTGTGCAAAGTGCTTGCTGTCACATCAGGGTGCGGGAAGGTTGGATTGGCTTAGAACAGGGAAGTCTTTTTCCGTTTTGATTTCTGGACCTTGTAAGGTTCAGAATGAGCACACACTCTTGAAAGTTCAACATTTCCAGAAGTAGAAAGTGGGTGCATCTCACAACTCCCAAAGCTGGATTTTCATATTTCAAGAACCAAAGTTTGGAGGGCAGGCCACAGAGTTATTGACAATAAAATGACATAAAGTGATCGACTAAGGGGTGGCCCTTCCTAGTGCTAAAGGAGCAGCCAGCCAGGAGGTGCTGGAAGGAGGGAGTGGTTGAGCAGAGTGAGTGTTCAGAG
The DNA here is from genome assembly GCF_000001405.40 of Homo sapiens. NCBI lineage: Eukaryota > Metazoa > Chordata > Mammalia > Primates > Hominidae > Homo > Homo sapiens. The sequence continues at coordinate 118,915,240 of NC_000002.12, read as the reverse complement.
GCGCACTCCCCTTGCGGTGTACCAAGACAGGAATGTGGGAAATTGGACCAGGCAGGGGCTCTTGTGCTGCTTTTCCAGGAAACTACTACGGGGAGATGAGCCTTCAGCTTAATGTCATGGCTCACCTGGTTAAGCAGCAAAAGGGGGCCACATAGGAGAGGCAGGTGGACCTGAGGGCATATCTCAATAAGATGTGGCAAAGGCACTGGGAGTTCTGGGGCACCAAGGAGCTATGAATGCACCAGGGGACTAGACCGAAGCACTAGGAGAAGCTTGGACTTAGAATAAAAGGCCACCGAGGGCAGAATCTTGATTCTGAAAGCCTTTGCAATCTCTGAGGTCAACGACAGAGGCTGCCAGCACTTCGTGGGACCAGTCACATCTCAGTGGATACCAGTGCAGGTGCTCCGGGCCAGCAGCTGATCACACTGCAGCAGATGATACAAAAAAATAAATGTCTAATTTGCATTGCCTGCTCACACAAGAGACACAAGAAACTGATGGCAGTGGTTATTCCCCAGAAAAAAGGCTTAAGGGATTGAGGATGTGAGAATGTCCAGGCACGCTCACAGTACTGTGTGAGCTCCCCAAGAGAAGGGTCTGCATTGCCCCCATCGGACTAGGCACTCACCAAGGTTAAGGCCCGTGGCTCTCCTATCAGACTAGGGGTTCTGCAAAGGCTGGGAATACACTTTCCCCAGCAGGTGCAGGATCTGAGGGCTTCCTGATTGTGCCCATAAGGGCCTTAGGGATGGCCTTATTGAGTCCTGCCCCTCTGACCACTGTTCAGCTCCTCCCCAGACTTTAGCAAACTTGTGTTGAAGAAAATGGGAGATGAACTGAACAGGAGCTGAGAGACGGCTGAAGAGGTGGCCCTGAGAAGTAGATTTCACATGCTTTGTAGAAAGGACAGTCCCAGTTTATACCTGTCATTGTGCCTGTTGTTCCAGTGTGATGATTAATAGTGTCCTCTTTTACTCTCAAGAGTGACCCTGTTTTGATGATAAATCATGTCATCACTATTTCTAGATCTCTGAGGGAGTGTCTCCCTCAGTTCCCAGAAGGGAGAGTCAAGACCCAAATTCCTCAGCCCTACATCAGCAATCACAGATTAATCATCTCCTGTAAGTCTCATGGGAATGCATCAGACATGTCCTGGGACTTAGGGAGGCAGGGACAGACACTACCAGTTGGGAATTGTTGCATGCACAACAAATGTTCCAAGAGCCCCAGAACTTCCCCTATTCAGCTTCCTCCTGGCTTTTCCCTCAGATGGAAACAAGATGATTGCAACAATGATAAAAATAACAGTAGCTACTTATTGTTTGGAACTCTCAAAATGTCACCACTTCCCTTAGAAAGCTCCCTGACCAGTATGGGGAAATGACTTTCACTCTGCTCATGGGACAGCCCAGTCCTGTGGGCAATGCATAGCTACAATCCTTTTAAGAAGAAGCAGGGACCCCTCTTAGGCACCTGCCATTCTCCCCACCCCACCCCTCATGTACGGAAATAAAGAAAACATATTGAATCCCTTCAAGGGAAATTCCAGGCATCTAGCTAGCCTTGAGAAGAAAATGAACAACACAATAAGAAAGAAGAGAGTAGTAGTAGCTTAAACAATAGCCACCCAAGTAAGCCTGAGTCATGAGATATTTGCTTCCCCATAGAAACAAAAAGATAACACCTTAGCATATGTTCTTGAGTTTTCTTTTAGAAACCAGGACTCCCGCTAGATGAAAATTGCCAACTGCTGTCACACAGACATCAGATAAGGGGGAGCTGAGGACTGAACTCTGACCACTGTTTTTTGTTCTAAATTTCTTCCTGAGAGACACAGAGAGAGTCAAGCCTACAGGCCATCAATCTTGCTAAGCTGGTCACTCTGGTCCAGTATATTGCAGCTTGCTTGCATGACCTGACTCTGGCATAGCACGTGATAATTTATGGGTTTCTTTATCCTAACTAACCTATGTTAAGGCCAAGCCTTAACATTCCTTTCTACTGACCCCAAGCTTTCAGATAAACTCTTGCTCCCTTAACCAACTGCAATTCAATGAATCTCTGAATTTACTCATGACCTATAAGCCCTACTTGAAGATATTCCAGGCCGGATGTGCTGGTTTATGCCTGTAATCCCAGCACTTTGGGAGGCCGAGGTGGGTGGATCACCTGAGGTCAGGAGTTCGAGACCAGCCTGGCCAACATGGTGAAACCCTGTCTCTATTAAAAATACAAAAATTAGCCAGGTGTGGCAGTGAGGGCCTGTAGTTCCAGCTACTCAGGAGGCTGAGGTGGGAGAATCACTTGAACCTGGGAGGCAGAGGTTGCAGTGAGCCAAGATTGTGCCACTGCACTCAAGCCTGGGTGACAGAGAGAGACTCCATCTCAGAAAAGAAAGAAAGAAAGAAAGAAAGAAAGAAAGAAAGAAAGAAAGAAAGAAAGGAAGAAAGAAAGAAAAAGAAAGAAAGATAGCTCACCTTTTTGGGCCAAACCAATAACTTACATGTATTGATTTATGATTTTGCCTGTAACTTCTGCTTTCTGAAATGTATCCCTGCCCTTGAAAGCCCTTTTTTGTAAGCCATCGAGAAGCTCAGGTCTTAAGTGTTAGCTGTTGAATTTCCCTTGCTTGGTGCCCTGCAATAAATGCTTTCTTTCTCTCCCTGCAAATCTCAGTGTCAGCGTTTGGCTTTGCTGTGCTGGGTGAGCCGACCCAGGTTCAGTTCAATAACATTTTGCAGTTCCCAGACTGAGGAGGAAAATCAGGCAAGTCACTCAGAGACTGACAGGAATTCTTTACAAAACCCTGCAAGACAACTGGTCTTATCCCCATTTTACAGATGAAAAAGCTGGGATTCAGTGAGGTGATATAACTTACTAAGGTCACACAGCAATTTGGTGGCATCACTGGCTTCAAGCTACAAATCCCATCATGATGTGACGTGCCATTGAATATGGTGACAGAGCTTAGAAGAAGGAGGGTGCCTTTTAAATCTACTTCCATTCAGAAGGGCACGTATTCTTCTATTCCCTGAGAGTGGCTTTGGTTTCCATGCCCAGGAACATTGTGGCACCTTCATCATGTGCCCTGTACACATGGGCATCCTGTGCCACTTCCACTGGGTCCCACCTCCCACATGTTCTGTTTGGTGCCCTGAGCAAAGGCGAGGCCGCCAGAGGCGCCAGGAACTAGGGACGGTCCTAGATGCTCTGCCTCAAGTACAATGTTAATAATTTTTGTGATGCTGACCGGGAGTTCCTTTTAGAATGATAATCTGATATTCTCGTTTTGTCAATTTTTTAATGTTGTTCAATTTTCTGTGTATCTGTATGAAACCTCAAATATTATGTGGAACAAGTTGAAAGAGAAAGAGACTGAAAGAGAAATAGTTAATGGTGAAGGCTGGTGGTTAGGGAAGGGTCAGAGACTCTCATGTGTCTAGCCTGTTTAGGAAAGCCCCTTCCTTACATCTCTGACCAGCATCCTTGACTAGCACCCGTGATACATAATAATCCTGGTCACTAATCCATATCCAGACATCAGCCCTGTGGTGCTCTGATCATACATGCATGAGTCAATGAATAGCACCATCCTCAGCATTTGTTGTTGTTAGAAAAACTAACAACATTGTTCCTACTCAAGGAAGTTGTAATCTTGCTAGAGACAAGAATCTAGATTCTGAAACAATCAAGGTTATAAACAAGGGACAATCAGAGGATGATACACAGGAGCAAATAAAAACGATTTTCCTTTTGAGAAGAACATTCTTTCTTCTATAACACGAGAAAGTGGACTTTGGCAATGATCTATGCAGAAACCTCAGGCCACAGATCACTGGGAAATTAAGAGCCCTGCTTTGGCTTCCTGAGGACTCAAAGTGGCTGTCTACACGGTGTAATAACTCAGATGAACCAGGCCTCCTCTCCATGAACTGTGTAGACATGGCCCCAGGCTTGGAGGCCTCTGGTTGCAGATTGGCTGCACAGAGTATCGAGGTGTCTGGCTGAACTTTTCCTTATTCCAGCAGATGTTCCAGAGTCAGAGACTGGATGATGGTGTCTTGGAGTTCTCAAAAGATCCTCAGCCTTTATAGGAGCTAGATTCTTTCCAGATCAGGGCTCAAATATCTGGTTCTTCTCTTCTTCCTAGATCCATGGAAGATTTACTTCTCAGCCCCCTTGATTTAGTTGGAACCATGTGACTAGTTTTAGCCAATGCCCCAAGAGTACAAGTTACATGTAGTTAAAAGCAGGTGTGGGTGCTCTATGCTCTCTCTTGCTCTGCTACAGTGACTCAGGAAGCTACACACAAAGATAGTAGATATATAGGGTAGAAAAAGTATGAATTTCTTAGTCATCACATGGGACAGCTGCCCACTAGAATTCTACAAGGAAGAAATAAACTTTGGTTGTGTTCAGCAGTTGAGATTTCAGTATCAATTTGTTACTGCAGCATGACCTAGCCTGTCCTGACTCTTTGCAACATCCCAGACTACTGATTGGGAGAAGAGGCTGGGAGAAGGGTAGAGCTTGGATGGAAATCCTTTTGTCTGTCTTTGGTACGCTGTCTTTGCATTTGATGCTCTTATGCACCCTCTTCCTCCCCTTCCCTCTCTTCTTCAGTTATCTGAAGACCTACCATGGCACTTTTCCTCTGCTCTGCCACTACAGACAGAAGGACTTGCCTGATGGCCTTGTTTCATAATCCATTGTAATTCAGAAAATATTAGGGCCAAAGCGGGGACCAGAGCCTATGCAGTTCAACATTCTCAATGAGCAGAGAAAGAACCTATGGCTTAGGAGGTAATATGAGTTGCCCAAAGCCACACAACACCTGGGCGACAGGACTCATACCCAGGTTTCCCGGCTCCAAGGCCCATATTTTCTCCTCTGTCTCTATCCATTGACCTGAATCCTAGTCTCATCTGGAGGGTTGATTGTCATGTTATTCTACATTTCTTGTGTCAAGAAAAAAGTTTTGAAATCTTGTAACTAGACAGGAAGTACAGTAGGTCCTTCAATGTTTTACCAGGGCATTGTTTAACAAACCGTTTTTAATTCTCAGAGAGAATGTACTTGTGCTTGACTATGGTATATGCTATTTGGTTAGCACCTAGGCACTGGGAAATGACATGTTTAGCTGCAGATTTCTGTCTGGCAAAAAAAAAAAAAAAAAAAGATAACCTCAAATATTATGCTGTTATTGCCCTGTAGGACATTAACCAGTTTTGATCTAGCCTAACAATCTTCCTTCTTTCTTTCTTTCCTTCCTTCCTTCCCTCCTCCTCTCTCTCTCTTTCATACTTTTTCCTGATGGACTATATCATTCTAAGTCATGAAGTGCTCTTGGAACCAATTTTACCATATTACTGGTCTCTCATTATTTAATTCAAAAGTTGAGTAAAATCTTTGGCACACATTCACCCTATATTGGTAAGAAAATTTATGTTTCTAACTTTTTGAAAATTATATGCTGACACTTGAGAGAAGTGTCCATGTTTTTTCAGCTTTGTACCACCATCACCTAGCATACTGTGTGACCTGGAACTGGAGGTCATAATGTTTACTGAATGAACAACGGAACCTGGGCCTATTCATCTAGGTTATAGATCTGCATATCAGCATTTTTAAAGTCTAGACTCAGCAGTGAAGCTCTGATATGGGAGTCTTGGGGTCCAGGAGAGTCTATTGGAGGAAAGGTTTGGGCTCTCACCAGCCATGACTGATCTTTCTCATAGGCATTAACTCCATCTTCACTCAGGAACATGGCACTTCTGTCCTGATGGCCTTCGAGACAGCTTTTGCTCAGTGGGAGAAGTTGGAATGGGTGTATTCCTCTAGGGCCCCTCTTGGACAGACCCAACTGCGACCTCTATATTCCTTTAGCAGTTAGGAGGGAGGTGGAGCTGCATTCCACTCACTCCTCCCTTCCCCCTGTGCTCCATCAGCTTAGCCACCACCTCTGATATTCAAGGGAGCCACATCAGGCAGCCCGAAGCCAGAATAGCTTGCTCTGCGCCCTCCTACTTGTTCTAATTATAGCCTTTAAACACAAGATCCCAGGCCTTTAAGACGAGGTTTATAATGGCGTCATTCCCTAGAAACTTTTATGGGGACTCTTTGGGTGGTTTTCCCTTCCACCTGGAAGCACTGCCAGGTCCTCAAAATCTTAAGGCTAGCTAGCTTTCCACATCCAATAAGCAGACCCTTCTGCCCAGAGGAAGGTCTTCCGAATGTCACCAAGAAGGCTTTCTTCAAAAGGAGCAGTGTCCTTTGCTTGTCCAGGAACTTCACTTGGGCTGAAGGAAATAGTTCATTCTGCCTTTCACGATTTCTCCCTTTCCAGCAGCCAGTGTTTATCATTCAGCGTGGGCCTTGGGATGGGACTGAGTGGATCGGAACTAAAGTAGCTGATTTATATTCAGAGCGGAGTTTAAATTAACTGCACAGAAGTCAAATCTCGCATTGCTCGTGTTTACTTTTTCTGAGCAGTGCTGAGGACTTATACTCTGGTCCATCCAAATTCCTAATGGGCCAAGTGCTCCAATTATAGATGATTTTGTGAACATCCGTAGCTTCTGAGCTGACGCTAGGATGATTCAGGAGAAGCTTTGGTGTCCTTCAGCCGGCTATGGGCAAGTGACACTGCAGAAGCATGGCTGCTCCAGGCTTAGAATGGCTTTGGGCAGGGCTGGGTGACTTTCGCAACTCTCCATGCCCCTTTCCCCAGCTGGATCTTCAGAACACAGAGGCCTTCAAAGGAACTGGGGTCCCTATTGGCACTTCAACCCTTGGTGGGGGAGTGGATGGTGGTATAGATGAAACAGGATTGGCCTGTTTGGGTCCATGTACTGATAAAGCTGAAGATATTGCAGGAGACAGATACATAAGGGTTATCGCACCATTCTCCCCACTTTGAATATGAGTGAACATTTCCATAGTTAAAAGTTGTGTACTATTTTCTTTTTTGATTGGAGAAACCTTCTTTTTCTAATTGGAAAGACCTTTTTATGTACCAGAGACCTGAGATCGAAGCAGCTTCAGAGAAGCCCCCATGGCCCAGGCAGACCCTACTCCTTCCCCATGCCCTGACTGTGATTAATAACCTGTCAGAGGAGCCAGGGGTCTGAAGCCAAGCTCTGCCACTGATGTCAAGGGGCAAACTGCTTGAACGAGAACTTTCTGAGCGGCTGACACTCTTGCTTGTGTATCCAGCAGTCACTCTGCCTTTGTTCTTGCTGACAGAGTGCCGCTGAGTTGAGCATATGCTTGGGGGAGGTGTGCCCAGACCCTGGGAATGCATCATGTCAGTGGGTAGTTAGGGGTGGCCACGTGACCCAGTGAAATGTCAGTGAAATGCAAGGAAAAGTTTTGGCGTGGGCTAGACTGCTGGGAAATCCTCTCTGTTAAACAAAAGGGTAGCTTTAGGGGAGGCCTTCTTTCCCCTGGTGCTTTGGCAAGCTGTCATTCCTTTCAAGGACCTATGGCCCCCTTCGTTTCACTTTCTACAACATTCCTCCTCCATCACACCCCCCAGCCACCCTGGCCCCTTTGCTTTTCTAGAACATACCAAGCACTCTTGCCTCAGGGCCTTTGCACTTGCTGTCTCCTAGGCTTTCCCTCCAGGTCTTCACTGGCTTCTCTTTCACATACTCCGGGTCTTTTCTCAGATGTCAGCTTTGCAGTGAGACTTTTCCTTGCCAAATTAAAACAAATCCTTACCCTTCTTCTCCTCCTCCTTTTCCCTTTTTTATTACTCTTCATAGCATACACCACTAACATACTGTGTTAGGTCCTTCTCGCACTGCTGTCAAGAAATACCTGAGGCTGGGTAGTTCATAGGAAAAGAGGCTTAATTGGCTCATGGTTCTGCAGGCTGTACAGGAAGTATAGTGGCCTCAGAAAGCTTCCAAACATGGCAGAAGGCAAATGGGGAGCAGGTGCATCCCACGGCCGGAGTGGGAGCAAGACAGAGAGCAGGGAGGTGCCACACACTTTTCAACAACCAGATCTTGTGCAAACTCAGAGTGAGAGCTCATTCATTACCAAGGGGGTGGCCCAAGCCATTCATGAGGGGTCTGCTTCCATGATCCAAACACCTCCCACCAAACCCCACCTCGCATACTGGGGATTACAATTCAACATGAGATTTGGGTGGAGATAGATATTCAAACTATGTCACATACCATGTAGTTTTCTTATTTATTTTGTTCATTGCCTCACCCAATCCCCAGAATAGAAGCTCCTGAGGGCAGGGATTTTTGTCAGTTTTATTCACGAATGTGTCCCCAGGACCTAGAAAAGTGTTTGACACACAGTAGCACTTATTAAATATTGGTTGAATGAATTAATGAAAGTTTGCTATGGTTGGAGCTTCAGCAGCCATTTTGTGACTGTGAGGAGGAATTGAAGAGAATCACAGAGAAACAGACCCACAGCTGTCACTGACCTGCTGTATTAACATCCCTGCCTGCTGAGTTATTCTTATTGAGGTAATAATGTCCTAATAGTTTAAGCCACTGTTAGTTGGGGAATGTTTTACTTTTGGCTGAAATTATCTTAAATGATACACCCTTCAAAGTTGTTGGGCTAACGACCAAAGGAGCCTTTGTCATTCTATCCCCAGAGGACTTAGGCTGTGGGCTCCAAGAGAGAGACAGGGTGCCCAGAGTCTGGTGTGTCTGGAATGTCATCAGCTGAGGAGGTGGGCAGTCTGGCCCCAAACTGCTCCTTGGTGTACTCAGGGTCTCAGTGTTTCCATCAATGCAATGGACATTATAATACTTTCAGTAGAAATACCCCTGGTGCTCAAGAAGTGACCTGCCTGCCAGCGTGTCCATTTTGTAAAGGAAGCGGTAGAGGCTGTGTGGCATTGCAGTGAGTCCCCTTTAGCCACACAGCCTGACAGCAAGACTGGGACACATGCCAAGGACTCGTGCCTTCTACATTGGTCTTCTTTCTCCCACTAGCTCCTGAAGCTCCACTTACTCCTGGGAGGGCTGGGGATTCTCAGAGCACCCCCGTCTCACACAGGGGAAGTGAGGAGTTGAAAATCACCTGGTCATCTCAATTTGCCTAGACGAGTAAAGCAAGTCACTGGCTGAGACTTGTGCCCACTACCAACAAGGTTGAGAAGATGGGACTCAATCTGGTTGCCACACAGTAACCAGAGGGTCCTTTTACAAGCTAACCATGGATCTCTGGCTCGAGAATCTTCCATTGATTTTAATTGCTCTGAAAATAAAACCCAAACTCCTTCACAAGACCTCCAAATACCCACTGGTCTGGCCCCGCTTACTCTCAGACTCACATCATCCTTCCTTCTTAATCTCACCAACTCCAGGCACAAACCTCCTCTCTGAACCTTTATAACCATTTTTTCTGTCTCCCCGGGGTGCTCTCCCCAGCCCTCTGCATGACTGACTGATTCTCAACCTTGAAGTCTCCACTCATGTATCTTTCTCTTTGGAGAAATGGTCTCCAATCTCCCTACTCAAAGTGGCAGTCCCCAGTTCCTCAATATCATCACCCTGTTTATTTTACCCATAGCACTTATCACGGTCTGTGGTGATCTCAGTTACCTGTTTACTTATTTATTGACTGTCTCTCCAATTAGACTGTCCTGGAGGGCAGGGACAGTTCTCTGCTCCTACCTACATCTATAGTGCCTCACTCAACACGCAGCACATGATAGGTACTCAATAATTGTACGGGGCGAATAAATGCAAGAAGGAATGGATGCTTGTGTTTACCTCAGTCACATGCCAGGTGGCCAGGCCCTGGCACAACACTGGCCTAAAGACCCTGTCATGGCCCTGGACAAACCAAATATGCCACAGCCACCACATATAGCAATGCTCCAGCTTACCTCAAAAGAAAGTGGGTCCAACAGATGAAGTTTGGATGTTGCTTTAACCAATGAAATGTAGGGGGAGTAACACATGTCACTCAGGGAGAAAGCAGAAAGGTCCAGTTGGGCCAAAACTGGTCCAACCCAACAAACCAGCCTGCCCTTTAGGGTGTGGAGCCACATCAAGCCAAAACCCCAGGTCCTGCCCTGGGCAATCCTGAACCTTATGACTGCAAAGAAGCTCTGTTCCCCCAGGTTTGTTCACCACTATTTGGGGGAAGTAAGGCCTAACCTCCTGCAGCCAACTGGGCAGTCGAGCGGTAACTGAGGGGGAGACAATGGGATGCTGGGCAGCACTGAGCAGCTGTCCTCCTGGGAGACGCCTCAGTGTTTCCTGCACTGGTCTGATTCATGGGAACTTAGGCAGAAGAGCATCCCATAAATCAAGTGTGTTTGGGGATTTCTGAGGACAAGGGAAATGGAAACCTTCACCTTATATAAAGGTGGACTTTGCAGTATTAGAAAGATAACCAGAAAGGTCACATATACCATTCCTCCTCACTCCACCCTCAGCAGGAGAATGGAAGCACAAATGCATACACACACATATACAGACAAATACACACATGCAGGCATATACACCATGCACCTACTCACAAATACATGCACATAAACTCACATATACACAATATACACACATACAATCACACAGTTACTCCCACACAAAAAAAGGCACATCTCTCTTCCTTCAAAACAATTTAATGTTTTGGGGAAAACTATTCTGAAATCAGAAATTCCCTGGCCTGTATCCTCACCATTAAGGGGGTCAGAATTGCCACACTGGGTCAGCTTCTTGGCTTTACCCAGGCCAAATTTCTGTCTCTGCTGGAAGTCCCAGGGAAGTGTTTAATGGAAAGATGGGGACGTTTTTCCTGATATCAAATTCTGAGTGTTCCCAATGTGAATGTATTAAGTTTCCCTTCATACGCTCCAATCTGGGTCTGTCATCCTTCTCTTAAATCTAGTTATAATTTCAGCTGCCAGTTTATTTCCCAAAGTGAAAGTAGCAAACAGGACTTTAATGAATCAATCAGCAAGCGCTGTTGTGCAAACAGGAGCTGGGTAAGAAATGGATATTGTACTGGGAAGCAGCAGTCCTGGTTCCCGGGTCTCCTGCACCACTAACTGGCTGAGAACCCAGGAGTCACGACCTCTGGAGGTCTTGGTGTCTGCATCTGCACATGTGAAAAATATTAATACTTCCCTGCCTGAAGATGGGCCTGAAGGTTGTCCCTGAGGCTGAACCGTCTGCCTAGCACTGTGTTCAATGCTGAGGAGCTTGTGAGTCTCAGCTCCTCCCCTTGAAGCTCTGAATCTTTCTGTGCTTATTCATAAAGTGTCAGGGGTGAGCATGGACCTTCCTCTTCTAACTCTTGAGGCGAGTTTTTGGTGTAAGGGACTCAGGTTCTCGAATCAACCTTACAGCAAACACTACTGGGGACTTCACAACTGTGCTGCTCCCCTTTCTTGCCAACAGAATTAGGTGACCTTGTGCTTCAGGGAGAATGGGTCCCTCATCTGCCCCAGGGAAAGGAGCTCAATCCGTCCAGCAAATCAATGTTGATTTTGTTCCCTTGGATACTTGAGTGGGCATGTGACACAGATCTGGTCAAGGAGGCTTGAAGGAAACTCCACTGCAGAAAGGAGACTTCTGGAAAGGCTGTGCTCATTCTTAGCAAGGGACACGTGAAAGGGAAGCTCTCTCTCTCTCTCTCTCTCTCTCTCTGACCCTTGGATATTTCTGTGTGAGGATGTGATGGCTGGAGCTGCTGACGCTATTTTGTCCCTCTAAGGGGAGGAAATGAAGTGCTGGCCATGGCAGGTGGAAAAACATCTGAGTCCTCAAGGACATCATTGAGCTTCAGAATTGTCCAAACTTGCAATTACTCTGTTTTCAGACTTTTTTCTGCAGGAGATAATATATGTCCTTATTGTTGAGCCACTTTCTGATGGATTTTCTTTTCCCCACAGCCAATAGCATCTTAACTGTATTGGTCAGGTTAAGTTAGGTCGTGCATGATGACAACCATGCTCACACCCCAGGGGTTTTATACAAGTTAATTTCTCACTCAGGTGCCATGCCCCTTGGGGATTGGCAGGGGAGCTCTGCCCATCTCAGCTGCTCAGGGATCTGGCTATGGGAGGCTGGGAAGAGAGTCTTGGGAATGGCACACTGGCCCTAGAAGCTTTCTCCCTGAGTGACACGTGTCACTCCCCACACATTTCACTAGTTAAAGCAAGTCAAACAGATATGCCATATTTCAAAAGTGTGCCACCTGCCCAGAGAGTGAAAGCTGGAATGATGTTGGGGAAGACACTAATTCTACCACAGTAACTGACATAAACTCTAAAAACAGGAAGTCATATGGTGCCAGACCAACAATTTAACTTCCTTGAACTTTGGTTTCTTCATCTATAAAATTTAATTTCTTTGAATGCTTCCTGTTTTTCCACTGTGGTGAGGTTACAATGAGTAATACATATGAAGGTGTTTTTAAAAACAGAATAAAGCCTATGGGAGCGAGTGGCCGAGGAGGTGTTCGTGCCATCTCAGCACAGATCACCAGATATCTCCATCAATGCTTCGATCAGATGTGCAACTTTCTCAGTCTCTGCCACACGTCTGCAGCCAGGCCACTTTGGAGACACTGGATATGTTCTATTTCCAGGATAAAACAGAGAAAGATGTTTATTCTGGAGGTGGAGGTAGAGGTGGGAGACGGTGGGAGACAGGAAATGGGGTAGGAATTATTCTCCCTATGGCACTTCTGAGAGGCTGGAACAGTCAGCTCAGGCTGCCATAACAAAAGACCACAGACGAGTTGGCTGAGATATCAAGAATTCACTTCCTCTCAGTTCTAGAGGCTGGAAGTTCCAAAATGAAAGTGTTGGCAGGTAGCTTTCTTCTGAGGCCTCTCTCCTTGGCTTGCAAGCGGCTGCCTTCCTACTGCCCTTGCGGGGCCGGCCCTCTCTCCACTCACATGGTAGGGTCTCTTTTTGTGTCCCAATTTCCTTTTCTTATGAGGACACCAGTTAGACTGCACTAGGGGCGTCCTTAACTGCCTCATTTAACTTAATCACCCCTTTGAAGACCCTGTCTCCAAATACAGTTCCATTCTGAGGTCCTGGGGTTAGGACTCCGACATCTGAGATTTGGGGTTGGGAGACGCGACTCAGCCCATAACACAGGCTGTTCTTTTCCTCTCAGTGAGAAGATGTCCACAGGAAAACACATGCTAACTTCCACTGCAAGTGAGAGAGAAGGAGCAGATCAGGGAGAAGGGAAGGAAGAGAAGAAGGAAAAAGGAAAGATCCCTGGGAGGGGCAGGGATGAGGCACACAGCCATCCGCAGAGGGCTTCAGTGGGTGTGGGCATCACTCAGCTCTAAGGGCCCACCCACCCGGACATCAGGGCCAAATCTACAGACAACAACAGACACAGAAGCAAAGAGAGTCCACTGAAGCCACTTCAGGCCAAGGTATGGTGCCAGCTTGCTGTGTGCAGAGGGATTGGTGGTAATGAAAGCCAGTGCCGGAAGGAGGAGCCAAGATGGCCGAGTAGGAACAGCTCCGGTCTACAGCTCCCAGCGTGAGCGACGCAGAAGACGGGTGATTTCTGCATTTCCATCTGAGGTACCGGGTTCATCTCACTAGGGAGTGCCAGACAGTGGGCTCAGGCCAGTGTGTGCGCGCACCGTGCGCGAGCCAAAGCAGGGCAAGGCATTGCCTCACCTGGGAAGCGCAAGGGGTCAGGGAGTTCCCTTTCCGAGTCAAAGAAAGGGGTGACGGATGCACCTGGAAAATCGGGTCACTCCCACCCGAATATTGCGCTTTTCAGACCGGCTTAAAAAACGGCGCACCATGAGACTATATCCCACACCTGGCTCAGAGGGTCCTACACCCACGGAATCTCGCTGATTGCTAGCACAGCAGTCTGAGATCAAACTGCAAGGCGGCAAAGAGGCTGGGGGAGGGGCGCCCGCCATTGCCCAGGCTTGTTTAGGTAAACAAAGCAGCCGGGAAGCTCGAACTGGGTGGAGCCCACCACAGCTCAAGGAGGCCTGCCTGCCTCTGTAGGCTGCACCTCTAGGGGCAGGGCACAGACAAACAAAAAGACAGCAGTAACCTCTGCAGACTTAAGTGTCCCTGTCTGACAGCTTTGAAGAGAGCAGTGGTTCTCCCAGCACGCAGCTGGAGATCTGAGAATGGGCAGACTGCCTCCTCAAGTGGGTCCCTGACCCCTGACCCCCGAGCAGCCTAACTGGGAGGCACCCCCAAGCAGAGGCATACTGACACCTCACACGGCAGGGTATTCCAACAGACCTGCAGCTGAGGGTCCTGTCTGTTAGAAGGAAAACTAACAACCAGAAAGGACATCTACGCCAAAAACCTATCTGTACATCACCATCATCAAAGACCAAAAGTAGATAAAACCACAAAGATGGGGAAAAAACAGAACAGAAAAACTGGAAACTCTAAAACGCAGAGCGCCTCTCCTCCTCCAAAGGAACGCAGTTCCTCACCAGCAACGGAACAAAGCTGGATGGAGAATGATTTTGACGAGCTGAGAGAAGAAGGCTTCAGACGATCAAATTACTCTGAGCTACGGGAGGACATTCAAACCAAAGGCAAAGAAGTTGAAAACTTTGAAAAAAATTTAGAAGAATGTATAACTAGAATAACCAATACAGAGAAGTGCTTAAAGGAGCTGATGGAGCTGAAAACCAAGGCTCGAGAACTACGTGAAGAATGCAGAAGCCTCAGGAGCCGATGCGATCAACTGGAAGAAAGGGTATCAGCAATGGAAGATGAAATGAATGAAATGAAGCGAGAAGGGAAGTTTAGAGAAAAAAGAATAAAAAGAAATGAGCAAAGCCTCCAAGAAATATGGGACTATGTGAAAAGACCAAATCTACGTCTGATTGGTGTACCTGAAAGTGATGTGGAGAATGGAACCAAGTTGGAAAACACTCTGCGGGATATTATCCAGGAGAACTTCCCCAATCTAGCAAGGCAGGCCAACGTTCAGATTCAGGAAATACAGAGAACGCCACAAAGATACTCCTCGAGAAGAGCAACTCCAAGACACATAATTGTCAGATTCACCAAAGTTGAAATGAAGGAAAAAATGTTAAGGGCAGCCAGAGAGAAAGGTCGGGTTACCCTCAAAGGAAAGCCCATCAGACTAACAGCGGATCTCTCGGCAGAAACCCTACAAGCCAGAAGAGAGTGGGGGCCAATATTCAACATTCTTAAAGAAAAGAATTTTCAACCAGAATTTCATATCCAGCCAAACTTAGCCTTGTAAGTGAAGGAGAAATAAAATACTTTATAGACAAGCAAATGCTGAGAGATTTTGTCACCACCAGGCCTGCCCTAAAAGAGCTCCTGAAGGAAGCGCTAAACATGGAAAGGGACAACCGGTACCAGCCACTGCAAAATCATGCCAAAATGTAAAGACCATTGAGACTAGGAAGAAACTGCATCAACTAATGAGCAAAATCACCAGCTAACATCATAATGACAGGATCAAATTCACACATAACAATATTAACTTTAAATATAAATGGACTAAATTCTGCAATTAAAAGACACAGACTGGCAAGTTGGATAAAGAGTCAAGACCCATCAGTGTGCTGTATTCAGGAAACCCATCTCACGTGCAGAGACACACATAGGCTCAAAATAAAAGGATGGAGGAAGATCTACCAAGCAAATGGAAAACAAAAAAAAGGCAGGGGTTGCAATCCTAGTCTCTGATAAAACAGACTTTAAACCAACAAAGATCAAAAGAGACAAAGAAGGCCATTACATAATGGTAAAGGGATCAATTCAACAAGAGGAGCTAACTATCCTAAATATTTATGCACCCAATACAGGAGCACCCAGATTCATAAAGCAAGTCCTGAGTGACCTACAAAGAGACTTAGACTCCCACACATTAATAATGGGAGACTTTAACACCCCACTGTCAACATTAGACAGATCAACGAGACAGAAAGTCAACAAGGATACCCAGGAATTGAACTCAGCTCTGCACCAAGCGGACCTAATAGACATCTACAGAACTCTCCACCCCAAATCAACAGAATATACATTTTTTTCAGCACCACACCACACCTATTCCAAAATTGACCACATAGTTGGAAGTAAAACTCTCCTCAGCAAATGTAAAAGAACAGAAATTATAACAAACTATCTCTCAGACCACAGTGCAATCAAACTAGAACTCAGGATTAAGAATCTCACTCAAAGCCGCTCAACTACATGGAAACTGAACAACCTGCTCCTGAATGACTACTGGGTACATAACGAAATGAAGGCAGAAATAAAGATGTTCTTTGAAACCAACGAGAACAAAGACACCACATACCAGAATCTCTGGGACGCATTCAAAGCAGTGTGTAGAGGGAAATTTATAGCACTAAATGCCTACAAGAGAAAGCAGGAAAGATCCAAAATTGACACCCTAACATCTCAATTAAAAGAACTAGAAAAGCAAGAGCAAACACATTCAAAAGCTAGCAGAAGGCAAGAAATAACTAAAATCAGAGCAGAACTGAAGGAAATAGAGACACAAAAAACCCTTCAAAAAATCAATGAATCCAGGAGCTGGTTTTTTGAAAGGATCAACAAAATTGATAGACCGCTAGCAAGACTAATAAAGAATAAAAGAGAGAAGAATCAAATAGACACAATAAAAAATGATAAAGGGGATATCACCACCAATCCCACAGAAATACAAACTACCATCAGAGAATACTACAAACACCTCTATGCAAATAAACTAGAAAATCTAGAAGAAATGGATACATTCCTCGACACATACACTCTCCCAAGACTAAACCAGGAAGAAGTTGAATCTCTGAATAGACCAATAACAGGCTCTGAAATTGTGGCAATAATCAATAGTTTACCAACCAAAAAGAGTCCAGGACCAGATGGATTCACAGCCGAATTCTACCAGAGGTACAAGGAGGAACTGGTACCATTCCTTCTGAAACTATTCCAATCAATAGAAAAAGAGGGAATCCTCCCTAACTCATTTTATGAGGCCAGCATCATTCTGATACCAAAGCCGGGCAGAGACACAACCAAAAAAGAGAATTTTAGACCAATATCCTTGATGAACATTGATGCAAAAATCCTCAATAAAATACTGGCAAACCGAATCCAGCAGCACATCAAAAAGCTTATCCACCATGATCAAGTGGGCTTCATCCCTGGGATGCAAGGCTGGTTCAATATACACAAATCAATAAATGTAATCCAGCATATAAACAGAGCCAAAGACAAAAACCACATGATTATCTCAATAGATGAAGAAAAAGCCTTTGACAAAATTCAACAACCCTTCATGCTAAAAACTCTCAATAAATTAGGTATTGATGGGACGTATTTCAAAATAATAAGAGCTATCTATGACAAACCCACAGCCAATATCATACTGAATGGGCAAAAACTGGAAGCATTCCCTTTGAAAACTGGCACAAGACAGGGATGCCCTCTCTCACCACTCCTATTCAACATAGTGTTGGAAGTTCTGGCCAGGGCAATTAGGCAGGAGAAGGAAATAAAGGGTATTCAATTAGGAAAAGAGGAAGTCAAATTGTCCCTGTTTGCAGACGACATGATTGTTTATCTAGAAAACCCCATTGTCTCAGCCCAAAATCTCCTTAAGCTGATAAGCAACTTCAGCAAAGTCTCAGGATAAAAAATCAATGTACAAAAATCACAAGCATTCTTATACACCAACAACAGACAAACAGAGAGCCAAATCATGAGTGAACTCCCATTCACAATTGCTTCAAAGAGAATAAAATACCTAGGAATCCAACTTACAAGGGATGTGAAGGACCTCTTCAAGGAGAACTACAAACCACTGCTCAAGGAAATAAAAGAGGACACAAACAAATGGAAGAACATTCCATGCTCATGGGTAGGAAGAATCAATATCATGAAAATGGCCATACTGCCCAAGGTAATTATAGATTCAATGCCATCCCCATCAAGCTACCAATGACTTTCTTCACAGAATTGGAAAAAACTACTTTAAAGTTCATATGGAACCAAAAAAGAGCCCGCATCGCCAAGTCAATCCTAAGCCAAAAGAACAAAGCTGGAGGCATCACACTACCTGACTTCAAACTATACTACAAGGCTACAGTAACCAAAACAGCATGGTACTGGTACCAAAACAGAGATATAGATCAATGGAACAGAACAGAGCCCTCAGAAATAATGCCGCATATCTACAACTATCTGATCTTTGACAACCCTGAGAAAAACAAGCAATGGGGAAAGGATTCCCTATTTAATAAATGGTGCTGGGAAAACTGGCTAGCCATATGTAGAAAGCTGAAACTGGATCCCTTCCTTACACCTTATACAAAAATCAATTCAAGATGGATTAAAGATTTAAACGTTAGACCTAAAACCATAAAAACCCTAGAAGAAAACCTAGGCATTACCATTCAGGACATAGGCATGGGCAAGGACTTCATGTCCAAAACACCAAAAGCAATGGCAACAAAAGCCAAAATTGACAAATGGGATCTAATTAAACTAAAGAGCTTCTGCACAGCAAAAGAAACTACCATCAGAGTGAACAGGCAACCTACAACATGGGAGAAAATTTTCACAACCTACTCATCTGACAAAGGGCTAATATCCAGAATCTACAATGAACTCAAACAAATTTACAAGAAAAAAACAAAGAACCCCATCAAAAAGTGGGCGAAGGACATGAACAGACACTTCTCAAAAGAAGACATTTATGCAGCCAAAAAACACATGAAAAAATGCTCATCATCACTGGCCATCAGAGAAATGCAAATCAAAACCACTATGAGATATCATCTCACACCAGTTAGAATGGCAATCATTAAAAAGTCAGGAAACAACAGGTGCTGGAGAGGATGTGGAGAAATAGGAACACTTTTACACTGTTGGTGGGACTGTCAACTAGTTCAACCATTGTGGAAGTCAGTGTGGCGATTCCTCAGGGATCTAGAACTAGAAATACCATTTGACCCAGCCATCCCATTACTGGGTATATACCCAAAGGACTATAAATCATGCTGCTATAAAGACACATGCACATGTATGTTTATTGCGGCATTATTCACAATAGCAAAGACTTGGAACCAACCCAAATGTCCAACAATGATAGACTGGATTAAGAAAATGTGGCACATATACACCATGGAATACTATGCAGCCATAAAAAATGATGAGTTCATGTCCTTTGTAGGGACATGGATGAAATTGGAAACCATCATTCTCAGTAAACTATCGCAAGAACAAAAAACCAAACACCGCATATTCTCACGCATAGGTGGGAATTGAACAATGAGATCACATGGACACAGGAAGGGGAATATCACACTCTGGGGACTGTGGTGGGGTCGGGGGAGGGGGGAGGGATAGCATTGGGAGATATACCTAATGCTAGATGACACGTTAGTGGGTGCAGCGCACCAGCATGGCACATGTATACATATGTAACTAACCTGCACAATGTGCACATGTACCCTAAAACTTAAAGTATAATAAAAAAAAAAAAAAAAAAAGGAAGCCAGTGCCGAGAAGTTTACTTACGGCTATAGTTGCAGAAGATATTCATAATTAATTGTGTAGGTTTAAGTGCTTATGAAAGTTTATTTATAATCTTAACTGTAGTCCCTGCATTAGGTTTATCTTAAACAGAATCCTAATTTGGGAACTTAGGAAGATATGCATCAGCTGGTCTGTTTCAATCTGGGTGAGCTCTGCTCTTCCTGTGGGCTCTTACGGCCTCTACCTGAGGCGGGCGGATCACAAGGTCAAGAGATCGGGACCATCCTGGCCAACATGGTGAAACCCTGTCTCTACTAAAAATACAAAAATTAGCTGGGCGTGGTGGTGCACGCCTGTAGTCCCAGCTACTTGGGAGGCTGAGGCAGGAGAATTCCTTGAACCAGGGAGGTGAAAGTTGCAGTGAGCCGAGATCGTGCCACTGCACTCCAACGTGGCGATAGAGTGAGACTCTGTCTCAAAAACAACAACAACAACAACAACTATATATATATATTATATATATATATATAATATATATATTATACATATATATATTTAACATTGTGATGATGATTTGTTCCAGGTGAAGAGTGAATGTGGTGCTATCATTGGCTTTTTAGTCCCTGTTATGGACTCAATAGTGACCTCTCAAAATTTGTATTTTGAAATCCTAACCCCCACTACCTCAGAACATGACTGTATTTGGAGATAAGGTATTTAAAGAGGAAATTAAGTTCACATGAGGTGATTAGGGTACCCTCTAATTTGACATAACTGGGGTCCTCTTAAGAAGAGATTAGCACACAGACACACACAGAGGGACAACTGCATGGAGAAGAGGGCTGGCTGTAAGCTAAGGAGAAAGGTGTCAGGAGAAACAATCCTGCTGACAATGTGTTCTCAGACTTCCAGCCTCCACAACTGTAAGAACATAAATTTCTGCTGGTTAAGCCACCCAGGCTATGGTAATTTGTTACAGCAATGCGAGCAGACGAATATGGTCCCTGAGATTCCAAGACCTAAAAGAGAGGATGGTGCACAGCCAAAGAAATAAATTCAGAACTATGAAGTGGTTGTGTCCATTATCTGAGCTGCCCCCATGCAGAGCTGGGTGACCCACTGTGCAGAAGCAGCAAGCTCTTGGGGAAAAACAAGGAGAAGAAAAAAGTAACTTTAAAAATACTTGACTTTTTAATCTTTCCCCCAAAAGTCATTCAAGTAACCAGCAGGGAGAAAAGAGAATTTTATTGGACCTTCTTGCTGTTATTTTACAAATTACTGTTGGGCCAGGGACATCTAAATCATGATTCAGGACTTTAGAGAAATCTTCCCTTAAATGAGGCAGGTGAGTTTGTACCTATCACATGAAGTAGAGACTTGGAGGAGATGATTCAGTTAAATGAGGCCCCAAACATTGAATATGTAGAACATCTAGATGATGGATGTAGAGGTAATTCCTGTAAGGTCCTGGTATTTCCCTGCCTTTGGGTCACAAAATCCAGCCTCAGCCTAGTGTTGCCTCACAAAGGACTTTGTCCAACTGCAGACAGAAGGTGAGGATGAAACGATTTTTATTGTTATTGTCATAATTAATCCTTTAATTATGGTCTCCTTTCATCGTGTCAATATCCTGCCTTTTTCTCCCCTCCTTCTCTTTTAAATCTCATTCGTTGGGCTGGTTTCTCCAAGCTCTACCAGCTCAAATTTTAATTAAATTGAGTCACAAGCCTTGAATCTCTAATGAGCCCCTCTTCCAAATTCCATTAGAAATCAGAGTTGCTGCACTCTCTGTGGTGTTGTTCATTAGCACGGTATTATTTTTTGAATACAGACACCCTTGTTCTGAGCCTTTTTGCTGTTAGTTGATATTCAGATATGAAATTACTCCTTTCTCACATTTTGCAAAGGTGTAAGTGGCAATGGCATTGAAGATATCAAAATGGAACAAGCAAAAAGTACATGAGCGGAACCTACCTCAATCCTGAGAAAGGATTAGCCATTTATCCTACACCATCAGAGACGGGGGCCTGGGGAGTGGGGAGGCATACTGGGGATCTTTTCAGATGACTGAGAGCTCTCCTTCTCAAAACAAGACTTCTTTTGTTTGAACAAGTTAAAAATGACAGTTTCCTAAAATGCATTCTCTTCTTAAACAGAGGATCTGAAGCCCAGATCAATGCTGTCTTGGTGCTTCGGACCCAGCCTCATATTGAGTGAGCAGCTGAGATTTGGTAGGGGGGATTCCTCCATCATTTGCTGGGTTACGGCCCTGCTCTGGAAAGTTGAGGTGCCTCAAATTGGACTTCCAGAAAAGTCTGGAGGAATGGGAAGAGAGTGGGTCACTGCATTCACTCTTCACCCTGCTGCAGAATGTGAGAGAACCTCAACAATCATCAAGTCCAGCGCCACAATTTCACAGATTAGAAACACAAGGAGGTATTTGGTCAAGGACACAATGGAGTTGTGGCAGAGGTGGGCATGGAGCCAGCCCTGACCCAGAGCCTGTGCTTTTCCTGATCTGGAGCAGGTGGCTCACCACACAGGCAGCTTCCACCAGGCACAGTCTCAACACCTATCCAGTTCTCTGCCGCCACAAGGAAGTGGATCATCACCTGGGGACAGAGACAAGAGACAGGACCGTATGACCTTAACCAGATGATCACTCTTACTGGAAGACAATGACATTCTTCCTGGCTCTCTTGTCTAAATACATTTCCTCATCCCCAGGTCCCCTCCACACACTCACTCTTATGATTATTCACCAATGTTTTATATATTTATTATTCATATAGTCCTTTCATCCAAGTTCATTTTTAAAACTTTTTAGCTTTTCAAAGACACATTTTTAAGCATATGCAAACATGAAAGAATAGGGTAATGAATCTTCACGTGCCTTCGCTCTGGTTCAGGAATCACCCACTTATAGCCAATCCTTTCTCTTATCTCCCCACCTGCTTCCCAGCCCAGCCCAGAGATTGTGTCACTTCATCTGAAAGTGTTTCCAGTGTTTCAGTAGGCATCTCTAAAATGCTACCATTGGCCAGGCATGGTGGCTCGCGCTCATAATCCCAGCACTTTGGGAGGCCGAGGCAGGTGGATCACCTGGGGTCAGGAGTTCAAGACCAGCCTGGCCAACATGGTGAAATCTTGTTTCTACTAAAAATATAAAAATTAGCTGGGTGTGGTGGTGCACACTTGTAGTCTCAGCTACTCGGGAGGCTGAGGCACGAGAATCGCTTGAACTCGGGAGGTGGAGTTTGCAGTGAGCTGAAATTATGCCACTGCACTCCAGCCTGGGTGACAGAGCAAAACTCTGTCTCTAAATAAATAAATAATGCTACTGTTGGGCAGACATGGTGGCTCATGCCTGTAATCCCAGCACTTTGGGAGGCCAAGGCAGGCGATCACTTGCGGTCAGGAGTTTGAGACCAGCCTGGCCAACACGGTAAAATCCTGTCTCTTCTAAAAATATAAAAATTAGCCAGGTATGGTGGTGCATGCCTGAAATCCCAGCTACTTGGGAGACTGAGGCATGAGAATTGCTTGGACCTGGGAGGTGGAGCTTGCAGTGAGCCCAGATCATGCCACTACACTCCAGACTGGGTGACAGAGTGAGATTCTGTCTGAAAAAAAACAAAACAAAACAAAAGCTACTGTTGTTAGCGTTTTTGTTTTCTAATATTAATTTGCTTTTTAAAAGATAAATATAAGAATCCTTTCTCCTGCTTTTTTTTTGGTTTACTTTTTTTCCTTTTTGTAGATTTTTGAGTTGGTCTTTAATTAATTAATTTATGTTTTTATTTTCACTGAGACATGAAATGCTGTCAATTTCTTTCTGACTCCATAGCATCCAATATATTTTCATCATTATTTTTAAGAAATGCTGTAATTCTGTTTTATATTTCTCCTTTGACTCAAAAATTATTTAACAGTAAGATGTTTTTTCTTTCTAAATTTCCGAGCATAAGAGCCTTTGCTTTGTTATATGTTTCTAGTTTTACTGCATTGTGACCAAAGAATGTTGTTTTTATATAATTTCAGTTTCTTAGAATGCATTGAGGGTTTTTTTGGAGTCCTAAGACATGGTCAATTACTGTGAAAGTTACGTGTATATTTCCTATTATCAGGCTTCAGAATTTGATATAGATCTTTATATTTATCTTATTGATTCTGCTGTATAGGTCTTCTATATTATCACCAATTTTTAAAATCCATTTGATTTTCTTATACTGAGAGTGTTATATGAAATTTCCCCTAGTATGGTGTGTCTGTTTACTTCTTCTTTCATCTCCGATAGCTTCTTCTTTGTAAAACGAACAAACAAAAAAACCTGCTGATTGGGTGTGTGGATATTAATAACCTCACCAGCATTGTAGACTTCAGCACAATTAAAGAGTTCATGATGTTTCTTTTAATGCTTTTTGATGTGAATTCTACTTTGTTAGGTATTAAAATTACAATTCTTAATTTTTTTATGTGTAGTTGACTGTTATGTCTTTGTCTAACCTTTTATTTGAACTTTTCTGAATCTGTCTTATGATTTCATGGCATTGGGCTTTGCTTTATTAGCCAATCTGAAATCCCATGAGCTATAGTGTCAGCTCTGTCCCACTGCATGCATGTTTGTGTGTTTTAAGAGTCTTTCACTACGTGGCCTATTTAGTTTGCTGTCTTTTGTTAATATATCTTTTTGTTTTTAGGAAAGTTTGCATTTTTGTTCTGAAGGTTACTATGACTAACATCCTCATATCATACTTTATATTAGCTGCCCCCCTTTAAGATCACTTCTTATCTATTGGTCCCCTCTTATAAACAATATTGAAACTAGCTAGTTAAGTGTTTTTATCCTTTCTTTTTGTCTATACTTCAGCATTGATATGAAGTAATATCCTTTTCCTTTCAGTTAATAACTCTAAGAAAATTAGCACGTTTATTTTATTTTTCAGGTATTTCCCCATTTTAATGATTGTATTGTATCTACAATGGCAGGGCATATGGCCATTACAATACTGTCTCCCTTAAAAGCATCCTTTATTTTAGATCCATAGTTAACATATATTTAATATTTACCACCAGTCCTCACTTTGATGACTCTTTAGTCAACCAACACTTTTGGATGTTTGAAATTGTTTGATGACAAATTCCTGAGAAAAGAACCATAAGAACAAAATTTCCTCTGTTCTTCCTTAGTAATAATAATTGTTGTGTTATATCTTATACTTAAAGGTTATTTCGCTGAATATAGAAGTCCACAGAGTGTTGCTGTTGAACTCTGATGACAATTTGATTTTCTTTCTCTTAGAGATGAGATTATCTTTTTGTCTGAATTCCCACTGAATGTATTTTTTTTCTTTTAAAGTTCAATAGTTTTATTACACCCTGTCTCAGTGTTGCCATTTTGGGTCAAATTTTCTAGGTATGTGCTATGTTCTTTCAATATGTGCTTTAAGTCTTCTGTTTTTTAATTTCAGTAATTTTTTTATTTATTTATGGATTTTGGCATTAGTTCTCTTCCATTGCTTTGGCTGTCTTCTTTGTGACCTCCTCTTATACGTAGGTTGGATCATTTTTTTCCTATTTTCTATATCTATTACATTTTCTTGAACACTCTAAAAACTTCTTTCTGTTTCTTCTTGATATTTAAAATGTTCTATTTTTCACCTTCTGTTGGTCTTAAGGCATTATCCACTGTCATCTGTCAGCCTTGTGTTCATTCTAGTTTAGTTTTGATTTCCTGTTTTTTCTTTTACTTCTAATTCTTTTCTGAATGCTAACCACCCCCCTTTTCAAATCTTCCTTTCTCCAGTGAACTCATTTCCGAGCTTTTCTAATTTATTTTAATGTGGTCCTCTCTATCCTTTAAAACATTGTTAGCACACTTGGAATATTAGGGTGTCGTTTCACATGGTTTGTGGGCATATCTTTTTCATCTGCCTTCATCATTTGTGTAGGGACATGATTCTGTTCCTGGTGTGTGTGTTTTCTTATAATGACTTTGTATTCTTTGGCAATCCTTTTCTGTTGCTCATTTTTAAGGGAAATGACTCTTCTTGTACTTTTTAGAGGGTGCATAGGCCAGCTCTTCACAGCTCTAGTCTCCTTCTTCTGTTGTTTATATGAAGAAATCAAAAACATAGGCTTTCTACTTTGTAGTACCTGCCTCCTCTAATTCTTTTCCTTGGATATTTTCCTTCCTTTGCCTCTATTGTCCTTGTCTTGCTTAATTTGAACTCTACCCATGGCAACTTCTTCTCAGGGCATATTTCATTTGGTTTTTATGAGTTCCCAGGACACACTCTATACCAATGCTCTTAAACCTTACTGAGGGCCCTGAGTGCTCACCCATTAATTGGATTCTGCACACCCCCACTTCTAGTTTCAGGCACTGTGGTCAAATGGGCATGCTGTGTATCTAGTGAGTACCTATGGGGACTTTGGAGTTCTGTTGCCAAGGCCATCAGAGGCCCCTTGTCTTCTTTCTGCACAAATACTCATAGCAACCAGGGCTTGTAGCTGACAGTGGTTTGTCCTTACCTATTCATATTTTGGAGCTTGTGAACATATCTTTTCACTCAGTTTGGTTGTTATATAGCACATAAGTTTTTATTGTGTTATTCTGATTGTTATATGTGCTTTCATATGGGAGACTTAGAAAAATTTTAAAACTCCTCTGCTACAGCTATTTTCCCAGAATCCATCCCAAGGCATATGAACATGGGTAGGCTGCTGGTTTCTGATCCTAAACTCCTTGAAGACAGGGAGACTGATCATCTGTGTCCAGGAGCACTATACAAGGATAGGTTTAAAATTTTGTTAACTGATCATAAAAGTAATACATTATTATTCCTCCAAATTTGGAAAATACAGAATAGTGTATAGGAAGAAAATTAACATCACCAGGTATACTACTACCTGAAATAGTGATAACCCCTGCTAACAGTCTGGTGTTTTACCTTCCAGTCTTTTATTCAAAGAAATTTAAAAAATATATGTTTATATATATATGTATATATATGTGTATACATAGAGATGTGTGTGTATATATACACATGTATATACACATGTATATATATACATGTATATACACGTGTATATATATGTGTATATACACATGTATATATATACACACACACACACACACACACATATATATTTAATTGAGATCATAATGCAACAACCAGAGACCCACTCAATTTACTCTAGAGAAAAGGAGATTATTATAAAGAAATTTAATGGAATGTTACCAGCAACAGCGGCTGCTTTAGGAACCAGAGATTCCCACAGTTTCTCTCCTGGGCCACGTGCTCTTCTCTCTAGCTTCTCTATTTCTCTTATGTCTGTTCCATTACAATTTCATAATTCTGTGGTGTATCTTGGCTTCTCTCTACACTACAGTCTTCCAGACTTAGCTCCTACTAGTCACGGACTCATTTTCTGGACATTTCGTAGTCCAGATTCCCCAGAGAGAACATCTGATTGTCCCACCTTATCTCATCATAGCATTCAGAGGCTCATCTGTTTCCAAACAGTTATTATTCAGAGAAGGCAGTGCTACATGATGGGGAACAAGGATCCCTAAGGATCTGCAGAGGCTGCAAGTGATGCAAGTACAGTGATGGATAATAAACTATACACACACACACACTCACATGCATATACACGTATGCAGATGTGTATATATAACATATATATATATTGTTTGGTATGGCTGACATTTCTTAGTAATTATTTATAATTCTAGCACATATATGTGTAGCTATGATTCTTTACAATCTTTTTTAATGAAGAAAATGTTTTTTTAATTGATACCTATTAGATGTACATATTTTGGGGGTACATGTGATAATGTGATACATTCATATAGTCAAATCAGGGTAACTGGGATATCCATCACCTTAAATACTTATCATTATGCTGGAATATTCAAATTGTTCTCTCCTAGCTCTTTTGAGATGTACAATCAATTAAGGTTAACTATACTTAGGCTGCTGATCTATTGACAATCTTTATATCCATGATTTGAAAATGGCAAGTCAAAGTTTTTAAACTTTTTTTTTACTGTGAAATATAACACATGTACAGAAAAGCATCAAATATAAATCTGCAGCTTAAGAAATTACTATAGCATAAACACCAGTTAACCAACACCCAGGTCAAGAGACAGAGCCTTGTCAGCAGTCAGAAGCCCCCAGTTACCCGCCAACCTTCACTAAGCCCCCAGCTTTCTTTGTTGCTCCTGAATCCCCAGTATGACATGACATGTTAGGTGTCAACTTTTTACTCTTTTGAGGAGATACTTTGATCTCCTGATGGTAAAGACAGAGAGTGACATCTAACTCTGAGCCAATCTGTGCCCTGCTGCTTAATTCAAATGTCTAGACTGAGGAATTTCTGTTTCCCCAAAGGAAACAGAAATTCTAAGTGATGGTATTCCAGATATTCCTCACTGAACAGGGATTATTTAGAAGAGTGGTTCTCAAAATTTGGTGGGTCTCAGGACCATGGATTGAAATCAGCTTGCTAAAAAATATGAGTGCCTGTGCCCCAGTCCTAGAGATGCTGACTCAGTAGGTCTGGGTTGGGCCTGGGCAACTGTGTTTTTAAAAAGCCTCCCAGGTGGGCCAGATGCTCATGAAATTCTGTGCATCACTGATTAAGGAGACTGCATCTTTCTATCTCCAGGGTCGCTGCTGATACAGTTGCTTAAGAGGTGAGGTGCACCCATGGGCCTGGTGCAAGGCTAGAGAGCCCTTTGATGAAACGATAACATCCTTGTCTTCAATTGGTCATAAATATGAAAGACACACTTTATGGATGTTAGTGAAGGTGCTGGTTTCAGAAGTAAAGGCACCAGAAATGCTTCAGAGATTTTACCAGAAAATCGTCTGCCAACTTCCTCGTGGTACCTAGAATGCTTAAGGGACTGACTCCAATGGTGCAACGGTGTCTACCTGCTTCTGCCACAGAGGTTTTGGTAATGGCCTCTTCTGACAATAGAGGAAAATTGTCCTTTGAATTGATAACCCTACTTGGGAGGCTTATACTGAGAAAAAAAAAAAAAGCATTGGAAACATGGGACAAGTCTGATGCATGATGATTGTTGGAGTGGTATTCCCTACAACAACAGACAAACCAACAACCTAAGTGTCAAACAATTGGGGAAGGCATCATTACACCAAGGATCATTTCTCATTTTGATAGCCATCAATAATGAGCAGTTGTTACAACCTTAAAAATGCTTATGATATGGACACAGAAAGGGGTACATCACACACCGGGGCCTGTTGTAGGGTGGGGGAAGGGGGGAGGGATAGCATTAGGAGATACACCTAATGTTAAGTGACGAGTTAATGGGTGCAGCACACCAACATGGCACATGTATACATATGTAACTAACCTGCACGTTGTGCACATGTACCCTAAAACTTAAAGTATAATAATAAAAAAAATGCTTATGATAAAATGTCAAACAAAAAACAGTTTGTGGTTTCAGAAAAATTAGGTGTGACTATAGTAACATCTAACATGTAACACAGAAATATGGGAACAGTTTTTTGGAATGGTGGCAAAATTTAGGATGAATTATTTCCTCTTTAATTTGTGGTATTGTTATTACAATATTATTTGCATAGTTTTAAAAAGAAGAGAGTGATAAAGAAAACTTCTCATCGTAGGACCCTGAGGGTAACCAGAATGGCATCAAATTCTCCAATAATCTCTGGAGCCCAGAGGTCTCTGACTCTCTCCAAGGAGTTCAAGCAGAAGCTGACTGACCCTTGGTCAGAGGCAGACAGAGGTTATGATTGAGCTGGATGGGAGTTGCCTCTGTTCGGCTCTGCAATTCTATAATATTAAGAAACATGTTTGGCTACATCAGGGTTTCTCAACCTTGGCACTATGGACATTTTGGATCAGATAACTCTTTGTGGTAGGAGGATGTCCTGTGCATTTTAGGATGTTTAGCAGCATCTTTGACATCTACTTACTAAATGCCAACAGGCACCCTCCCCAGTTGGGACAATCAAAAATGCTTCAGACTTTGTCAAATGTCCTTTGAGGGACAAAGTTGGCCCCAGTTGAGAGCCGTTGGATTAGATCAAACAAAAGACAAGTGAAGAGCTTGCTTACTGTACCAGACGTGTGAGGTATTTGGCCTTAACAAAAACATCCTTAAAGTGCTTTGGTTTAAGGAAATGCATGAAGCTAATTTGCATTCACCATCAGCCAGAAGAATAACTTATCTTCAGAATCCCTAGTCCTTCCTTCAAAATCTCCTTGTATTTTTCTCCTGTGAACGATGAACATTCCCCCACCCCATCCAAGGAGTACAGTAGCTTCTTTTCCTACTGCCATTCAAATATAACATCAAGAAAAGAACTGACAGAGAACTTAAACACTGGTGCAAAAGCAATATGGTGTGAGAAATTGAACGGGGACCCAAGCATCCTGGGTTCTAGTCCTGCTTTTGTCAGAATCAACCCCGCAGCCTTGGGCAAGTCAGTTAATCATTCTGGGCCTCCATTATCTTCTCTACAAAGGTGGGTTATTTGATCAGATGATCTTTCTGCACTCATTCTCACTAAAGGGTAAATGACTAACACAGTAAGTTGTGTTGGCCTTCCAAGAGGTGGTTGCACATTTATTGGAAGTGATGCTTTCACTAGGCTAAGAAACAACTCAGCTTGAATGCCAGACTGATGATTATACATGTGTGGATAATGAGAAAGTACAGATGTTTCTGGAACATACATCCAGCTATAGAATTTCAGACTCTTACAGCTGGAGGGTATGTTAGTGATGACCTTGTCCTACCCTCTCATTTTACAAAAGAGAGACAGACAAAGAAGGAGTCAAAGAGAGAGAAAGAGAGAGATAGAAGTAGTAAAGAAAAAACAGTGTACCCTATTCCTTTAAAAGCCAGGGTAAATTTCTGTCTACCCAGCCAAGGCATATTCTTCTTATGTGGAACTTCAACCTATATCTGCCTCTCAGGCAGTTTGCAAGAAATAACAAAATCTATCCTTCCTCTGCAATCCCAAATAGACTCTTTGGCAGCAGTGACTCTCCAAAATCACCGAGGCCTAGATCTCCTTACTGCTGAGAAGGGACGACTCTGCACCTTCTTAGGGGAAGAGTGATGTTTTTACACTAACCAGTCAGGGATAGTAAGAGATGCTGCCCGGCGTTTACAGGAAAAGGCTTCTGAAATCAGACAACGCCTTTCAAACTCTTATACCAACCTCTGGAGTTGGGCGACATGGCTTCTCTGCTTTCTAGGTACCGTGACAGCCAGCTTACTATTACTCACCTTCGGGCCCTGCATTTTTAACCTCCTTGTAAAATTTGTTTCCTCTAGGATTGAGGCCATCAAACTACAGATGATCTTACAAATGGAGCCCCAAATGAGCTCAACTAACAATTTCTAGTGAGGATCCTTGGACCGACCCGCTGGCCCTTACACTGGCCTAAAGAGTTCCCCTCTGGAGGACACTACAACTGCAGGGCCCCTTCTTCACCCCTATCCAGCAGGAAGTAGCTAGAGCAGTCATCTCCCAATTCCCAACAGCAGTTGGGGTGTCCTGTTTAGAGGGGAGATTGAGAGATGAAGCCAGCTGGACTTCCTGGGTCTAGTGGGGACTTGGAGAACTTTTGTGTCAAGCTAAAGGATTGTAAATGCACCAATCAGAACTCTGCAAATATGCATCAATCAGCGCTCTGTGTCTAACTAAAGGATTGTAAAATGGACCAATCAGCACTCTGTAAAATGGACCAATCATCAGAAGGTGGGCAGGGACAAATAAGGGAATAAAAGCTGGCCACCCCAGCCAGCAGCAGCAACCTGCTGGGATCCCCTTCTATGCTGTGGAAGCTTAGTTCTTTCCTTCTTCACAATAAATCTTGCTACTGCTCAGTCTTTGGGTTTGCACCACTTTTAAGAGCTATAACACTCGCCATAAAGGTCCGCGACTTCATTCTTCAAGTCAGCCAGACCAAGAACTCACTGGAAGGAACCAACTCCGGACACAAAAGGAGATCCTGAGGCCTAGAGAGGGGAGGTGACTTGCCCACTTCTTGCTGCCCAGTGGCATAAGCAACATGGTGTTTTAAACCCTGGGAACTTGAAGACATAGGGACAGTTGCTTTGGGGGAACCATACACATTGCTCAGCTCTGCACACTTTCAGGGTCAGCTATCTGAAACCACTTAGCATACTCACTCGAGTCTCCTGAATTTGGTGGCATGAAAGAATTTATTTCTTGATGCATTTCTACAAACAAGGTCCTCGATAAGCAGGACAAATACAAAAAGAAAGTCAAAAATAGATGTTGAAAAATGAAAGAAAACTATCAGACAAACAAGAGACGAAAACCACACAGGATTTTAAATGGGAAAGTTAAGAATTATTAACTAATAACAGGGGAGTATCAGGGTATTGGCTACTGAGGGTAAAGGGAGCACTTTACAGAGGTGGCAGATATATGGGGCAGGCACTAAAGGCTAAGCGAAGTGCCCGAGGAGAAAACAAATGTGGGACACCCCACCCGCTTCCCCTCTCACCACCAAGGATGAGAATCAGACTTTGCGGGAGAGCATGGGGCTGTCCCCACTGGAGAATGAAGTTTGCCCAGGTGACAGGTGGAGACTGTCCAACAGGAAACTGCCCCCGGGGGTGACAGCAACCCTTTCCGGGAAGCTGCCTGGAGGAAACGCTGCTGAACTTTCTGAAAAATCGGCTGGGGGACTGGTGGGACGGCGAAGCCCTCAAGGGGTGCTTTTGAACTCACTGGAAGCTGGGCGAGGTGCCAGCAGAACTCGCTAGAAAGCTGCACACAGGGGATGCCACTGCAAGTCCTTGAGGGAGGCTGCAACTGGGTGTCCCGAACCCCGCGGGAGCAAGAAGGAATCAGAGCACAGAGACACCAGCAGAGAAGCCCTTCCCCCTGCAGTGTGCCTCTACCACCCTCTACTGGCAAAGCTGAGCATCGTGCCAGTTGCAAAAGAGACGTGTTGGCAAGATTCACCTCCAGTATCACAAGCAATGCAATGAAGTATGGGTTGGGAGAAGTGAGGCAATAAAGTGATAAGTGACACACTCATAACCTGGAACACAACTATTGAGGTAGTGTGCCCCTTTGGTCCTAGGCATTGCCCCCAAAGTCTCAGCCTTTCAAGTTTTCTCACTCTCTTTCTACCCCCAGGTCTTCCCTTATGGCTACACCGGATGATGTTCATGAATGTCATGGAAGCTGAAAACAGTCCCGCTTGGGTCTCAGAAGCTGAGGGTATTAGACAGGAAGGGTCACTTAGCCAGGCTGACCTCGTGTCCAGGTTTGCACCTGCTGTCCCAACCACTGTCCTGTTAGTGCTCCCTCCCACTCTCCCAAGTGTCCTGCTCAGGTGATAAATTACATGGTTCCCTGAAGGCAACCAGCCTGAGTCCAGTCCCATGACTTTACAGATGAGGAAACTCCTACACTGATGTCGAAGAAGAGGCTCTGTGGGGACGTGGGGAGGACTGGACTTGGCTTTAATGTGCAACTTTGGCTTGTTGTTAAGCCTCTATCTAAAATGGTCCACCAAGAGGTAAAATGAGGTCATGTGTGCAGAGCATCAGGCATACATCGTGACCTGAGGGATGGGATGCGCCAACCTCTGCCATGTAGCTCTTCCATCTGCCCACCTCCCCAATCCCTATCCATATTCCCCAGTCTGTCTTCCAGACAGAAACAACAGGGCACATTTATAACAGTGGAGCAAAATACCCCTTCAGAATAGACACTGCTAACAGAAAAGTTCCAGGGTGCAAATCTCAATGTTTGGAAAGGAGGATCAGAGCTGTAAACGCCCAGGGATTGCTAAGCAAGAAGAGGATATTGAGCACTCTCTCCAGTTCATGCCTCTGTCTCCTCAAAGTCCCTCTTCCTGATGGCTACCAGAGGCTTAGAGAAAGCAACCAGGAGCAAACGCCTCTCTCTGGGTAGGCCGGTCCAGCTCAGGTGCACCTATTCCATGGCAAAAAAACAGCCCACGATCTCCACCTGGTGGCCAAGCTATAGAACACACTCCCTCGCCAACTGCTGATCAACCTGTTGAGCAGCTACCCTGCGGCCATTTACAAAAGAAACACAGGCTGGGACCTTCTCTACAGGTGACCTGATGGTGGCTGCTCCTGGAGGCTGATTGGAAGCACGTGTCTGTCTCAGGCCACACTTTGACATGGCACGAGAGACTTCTCTGCCACGCTTGCTGCCCTGGATCCAGAACAGGTTACTCCAGGGTTTCTCAGCCTCAGTACTCTGAACATTTGGGGCTGGATATTTCTTTGTTGGGGGTGGGGTGAGGCCATCCTGTGCATTGCATGATGTTTAGCAGCATCTCTGGCCTCTACTTACGAGATGCCTGTAACAACCCGCTTAGTTAGGGCAACCAAAAATGTCTCCAGATGTTGCCAAAGTCCTATGCAGGAGAGGCAAGACACAAAATCGCCCTCAGTTGAGAATCACTAGGCTACTTAACCAGTCAAGCCTTCGGCACTTATAACGATAGAGACTGATTTTGGACTTGGGTTCCACACAGCATTCTGCAAGCCATTGCAGTTTCCAGTGAGCTGCTTTCTTGGACGCCAGTTAGAACCTGTCATCAGTAGCTCATGGTTTAGGTTTTGAGGAAGGTCTCCTTTTTCTCTGCTTCCAGCATGCTAATTTTGTTTTTTTGAACAAGCTAATGGCATCTCAAGGAAAGGGACCATGTCTTTTCCTTTCCTTGGGCTGCTTTCAGAGACAAGCATGGTGCTTGGAACTTAGGTGCTCAGCATGTAGGTGCTCCAAAGCGCCTGCAGGTTCACAAAGTCAGTCCCCTTCCACGGACCGCAGTGTCTCTCAAAATTATGACTGCCCTGCCTGGAAACCTCCTTGGCCTCTTTTCCTTGGAACCATAGCTAATGAAGAGATCCATCTCATCTCCACCTACATCTCCCGCTGGTGGGCAATCTAATTAGGTTCTTTCTACAATTAACTATTCGTAATTAAAGAGGAGCAAAGCCCATGTGTCATTCTTTAACTCCATCCGTTAAACAACAATGTCCAATTTTGAAATCCCTCTTCAGACAAGGAGAAGTGGTGCATGTGTGGGCTAAGAATTCTCCAGATATGCTAACCTAAATTTAATTATGCAAGGAGAACAGAGGTTTCACTTCATTGTTCCTGGAAGTACTGTAATTAAAACTCAATTAGGGGTGGCACTGGCCAGCATCATTACTCGAGAGTCACCCTGTTGAAGAGACAAACAGCTCAGTGTGCTCATGCAGACATCATCCTGAAGCCTTTGCAAGTAAAGGGGTCATCCAGATCATCCTCTGTCTTCCAGCATCTTCTAAAAGCACCATTTGTTTAACTGATTTCTCTTCATTTTTAACTGTTTAAAACTGTTCTAGCCAAGCTTCCAGGTCAAAAGACGAAACAGCCATTCAGATATCTTGTCTAATCATAGTTCATCAAGTACTTATGATGGGATGGGTGCTTCACACACAGTGTCTTATTTGATCTTTACATTAACCGTAGGAAGTAGGCATCATCCTTATGTAAAGATAGAGGAATAAAGTCTCAAAGAAGTTAAAGAATATTCCATTGGCATCAGTGGAAAGCGGTGGTGCCAGGATTTAAATGGACAAGTCTGCTACTAGAGTCTGTACTCTTAAACATTGTGTTATATTGGCGTTTTGAAAAAGTTTTCCAAATATCTGATATTTGACATCAGAGAGAGACTTCCTCTGTCTGGTTTTGACTGTAAACCCAACACACACATACCAAATACAGGGGATCCTGAATTCTTCTTGCACACATTGCGTTAGCAAGAAGGCTGATGAGCTGGAAGGCTTTGTGTGGGTCCAGTCAATGCACCACTGCCAGAGAAACACATTCGAGGCCCAGTCCACAACTGTAGTGGGGCTGTCTGCACAGATCACCCACACCAGCAGACAATCTGTATGGCTCCTTCTCAGGAGATCCACCAAGAGTGCCTGCCAATGAGTGAGGCATCTTACCTGGGGCCACCACTTGCAGTTGGCAAATTGTGTCCTTCTCAGGGGCACCTACCAAGGGGTGAGTGTACCTGAGTGTCAGCTTGCACTGCACCCCAGGCAAATAAATGGCAACTCTTCTACTTTTCTTTTCTTTTTTTTTTTCCTTGAGACGGAGTCTCACTCTTGTTGCCCAGGCTGGAGTGCAATAGTGTGATCTTGACTGACTGCAACAACGGCCTTCCAGGCTCAAGCGATTCTTCTGCCTCATCCTCCCAAATAGCTGGGATTACAGGCACCCACCACCACGCCCAGCTAATCTTTGTATTTTTATTAGAGACAGCATTTCACCATGTTGGCCAGGCTCGTCTCAACCTCCTGACCTCAGGAGATCCACCTACCTTGGCCTCCCAAAGTGCTGGGATTAAAGGTATGAGCCACTGTGCCTAGCCCCTCTTCTGCTTTTCAAAGGTGCCAGTGGGCTACCAGTGACTTGACCCTACTGGCTTTAGAGTGCTCAGTCTCACAGTCCACTGGACATGCTGCCTCTTGCTTTTACCACACAGAATACAGAGTAAATTAGAACCCTCTGAAGGCAAGCCTCTGGGTCCGTTCCAGAACAAGGGGCAACAAATATGAGGACCTGGAGGGAAGGGCCATATCCCTCCCTTTCCCCTTTCCTGAGGACCTAAGGCCCTCTTTACCTGTGTCTGCTCTGTCCCATTACTTCATTTTTTTTTCCTCCCCTACCACCCTCTGGATGCCACTTCTCTACAGACAAACAGATTGTGCAACAGGAAACTCTCAAGGCATCAAGGTCCCAGAATGAGGACAGGAAGAGTTTGGTGTTGAGATCATTGCTTCTTCCAATACAGAGAACCATGGTCTGACATTTCAGAAAGCTCCAGGTGCAGCTGAGCTGTCAGGGAAGGGTGGAGCATGAGGGGTGGCTCACTGAAGGAGTGATGGAACTGGCACCTGAGGCCAGCCTCAGCCTCTTCCATTTCATAATCCACTGGATGAGTCACTGCCCACAGTTGACCTCTGAGAGCCCAAAACAAACGAGGAGTATGCTGGCACCCAGAGAGAGGGATACTCAGCTTCTTTGGACACCTGGTTGGTAACAGAGCTGAGAGCAGTGCCTGAGCTGACTGCTCCTCTCTATAGCCAACAGCATGGGCTTCCTGCTCCTGCTCTAGCAAAGGGAATGGGATTTCTTTAGGATGAGCCTGGCTGGATTTCCTGCCAAGGCATCTACAGTGGCAATGGGGTTGAAAAGCTAGGAGGGGCCAGCCTTGGTGGTGTGGTTTGCTGTGCAGATGGAGCCACCCTGAGTTCAAGAAACCCAGCAGGATGAGGACAGTGAGCACAGGCTCTGTGTTGGCCACATACTGGGTTAGAGGATAGCTGAATTGTTGGGTCATCCATCCATCATTCATTCATTCCTTCACTTAAAACTCACCTACTTCCAAAAGATATTTACGGCAGCTTAAAATACATCTAATATTGAAGGTTAAATGAAAGATAACATGACACAACCACTTTAGAAAACTGTCTGAAAGTTTCTAACAAATGTAAACACACACCTATCCTTTGGCTCAGCAGTTTCATCCCTAGGTCTTTACCCGAGAGAAATGAATCTATATATGCCCACAAAAGACTTCAAAATATTTGTAGCAGCTTTATTCATCATACCACCAAATTAGAGATGTCCTTGTGTCAGTCAAAGGAGAATGAATAAACAAACTATAGTACATTCATACGATAAATTTCTATTCAGTAATTAAAGGGGACAAATTTCCAAATATGTACAACCACATGGATGAATCTTACAGAAATTATGCTGAGTGAAAGAAGCCAGATGCAAAAGTGTATGTTCAGTTATCCCTTGGCATCCTGGGGGAATTGGTTCCAGGATCCCAGTGGACGCTAAACTCCATGAATGCTCAAGTCCCTTATGTAAAATGGCATAGTATTTGCATATAACCTACGCACATCCTCCCGTGTGCTTTAAATCATCTCTAGATTATGTATAATACCTAAAACAATATAAATGCTATGCAAATAATTATTATGTATTTTTATTTATATAGTTTTTATTGCTGTATTGTTATTTTTTATTGTTTTCTTCTTCAAATATTTTTGATCCACAGTTGGTTGACTCCATGAATGTGGAACCCATGGACAGAGAGGGTTGACTGTATTTATGAGTCCACTTATGTGATGGTCAAGAAGCAGCAAAAGGAATCGATGGAAACAGCATTCAAAATGGTGGCCACCTTAGCATGATGGGGAGCAGGAAGGGAGTGAGTGAGAGGAGCCTGTGGGACTTTCTGGGAAGATGGAGATGTTGAATATCTTGATTTGGGTGGGAATCACACAGGAGTATACATTTGTCAAAACTCCTCAAAATGTACGCTTAAAATCTGTGCATTTCAGTCTCTATAGAATATACATAAAACAAAGCAGAACAAGTAGAAACAACAGCAAACACCTCTATGATTTTCTTATAAAACAGGGAGGCAGTCTAGAGCCAGATGGGCTGGATTCGAACACCTTTCCAGCTCCTACCAGTCAACCGAAAAGTCAACCCAAGGGCTGGTTAATCCAAGTAACATCACCAAGCCTTTGTAGATAACTTCATGGTTTACAAACCCCATTCCAGCTCTTACCCCGTTACAGCTCTTACCAGCTCTTACCAGTGCCCACAGTCACACCTAGTGGATGGTAAACTCTGTTTAAAAGAAATATTAACCATTCAGGAAATGGGGCCTTTACTTGGAGACCATAAATTAAGGGTCTCCAAGATGGGGCTTTAGGAAAGGGCTCATGAACCTCTTGAAAGTAGTTGCAAATTCACTGTGCATAATGTGCGTTTGTGTTGGGAGAGGGTGTATAGCTTTCAATCAGACTCTAATATGATTGCTCCAGGACTCCAGAATGAGATGATTCATACAGATGAACATCAAAGTTAAACCCCAAGGCTCCTGTTTTTCTTTTCCCTAGAAGTGAGTTCCAAACACCAGCTTACCCACAGGGGAGGGAATTACACAGTGCGTGGGTCCCAGGAGGTGGGAATCCCAGGAGCCACCTCAGGGTCTGCTCTCACAGGAGGGGATGAGTAAGTCGCAAATGTGGGTTTCTTGTGATTTAACAAAAAACAAGGGTGAGGATTGAGTTTTCATAGCTTTGTAAGGGAATGATGCCTATCTGAGTGGACTACTGGACCACAGACATAGCGGGCAGGTGGCAGGGCTGGGTCAGGGGAGATGGAGGTAAGAGAAATCCCTGAGCTTGCAGAGAAGCTGTGCTTCAGATGATCGGGGAGGGAGGAAAGGGACTTGGGAGGCAGGACAAACTATGGAGTGGGAACTCCCCACCCCCGCCACCACCACCATTTCCCCTTCTCTATCATCTCCTCCGTCCTCACTTCTTGGTTTCTTGCACCAGGAGAAAGCTCTTGGTGTCTCTTTTTGAGGTCCTAGCAGTTGTTTCTACTCAGAACATGAAGAATGGTGGCGGAGCCTGGCCTAGCCCCGTGGTGGGGTAAAGTTGACAAA
Source organism: Homo sapiens (assembly GCF_000001405.40). Lineage (NCBI taxonomy): Eukaryota > Metazoa > Chordata > Mammalia > Primates > Hominidae > Homo > Homo sapiens. The sequence continues at coordinate 118,876,191 of NC_000002.12, read as the reverse complement.
TGGGTTGTTCATGGGCAGCGGAGCAGGATGGAAGTCAGATTTAAAGTCTGGATCCACGGTGGTCCAGGGGACCTCAATAAAGGGTTTTTCCTTCAATGTGCCTCAACTCATTGCCTATAAAATGAGGGTAAAAATCTCTCCTTCACGTAGTGTGTTAAGGTCTAAACTATACGGGGCATGGCATGTAGCACTTAGTAGGGCTCTGCATACAGTAGGCACTACAGTAAATCTCCCACAGCTACTATGGGCCCACTGGTGATTCTGATCATTTTACCTACTGTTGTCTGGCCAGTTAAGTGAATGTTACTTGGGTTTATGAATTCATTCAGCAAATAATCCTTGAGTTGCTACTAAGTGCTAGTGCTGTGCTGGGGCCCTGGGACACAGCAGAGAATAAGATGGACACACAGTCATGTCCTTCTGGGGTCCAGCCCTCTCTGAGCCACTGGTGTCTGCTGGGTCACAGCAGCCCCTGCTTCTGTGCCAAGGACTCCTCAGACAGAGACTCTGGCTCTCCCCTTCCCTTCTCAGATTGATTGACATTTGGGGACTGGGAAGGGGTGGGACAGGGCTGGGGTGTGGGGAGGGCTGACAAGCATGGCAGATTCATGAGTCCTGGCTGAGAGTGCCTTTGACGAAGGTGCCGGAGGTAATAGCCTTGTTATCTGATTCCCAGTGATTCATTACTGCTGGCATTGACAGCTACCTTGGCGTCCTCCTTGGTCCTGCCTGGGGCTCAGAGCCACAGTACACCCTGAAGCCCAATGGGAAAAGCCACCACCTGCCTTTGGGCCAGGAAAGCAAGCACAGTTTTAGAGGCCTCTGTGTGGGGAGTTTTTCCTGGTCACAGCTTTGAGCCATGGCGATGATCTGGCCTGAGATGGAGCTGATGAAGTCCAACCAGAAGTTGGCAGCAGTGATGTCTGAGGAGCAGTTGGAGGGTTGGTGGGTGTCTGGGGGACCCTTTAGTCCCAGCTCACCCTTGCCACTCTTAAACAGCAGCAACAACAATGAGCATTAATATAATAAAGTGCATGACCCCTCAGCCAAAACTCTGCAAGCCAGAAGCATTTGAAAATTCAGAATTTTAGGGTTTTGACGAAAGTAAGATAGTATAAAAACTGAATGGTTCCTGACATCCCCAAGGGATCTTGAGCAGCAGCCCATAACCAAGCAAACAGGATGGATGAGTGTTCAAACCAAGCCAGAGAGATAAAGATGATAAATGGTTTCGCACCCATTTAGGAAAGGTTTTACCACCAAACAGGTTGGGCAAAAACATGATTTTCTGAGCCTTTTGCATCCATGATCATAAATAAGAGATTGTAGTAAAGAAATAAGTACAGTAACAGTTATAGCACTAATAATATTGTTTCAGCTCTACAATATTTTCTCAATCTTATTCAAGTGGGAATAAAAATACCTCTAGGAAACTGCATTTTTATCTATCTATACATAACATGCAGTTTAAGTAAAAACAGCATTTTGTTAGACCTCAGCCCCTTATTGCCACCCCAATTTCCTCAGTGTGAGAATTCTGGAGCTGTCCCTGCAGACATGGTTGCCCAGGGAAGGCCTGAGTGAGGAGATGCCTGGAAGGACTGTCAAAGTCCAGAGTCCTACTTCACGGAGAAGTTGCCCCTGAGGCAGGCAAGGGCTATCTGCAGCCTTGGTGCAGCCCCTCTGGAGTGAAAGGCCAGGATCTGAGACTGGGAAAGAAGGCGCTGTCTCCCTTCTTTCTGCGTGGCTGAGGGTTGCTCCTTCCTGGCTTTAAGCTTGGGGTGTGGGGGAGGGGCTACACAGACACAGAGTTAGGTGGAAGGGGCCTGAAGGGGGTCTCTTGGCTTTGGCTGGATGGGTAAACTCCATGTCCCTCTACCTAAGTCCTTTCCTTTATCCTTGAGCCATGGATATGGGAACTACGAGGGGAAGGCAGAGTCCATGCTGTGGCCAGAACCTCAAAGGACAGCCGGTGTCCTGGAGGCATCAATACTGACCTTAGGTCAGGGGAAGACACCAGGGGAGGCAGTTGGTATCATAGGTGCATTTCAATCACTGGGGATGCAGTCCAGGGACTGACTTTTTAATTGAGTTACCAAAGCACATTTGCACACTGAAGTCCAGAACATGCGATCAAAGAGAAGAGCATCTCAGAGACACAGGAAGTGGAAAATGGCAGGCTCAGCCTCCTCAGCTCTGCACGGATTTTCTCTGTCATCGCCAACCTTGGAAGATCAGCACTGCCTTAGCAAGGATTATGACTTCACAAGCAGACACTACGTTCACACAACTATTGCATTGTATCATTCATATGGCCCTCCCAATAAGGTGTCATTATCCCCAATTCATAGATGCACTCAGAGAGCAGTTAACCGGTGATGAAGCTGAGATTCAAACCTGGGTCTGCTGAGTCTGAAGTTCATACTCTCTCTGTGCTGGGGGGCTTGGCTACTGGACTTGCTACCTTCTGTTGCTGTTTGTAACACAGAAACCACAGGAGCAATGTTGAATGTTAACAGTGCTTATACTGTATCCAAGAGAACAAGGGATTTTAGGATACAACCAAAAACACCCTAGGAACCTGATCCTCCCCTAGCCTTCCCTCCTGTTTTGAAAAGTCGACCCAAGGGCTGGTTAATCCAAGTAACATCACCAAGCCTTTGTAGATAACTTCATGGTTACAAAGCCCTTCTCCATACTGTGCCTCATTTTGATACTCTGAATGAAAAGGCAAGATCTATAAGGAGGCCTTTATAGCTCTATTTTATGAATTTTGGAACAGAGGCTCACTGAGAAACACGCCTCTCACAGCTAGCAGGCAGACAGCAAGGACCCAGTGCCAGATTCCTTTATGATATGTGTGGTGCTCCAACAGTCCCCCCATTCTACTTCAAACTTTCTTCCAAGGTTTTCTGACATGGTCAGCCTCTATCCAATTCAGGGAACGTTTACCATTTTGGGTTCCAAGAACCTGAAGATTTATATTGCCGTAATTGGTTTATATTGTCATAAATAGCTCTGAGAATTAATTTCAGGAAGTTGACATCAAAGGACCCACCTAAGATGAGTGATATTTCCTGACTCCAAGGGACAAGGAAACACCCACTGGGGGATTGTGCCTTCATCAAACAAACTTCAATTCCAATCTTTTTTTTAAAAAATCTTAATGGGAAAAAAATAGCTCATGTGAAGTCCAGAATCCGGGCGCTTTCCCATATGTTTATATCTGCTTACCAATTGGTGGATTCATTTATGGCCTTATTTATTAGCTTTTTTACTTCAATTGAACCTCCCTGCTGCAAAATATTAAGGGGCACACGTATTGACTTAAATACACGGAAAGGAATAGCTTCTGTGCATGTTCTCACTCGCCAAACGGAGGCAAGCCTCAGCTGGGGACAGGGTGCATTTTATAACCTACCAAAGAGTTAAGATCTGTTTGAAAAATACTGGCCTAGGAGTTCCCAATGTATATGCATACATTTTGACCTACCATTTTCATTTTTAGAAATTTTAGTCCCCTAAATAATGATTGTGTATTGAGAACTGTGTGCAAAGATACCCACTATAATAATAGATATAATCAGAAAAAAAGATAGCTATCTTAATGCCTGACAATTACTTAAATAAATGATTGTACATTTATGCAGTAATATAATAGATTTCCTTTAAAATTATAGATTTCCATATACCTAATGCTAAATGACGAGTTAATGGGTGCAGCACACCAACATGGCACATGTATACATATGTAACAAACATGCACATTGTGCACATGTACCCTAAAACTTAAAGTATAATAATAATAAAATTTTTTTAAAAAAGAGTTCTACATGTATTAGAAATACTAGTCCTTTATAAGTGATATATTTAGAAACATTTTCTCCCAGTTGGACATTTGCTTTTTAACTTATCTTGTTTTCTTTATAATGAAAAATGTTAGATGCATAGATTGCAAAAATTTTCTCAAAAAAATTATAGATTTCCTTTAAAGTATTTGATGATAGATATACTGAATGAATAGAATAGGTTATGTACCAGTATTCTTTATTTTTCAGCAAATATTTGTTTCCAGGCATGACAGTGAACTAGACAGACATGGACTCTGTCTTCACATGGCTTTCAGTTGAAGAGGACACAGAAAATAAATGGAATTACAGACAGAGTGATTGCATTCAGTGCTGGAAGAGGTGAAGAAAGAAGTGCTAGGGGAACAACGAAAGGGGGGGCCCAGGTCAGACTTGACCTGCACTTGCTGTTCAGGTTGAGGCCGAGCTTACACAGCAGTGACTTCTTCACTGGGACATGAGGACATTCAAGAGCTCAGCAGAGGCAGGTTTGGGGCTGGGATGAAGGTAGGGAAGAGGCCTCGTGTGAAGGCAGCTGTGTGACCACAAGTCCCAGGAGGCTCTTGAAAAGTTTCATGCTAAAGAGTGGCCTGGTCAGGTTCACACTTTAGAAGGGCTCCTCTCTAGTGTGGAGAATGGACTGTGGGGGTTCATGCTAAGAAGCAAAAAGTCAGACACATTGAGGCAATTCAGAGACGATGGTAAACTAATACAGAGGAGCTGGAAAGAAGTAGGTTGATCCAAGAGATATTTAGAGAGCATTGACTAGGGCTCATTGATTGGATATGGGTGGTAGGGAGAGGAAGGAGGTCGATATTAAGTGCTAACCAGCTTTCTGGCTTGGCCACCAGGATTAAGAGTGATTCTCTCAGGAGACAGAGAACACAGGGAGGGAAACTTTGCTGGAGGAGGAGGAAGAGGTGTTGGGTTCCACTAGGGTTCATTCATTTAGAGTTCTCCATTGGGGACACTTAGGAGGCAGGTGGAGATGAAAGTTTGTAGCTCAGGAGAGAGATCAAAACTGGCAGTAGAGATTCAGGAGTGACTCATCATCAACTGGGCACAAGAAAAGGCAAAACTGTACCGAAAGAAATTAAATCAGAGGTTGTGAGGGGCTGAGGGAAGGGGAAAGTGATTGCAAAGAAGCACAAAGGAATTTTGGGATGGGATGGAACAGTTCTCTATCTTGATGATCATCATGCTTAGACACTGAATACATTTGTCAAAAATTATAAAGTTAAAATTGGTTGATTTCTTATATATAAATTATACCTTAATTAAGCTGCTTTTTTTTTCAAAACAAAGAAGAAAGAAAATCCAATGCCTATCATAATCTAGAGATTCAGCTCCTAGGTTTATACTCAACATACAGGAGCACACATGTGCACCAAAACACATATTCACTGAAGTTCATAGCAGCCTTATTTATAATGGCCCCAACCTGGAAACAACCAAAATGTCCATCAATAGTAAAATGAATTGTGGCGGATCATACAATGTGTCATCACATATTCATCATTTTACTATTGAAAAAGCAAACTCTAGCTACATAAAGCTCCCAGATGAATCTCAGGCAGAATGTTGAGCTAAAGAAGCCATATGCAAAAGAGTACACATGATAAAGCTTCCATTTACGGGAACTTCAGATACAAGCAAAACTAATCTGCATGATGGAAATCAGACTAATGGCTACCTCTGCAGGGAGACATGACCAGGAAGGGCATGAGAGAGCTTTCTGGAGGCTGGAAATGTTAAATATGCAGATCTAGGTGGCAATAATACAGGTGTACATATACGGAAAAGTTTCATAAGCTGGACACTTCAGATCTGTAAAATTTTATTGAATGTAAGTTTTACCTCAATAAGAAAATGATCTAAGACATATCTGTAAGATTAAGTCCGTATTCATTTCAATTCCTTGAATTTAGATTTGACGGACATATAGACAAGGTGAGTTGGGGTTTCTATCTGCTCTCTATGAAAACAAGGAAATTAGTAGCATATACAATGGCCATGCTGAGCCTCCTTATGAGTGAAGAGTTGTTGGAGAATTGTCTTGACAGTTTGGAAAATTACAATCTGTGCAATCACATGTATTTCACATTGAATGTGCTAATTATAAGCATTTCTTATCTGTTCACCAGGTCAGATTTCCCAGCCACTGCCACCAGGGCCCCTGGAGTCTCAAGAAGACTTAATTGCCATCTCCCAGTGTCCTTGACTGAGGACCTGTTTAAAAGTGCTTTAGCAAATGTTTGAGCTGCAGGAGGAGTGCCGAGCTGTTCATTTTGCAGTGCTCAGAGGGTGAGGACCCCTTCTGCTGCTGTCCTGTTACCCTGGTTCACTGGTGGATGTGCAAGCTTGCTGTAGCCAGAAGCCCTCGTTACATTATGGTCTTCATGTTTAGGAAAAGCATTATTGAAAGCAGAAGATTGTGAGCCCCAGCTCCCCTAGAGCCTGGAAAGGAAGGGGAATTCAGAGTCACAGTCTCACTAAATTGAAGCTGGGGGCTAGGCCAAGCACATTTCCTGCATTATATAATGTAATCCTCTCAGTGACATGGCAGATGGCACTCCAGACCAACATGGGAGGAGGCAACAGGGATGGGACTACTGGGCATCCACGTAGAAAAACATAACATCGAATCCCTTCCTCCTCCATATATTCTGTACTTTTCAGTAAATCTCAGGTACACGGAGGATTTACAGGTGAAAGGCAAGACTTCAAAACTGTTCAAAGAAAATATAGAAGAGTATCTTTCTGACTTTGAGTTTGAGATGATTTCTTAAACACAAGAGAGAAAAAGCACTAACTACAATAAGGAAACATTAATAAACCAGACGACATTAAAATTAACTCTGTTCATCAAAAGACACCAAAAGAAAAGTGAAAGGCAGGCCATAGACCAGGAGAAAATATACGCAACATCTGTAGCTGGTAGATTACTATCCAGAATACATAAAGAACTCCTGCCAATGCATTAGAAAAAAGGACAGCCCAGCAGAAAATGAGCAAAAGCTGCAAATAGGCATTTCTCAGAAGAAGGAAGTAAAAAATAACCCAGTGAGACACAATTGTAGTAAAAACGCTAAGTTCTGGGCAAGACATGGACTTCAATGTTAATCCATTTCTGCTGTTTCTGATGAATGTGTATTTGATGCAATACAACTTGATGCTTTCCACCACAATGTGATGGAAATTTGTGACCTAGCACTTTGACTTCATTTATATACATGAGAGCAGGGGTTTGCAAACTGAGGCCTGTGGACTTTGTTTTTGCTAAATAAAGTTTTATTGGAAGTCAGCCACACTTACTTGTTAAGATATGGCTGCTCTTGTAACACACAACAGCAGAGTTGAGTAGTCGCAACAGACACCTTAAGGCTTCAAAGCCTACAATATTTACTAGCTGATATTTTGCAAACAAAGTTTGCCAACCCTGATCTAGAGACAGTTTTAAGGTATCATTTTCTTTTTACCTATAACTTTCTAGAACCCATACCATTTTAACAGGCTTTATTTTTAGAACAGTTTTAAACTCATAGGGAAATTGAGAAGACAGTAGAGAATTCCCATAGACTCTCTCACCCAGTTTTCTCTGTCATTGACCTTAGCATGGTACCCTTGTTACATATTGCTACATGATTAACTAAAGTCCATAGTTCATTCACATTTTCTTAGCTTTTATCTAAAGTCTTCTGCTCCAAGATCCCATCCATTTACTTGACATATTTCCTTAAGCTTCTCTTGGCTGTGAGAGTTTCTCAAACTTCCCCTGTTTCTGATGACCCTGACAGTTGAGCAGTACTGGTCAGGTGTTTTGTAGAATGTCTCTCTGTGGAATCTATTTGATGTGTTTCTCATGATTAGACTGGGGTTATGGACTTTGGGGAGGAAGACCACTGAGGTAAAATGCCATTTTTATCATTATATGAAAGACATGTACTAACATGATTTATCACTGTTGCTACTGACCTTGATCACCCAGCTGAGGTAGTATGTGTCAGATTTTGACACTGTAAAGTGACTCTTTCCCCTATACTCCGTGGAGGGAACAAACGCATCATGCACAGCCCAGCCCACACTTAGTGGGTAGGGATGTATCCTCTTCCTTGAGGCTGAAATATATAACATATGTTATATATAATGTTACATATTATATATGTTATATATAATGTTACATATTATATATGTTATATATAATGTTACATATTATATATGTTATATGTTATATATAATATATGTTATATGTTATATATAATATATGTTATATGTTATATATTATATATGCTATATGTTATATATTATATATGTTATATATTATATTATATATAATATATGTTATATATTATATTATATATAATATATGTTATATATTATATTATATATAATATATGTTATATATTATATTATATATAATATATGTTATATATTATATTATATATAATATATGTTATATATTATATTATATATAATATATGTTATATATTATATTATATATAATATATGTTATATATTATATTATATATAATATATGTTATATGTTATATATTATATATAATATATATGTTATATATTATATATAATATAATATATGTTATATGTTATATATAATATAATATATGTTATATGTTATATATAATATAATATATGTTATATGTTATATATAATATAATATATGTTATATGTTATATATAATATAATATATGTTATATGTTATATATAATATATGTTATATGTTATATGTTATATATAATATATGTTATATGTTATATGTTATATATAATATATGTTATATGTTATATGTTATATAATATATGTTATGTTATATATTATTTATATAATATATGTTATATATTATTTATATAATATATGTTATATATTATATATTATTTATATAATATGTTATAATATATAACATATAATATATTTTATTTATAATATATAACATATAATATATTTTATATATAATATATGTTATAGTTTATACATGTTATATAATATATGTTATATTTTATACATGTTATATATAATATATGTTATATTTTATACATGTTATATATAATATATGTTATATTTTATATATGTTATATATAATATATGTTATATTTTATATATGTTATATATAATATGTTATATTTTATATATGTTATATATAATATATGTTATATATGTCATATATACTATATATAATGTTATATATATTATATATAATAATATATTATATATTATATATAATGTTATATATATATTTTATATATATGTTGTGTGTATGTATATATATATATATCAGAATAGTTTTACTGCCCTAAAAATTCCCTGGGCTTCACCTATTCACCACCACTTTCCAAGCCCCTGGCAACCACCAATCTTTTTACTGTGTTCTAGAGATATTTTTACACATGTATACCAAGAGACAAAAACAAGAATGTTCACAGAAGTAAAGAGCTAGGAACAACCCAAATGTCCACTGACAAGGGGATAGATAAATAAAATGAGATTTATTCCAGCAATGAACTCTTATACAGCTGATAACCTGACTCAAGCCCTGTTACATGCATGCAACAGTGACGAATCTTGGAGAAGTAATACTTAGTGAAAAATCTAGTCCCATCGACCATAGAATATCATTTTTTATGAAACTCAAATACAAGTTAAACTAAACAACATGTAATAAAACCAGTTTTTAAAAGGCAAAGAAGACCAGGCATGGTGGCTCACAACTGTAATCTCAGCACTTTGGGAGGCCAAGGTGGGTAGATCGCTTGAGCCCGGGAGTTCAAGACCAGTCTGCGCAACATGGTGAAACCCCGTCTCTACAAAAAAAAAAACAAAAAAAAAACACGAAAATTAGCTGGAAATGTTGGTGTGTGGCTGTAGTCCCAGCTACTCCAGAGGCTGAGGCAGGAGGATCACCTGAGCCCAGGAGGTCAAGGCTGCGGTGAGCCATGATCTTGCCACTACACTCCAGCCTGAGTGACAGAGTGAGACCCTGTCTCAAAAAAACAAAGGCAAAGATATAAAATTTAGGATAGTGATTAGTTTGGGCAGAGGCAAGGGAATGGGACAGGGAAGACACGTATATACAGAAGATCCACCCACCTTGGCCTCCCAAAGTGCTTTGATTACCGGTGTGAATCACCATGCCTGGCCTTCATTGCCTTTAAAAACAGCCTTTATTACATATTGTTTACTTTTACTTGTATTGGAGTTTCATAAACATAGAATCACTGTTGTTCTAGTTCTTGAAAGTAGTTCCTAAGTATTTATGGTTTGATTTTAAACACATTCATTGGTAGGTATACATATATATCCACATACATAGATATCTCTTGTATGTGTTAAATATATTAGGTATTTTTAATTGTGATAATGCCTAATGTATGGGATTGTTGTGAGAATTAAATGAGATAATATATGCAACAATTGACAACAATTGCATTTATGAGTATTATCATCTCCTAAGAAATCATGGTTGGTCTCCAGAGACACAGATCCAATATTTAAAAAAAAGGAAAGAAATCACATTTGGCCACTTCAGCTCCATGTTTGGGTCACCTCCTGAACTGCGAGTTAGACTCGAGACTGGGCCTTTCTTGTAGGTCACCACCAATGAGGCAGTATTTGAGTCTTCTTCATCAGTGTCTCAAATTCCACCATTAGATTTATGAACTTGGGAAGCCAGAAGTGACTTTAGAGGTCATCCGCTATAACCTTGAGGAGGAGAAGCCCAGAGATGTTGAATGGTTTTCCTAAAACTACTCAGTTCTACTCAAGGTTCTTCTAACCCTCAGTCCACAGCCATTTCCCCAGTGGTTTAGGGTGACAGGCCCAATATTATAGATGTGGAAGAACTGAAATGAGATGGAGAGAAGTGAGAGGAGAAATGGAGGTTGGAAAGACAGCCTTCTACAAGTTTAGGATTTCTGATGCACTGGCCCACTCAGCAAGAGGTGGGTGACATCAGGACTGCAGAACTCAGGACCTGCACACAGCCTGTGACCGGTGTAGTATCAAGAAGTGGCCATACGATGTCACCAGAAACCAGTATTTAGAAATTAGTCAGCAGGGGCTCCCAGCCTACTCTGGGCCTTTTGGTTCCTGTCAGCAGGGGCTCCCAGCCTACTCTCGGCCTTTTGGTTCCTGTCCAGTGGAAATGAAATTTTACTGAAATTCTGAGGTGCTTCTGAGCATGTGACTAACAAGAGAAGGAAAGTAATGAGCAAGTTCTCAAAATAGTTTCAGAAGAGACAGGTAGGCCTACCTGCTCAGAGGACACTCACTGCAAAATTTTCTTCTCAGCAAAAAAGAAAGGCTGCAGGACCTCTCTAGAGCAAAGAGCTCCTTTCCAAATGGGAATGAGATACTTTGTAATCTTTTTTTCTTCTTGCTAAGCCTTTGAAATCTGGTGTGCATTTTACACTGACAACACACCTCAATGCAGACCAGCCACATCTCAAGTGCTCAACAGCCCCAGATAGTGAGGAGCCACCATCCTCAGGGGAGCAGACACAAAGCCACATCACATGGAGTCAGCTCTGAGAAGCAGTCTCCATACAGTACAAGGATATGAGCGTCCAGGAGCATCTGTTCTGAGTGGAAGGATGATTTGTCAGGCAGCGCTGACACAGCCTGGACTCCCCCAGATTCTCTGCCACCTGCTAGATAATGCCTGAAATTCTACCATCTGCTCCTTTTAGGTCTCATATCCTTTAAACCCTAAATGGGACTTACCCTTCTCTCTCTTTTTTACTCACGGGGTAGATCTGAATTTATGGAGGGATGTAGGCTACGAGGTCTGTCCTTCATGGGAAAAGTCGCAGACCAAGAGGACAGAGGATCCGCTTCTTTGACCCATTGTAGACTTGCCTGATAGCCTCCCTGACTGTGCTTGGAGGGGTACTCAGCAGCCAAGGTCACCAGGCCTCCCAGCAAACTGGCTTCCCCGGGGCCAATCGTCCGACTCTCGGAGCCCTGGAGCGCTGATTCCTTCCGCCGCTCTGGACCCGGGTTAGCCTGCTCACACTGGGAGGGGGCCTCTCATCTACACAAGCTTGAGCGGTTTCTGCTGGGCAGAAATTGGGATTGTCTCCACTTTGCCCCTGCAGGCTTAGGAAGGATTTCAGTTTGGTGGTTTCTACAGGCCTTGGACCCATTTTACTCTATGGACTTCTGATATAAACTCGGCCCCTTGTGCTATTGTGGGACCTGATGACATGCTAATATCTGGGAGAAATGATGAACATTTCAGCTCCCAGACCCCACACCAGTGCCAAAGAGCCTGCAGTGTGGAAGAGGCTGAATGTAGGGGGAGAGAGATTGGCAGCCCATGGAGGGGTAATTTTGGCAGCCCTTGGAGGGAGAGAAAGGCTCTCTACATCAGAATAGAAGCCTCACTTCCTAAACATCCTGTCGAAGTAAGAGTGTGTTCTTAAGAGAATTAACCAAAATTATTACACAAATTCTTGGGTTCCCACAGTCCATGGAAAAAACAGCAGCCAGCATGGAACTACAGATACCTAATAAGGATTGGGAGTCATCTGAGCCCCCTGATGTTGAAAATCATCAAATAAAGCTGATTTATTTGATGCAGCTCAGGGCTGCACAGGACAGCTTAAGCCTGCCCGTTCTCCCCGTTAGAAGGCTCCTCTCGGGTGAGCACAGTGGCTCACACCTGTAATCCCAACACTTTGGGAGGCCGAGGTGGGCGGATCACCTGAGGTCAGGAGTTCAAGACCAGCCTGGCCAACTTGGTGAAACCCTGTCACTACTAAAAATACAAAAATTAGCCGAGCGTGTTGGTGTGCGCCTGCAATCCCAGCTACTCTGGAGGCTGAGGCAGGAGAATCACTTGAACCCGGAAGGCAGAGGCAAGTTGCAGTGAGCTGGGATTGCGCCACTGCACTCCAGCCTGGGTGACAGAGAGAGACTCCATCTCAAAAAGAAAAAAAAAAAAAAAAAGAAGAAGAAGGCTCCTCTCCTCCTGCTCCAGCCTCTCCTTGCTTCTCTCCCTGGTCCCTCTCCATCTCCCCAGCCCCACTCTCCTTACTCCCTTCCCACCAACCAAAGGGACCAAAATGTTTTTTAAAAAATGTCAATTATTTATGAAATTCCTAGGAAAGGCAATGCTTTCTAGTGAAACACAACTTCATGAAAGCAAAAAGGCAGGAGTTGTTGCTAAAATCTTATCTTCACTATCAGGTGTGTCTCACTGGGTGACTTACCCAATTTGGAAGCAAATGTTTCATGATGCAGCAAGAATCTTGGCTGGAGCTGACTAAAACAACAATAACAGCAGAACCAACTTGTTAGAAAGTTACCAAAGTGATGTGTGCATATGAATTCCCCACTTTTTCCTAAAAGTTCTCAGACATCAGCTCCCATTCATGTGTGTGGAGGGGACATGGTTGTTGACTGGCCCATTGTCCTGGGTTTATAACTGTATAATGTGGCATGGAAACCACACACCTGCAAGGTCGCCTGTGAAGTTGAGAAGGTTTCAGAGGGAGAAGAATCATATTTTTGAATTGCAGGATTTGCATGTAGATTTTTCTTTTTATCCAAAGAAGCAGCAGGCAGATGACCAGGCAGAAAGGCCACTGGCCCAGAAGTCAGTCCCTGCCTGCCACTGACTGACAGTGTGAGCTTGCATATGCCACCTATCTCCCTGTGCTAGGACTTTCCCAACCAGAAAGCAGATGAGAGGCTGGACACGGTGACAATCAGGCATCTCACTGTAAAGAAGAAAGGAAAAGCAAAGCCTGTATTTGGACAGGAGAGAGTGAAATGGCAAACTCCAAAATTCCTTTCAACTGTGCATGCCTATTTTGTATGTGTGTGTGTGTGTCTGTGTGTGTGTTGTCAGTGTCTGACCCTACAAACCTCTGATCAGAGTGCAACCATGAAGTCTCACTTGGCCTAAACCCCAAAAACCCAACACTGCCACTGTTGATAGCATTCTTATTTGAGTGCCTTTTTAAAAAATAATTACCTGGGAAACCACCTGTTTCTGTACAATATTAAAAATATTTTACTTCCAAAATTAAGGTGTATTTGAGTTATTGTTGCCTAAGACAAACAAAACAAAGCATTTCGTTTCTAACTTTTTTTTTTAAAGCTATGCTCTTCTCAAATGGGGAGGGCTGTGTCATCACGTAGAAGGAAAAGCTGAACTTTGAACCGAATTGGGAAAGACAACAAAAGGTAGCTGAAGGAGTTCGAGTTTGTTATTATTCTCTAAGTCATTAAAACACAAAATTAGGACAAGTTCAAGGATGAGGAGTGTCATTAAAATATCTAGGTGATTCTTTAAAACCCCTAAAAGGCCCAGAGGTTTCTGGGGTGGAAATTCCCAAAAGCCTCAATCATGAGTCACTGTAATTTGTTGCCCTCAAAGCCTCCACTAGTTTTGGCAGAACTCAGGGCCCCAAATCTGGAGTCCAGCAACAGTAGGGAAACTTTTTATGGGGAGAGGATGGTGGGAAGGGATGGGTGGTGGGGAGAAATTGCCTTATAAGGAAACTCTTAAGTCCTGGGGAAGGCCTGGTATTTCACCAAACTAAAAAATTGTTAAGGGAAGATCCTTGAACCCCTTACTCCTCCCATCAGGAATTCAGAGAAAGAAGAGAGTGAGGGATATGTTATTCCTCAACACAGACTTGTACTATATCCCTCTCTTTAAATGTGAAGGGGTAACCCACTTAAGGGAAACATAGCGATTTCCTAGCCAAGCTACGGAGCATAGAAGACACGGAACTCACAGAGGTCAGACAATGAGGGAACATGGCTGAAGCCACTGGACACACCACAGAGACAGCCAGAGCCTCTGAGGCAGCCAGACCCAATGTGAGGAGCAACCACACCCTGGAAGCCCTGGGGGCAGGGAGGCACAGACGAACCTGTCCAAGCCCTCTTCCGAGCTTGATTGCCTGCTCTGCCATCAATCCTCTCTGCTTCCCCTCCAGCCTCTGATGACAGGGAGCTTACTCTTTATAGTCTTTCTTCACTGCACTCAGGACGGATGCTCCAGATAGTTCACAGTCAGGGTGGCAAAGGAGTCCCCAAGACTCCTTTGGGTCCCCCAGTCGAACACTGCCTCTCAATGGAGTGGGCAAGCAGTCGGGGAGAAGGGGCAGAAACCCTGGGTGGGTCACAGGCTCAGGGCCTAAACAAATCCTGAAGTCGGTGGTACTGGTTCTTCAGCCCTTTGGCAGACCAGCAATGGGACAGTGACCTTCTGAGAGTGCAGATAATAATGGGCTGGAAGTATCTTCACCCTGCCCCCAGCCAAGTGTGCATAAGAAAGGGGTCTGGGATTCCACATACAGATCAGAGCTGAACAACATGAGAGCGGGATGGGCTTTGAAACCCCTGTCTTGGTCATGCAGCTAGGGCTAGGTAAACTGAACTGGAAGAGCTGCTACCACCTAACCAGATCTTTCTACTTAGCTATTTGCCACTTTCCCTAAGTGCTTTACACACATGATGTCATTTAATTCTCACCACCATCCTGTGCTGCAGGTATTATGACTCCCACTTTATAGGTGAAGGGCTGCAGTAACTTGCTTAAGGACTTCCAGCCAGGATTAAACCTGCTCTGCCTGCCGGGTGATGGGGACACGACCCAGCTCCTACCTTCCACATGGCCAGGCAGAGACGGGGCTCAGCGGCAGAACGGCAGAATGGGTGGGTGTTTCCAGGCTCCTCCTAGACAGGCAGTGCATATGGACTCAGTGCTGGGCTGTCTTGGAATGTGCTTCCTGGGACATAATTACCAACATCAGGATTATTATTAGCATTAGGCATTTACATGACACTTAATATTTTCAAAGCATTGTACTACCATTTAATTAGTTTTTCCTTGCAACATTCCTGTCGAGTCCACACTTGATAGCTGGGGAGACTGACGGGGAAGAGATAAATGCTAAAGGTTGCTGTCGAAGAGGGCATGGCAGCACAATCTCTTAGCTTCCATTCTTTCTGGTGACCCAGCTAATATTAATTATCTCCCCTACTCCTGCAAATCCTGCACCTTCAATCCCCAGTTCTCCACTATCAAGGTGACTATGACTTCTAGGAGTTGAGGTGCAGGGATCTCTTCTTTGATGTATTTTGGCTCAAGGTCCAAACACCTTCCCCCCTCCAAAAAAAAAAAAAAAAAAACAAGACAAAAAAAATATCAAGTTCCAGTTCACATTTATTCAGAACTAAGGGCACCCTCAGTCTCTTTCCAAACCTTTCCATTAAAGCTACCTATAAAATCTCAGGGTTGTAATTCCGAAACCTAAGGCATTTTCTGATAGGAAGGTTTTATCTAGCATTTGGCAAATCCTAATTGGGTCTGTTAAAATAAAGGAGTATCCCTTCAGAGCAGAGAAGGGAAACAAACTACAGTAAAATAGAGGAGAGGGGCAGGTCAGCAGACTCTGCTCCTTGCTGGCAACAGGGGCTTGAGAGCTGGGCTGTGAAGAGGTGGCTTATCCCCTATCCTGAGAGCCCTGGCAGAGCATGAGAAGCTGCCAGTCCTACCTAAGATGTTCTCGCTGCAAGGCCTACTTATTCTGCTCTTTAGGTTAAAGAAGAAACCCCAGGGAAGAAGAAGGGGAGGGGTCGCGAGGCAGCTAGGGTCCCGGAAGACTACGGGAGTAAGGAAAAGGAAGGAAACTGAAGTCTCAGGTGCTGCGCTGCAGGACCCACAGCCCGGGACAACCCGCTTCTCTCTGCACACCTGCACCCCCCTTACAGCCAGGTTCTGGCACCTCCTCTCTCTTCTCCAGGGAATTCCCTTCACCGGGGTGCGTTGGACCAACGGAAACCCCTCCAGTGCAGCACCAGCTGCAGGTTCGGGAATCAGAGGAGTTCCCTGCCGCCCTGCAGGTGAACTGGGGTCAAGGTGGAACCATGGGACTGGGGACTAGTGGAACTATGCCTCCTGGCGATGCTGGCCCTCAGTCACCTCCTTCTCTCTAGCAGGCTTCCCGGCCTTTCCTCCCTACCCCACCCCCACCCTCTTCCTTGCGAGCCAGGGGCCCAGTTCCAGGGCTTAGGGCAGGGTGCTCCATGCGAGGTGGTGACAGGAAGGCCAACAGGCTGCCGGAGTCCGGGAGTGGAGCGACCCGGAGAGGCGACTGCCTCAGCGCGGTTAGAAAACGCTGGGTCATCCTGGTTTTGTCACGGGCCTCGACTGCTCCCGGATCACCACCACTTGCACCCTGACAGTTGAGGTGCGGCTCCGGGGAAGGCTGGGCCTTGTCCTCAAGGTGGGACCCGAGCTCCCTCACGTACCAGTCGGAGTCATTGCCTGGTGACCATAGGCAAGTCTGAAAAAGTCTTGCCCTTGGTGGGTCACCCCGCCGCCGCGGAGACCGGCCATGAGCTTGGAGGCCCGGGACCCTGAGATGTCCACCCCAGGAGCTCAGGGCTGGGGGCCTGCCCAGGTCAGCATTTCTGGCCCCCTACCTCCGCCTCCGGGGGCAGCCAACCAGCATGCCGGAGTCGGATGCTCGACCCTTTCCGGGGTCACTGAGCTGGGAAGCCAGAAGAAAGCAAGCCGACAACAATACCAACAAGGGGAGATGCGGCCTCCGGCGCGGCTCTCTGGCCAGCTCCTCTGGGTGATGCAAACGAAGATCCCTGTTGGGAGCAGGGGTCGGAGCCAGAGGCCCCACCTAAAGAGGCGCTCGCTCTGCGCGGACCCTCGGAGAGGGCGCAGGCAGAGTATTCCCCTGACCCACCCTGGCGGGGAACGCGGCCCCACTGGAGCGCCTGGGAGCGCTGAGACCTCGCGTGTGTTGCAGGGGGAAGGGCAGGGAAGGTTATAACTCCTGTCCCCACCTGGAGCCCGCAGGGCGACTTGGAGCGTCTCCTGAGGGAACTGGCCCCCATCTGGCTTCCTACGAGCTGGGGAAATATTCGGTGCTTCGTTTCCCGCTTGGTATGGGCATGCGCTTGGGGCGGGTTTAGCCTCTCCGACCTCAGTTTCCTCCTTTGTAAAAGGGAGAGTATGCTGGTTCATACCTTGATAGGCTCCCGGCATGCCCATTAGGAATGCCCAAGCCAGCCCACCAGGTGAAGCCTTCAGAGCCAGGCAGCCCAGGGCTAGCACCTGATAGATCCTGAGCTGGCTACCATCGTTCCGTCGTCTTTTGAAGGTGGAGACCCCTAAAGAGAACCGCTTCCGCTCTCTGCCTCCTCCCCCGACCCTGCACTCTCTATCTCTCTCTCTGTATCTCTCACATCTCTGTCTCTCATTCTATCCCCTTGGTAAATTGGAAACATCTTAGTGAAAGGTGAAAACAAAGTTTAACGTAAATCCGCCTGTTGTTCAATTGAGTGCAACCACAGAAGCTGGTCTGCGCCGCGCGAGTCGGAGCCAGCGTTCTGCGCCCCAGAAGCTTCCCGTGTCGCGGCCAGTTCTCCGCCGCGCACTCGCCTCTGGCGTCTTTATCTTGCGTGCTCAAATCTGGGTTCCGTGGCGGGTCTGGGAGAGTCGAGTCCAGCGGCGGGATGGACGGAGAGTCTTGGCTGCCGCTCAGTCCGGCCGGGCATCTGTGTCCACGCGGCCACCCGGCTCAGCCCACAGCTCCCGCCCTGGGCTCTCCGCGGGCCCCGACGCACCGGCAGTGCTGGAGCAAGGCCTGGAGCTCCGCCGTCCTGGCTTAGTCAGATGGCAGCTGACCCCAGGGCCAGGACCCCGGCGGCCCTCACAAAGTCCAGAATTCCACGGGGTGGGTCTGAGGAGTTGGAAGCTGTCGGTGTCACAAGTGGGGAGTAGACAACCGGTGCCACCATGCCCCAGCCGGCCGCAAGTGGGACCTCGCTGCCCTAGCGGGAGCGGGCGCAAACTCTCGACCACACGGAGGGCCCGGGTGTCAGGGCGAGGCCCCAGCGGAACCCTCAGGTCTCGCTTGGTGTTCAGGAGGCTGCTCACGCGACAATGATGGGACCTCCAGTCCCTCGATTTTCCCGTCTCTTAATAGGAATTAAGAGACGGGACGCTCGCCCAGAATCCCGTGTGTGCGCGGCTTCTCAAGACCCTGAAATTCACCGCCTCCAGGCAGCACGCGGCCCCAGAACGATTCCGGGACTCCAAGAAGGACAGAGCAGAAACGTCCCATCTATCCCGAAAGCAGAGGGTCTCCAGTTCGATGTGGCAGGCTCGCTGCGGCCCCAAGGGCAGTTTCGCTTCTCAGGGAATGCTATGCGAGACCTCCACCCAGGTGCCTAGAAGGCAGCCGCTCTGGCCTTGCGCCGCCAGCCTGAAGCTAAGGACCAGGACAGCCGGCTATGTCTGGCGAGGACCGTTCCGGGGCTTCCCGAGGGGTGCGCCAAGCTTGGGGGCTGCCGTCCCCACGCTTGGAGCCCAGAGCTTGCTGGACTGTAGCCTCCCTTGAGCCGCACGAACTCGGAACTCCAAGCAGAGGTTATAAGCGATCTCCGGATCAAAGTACTGTCCCCTTTCCCTGGCTTTCGAGTTTTATTCATTTCATGGAAAGGTCAAGCGTGGCTTGAGGTCTGAGCTACCCTGCACTGGTCTCGACGCCTGCCGTCGATGCTCGTCGGACACTGCCTGGCAGGGAGATTTGGGTTAGGAGCCACGTCTCCACCCCCACCCCAGGGCTCAGGTGCGTCGTTGGCTCAGTCTTCGCTCTCCCTCTAGCCTCGGCCCTTCTTACGGGTCCTCTCTCTAACACTGACCGCTGCCCGGGTGCTGTCTTCTCATCTAAGCCTCCCGCATGTCTCTAAGCCCCTCCTTGTGTCCTCGCTGGACCCACGACATGGGTGCTCTCCAGCAGTGTCCACACTGCAAAGTGAATGAAGTTTTACTGGTTTCATTTTTTAAAAAGGTTTAAGTTAATGGGCACTTATCGGGATAATTTGGACCATCCTAACCCCATCCAAATGAAAACCTAGACAATTGAGAAAACAATAATGGCAGCAGTTATACATTAAATATATATGAGATTAGGATATAAATGGCACATAAAAGTCCAGGATTTATTCAAGGCTAGAAATAGAAGGCAAGGCACAGGTGTCTACAGACGCTGCTCAGATTCAGTATCAGTTTCAAGGTCAGAGTTGGGAGAGGACCAATCTCATCCAACGCCCTCAGTTTACGAATAAGAACACTGAGGCCCAGAGAGCAGCGGGGTTCCGCCCAGGGTCACACAGCGCGGGGGAGGTAGAGGGAGTAGGAACGTAGCCCCGACTACCAACGCGGCGCCCGTCCCTGTGTGGCTCGGGTATTTTCTGCTTTCGGAATCGCAGGGCAAACCCGCACCCCCCACCCCCCGGAGGGGCTTTTCCTCCAGCTTTAGCTGTCTTGAGGTGGGGAGATCCCGAGAAGGATCCCTTTGTGGGAATTCCGTTGTCTCTCCCGCCTCAGGGGTCAATTGCCAGGAAAGAGGCCGGACGTCCCCACCGCAAGCGCAGGGCTTCAGGCACACATCTCCCCGCAGCCCCGAATACCCCGAGGGCGCCACACAGACGCAGTTCTCACTGGCGCCGACAGGTGGCGCGTTCCCCACAGGGAAGCCGGCCTTCAGCCGCCCGCGAGCTCATCAGACTCGGCTCCCTGCGCCACCGCCGGCTTCGGGTCGCTCTATGGAAAGAAAGGGGACTGGAAGCGGTGCGGCGGGGGAGCTCGGGCTTGGTGCCGAATGGTCTAAAATAAAACCCGAGAAACCCAGATTCCAGCCCTTCGGCTTAGAGCGGCCTCACGGTTCCACTGTTTAAGGGGCCGCTGCGCGCCGGGTGCAGAGGACAAGGCTCCGCCGGCTCCGCGGAGAGCACACGGGACCCACTGGGGTCACCCCTAGGGGGCGCGATGTCCCCCCCGCAAACCCTCCCACGCACCGGCTCTTCCATGCGCGTCCCTGCAGCCTCCTCGGCTGCCAGCCCCAGCCCCCATCCTTCCGCCTATTTTTTTTTTCTTTTATAAATGGGGGTGGGATGGAGAATAAGGGAAAAAGTGAGCTTTTTCAATTGCGGCGATAATTGTCCGCGAGATGGGTTTCTTAATCTGCTCATCCATTATTGACTGCTCCTCTAATATTTGGCTTTGCCGCTTTGATCGCCAGAAGATCACATACTTGACTCCTTTGCATAACAATTTTGGGGCGGGAGTCATCGGCGCGGGAGGGGAGGGACGTGCCTGGAATGGCTTTGTGGCCGGTATTCCACCCCTACCCCATCCCTACCCCCAGTCCCCCCGCAGGAAGTGAGCCCAGCCTTCCCTTTACCGAGCCCCCTACCCCTAACTACCATTCACGCTTGGACAGTTGTAGCGGGGGCGAAGAGGATGCTGCTAACCCCCTGGTGGGTGGAGGAGAGGTGGGAATCTTAGGAGCCCTAAGTGGGATCCGACAAGGGGAGGGGTTGTGCTTCCCTCTCGCCCTCAGCCCCACTACATTCCCAGCCCCAAGAGATCACCTTCCCTCCTTCCTCCCACCTCCGACACCCACCGGGAAGGGGGTGAACCCTTCCTGGGGGTGAATGGAGTGGAGTTGGAAGCCTGGGGTAGGAGACCGTCATCCCCCGCGCTCTCATCTGGGACTCAGGCTGCAGAACAAAACTGGGACGCCCGCGGCTTCCCAGCGGGATTTGGCGAGCTCTGAGACCAGTGGCGGCCTCTGTGGGATCCCTACCTAGTCCCTTACTCTCTTCGGGTCTCAGTTGCCTCATTTGTGGAGCGGGCTTTTGGTCTCTGCGCTCCCTAAGGTCCCTTTGATCTTGACCTTGGCACGTGTGGCCCACCCTCCCCTCAATCAGGGCTCAGAGCTGCTGAGGTGGGTCTTGGTGGGAAACAAAAAACCAGTTGCTATTTTAATCCGGGTTTAAACAACTGTCTCCTCTTCCCTGGCATAGTTCAATGGCGGGGGTGGAGGGGGTGGTTTGGAGGGAGAGATAGGGTAAAAGGTGAGGTTTGGGGTCAGAGCCTAGGGTCGTTCCAACTTCACATATTTCACTTCCAAAACCTCGGTCACTCCCCAGCTCTCACACAAATTCACTCACTGACACGCACACATGGAGACTATTCACGTGGACACGCACACACACTTTCACACCGACACAGCAAAGCGCAACCACACGAGAATTAGAGAGACAAAACGAACGCAATTTTTGCGTGCACACTCGGGCACACACTTGGACTCACTCACGCACCCACCCAGAGCCTCTGAGTCACGAACAAACACGCACGCGCGGGGCTACACACTCGTTCCCCTCCCAGCTTTCTGCTGGAGCAGGGGAACAGGGAAGATGGCCCGAGAAGGCCTTGGCATTGCAGTGACCCCCTCCCGCCCCCCGCATCCGATTCAATACGAGGAAGGAGGTGGGCGGGGTGGGGGAGACAGACGGGTTCTCGCCCCTCTCCCCCGCTCCCAGGCTCTTGAGACTTTCCGTTCCCTTACCGCCCCACCTTCTGTACTAAACTTTTTCCTTCCACATCTTCCCGCCTGGGCCCTGCAGCGCCGACCTCTGCTGGAACCCGGAGCTTTTCTTGCACCTCCCCGGGAAGAGGGTCCCAAAGATGCACGCCCCTTGGGCAACAGGGAGGCGCGGCCTGGATCGGGCTCCGGGGCCGGCAGAGGCAGAAAACCTAGGCGCCGAGAGCCAGGTGCGCGAACTTTTGTCTCCTTTTCCAGGGTCAGTGGGAAAAGAGCCCCGGGACAACCACCCGCACCCCTACAGGAGTCAAAGGGAAGAGAAGGAAGACAGTTAATTCTGGGACAAGCAAAAAGAACGGTTTTGGAGTCACGGGGGCGTTCCTGCACAAAGGACTTGGATGTTGTGTTTTTTCTTCTTTTCTGGCGTTTTCCGTTCCCAGCTTTGAAGTCGGGTTCAGACCTCCTGGAGACCACGGACTGAGCGGAGGGGTGGGGGTAGCAGAACCCAGAAGCCGCGCTGGCCCCTCCTCAATCGCTCCCACACTCTCACAAGCCCAAGGCCAGTCTGTGTGGACACCGAACGCGCCAAGCCGGATCCAGGCGAGAGCGGCCACTCGGACAGGTGGGGACCAGGGGTGGGAGAGGGTCCCCTAGGCCTGAGAACACCGACCTCGGGGAATTTTTTGGGGAGTGGGAGGGAGCCATACAGGGAGAAAAGCAAAATAAAAAAATAGAAGAAAATTCAGGCGTAGACATTGAATTAACTCCGGATTTTTTCTTTTTTTCGGCGAAAGAGAAAGGGGTTAAACCCAAATTCGGGTCTGGGTTCTGGGGTTTGGGTAGGATTCAGTGTAAGCATAAAAAGCGGGATGTCAGATTAAAGTGAAGAAAAATAAATAGGGAATTGTATGTAGTCCTCTTGCTTCCCGGAGCAGCGAAGTCTAAAATTCTCAGCTCCAGAGGCCTGTCTGGCTGTGTGATACAGTCCCAGCGAGGTTTGAAATTCCGAGGGGGGCCAGTGAAGGCTCCTCTTCCCGTAATCCGAGCCAAGGGGCCCTGCGTCGGGCTCCCGGACATCCCCGCGCAGCCCGAAGGCCGCCTGCAAACCCGCGAGCGGCGACAGTTCGGGTGTTTGCACCCTGGCGCCCTCTGCGCCCGGCGCGGGCCTGTGGACAGCCGGCGGGGCTCAGAGAGGAAACCAGGGCCCCAGGAGCGCTTTCTGAATCCTGGCCACCGGGTGCAATGTACAGAAATCATTGATATCTTTCCACCGTTTCCCGCGGGGAGTCAAGAGGAGAAAGGTCTCAGTTTGTCTGAGCTTGAGAGAGAGAGAGGAGAGAGAGAGGCACTATTTCTAGAACAAAACGGTCCATGCTGTGAACTGCCTTAGATAAGAGGGAGAAAACTCTGGGGGAAGACCGGATGATGGGGACATAAATCCAAATACTGAAATCCACGAAGGTGACAACCTCCAACAGTGGGCTTTTTCTCGGGCTTTCTAGATACCTAGACATTTTTAGTCTTATTTCATATATACAGAAAAAAAGAAATCCTCCCTGTCCCTCACCCCCTTCAAGGAATGCTCTGAGTCCTCTACAAACAAAGCTACTGCCCCAATTTCAGGAGTCAACGGAGCATTTTATTTTGTCAGCAGAGCGTTTTATTTTCAATGGTTTGCCCCCCATGCACCCCCCGGCCACCGGTTTTTTTCCTTTGCTGCCTCCCCTAGTCCCACTCCACTTTGGACAGAATTGCTTAGGATCCCTAACCAATACCCAAACGAATCCCCAGCACCCACCCACCCCCACATTATTATGGGCTCCAGATGAAGACCGAAACCGCGAGCACTAATTGAATTAGTCTATTGAAAAAGACTGTCAGGTACAATGACGTGACTCGAGGCCCCACATTTCCCAAGGTCCATAGGCTTTGGGGACCTGCGATGTATAGTCTGACCTTGTAGCTCATAATAACGCGGCACTTGTAGCAGAAATCTCCTCGCATTCACTCCCAACAAAACCGCTGGTCATCCAGTCCCCGTAGGAAGGCTGCACGCTATTGTGTTGCGACAACTCATTCATGTCCCGCACCACGAGGCCCCACCGCCATCTGATCTACACTCGAAATGCGATTACCACCCTGTGCATGCAACATGCTCCTACTCCCAGCCCATGGCGCACACCCCTCGCCAGGCTGCAAGAATTTCTTTCGTAATTCTCCTTCTGGTCCTCATCCTCGAAAGAGAGGTGGAAACAAGCAGGACCCTGGCATTTGTCTTTGCTTACACAAAATCCAAAATTCTATGGACACACAGGCTGGTCTTCTTTTCTGAACAGCATACACCAAAACCCTCAGCAAATACATTTCTTCATGCCTGACTAGTGGGGCTGACTTGGGTGTACACATTAACATTCACATACATACAGGGGCCTCCTGCCACACACAACTACACACACACACACACACACACACACACACACACACAATACTTTTATAGACTAATTTTCTCTCTGGGTGGCTCTCACATACCAAGCAAATAAACACAAATATACACTCTGTTCCCCACAGCCACGGGCCACTCTTCAAGACCGCTGAGCGTTTTTCCCAAAATTAGAAAAGGAGAGAAAGAAAGGTAAAATTTCTCAGCCTTCACTCTGATAAACACATGCCAGTCTTCCGACTATATGATCCCCAAACTCCCCTAGCTAGCAGCTCCTCAAACAAGTATGCATCATTCTCCTCTGTTTGGCCAGGTGCCTTTTGCTCACTGGGAGCCCCTGCCTATCCTCAGAAAATGCAGGAAGTCCAAGGACTGGAGAAGGGAAGGACGGTTGGGGTCTCTCTCTGTCCTATTTACCCAACTCCCGATCACTGAAGGCCTCGTTGGGACCTCCTTCCTTCAAGTGAAAAAATGTAGCACCCCTCCCCCAACTTTGGCATTTGAGACAAAATAGAATCTTTATCTTTCTTGTCGTTCTCCACTTTTATCTGGGCTATCCCCAAGAAAAGGGTACTTGGGGACAATCAACTTATTGCAGAGACGCAGCCCAGTCCATGGCCTTCTGTGCGCCTCTAGCTCAGGTGACTGCATAGCTCAGAACTACAAGGCCATAGAAATACGCACTGGGTACCCCCACACTTCCCTACCTTCGGCCCAAGAGCAGATGGCATTTGGAGAAAGGGGCTCTATTCCATTTGAGTCAGGCTTCCCCACCTGCTACCTGCAGGCCCACCTCTCTGCCACCCCGGCCTGGGCATCTATCAAGTTGAAAGTAATTCCTTAGCTCCCAAAGGCAGAAACGAGTACCCCCAAAAGGACCGCCACACAAATATACCCACTCGTGCATATACAATCCTTTACACACACCCTAACCCTTTACTCACATACTTGTACACACAACTCACCCTGCCCGTAGTTCCTCACTCACACGCCCAATCCTGGGCTCACTCAGAGTCCTGTGAAACCCTCACCCATCCCTCTCGGCCAACATTTGTTCACTCAGCCCTCACACACTTCACTCGCATGCTTGACAAGACGCCAATGCGCTCACACAGAGTTCCCAATGGCATGTTCATTTGCAGGAGGGAGAAGAGGGCGTAGGGTCTGGGTGGAGGTCATGGAGCGCAGAGCGGCGCGGGGTACCGAGCGTCCGGCCCAGGCCGGGCCTCGGGGAGGTGGGGGGACGAGCCAGCGCGCAGAGTGCCGCCTAATCCAGCTCGAGCTCGTGGGCCGCGGGTGCATTTATCATCCCATTACTGTAACAAATCCGGGCTCCACTACATGAAAGGTAAAATGAATTACCGACGTTAAGCCGTCAATAAAGTCATTTCTGTAAATGGTGTCTCCAAAGGGCCGCCGTATTATTCAGCTGGCTTTATCAGCTGGCTGGAAATTACGTGGAGGAGCCGGGCCGCGCGGCGCGCGGGGCCGCTCACTTTGATTAAGCGTCTTGCCAGCGCGATGTGACAGAGCTTTTGACCAGGGTTTTATTCACAGGCCTGTGATGAACGCCAAGCTGATCAGGCGGAATGAAGAGTAATTAAAACCTATAAATTATCTTCCGCAGCCCTTCTCGAGGCGTCTCCTGCAGGCGAGATAAGGCGTCGAGACCCTATTTACCGCGCTGAAAGGGACCGCGGCGCACAAAAGCTACGCAGCTAAATAGGATATTGATAGTGTCCTAATTAGAATTTAATTAAGTACCCACGCTTGCTTGCGGGATAAAGATTTCAATTTTGCGAACTTAAATATAAATAAAATCCCACCCCCATTTCGGGGAGAAGGGGTGGGGGCGCCTGGAGATTTCGGGGAGCCCTTGGGTGTGCTACTGAAGAGGACTCGGGAGACTCCAAGGTGGGGTTGGAGGCGGCTTGGGAAGGTAGAGAAGACTGCAGCGCAGCGTTAGGGAGAGAGGTTTTCTCCCCTAGGCTGCAGCGCAAGTCTAGCCGGGAACTCAGCCCCGGAAATCGGGGGACCCTCGCCTGCTCCCAAGATGCGGTGAGCAATATAAATTCCTGCTCTCCACCAGCCCTTTTGAGAAACTTCAGCTACTGTGGTGGTGGTTCGGCTTGTTGTGGGTTTAGTTGCATGTTCCTCCTAGCCTAACCCTCTGTGACTTTTCTGGAAAACTGGAGGTAGGGGGATTCTTTCGCATGTCACAAATAGACAATATTTCCAAAGGGATCCTTTCTCTACTGTCCCAGTTGCGGAGGGCGTTCAGGGCGAGGAGGTCCGCTGGAGCTCTAAGATGACACCCCCGAAGGCCTCGTTTGCTGACGCCTTTCTCGGCCACCGCAGGCTTCAGCATAGTCGGATACTGGTCCTCCAAAACGAATCCGGAGACAAGTCCCGCAGGTGCCTAGAGCTTCAGTCCACACGCCACCCCCGTCCCTCACATTCCCGGTTATGAGAAAATTTTGGGGGTGCCTCGACCAGGAAATAGCGAAAAAGAGATCGGCAGACGGGAGAATGATAGCAGCTGGAGGAACGGCATTTCCCTCAAACTAGGGAAGAACGCACAGAGCTGGAGCCGGAGGCACCCAGGGAGTTGGGAGCAATCCCAGGAAATTCAGTCACCCGGCAATTGAGGGAAACTCCCTGTTCACAACTTCAGCTAGCCAGGGCAAATACTTGGGGTGCAGCGCTTTCATTTATTTGATTTTACTTTGCAGGGAAATCTAACACAGAGGTTACCCTGAACTCTAAAAGCTAGGGCCTAGCGCGCATCCGCGTTCTGACTCGCCGGCCCCGGGGCCCTCCTGAGATTAATCTGCGTTGCCCGGACTCCCACTGCCAGGGAAGGTCCAGGCAACTGGCTCTGGGGCTATTCCTAGCCCTCTGGGCTTGGCTCTATGGCGCCAGGGCAGCTCCAGGGTGTTGTCGAAAGTCTGGACCGGGAAGGGCATGGGTGCGGATTCCCCACAAAGGGAAAGCAATGCAGCGGGCCGGCAGGAGACGTACAAACGTAAACGTGCGACGCTAGCTAGGCGCAGCGGGCCTTTCAGATTTTGCTATTTGTGAAAAACAAATTGCGCCTCTGAAAGTAACCAACTCTAGGTCTATTTCACATCACCGACCTCCCTGTCTCACTCCCCCTCCCTCCACTACACACACCCAAACCCACACCCACCCACAAACACACAAACCGGCAGTGACAACAACCACCCATCCTTCAATAACAGCAACCAGAGACAGAGGAGAAAATAAAAAGCTGAGTTTCTTAGGCGTGGGGGTGCAAAACAGCCAGGCTCCTGCCTACTGCCCCTGCTCCCGTAGCTCACAGACCCATAATCCTGCATTTCTCTAACAAGTTGTTTATGGAGTTGCTTCTCCATTTGCCTACATCCCAAAATTCACCCCTCCCGGGTTTCTTCTGCCCCCTCCTGAGTCCCGGCCTGAAGGAGGGGGAGGGACGCGGGTGCGGGCGCGGGTGGGGGAGGGCGGACCCGACGCACAGGGCCAGCGCCGAGGCGCCCCCTCTCCGCCAGCGGTTGACGCCCCCGGATTATTTATCCGCAAAGTCCCGCGCGCGCCCATTGGGCCGAGGCCCGAGTGTCAGCGCGAGTCCCGGCTCGCCATTGGCTCCGCACACGTGCGGCCCTGACTCACGTGCTTCCGGTTTGAAGGCAAAAAGTGTGCCTGGGTGATTTTTTTTTTAAGCGAGAGAGTTTGTGCAAAGATCCGAGCTGTCAGAGATTTGAAAAAAAAAAAAAAAAAAAAAAAAAAAAAAACAGCCCGGCGCTGGCGGAGACGCGCTCTCCCTGCAAAAAAAGCAAAGGCGATTAAAGGCGCTGCCAGCCTCACGCTCTGGGCACAGCTGAGCGTGACACTCGGGGAAGTCAAACCCCTCACTACTGCCTAGGAAGATGGCTAGACTTTAAATACTATTTTTTTCCCTTTAAGAAAAAAATTATTGGAGCTTTTTTTCTTGCTTTCTTTTTCCTTTTCTTTTTCTTTTTTTCCTTCATTTTTTTGGCCGTGGCTTACTCCCCATTTAAATCAAATCATTGAATCTGGTTGCAGAAAGAAAAAAGAAATAGCCAAGTGTCTCCATATCTGGATGTCTACAAATTAGAGAGGGAGAGACAGCGAGATCTATCTGCTAGATAAGAACGAGCGATCCAGGCCAGACGCCTGAGCTTTTTTCCTGCACCCGCCCCGTGCCTTCGCTGAGGCTTCGCCTGCCTCCTTCCTCCGCGCACCCCCACGGGCCGCTGGCAAAGTGGGGTGGGGAGCGAGGCGGTGGGGGCGGGGGCCGGCGCGGCGGCCGGGGCGGCGGGGCGGCCGAGCATGGAAGAACAGCAGCCGGAACCTAAAAGTCAGCGCGACTCGGCCCTCGGCGCGGCGGCGGCGGCGACTCCGGGCGGCCTCAGCCTGAGCCTCAGTCCGGGCGCCAGCGGCAGCAGCGGCAGCGGCAGCGATGGAGACAGCGTGCCGGTGTCCCCGCAGCCTGCGCCCCCCTCGCCGCCCGCGGCGCCTTGCCTGCCGCCCCTGGCCCACCACCCGCACCTCCCCCCACACCCCCCGCCCCCGCCGCCTCAGCATCTCGCGGCGCCTGCTCACCAGCCGCAGCCAGCGGCCCAGCTGCACCGCACCACCAACTTTTTCATCGACAACATCCTGAGGCCGGACTTCGGCTGCAAAAAGGAGCAGCCGCCACCGCAGCTTCTGGTGGCTGCGGCGGCCAGAGGAGGCGCAGGAGGAGGAGGCCGGGTCGAGCGTGACAGAGGCCAGACTGCCGCAGGTAGAGACCCTGTCCACCCGTTGGGCACCCGGGCGCCAGGCGCTGCCTCGCTCCTGTGCGCCCCGGACGCGAACTGTGGCCCACCCGACGGCTCCCAGCCAGCCGCCGCCGGCGCGGGCGCGTCTAAAGCTGGGAACCCGGCTGCGGCGGCGGCGGCGGCCGCGGCGGCAGTGGCGGCGGCGGCGGCGGCCGCAGCAGCCAAGCCCTCGGACACCGGTGGCGGCGGCAGTGGAGGCGGCGCGGGGAGCCCCGGAGCGCAGGGCACCAAATACCCGGAGCACGGCAACCCGGCTATCCTACTTATGGGCTCAGCCAACGGCGGGCCCGTGGTCAAAACTGACTCGCAGCAGCCTCTCGTATGGCCCGCCTGGGTGTACTGCACACGTTATTCGGATCGTCCATCCTCCGGTGAGTACCCAACTCCGGGCTGCGCCATGCCTTCTGGCCCCGCGGACCGCCCCAGAACGCCAAGCTGCGGCGCTAGGGAGAGCAAACCCGGCCTCGGGTACTCCAGTCTCTCACGCCTGCTTCCTCACCCCAGTTCCAGTCACAACCGAATGTTCATCCAGCTATGCGATCCTGGCCTCTGCGGCCACCACCCGAGAAGCTACAGCTCGTGGCACAGGAGGCTCGGGTCTCGATTCTTTGATTTTGAACTCTGAATCCCTGGGGCCTTCTTTGTCTCTTATCTTTATTATTCTTAGGAAAAGTACATAGTCAGTGATTTTCTTTCCAGGGTGTTTAGATAAGGCAGGAAGGTGGGCCTAGTGATGTGTGTCTGAAATCCCACCAGCCTGATCGTCCGAAGGCCAGATTTGACCAGAGAAGGCCTTGTTCAGAAAAATTATATTCACTGTGTGTCCTTACAGACACAAACACCATCTCGATATTTTCTGCGGAGAGACCGTTTACATTGATAAACATGGGAAACACAGGAAGACAGGGAGGAAAGCGTCTGAAAGCCGTCCCTCTCCCCCGGCTGGGTAGCGAAAAGAGTCTGACCCGGGTGGGTAGAAACCAGGGAAAGGCAGTTGCCAAAAAGGTGGGTGCTGGCAGCCCCTGGTTTTCTGGAGCTGAAAAACAGTGGGAGAGGAGAGAAAACAGGTCAGGCTCAGGCCAGGAAGCGTGTCCAAGGGCATGAGAGCCAGTTTCCTCCGTAGCTTCTCCGCGGAACGGTTCCCGCATCCTCCCCGCGCGGCGCTTTCCTTTTTTCACCCGCACATCCAGCAGACTTCTGGCATCCGTAGGCCTGTTTTTCTCGGCTTTCCTTCCACCACTTTTCCGTGTGCCCCTCGCGCTTGGCGAACCCGAGGAGGAGACCTGAGCTGGGCTCCGGGAGAGAAGGCCAAGGCCTGCCTGACGCCCCGGCCCGCAGTGTCTGGGAGAGCGGCAGAAGCTTTGGCCCAAGATCAGCACTCCAGACACCCGGTCCGGCAGGGGGCCGGGAACAACGTAGCCACGCGCCGCTTTCCTCTGGCTGGTCTCTCGCCGCCCCACAGCTGCCGGCCGGGCGCGGATCGATGCGCACTATCAGCTCCCGCCATCTCGAGCCCCGTTATTGACACGTCGGGCTCCCTGAACCTCCGAAAAGCTGCTTTGATTGACTCGCCTGATGGATAGAGTGATTGAGCTGTCAGGCTGCACGGCTCGGGCTGGCCGGGAGACTAGGAACGATTTTATTACAAGAGTCCGTGCCTCTGCACACACATACAACAACACTTCAACATGTCCCGGATGCAGAACGGGCAGTGGGGCCTTTTTGGGGCTGTGTGCATTTCTTGGGCTATTTCTCCCCGCTCAGCTAATTACGAATCAAAACCCCAGTTCTGCTCTGGAGAGGGCCTTGGCTTTGTTCTTGGCCACTTTCCTTCTTATGGGCCTGGGTAGGTAGGGGACCAGCTCCTTCTCCTGCTTGGGCAGTTGGGGGAGGAGGGGATGAGCCTCGACCCAGATCTGAGTCGCTGCAGTATGCTAGGCCTGGACTCTTTGTCATAGGACAGCTGGTTACCCCAGCCTCCTGCCTGCCCCAGGAGTAGGCTGCCCAGCCTTCCTCTCTGTAGCTAGGTTTGGAGATGCCGGCAAAGATCCTTCTTTCCAGACAGTTTTAGAGATGAACAGGCCTGACAGGGACTTAACTTGGTTCAGCAAGCTACCATATCCAAGGCAGGACCCAGCAAGTAAATGCCAGAAGACTTGGGTGTGGAAGCAGGTGGGCAGAGGTGCAGGCTTTTGAGGCACACACCAACAGTTCAATCCTCTCCTGGTTTTCCCGCTTTCCCTCCCTCCTTTCTCAGTGGGCCCTCCTCCCAGACTAGTATTTGAGGGGAACTTCACCTTCCTAAGGAGGTTTCCTGTGGCCCCTTCCCATTCCTATCTGGTGGTCAAAGCACATTTTTTTTTTTCTGGATTGTCCCTGCTTCCCTCCCTCTCCTTTTTGCTCATAGGTGGGGGAAGGGGCTGCAGTCTCCTTGCAAATGTCATCAGTAGGCAGAGAAAGCCAATCCGGCTTGTTTTTGTTATTCAGGAGTTTTTAATCCTGAAATTGCATCAGTTGAAAGGGGAGATAAGGAAGACCCAGATAAGAGAGACCCTGCCCCACGCAGCCGGTTAGAGGAATGTGGAAGGCCCTCCCTTTCTTATTGGCACCATCCAAGGGGCAAGGCTGAAAACCCAGAGCCAGGGTCATGAGGATGGATCAGGGCCTTTTCTCCTTCAGAGAAGGGGTGGTCCCTGCATCCCTGAGACCCTAGAAAAGGCTTCCTTTAGGCCAAAGAGAAAGAAGGCGAGGAGGTGTGTGTGGGAGGGAGGGGTGCGGGGAGGGGGGCAGACACCAAATACTTTGGAGCTAAGCAGCCCTCTCCCAGCCGGCTCACTATCCCGTTGTTTTCTGAGGTCAATAGCTACAAGCAGATGGGGTCTTATTGTAGTTTCTCCTGTAGGTATGATTCTTGAGGAGGAGAGGAAGATTTGTTTGCAGGCTGGCGACTCCCCCAGGGCCTGCCCTCACTGCCCCAGTCCTATCTATTCCGGGGCGGTGAGGACAGCAGGCCCCTGACCCCCAACTCTGGGCTGGGCCATATGAGCTCCAAATATCTCCTCATCTTGGATTCCTGCCTTCTTGGCTTGGAAATGTTGTGATTTCGGTCTGTCCCTGACTGTCCTGTGAGAATTGGGGTGTGGGGTGCACCTACAACCTCAACCAGCTTTCCTTCACTGCTCCTTTGCCCTCCCAAAGGGAACCCGGGGACCCCAGTGGTCTGGTGAGGGGCACTTCGATCCAGGGATTGGCTGGCGGGAGGGAGCCAGGGGTTCAGCAGGGCCTCCGAGATCGCCCCGGAAGCGCGGGGCTCGCGGCCCAGCTCGGCAATGCTATTCTCACGGCTTCCTTTGCCCTCTCCCCCCTCCCTTCTGCCCTCGGTCCCCACCCCCACCCCACCCCGGCCCTCTCCGCCGCTGCAGGTCCGCGCACCAGGAAGCTGAAGAAGAAGAAGAACGAGAAGGAGGACAAGCGGCCGCGGACCGCGTTCACGGCCGAGCAGCTGCAGAGACTCAAGGCGGAGTTCCAGGCAAACCGCTACATCACGGAGCAGCGGCGGCAGACCCTGGCCCAGGAACTCAGCCTCAACGAGTCCCAGATCAAGATCTGGTTCCAGAACAAGCGCGCCAAGATCAAGAAAGCCACAGGCATCAAGAACGGCCTGGCGCTGCACCTCATGGCCCAGGGACTGTACAACCACTCCACCACCACGGTCCAGGACAAAGACGAGAGCGAGTAGCCGCCACAGGCCGGGGCCGCGCCCGCGCCCCCTCCCGGCACCGCCGCCGTCGTCTCCCGGCCCCTCGCTGGGGGAGAAAGCATCTGCTCCAAGGAGGGAGGGAGCGCAGGGAAAAGAGCGAGAGAGACAGAAAGAGAGCCTCAGAATGGACAATGACGTTGAAACGCAGCATTTTTGAAAAGGGAGAAAGACTCGGACAGGTGCTATCGAAAAATAAGATCCATTCTCTATTCCCAGTATAAGGGACGAAACTGCGAACTCCTTAAAGCTCTATCTAGCCAAACCGCTTACGACCTTGTATATATTTAATTTCAGGTAAGGAAAACACATACGTGTAGCGATCTCTATTTGCTGGACATTTTTATTAATCTCCTTTATTATTATTGTTATAATTATTATAATTATTATAATTATTTTATCCCCTCCCCCACCGCCTCGCTGCCCCCGCCCAGTTTCGTTTTCGTTGCCTTTTTCATTTGAATGTCATTGCTTCTCCGGTGCCTCCCGACCCGCATCGCCGGCCCTGGTTTCTCTGGGACTTTTCTTTGTGTGCGAGAGTGTGTTTCCTTTCGTGTCTGCCCACCTCTTCTCCCCCACCTCCCGGGTCCCTTCTGTCGGTCTGTCTGTTCTGCCCCCCTTTCGTTTTCCGGAGACTTGTTGAGAAATACGACCCCACAGACTGCGAGACTGAACCGCCGCTACAAGCCAAAGATTTTATTATGTTCAGAAACCTGTAGTCTGAAATAAAGTGTACACTGTGCTCACGAGCGCTGGCGGCTCTCCTGTTTGCGGGCTCGGGAAGGACGTGGGTCCGGGCACACAGCGCCCCAGCGCCCCTGCGCACGCCGGGCGGGGAGCCGGCCGGGCCTTGCGATCACCGCACAACGAATGCAGGGCGAAGGGGAAGCGCGACCCAGATTTGGGTTTAGCCTGGGTCTGAAGGGTCTGGCGGGACACGCCTGGTCTCCGATTGCGTTCAAGGGAACTCAAAGGCCGACAACCACAGTCCTGGCTTCGGAAACGCTGCCTGGGCTGCGGGGCAGCTCCCCGCACCGGTCCAGGCCCAGCCCAGTGGCGGCCTCCTCCTGTACAAACTGCTTTTCACTCCAACCTGCACTTTTCTTTTTCTTTCTTTCTTTTATTTCCCCTGGTGCAGGTTTTGCTGCAGATTTTTTTTATCCAGAGATAGAAGGGGGCCTGCCTTCCTCCCTCCCCGACAGCCCGCTTGGGCGAGGGGCACTTTGGCCTGGCCTCTTGGCCGCCTGGACTCACTGCACTTCGTTTGCGGGAGGGCTTCTGTTGGCGAAGCAGCAGGTCCGGGGGCGGCCTGCGGAGCCTCGCGGGGCTCGGATCTCCTGGGCCCGCAATGCCGGAGGAGAGGAGGCCCAAATGCTGGGAAAGCTGTTCGGAGTGGCTGCTTGGGCCTTGAACCCGAGGTGGGCGCACGTCTGCCGTATCTGGGCCCTAAACCAAAGAGGGTTCCCTTAGGCATCCCAACAAAGCCTAACTTTCTTCCTCACCAAGGGGGGCGCACATAGAAGCCCCCAGGGCCCTCAGGACACCCTGGGTTCCCAGAAGGAAATGTCTGGCCTCTTGCTGCTAACACTGGGGCCCATCCTTCCAGAGCAGGAGCTGCTCTCAGATCTTAAGAGGTTAAGGGGAGGAAGGGAAGTTTCCTTCTCAGGAGGTATTATCTTTGTCCAGGATTTTTTTAAATTGTAAATTCCACTCCCACATTTTTTCTCTCTTCGGCAATATGTATGTATATACCCACACGTGTGCAGCTAGACGGGCAGGTGCCCACACATACTTGTGTGCATATACAATAATGTGCAGATATTGGTGCACCTAAGTTCCTACCAGTTTTTTGTGTATTCCTGTACCCGTGAGTATTGTGCAACTGATTTTCTTCTCTAATTAGATACACAATTGGACGTTTGTGAGTTCACTGTGTGTACATGCATGAATTTGTGTTTGCACACTGGAATGTCTGCAGGTGTGTTTGCTGGGTTTGTTCATGTGTGAGATCCCTGTTCTCTGTGCTCTTCCCTTGAGTTTCTCAACTGTTTTTGTAGGATTGATTTTGTGCAAAATGATAATGGCTAGTTATTCCACCTTTTTTATTGAAAAATTTTCCCTGATTTGGCCCAATGTACTGTTTGCTCCTGGCCGGGGAACTAACAGGGCTAGATCTCAATCCCAGGAAGCCTAGGTCCCCTCCAAATCCCTACATAAGGGTTTGGCGGCTAGAGTGGAATTGGAGGGTGCATTTGACACTGCTGTGGGTTCCCAACTTTATTGCAATTAATTTCCTTCCTTCCATCTGCCCATTGTTTTCTGGAGGAGTAACTCTTGCATATAATAGGTGCTCAACCAATCTTTGTGGGCAGAGTTAGAAGCAGTGAGATGGGCCCTTCCCTGGGGTTGGTCTAGGGGAGTTGTTTTCTGGTAGTCAAAAGCCTGTGCTTTGCTTGCCTTGGGGAGTGGGCTTGGACTCTTCAAGCCTTCCAGGCTTTCCTGTTAAACAGTCTGAGGCCTGTGTCTTGGAGCACCCTTCTCCTAATACCTCTCAGAATTTCAGGAAGAGTCCCATTCCATTTCACCCTCCCAGCACATCAGATGTGATGTTAAGGATGCTCAACTCTATATATTGGAGAACCTTACTATTTTGAATGTCTAGGAATTGGCTACACTCCCTTCTCCCCTCCCTATTGTGGCCTCTTAGGATATTCAAGTCCCCCAAGACTACCAGGTCCAGAGGCTGGGACAGAGGTCGGTGTGAGCAGCAACTCTAGGAACCACCCCATTCCTCATGCTCCCCTTCCTCTATCCAAGAGATCAAAGTCAAGAGCTCTTTCCTTTAACCCAGCGAGAGGAGGAGAAGGTGGTCACCCATCCCCATGATTGTGTCAGTAAAGTGTATAGACGTGAATGTCATTATTATGTAATTTGCTTTCTTGCCCATTATCTCCTTTTATCTTCCAATCACTATGGGAAAATGGATTTTTCTTCATTGTTCAGTGAAAGAACATGAAGCTCTGAGAACTTAAACATTTTGTTTGTGCCTCCTCCTTGACTATGTATGTCTAAGTCGCATCGACCTCAAGGATCTGGCCAAGGCCCTGAAGCCATCATCCAGGATGACTTTCCCATCTTCTCTCCATTTTTCCTTCTTTCTGATTGGAGTAGAGGAGAGGGGAGGAGGATTCTGGTGGGACCTTTTTCTTGCACGCCCTTTTAAAAAAAGAAACTAATAATGATCATAAACGGGCATTGATTTCTCTGATTTATGGGGCTGGCTTAGTGAGCCACCTGTGTATTCAGGTCTGGGGCTGCAGTGAAATAAATACTTGAGCACGCCATCCCAACTGCCTCATTTTCTGCTTTTCCTTTTTTTTAAAGATTGAATTGAACCATAAACTTAAATCTTCCTCAGCCTAAAAGGAAATACATGCTAGCTGAGTCTAAACAGTATTGATCCCTGGTTCTTTCTGAGGGCAAAGGTCTCTGTTTTCTTGCTGGAAACTCTCTTTTCTTCAGTAGGGTTAGGGGGAAGGCCATGGATGGGGCTGAGGGAAGGAGGAAGGAAAGTGGAAGGAGAGGGTGTTGTGGTATTTGGGAATGTGGGGTTGCTTGGTGTGATTGCGTTGGTTCGTGTGTATTCGTGGGTTGTACTGTGTGTGGGCATTTGTATAGGGATGGTACTGAGTATATTTATTTAGGTTTGGGAGGTGGAAGTGTGTGCTTTGGGTATATGGCCTCTAGTAGTGACTGTTTGATGTCTGTGGGTGTGTGTATGTGTACCCAGTTCTTAAGCTCCCTAGATGGGGCTGCCCAGGGAACAGAGCAGTGACCTGCTAGCCTGTACCCTCCCAGGCCCCTACACCCATCTGTCACCTGTGGCAGGGTGTCTAGAGATAATACCATGGGGGAGGCCACTGTGCCCCAGGACACTCCAAGCCCCAACACACACAGTAGAAAAAAGGCCCCAAAAAGGGCCAAGCTACAAGGCAGGGGTGAGCTTTGGCTGTCTCCTGGAGGTCCAGGAGATGCAGGCCAGGGCCACACTGCACCCTGGATGAATGTGTCTGCCGCAGCTACTGTGGGATGGCCATCAATTCCTTCCATGGTCAGCCTGGTTTTTCCTTTGTGTGAATGAGACAGGCCGTTCTTCTGGCGATCTAGTCAACCCACTATCCTCTGCTTCCACCATACAGGGGAGCAGGGCAGAGAAGGGCAGAGAGGCATCCAGGTGTCCTCCCCAGCTTCACCTCAGAGCCTGGACCCTTTTAGTCTGGATGTCACAGTGGGTTCAAATGGAAGACTATGCTCATCCCCGTCTGTGGGAGGTGGCAGAGTATCTTCATCCCTCCTCACTCCCACCAGAAACCTCCATTGTCCTCTCTCACTTTGAACTCTGAGGAGAGGGTTTCTCTTCTTTGGCAACCTGTGGAAAGGGGAAGGGCTAGGGACTCTGCCAGCCTCCACGCCTCCCCAAATGCTTTAGGCCAGTCTTTTAATGCAATGTCAGTGTTGGAAGGGTCCTCAGAGATTCTTGAATTACAAAATCCTGAGAGAGAAAGTGCCCCAAGAGAAAGCACAAGGCAAATGAGAGGCAAAGTCCTCAGATTTCCTATCAGTCCAGGCCTCTCCTCACTGTGCCGTCAAGTGGGTAATGTCAACATGCATGCAGTCACAATGCACACATGTACACACTTCCACACATACAAATGCATAAGCATGCACACACCCATGTGGATACATATGCACACATGCAAAACATAGGCATGTATACAAATGTCAGTGGACCAATATACAGTGTGTTCACAGCAAGCACATGGACATTGCCTGTGTAGAAGGTTCTGGCACACAACTATACATGAGCCAGGAATACACATACTGGTGTCCAAGATGCACCTGCATGCCCCAGCTGGTGGGCTTCACCCCTAGCCAGGGGAGGGAAAAGACATTGTTTCCAGGGCTCAGGACAGACCTGTGTGCCCTCTCCTTTCTGTGGAAGCCACCAAAAGGAGAGGCAGCCCCTTCTCTCTCCCCTGGAGGCAGCTGGTCCAGTCCAGGTGCCTGTGCTCAGACACAGACCCAATGCTACAACCCTCTCCCACCAGCAAGTACACTCAGTGCTCTGCCAGCTGTAGCTCTTGGGACCGGAGCAGACCCAGGGCAAGAGGAGGTAAACATCCCAAACAGATTTCTCAGAGGCTTGGTAAGTCATGGGCCATTAAAATTTGCTCCTTGAATTTGCTTCGAATACAGCCTTCTCCACCTGGGTGCCACTCTGGAGATGGAGTGGGCCCCTCCACTCTGGAATTCTCCCCACAGGTATGGGGGTGGGGTGTTTTGAGGACATTTGGGAAGATTTCAGGCTATAGTAATGGAAGACTCTAGGTATGTGTGACCCAATAGAAAAGCAGAAATGTATTGTGTGTGTGCATGCACACACATCCTGAAGAGAGTATTCTTATCAACAGCCTGTGACTCTGCCTTTGGCAGGCAGGTGGGTGGGAGTGCCAGGAGGGGGCAGGGGATTGTAGAGGAGACTAGTGAGTACTCGCCTCCCCCTCCTCAACTCTGATGAGGAGTGGGGTATAAAGCCGGGCACAACTTAGATTCCTCTCTGCCCCCTGCCACCACACAAGCGCACGGAGAAAGCTCCATCTGGGGTGCTCGCATCCTCCCCTCCTCCTGAAGACCTGGTCTGCAGGCCTCCAGGACCAGCGCAGAGGGGCGGGAGCCTCCTGTGAGAGAGATGAGAGTCCAAAGACAGAAGGGACCCAGGAGAATTTCTGATTCAACCACGACTACTGCAAGAGTGGGCTTGGGCCCTGACAGCAGCAATCGGGCCCTGACAGCAACCATTTCCTGCAGCGAGACCCACGGCTCTGCCATCTGATAAATAGAACACAGTGGAAAACTGGACGGAGAGAGCTGGGGAGAAGCCGCCTCCACACTCCCAATTTCAATACTGAATCCTGAAGAAAACAAAAGCGAGTCCCAGTAACGACCACAGCAGGGCTCTCCTTGCCCTTCCCCCGCCCCTTCACCTCCAGGTACAGGACTTGTCCATTTAGCAGAGTGCAGGCAATTCAGAAGATGTCACTCCCAGAAATTCAAAATTAACATGATCATTAATCACTGAGGGTCTTCCGTGCACATTGCTAGCCATTTAACACAATTTATTTCCTTCAACAACATACATTTCTGTGTGTTGCCTATTATAATCCCCACCTTACAGATAAGAAAAGTGAGGTCCAGGGTCATCCTGCTAAGGTCTCACCAAATCACGTTGAAGTCTATACTGTAGTTACTTATAAATAGAAGAATGATTCGCAGTCGCATAGCGCAGTGTCAAGTCTCCACATTGGTCCTGGACTTTGGCACCTGGGGGAGCAGGGGGAGCACTGATTTGCGTGAAGGGCTGTTATCCCTCCTCTCCTCTCCTTCAGTCTTAACTAGGAGTAGCCTCAGCACCTCTCCAGCCCTCTTCCCTCTTACTCTGTAACTCAGGTCCGAGTTCCTGCTCACACACCCCTACTCTACACCTCCGACCCGGGTCTCAGATTAGCGTCCCAAGAGATTCCGATCTTTTCCCAGATTAAGATGCCCCTATCCCCGCACAATCAGCAGTTTCCCCCCTCACACTTTCCTCCCGCACCTGCGTCCAGACTGGGTCCGCCGAAACGGCCCGCCCCATCCGGGCGTCTTGGCCTTGCTCCAACCCGGCTGGAGCTGCCCGCGCCCGGCACGGTCCGCGGAGGGCGCTTCTTACAGGCACTTCCGGTCAGCGCAGCCCAGGCCGCAGGAGGGTACGGCCCTGGACCCCCTCTCTCCAGTGGGGGCTGGAGATGGGAGCGCAACTGGGGCTCCGCCGAGGTCTCTGAGGGCACTTCACCCCCGCCCCCGACCCCAGGAACTGCGAAACCCCAAATCTTCTTGCCCACCGCGGGGCGCAGGTCCTGCCCACCCGCTCTCCAGGGACGCGCGCAGAAAGGCAGTCCCGGCCGCCTCCCCGCGCCAGGGTCCGGGCAAGCGTCTGAAAGCTGTGCTTGGGCCGCAGCTCCAGCCATCGCCCCTCACCCCCGGTTCTCCCGGGCCACGTTCATTGCACAGTTTCGATTTGTTTAGGCCGGGGTCTCCTCTTCTTTCCTCAACATCTTTTTCTGTGGGCTCCCCGCCTCCGTATTCCTCCTCATCCTCTGCTCCAAGGTTTCCGTTTTTTGCACCGGAGGCCGCCCTTCTGCGACCAGCCTTCTCCGGCCGCTCGGACTCGGCCTCTGCAGCGGGGTGCACCCGGGCGTCCCTTCGGCTCCCGGCCCTCCCTCTCTCCTCGTCGCCCAGCCCTGCCTCCAACTTTGCGCCCCCGGCTGCCCCGCGCCGCGGCTCAACTGGACATCCGAACGCTCCGACTGTCCGCTCCCCTCCCCTCCCCCGGCCGACACGTGGGGACCAGCGCTGACCTTGGGTGAGGCCACGCTGTCCCCCGCTGCTCTCCAGTCACCCCTGTATCCCTTTGACTCTTGGGCTTCCGAGTAGGGGCTCCCGGAGTATTACCAGGGAAAAGGGGAGCGCCCTTCCCCTGGTAATGAGAGTAGCCACGCAATGTCGGCTGCGCAAACTGGGCCTCAGAGCGGCCAGGCCAGGGTCAAACCAGGAAGAGGGGGAGGGGTGGACAGCAAGGCTGAAGAGACCTGACTTTATTTGTGTTGCTTCAACTGGTCCTGAATGGTTACACGAGGCGCGCGCTCTTGCACACACACCGCGGGCAGCCCAAACCCTCGCTGGCTCGGCCCGCCGGCTCCTCGCCCTGCCAGTCCTGAGCCGGCTCTGAGCCACTGGAGTCAGAGGGCCCGGGCGCCTGCCTTCTCGGTGCGGGCTGGGGAGGACCTGCTCGCGAAGGGCTGCCAACTGAACTTTTCCTGCACCAGGTGAGCCCCTTCTGAAATCCTCGCTGCGGGATACTTTTTTTTTTTTTGAGGGGGCGAGAGGAAGTTGCAGAGCAGCTCCGGCCCCACCACCTCTTTCCGCAATAAAGCCACCATCCTCAGGGCGCAGAGATTTGTTCTCCTCCTCTCCTTTCTTGGAGCTGTGTGGCCAGTTCTCTTACCCAGGCAAAGCTGAGGTTTCCTGCTCGGGTTCACTGTTTACTTAGGATTTCTCTAAAACTAGCGGCGCCAACTTGCCCTCCCTCTGCGCCTTCCCTGGCGGCCCCCACCCAGGCCTGGAGGAACTTCCAGAAGGGTGAGGCCGGGCAGGCGGGGGCGAGGAGGCCGCGGCCTGGCAGGGACTGTTCTTCCATCCTTTGCTGGATTTCCCGCGCCTTCTATCCCTGCAGATTGAGCTCTGGCCTTCACCCCGGGCCTCTTAACTTCAGGTCCGCCCAAGTGCCCTCCTCTCAGCAGGCGGAGGCTCACAGCTCTGTCGGGAGTAGGGAGGTAGGTACCCCAGGGAGGACGGCTGAACCTAGTTCCACGCTTATCTGGCCTCGAGTTTCATATCCATTCTTCATGTCCTCACAGGGCTGACCGCATTGTGGTGCAAAGTGACAAGTCGAGTGTTGACTTGGGGACTGCGATGTAAGTGAGGGACCCTGGGTGTTGGTGGAGGGGAGAATGGAGGGATTATTGCCCACTCCCCCCTCCGCCGTGCCAAATTCAGCCAGAAGTTAACAAAGTTTGCTTTTCGGGATTGAACCCGTCTTGGGTTCTCCGACCGCCCAGGGCTTGGGGTTAGGGAAAGGAGGCGCAGAGTCCTTTGTGCCCATCGCATGCAAACTTTGGCCCCAAACAGGACCGGCCACCAGGAAGGGAACCAGGTATGCTCTGGGGTCCCGGGCGGCGCCCTGGCAGCGGACGTTCCCGCAGGTAGTGCGCGACTTTTGCCCCAGGAAGAAGTCGCTGCTGCCTGCAGGGTGGCCTTGGAGAGGCTCGGGCCTCCATT
Organism: Homo sapiens; assembly: GCF_000001405.40. NCBI lineage: Eukaryota > Metazoa > Chordata > Mammalia > Primates > Hominidae > Homo > Homo sapiens. Next base: position 118,833,982 of record NC_000002.12, on the reverse strand, counting down.
GAGACTGCTCACTTCCTTTTCTCCGGGACCACGGCTCTTCAGCTTTTTCCGCCCTAGGCTCCCGCGCCTCCTCAGTTCCCCATGGGAGAGTTATTTGAAGGCTCCCCGGAGATGGGATTTGGCCCACCAATCCTAGCAAGTCAAGGCCCGCCCGGCTAGGCGCAGAGAGGCGGCCTCCCTCCCGCTACCCCGGGTGGGGTAGGGACCCCCTTTCCCCAGAGACCCTCTAGCACCTGAGTGTTGATGATCATTACTTTAAATTAAAAGTCTCTTTTCTCCTTTCCGTCTAAGCCTCAACTTAGTTTCAGAGAATGAAGCGTGAAAGCTCTTTTATGGAGATTACCGATGCTTCATTTATTCCCGCGAATGGCAAACACAGCCCGGGAAAAACCGAGCGAGCGAGCTCCTTGTCTCGGATCCTCGGCCGTCTCCGTGTTCACAAGCTCACTTGGCTGTGAGACGCCGTCGGGGAAAGCCCCTGCGTGGCTTCCCTGGGGAAGGGAATTGCGCGTTCGCTAGTGCCGCAGTCCGCGAGCATCCCTGGGCGAGACAGCGGTCTAGCCTCAGAGGCCCCGCCTGGAGAGCTGAGACACTGGGGGCTAGGGAAAGTGGTGGGCGTTCAGGGTGTCAGCCCTGAAGATCCCTGAGGTTCTGTGCTTATGTGAGTGTGACGATCCTGGTTATCCTCACTCCAAACCCACCCTTCCACTCCCTATTTTCAGTGGAATCCAGGGGAACTTGGGGCACATTACACAGGGAGAGCCAGGAGCCCCATGTACCATATCCTGGATCTCATTCACGTTCCCATCCAACCTTACACCAGCCCCTGTAACCTTTTCCGTGCTTGGCCAAGAGGCTGTGTCCATAGTAAGCACTTTGGTGAGGCTGTTTTATATTTGCATGTCTGCCAAATACAGCCCCTAAGAGCAGGCAACACGCCCCTAGAAAGGGTGGGTCATTTTGGAAACAGATCCAGAGCCGTTGAAACTCTGGAATACAAAACTCACCTTGTGATCTGGCGGTTGTCTCCTCCGCGATCAGGGATGCTTTGACTATTTCACAAGGGGCAGTTGGAAGGAAGTGATAATAGCCTCCGGCAGGAAACACAACAGAGGGTTTTTATTCTTTTTAGACAGAACAGAGAAGTTTGAAGAAGGAAAAGTATAAGCTCCTAAAAGAGAATTTCCAGAGTTCAGGCTTAAATTCCTTTGTGACACTGTGTTATTAACTCCAACGCAGTGGCGTCTCCACATTCCGGCCATCCCACTCTGGGAGCCCCTGTAACACAAAAGCTATTGCTGGGGGTGGGGGGAGGTAGCCAGGAGGGGCCACCAGCCTCCCTTCTTCCCACCTTAGCCAATGCACAGGTTGCAGGGAGAGTGCCAGCGCTGCTTTTGTTTAAAGGGGCTTGCTCTAAGACACATCTTACAGACACGAGTATGTGAGTTTCCCTGGGGGGTCAACACGGACCAGGCTAAAAGTGATATAGTCTCCCTTATTATACAGCCAATGACTTGTCTATAGCATGCAAGGAAGTAGGGCCCTTTTGGTTGCCCTGTCTGCCCTTAATGGGTAATGACAGTTTCACCATAAAGGTCCTCAGTGGCTAAGAGGGATAGGGTAAGTGGTTTTTTTGAGAGCAAGATCACCCCACAGAGCCTGGGGAGGTCCCACTGGCGCTATAAGGGAAGGTGAGGCTAGCCGAGGTGGGGGCGGTGCAACATGAAGTCTATTTGAACACACAGCACTAAGTTGGGAAGGGCGGAGAGAGAGCTTGCTGTTGACTGAACAGTTGCCAACTTTCATTAATTACTCAGTCATTTTATTGTGAAAGCAAATACCAAAATGCTCTCATGCCCATTCTGAATTAATGGCCTGCAAAATTAGATGAGGAGGGGGCCAAAGGGTGAGTTGAGGTGTTCAGAGGAGTATTCAGCCCTTCTTTCAAACCTAGAAAGTGCCCCCCACCAAATGTCTGAGGTGCTGGTCAGGGAGTTGAAAACCTAAGGCAAAAGCTATTCCTTAGTGAACAGAGGTTGGATTCTAATGATGACAAACATCAGAAGGAAACCTTCCTTGGGTTCTCATTAATTATTCAATCATGCAACCTGGCTTAAACCAAGTGCCTGCGATGTTCTTGGTACTGGGGTGGGCCCCCGTGGGATGGACACCTGATGTTCCAGGAGCCCATGCCCCCAGATATTCATTTGAACCGAATGAATTTCTGAAGTCTATGCCTGGGTGTTTGGAATATGTCAGAACCCATCTTTTAACTTCCATAATGTCAAGGCAATTCCTGTGGGACCATTTTTATTGGTTAACTTAGTTGAATTTATAATCTGTGAAATAGAAAACAAAGTCAGGTTTAGGTGCACATAACTTAGTTTATTATGTCAGAAGTTTCAGGAAAAAAAAACTTTATTCCTTGCTTCCAGCGTATGCCATCTGTTTACATAGCAAAATGAAACCACAGGTTTGTAGAATTTAGAGATGATAGTTGCTTTTCCTTGATACTTTCCCTCCTCATCCTTGTGTTTCTTCTCAGGTGCTTTTGATGTGCCTGCGTTTTTGATGGCCGCATTCTCTTGAAATGTGGTTGTGCGGAGCAGTCCCAGATACCTTTCAGAAGTGTGGCCTTGGGTTTGGAATGGAGCATGTAAGGACAGGATACAGAGTGACTTGCTGCCTTCTGGGTGTCATATAAAGTGGATGAAGCCAGAGGGGCACCCTGCTGAAATGACTCCCCGGTCTATTTTTGGGTCACATTCTTCAGAGTTATTACTAAGGAAAATAACTTCATCATAAGCATCACATTTCTGCATGGGCAAAACTTGGGCAGAAATTTGAAACACCCTTCTGGGCCCATTTTATGTTTAATTGCTTTTGATAAATTCACCATTGCAAGCCTCGTCCTTGAAGCTTACATTCTTGGAATTCTAGGACTCTTTCTGGGATTCTTTTAGGCATAGTCTATACATGTAGACCAGTTTCAGTAAAAATGACTGAAGTAGGAGTTGGCTGAAGTCAAAGAAACAGCAATGTGGTTGTTTAAACTGCTTTCCTTCACCTTTCCCAGGCCAGATTTTGGTGGTGAGCAGGCTAGTGGCTGGTCTTCCTATAAAGTGTACCACCTGCCTAATCTCTTAGTTTGACAGGGTGTAGGTCAGAGAAAGACTAGGATCTGACACCACCAGAATTCCCTTTTTTAAAATGAAGTGAGTTTGCCCCTAATAAAGGCCGTTTATAAAAGCCAAGGATACTATGTCCCTGGGGAGAGATTCAGAACTGGCCTCTGAGCTGAAAGATGACCGTTTCTTGTTGGTGTCTTGGTTAGGAAATCAAACTTGAGGCCTTTGGAGAGTGTTCGTGTGTCACTTTCGGGAGGTTATAATGCTTACGCAGAGGCTGGTCTTGAATTTCTTCAACCTAAGGGAAAGTCTCTTTTTTGATATTGTTTTTTATAGTGAAGGACCTTATAAAGGAGATGGCTCCTTGTGCTTTTCCTTGGGAACCCTAGTCATTGAGCTGGCAGCCTCTCTGTGGGGTCAAGGATTTCATATGCACAGAGGTGGGAAGCCACGATCAAACGGAGCGAGTCCCAGAACCACCCAGGATAAAGACAAAAAAAAAAAAAACCCTCTTGGATGATCTGACTCAATATCCTTGGCACCAGGACAAACAAGAGTCATACTAATCCCTTACAGTTTTTCTAAACATATCTAGAATCTCATCTCCGACTTTCTGAGAGGCAGATGTCAGAGTGAAAATGGAAGTTTATGGCACGGTTTGACCATTTTCGCTTTTACTTTTCTATTTTCTTATGTGGGAGGAGTGAAGAGATGGAAGAGAAGAGAATTTCTGGGAATCTTTAATGGTAGACATAAGGCTGATCTTTTTTTAAAACTGGAGTTTGCTGTTTAATAAATAAAACTCCACCTGTCAATCTGGGAAATGTGATGTTTATTTGAGTGGATGAAAGATTCATGAAGAGTGGCATCATGCGGTGTGTTGGGTGCGTTTCTTTCCATTTCTAGATTCATGTTTGGAAGGAGGCAGATGCCTTCCCTCAGGTAACCCAGGGTTCGAGCTAGGGCCTAGCTTTGTGGGCAGTCCTCAGCCTAAAAGACCTTCATGAGTAGCCGAAGATATCCAAACTCCCAGGCTGGGGGTCATTTTTTTCTGGTCTTCTAGGTGCCTGTCCACACTCCTCAACTGAGGTGGTAGGAAATGAACACAGATCACCTTATGGGAAAAGGAGTAGAGAGGTGCCCTTCAGATTTCAGTGTTCAGTTTAGCCTGTTTTCCTTCCATTACTACATGTCTGAATGGTGGGAACTTTTTATCTGGAAGGGAATTATTCCTGTGCACAATTGTCAGTCCTGCCAGGAAAGTTATGGCTGCCCTATAAAAGAGGACTGCCTGTCTCCCTTTGTCCTAGGTTTGGAAGGCCTCCTGGTCAATAAATACATATTAATCATGTAAAAGGATTGACATGCAAATGAAGGGCATCATTGACAAGCCCTGGATGGCAGAGGGGAACCCTGCTGCAGCTGTGGTCCTGGCTGAAGAAGCTGGGGCTGCACCAGGATCTTTGCTTGGTGTTTTCTGAAGGGTTAAATGCCCTTTTCCAATAAATATGTGAAAGAGTTAATTGAGCTAGAGATGGCTTTAGGATCTTTTGCTTTGCGTGCTTCTTAGCTCTGCCAAGTCTCCAGATTTTTTTCTTCCTATTTTAAGTCTGGCATTAAGCAGGCCACCCTTTGGATCGCCCTGTCTCTCGGCCCAACTGGAAGCCTCCAAAGGTACTTTGTTCTTTCCATCAAAGAAAAGTTGAATCAATCAGAGAAATGGTTAAAAGCTTAGATGAATTTTTGGAGGAATGCTTGATATTGCAGGAATAATTGTTAGTTGCCATTATGAATTATTGCTTATAAAATAGTGTGATGTATATTATTGTGGCTTTCTTTACAGAGCAAAGGCACTACAAAATAACCTTGCTATAGCAACACCAAGCTTTGACTCAGATTTTTCTATATGCATGGCACCTGTGGCTATGTATGTTTCATAACAATAGTTTTTAATATACATATGACCACTGAAAAATATGATTTTGGTGTCAGGATATACATGGAAAATCTTATGCTTATAAAGACAAAATAAAATGCATTATTATATGTTCCCAGCTCATCTTTGGGGTGAATATAGTTGCTTTATCTATAATGAATCATTAGGATATAAGAAAATATTTTAACCTCGCTGATAGACTAAGTTACTATATATGCTGAAATAAAAGTGATGAGAATCATTTGTGGTAATGGATGTTCTAAATTTGATGTTTCTTTATGGGTGCAGATGTTTAAGAGGTGGACAATTGGAATTTGGTGGACAATTCAGGCTCTGAGTTATATCTGTGGGCACTTGTCAGCCAGGATGCTTGCATTTAGCAACTTTGGAATTGGAGCATGAAGCAGCTGGTTTTGGTAATATTCCTTCTCAGGCCATAGGTGTCTAAATGGGCCCTACTTTGATGAAGACTATAGATGTCTGGAGATTCTGCAATATCAGGCCCTAGGAACAGTTATTGGGGAAACACATACATGGGCTTGGTTGCTGTCTTTCTTTTATGGTCTACGTCTAATCTTATCTAATGCTCTGCAACTGAATATCAGATCCTGTCACACAAACCGGAGGAAAGCAATAAGAATGTAAATGGTCTTCCTCTCCTAACGTGAAGCACTAAATGCTACCTTGTGAATTAAATGTATCTGTGGATGACCTGGGGACCCAGCTTTTTCTGTATTTTTGGGTTATATTAGTAGTGACCAACTAACATATTGACTTGCCAAAACATTTGAATTTTCCTTGTAGATAAATTCGCAGAAAGGATATTTTCTGATAGGGGCTTTTTAGCTCTGAAAATCCACACCTAGTTCAAAATCAAACACTAAATCTTCTAAATTCTTGCTATGAACATAATATATTTGATGTACTTTATTAATATTTATCTGGATTGTAGGTGAATCAAGTATTACCTAAAATTCAAACCCACTGAACATGTTGTCTATTGAATTGCTGTGTGTGTATTTGTATGTATGTGTAAAGAAGAGAGTAGCTACTGCCAGAGATAAATTATTTAACATGATTTTCCTATATTGTGGAGAGGCAGGCTGAGCCTCATTTTTTGGATTATGATTTGTATTATGAAATGCTTATCAAATGTTTTCCAAAGATTAGTTTAATTTTAATTAAATAAACCTTTCTCAAGAGGAGGCTCCCAACTATTTCTTGTACCCAGAGGCTAACGTACTTGTTGTTTTTAATTATTTTCTGCTGTTACCCAAACTGCTTTGGGTACTCCTGCCCAATTAAGTCAAAGGCACAGGTTTCTTATACACAATATGTTTAATATTTAATTTTAATTAAATTAATTAAATTGTTTATTTAATTTTATGTGCATTATTGTACATAGAATAATGCAAAATTCATGATAGTAAGAATTGGGGTGGGGAGGTGAATCAGAGAGCTTTCAAACATGCTAATTACAACTTCCCCTTCATTTCCAGGGGAAACATCCTAATGTAAGGCAAAAGATAAACCTGAAGTTTCTCTGCAGCATCCCATGGCTTTTAGCCACTGTAGAGTTGAGTTTGTTGGCCTCTTTCATCCTACGGAGATTGCCTCGCAATTTTCAGCTATAGCAGTTGCTCTGCAGAGGAAAGGGTATATGCAAGTATGTACATGCTGCTGTCACAGCTCATGCTCCAGTGACATTTTCTACTTTGCTGAACACAGAGCTACCAGCACAGTGCTCCTGGGGAAGGACCATTTTCTACCCAGAGACAACGGCAAAACTTTCAGTAACGTCTTTCTACTCAGGAAGGGCCCATCCCAATGGCTTTGAGCTGCCTAAGCCAGAGCAGTGCTTAAGAATTTGGAAGCATTGGCGGGGTCCACCTTTTGGTTGGAAGCAGTTCCTTTTAGGGAGGGGTCCTTTTGCCTGGCTCAGTTTCCATTACAGTTTGCATCCTTAGGGCATAGTTTCTCAGGAGTGTTTTTATCTGCACAGCGATAGCCTTTGCTGTCTCACACTAGAGTCTTAATTCTCAGGATATTCGTTTGAACAGAAATAGGATATAGACACCAAAAAAAAAAAAAAAGCCCCAGAATACTTGGGTTTGCTCCCATTTGAGTTGTCCCTAAAATGATGAGCTCTGGAGTCAAACATTTTCAAATGCCTCAGTTGAAGGAACCCACTGAATTTTGACGCATTTTATTGTCTCTCTTCTCTATTTTCGTGATGTAAAATAATGACATTTTTACCATCACGGTCTGGCACTTGAGACATCTGAGCCAAACTTTCCAGACTTGACCTCATGAAGTGGTGTAAACTTCTTTTCATTTTAGGGTTTTGCTCATCTGGGCCACAGTTGAATATTTACATTTACCATCACTTTATATATTTTTCCTTTGGGTAGGGGATAGTTTATTTCTTGGTGCCTCCTGCTTATTGAAACTTGTTAACCATACTTAATGAGATCTAACCTTTAACTTGATTCTCTCAGCCACTGAGAAAAAAGGAGAAATAAAAAAATAAATGGAAAGAAGGAAGAGAGAGAGAGAGAGAGAGAGAGAGAGAGAAGAAACTAGGACTAGTGTCCTTAGGTAAAGTTTCGGTTTCACTAGCTACCTTACACAAGAATGGAGCTGCTAAAAATAAACTCTCTTTCTCTTTGTTGTTGTTGGTTTTTTTTTTCCCTCTAAGGCTGGTTTTGTTTCAGTAGATTAAATATTATTATAAAAGTAGCTGATGATGCAGTAAATTAAAAATCAGGTTGTGGAATGTTTTGCAAAAGCCTTTTTATTTCTATGGCACTTAACCAGTTGAAGGAAACATTAGTTTTAAACCAAAAGCATTTGTCAGGAGGAGTTTTTGCTTCAAATAAGAGTTTGGAAAATATGGAGAAGTACAGTTAGCCAGAATGGACCTAGTAAAAAGAGACCCTGAATTTGGAGAGAGATTAATGTTGGCTCACTATGCATAGAAAAACGTCACTTTCTCTCTCTCTATTTACATTGCTCATCTGTAAGCTTAAAGACATTTTTTAGTATAAAACATAAGTCTGGGTAGGTGCAAGAAATGTATCTGAGGACAGATGCAGTCGAATTTGTAGGGCACTGCTGTGTCACCACATTTACCATCAAATTATGAATTAAACAAGAAGAATGAATAACAAATTAGGATTCGCCTAAGCTTAGCTTTGTGCAGTGGGACAATGAAAATTTATTTGAATGCTATTCCTTGATGAGGTTACAGATTTTCTCCCAACAGAAGATACACATTAATACTGTGGAGACAATTATTGGAAGTTCATTTTCTGTGCACATCTTAGAAATCTTTTCAGGGAAATGGAAAGCTAGGGTGAAGAGTCAGATTTTAGAAATCCCCCTTCCCTTTGTAACTTTTCCTATGGAACTTTCAGTGTAGGATAGATTTGTTAAGAGAATATTTTAGAGGATGATATCAGAAATGTTCAAGCTGAGTTGTATGTGGGGTTTTTGTTTGTTTGTTGCTGTTTTTGTTTTGTTTTTGCTGATGCTTAAGAAAACTGTTGGCTTTTAGGACTTCTACAACATGCTGAAAATGACAGGCTTCTTACAGCTGGGCAGTAAAAAGTGGTATTAAAAAATACCACACTTTCTAAAGCCGACAGCACTTTAAAAAGTACGGTCAACTGTACTCCTCCTCACCTAACTGGAACCGGGAAATACTGTGTTGCGGCCCTCACTAATGCCTTCACCACATGCTGACATTCAGGGGAAGAAAGGAAAGGTTGCTGGGAACATCAACAGTGGAGCAGAGAAGTTAGATATACTAGGAGTAATTTATTGGGTTGCTGGATATGAAAAAAACTTTTCAAGCCTCTAATGTAACCCACGTGCATCATCATTCTAAGATTATTAAAGAGACTAAATAGAGAGACATCTCAAGTAGACATAAGAACACCACCAGGATACATACCTAGGGCATTTTGGAAAACTAAGACAAAACAAAACGCAGTACCACTGACGTCTGTCTGTTATGTAGACAGATGTTGTACGTAAATGATATTGCCTTATTTTTTAAATCAACTTTTTATTTTCAAGGAGTTTTAGATTTATAAATAAGTTGTGAAGCCTGTTGCCTTATTTGTATTACAGGCATTACCATTGTGAGTATAATTTCCAAGATGACCTCTTCCTGAGGACATTCTTGAGAGGCAGAGTCTTCCTTCTGAGGAGGTGTGGATATGACACAGTTTGCTTAGTGTTAACAGGGTTCCTGGCTCCCTGGAAGAAGGGTCAGAGACCTCACATGCAAATCAGGTTATAAAGTAAAATAACAGTTAAATGTATTCAAATAGCAGATTGTATATTTTAAAAAACAGCTAGGTTTAGTCCAAAGACCAGCTTTGCAAGGACTGTTTTTATATAGGTAACCCTGTGGTTTCATCACTTCTTCCCCCCCTGGCCTGTTTGTTTCTGTAGACACAGTCAATGTTATCTTGCTGTGTCTTTCTCGGTGTCACCTTTGAGATTCGGACAAAAACTGGGGGAAAACCTGAGGCACGGCCTCCGTCCTCACCTAGTTGTCTTCACTTCCAGGTCCAAGGAAGACTTGCTTACCGCCAAGGCCAGCCTGGTGCTGTGTGCCTGTGCCATAGTGATTCTGTTCTGTAGCCTTGAACCCTAAATTGCTAATTTCCTGCATTGGGTTTTATTTCAAAATGGGCTTAATTTTTGAAGAGTTGGAGGCTAGGGAGGTAAGAGTGGTAGGAAAAAACCCCTTTTGGAAATCAATAACCAAAATCATTTCTCAGAGTTATTAAAAAGATGGAATTGACTGCCTCCTCCTGCAGTCCCTCCGTCCCCTGCCTGCCTCCACCCCTATGTGCTAATCACATTCAGGCCAAAGGCAGGGAGGGCTACCTGGCTGCAGCCCAAAGGACATTTTATTTTATTTACAGATGAGCTGTTAACGCTTGAAACACAGATTCATCTGAGAGCTCTGCTTTCCCCATTTCGGCAGTTCAAGCTCAGAGCTGCAACAGGACTTGCCTTAATTAGCTGTGTCATTCAGAACATGGCCAACAAGCTGCAGGCCTGGGAGGAGGGGCCGACCGGCATCCTTCCAGCTGCCCCCAAAGCCTGTCCACCAGAAGGGACTCCTTCAACACATGTGCAGCCCAGGACCTGGCCACAGAGTGGACTCAACTCCAGATTCCTATGGAACCTGGCTGCGTTCCTTTACCAAGTGGGGCTCCAGGAAATCATCTCACACCTGGGCTTGCCATTTCAAATAACAGTTGACCTCCTGGAAGTAATGACTTTGAACGGATATGTTCTTATTTCAATAGTATTGCAACCGCTCAAAATCTTTTAAGAGCTTCTCTTTTGGAATTACCTTTGAGAGTTAGTTTACGAATCCCATATTCACATACACACCCGGGCATAGACACATAAAAGGAGTCTTGTTATTTTATACCCGAACCTCACTCTTGCTCAAAATAGCATTTCCCAGTTTGATCACTCACCTTATTCATCAGACTTGGCTCAGAACTCCTTTAGACTCTTTCCCAAACTTAGATCCTCCCTTAATAAGGAAATTTCTCTACCACTGAGGATTTTCAAAAGAATGTGCCACAGGCTCCCACGGCACTTTCAGAAGAGGAATTCTTAAGAGGTTTTAAGCATGGCAGTGTAATCGGAATAAATGTATGAATTTCCAGGGTGTGTCTTTGGAAGGGGACAAAACACATTTGGATGTGAAAGTTCTGGGTTGGTGGAAATTCCAGTTGGGAAACATTATTGCCACCAAACCTGCAGCACCCCTCCTACCCCCACTGCCAGCCTGAACCTTGCTCCTCTGGGTGCTGGTGAACTATGAACATTTTCAAGTGAATATTTGTTCCAGTTTCAAGAAAGGTAGTGCAAGCTCCTCAGATGCAAATCAAATGGCCTGTATAAGGGCATGTTGAAATGCCTGGAGTGAGAGGACCTTGCAATGGTTCTGTCTTTTACCAAACTCTTTCTTCTTGCATCTTTAAAACTCTTCTCCCATAATACAGATGTATAGACAACAATGACGAATAAAAATGCATTAGCCATGAACCATCTTCTGAGAATACAAATACATTTCTGGTGACAGAAAGACCTAATCTGTATGGAACATGCTTCTTTGTTTATATATATATGCCCCAGGATGCCCCACCCTTTCTTCTAGAAACAAGCACATTGGAACAGAGCAAGAGGGAGAGTGGAATACTCCCTGATAGGCCTGAACATGTGGCATCAGTAAATCAAGGGTTCCCAGTAAAATTTGGGGGGAGATAATCTGATATTTGACATTTGAAAGATAGCATCAAAGGAGTTGTGACTGGAAAAATCCGAGCTCACTGGGATTTTCTTAGACATAAATTGCTAGTTAGCCCTGTTTTATTTTGAGTTATTTTTGCAGGCTTCTAACCTTTCCAGTGCTTAATCGAGCCCTGCTGTAGGTGGATTTTCTTTATGGAGGGAGTACACAGTGCCCCAGGGAAGGGCTTGGCCTGAATGCTCAGTGTGCATGGGAGGAGGTGCCTGGAGTGGAAGGGAGCCCATCTCACTGGGTGAGGTGCGTGAAGAGGGTTGTGCGTGGATTTGGGGCAGCCGAGGTGAGGCTGCAGGGAGGGATGTGGTATGGGAGCCACCTCTCCTGGCAGGCCTGACCACCACCTCTGGGAGACCAGGCTGCTCTCTTCAGCAGAGGGCACTGTGCCGGCATTGGAATGTCTGGTCCTGCTGTCAGCTGTGTGACCTTGGGGAGGACTCCTGCCATCTCTGAATGCGAGCCTATCATTTGCAAATTGTGATGATTGGATTAGCTCTGCAATTCCCTACTTGGGGTTCTTGTCAGGAGTATTGGGGGAGGAGGGCCCTCTGACAAATCTCAGTGTTTTAAGGTGATTGCTGGAAGTATATCTGCGCTCTGCTTGTGTAGGATGCCCTGGCCAACAAGATTGGACATTGTCTTGTTTTGGGCTGAAGACAGAACGGCTCACTGCACTTGCCAATGCAGCTGCATGTTGCCCAGAAGGTCTGACTGGCAGTTACATGTGTATATGATGAATAAAAATGGGAAAATGAATGGATTATTATTTAATACATATTTTTAAAAGTAGCATTTATAAGATACCTGGCATACTGTTGGCTCCTAGTAAATGGTAGTTATTATTATTATTAACATTATTACAGCCAATCTGGTTGGCCAAAGCTTTCAAAATGTGGGTGGTAGCAGGAACATTCTGTCTTTGATGGGGAAATGGTTGGGAGCTGCTGTGGGGCTGGTTTGCAAGCCCCTCCATGCAGTAATGTGGTCTTAGGCTTCTCTGGCTGCATGTTCCTAGTGCTGGTAGACAGGGTGGGTGTGGGAATTAGTGGCAATTCCCAAGCACTGAACCTGAGGAAGCACTGACAGCCAGTCCCTCTCCTTGGCTCCTTCTTAGCTCAGAGCTGACTCAGGCTTCAGATGGGCTGGCCACCCACTCTGGTGGGCAGGGTTCTGTGACTACCCCTGAAAAGCTTAGGGGTCCAGCTACTTGCCTGTTCACTGACTGTGTGTTGCCTACTTTGATGGGGACAGGGATGGGGTTAGGGAAAGACCCAAGACTTAGAAGGGACAGTTTTCCTCCTCAGTGAATTTCAAATCTAGTTCATGGAGAGGCAATGTGGTTCAGAATACCATGGCCCAATTGCTTTTCTAGAATTTTATGCCATACATCATAGTAAAAACTACCATTCATTGACACATTGATTACATATCTGCCCAACACCCTCCCTGGCTATTTGCATACATTATCTCATTGACTTCTTATATCAGTCTTTTAGGATGCATCAGTATTTCCATTTTATAATTTCAAACACTGATGCTCAGGGAGGCTAAGTAACTTTCACAGGATCACATAGGTAGAGAGTAGCAGAGCTGGAATTTAAAGCCCATTCTCTTTCTAAATCGTGCAAATTTGCTTCCATATGATGAAATATCCTACAGTATGAAGATGGCAAACATTAGGAAACTCCTGAAGCTCTATAGAGTGAATGGTAATCCAGATAGGCTTCCAGAAAGAAGGGAGTTTTGAGTTGGCTCTTGAAGGAGAAAAGAGGCCCTGAAAAGAGGATGGAGGGTGTGGATGAGCCGGGGTGACATATGTAAAGGAGAGAGGAGAGTTGAGGTGGTGGTCTGGGGTGATGGTGGAAGGCTGTGCCTTTGAGAGAGGTCAGGCTGGGAGTGATGTCACCGTGGTCACTGCTCTGGGGACAGGTGACAGATGTGGACATCTTTTTTTTTTTTTTTTTTGAGACCAGGTCTTACTCTGTCACTAATTTTTGCATTTTTAATAGAGACAGGGTTTCACCATGTCTCGAACTCCTGACCTCAGGTGATCCACCTGCCTCGGCCTCTCAAAGTGCTGGGATTACAGGCATGAATCACCACACCTGGCCTATTTTTTTTTTTTTTTACACCTTTGGTTCTACCCATCCCTTTGGCTACCAGAGATCTCTCTGCCCACCAGTGGCAGGGGCTGCTGAAACACCCCTACTCCACGGACAGCAGTCAGACCCCAGGAGTCACCAGCAAAGGGTTCGCTTCCCTCCCACACTCACTTTCCTCTGCCTTTTTTTTCTCTTTCCCCCATTCCTCCCTTTCTTCCTCTGTCTTAATGTTTGCATTTCAAACTAGCATTTAAGTAATAATTAAAATTTAAAAACTCACTCAGTGTAGCTCTACCATGGAACCATCCGTTTTCACTTTTCCATGGCCCCTGCCAGCTCTCGCAAATTTGCACACATGTTTACACAGTTGTAAACCTCAGGTACATAGACTCTTAGGTCTTTTTTGTTTCCTTGGACCTTAGTATCAGGATGTTTCTTTTCTGAATTGCCTTTGGGATCACAAAACCATAAATAGCGGCCTATATCCCACAGGGCTGGGGTGCTCTGATGGGCAGATGTCCTCCACCACGGCTGCATTTCTTTCCTAGTTGCTTGTGTGTGTGTGTGTGTATGTGTGTGTTTAGTGGGGTGGTCCTTTATAGCTGATGTTGTCCCTGAGAGATATGGGAGGTAGGCAAGGCCTGGGGATTGTAGCAACAGAATGCCAAAATTTTGGGCTGCGTTGGGTGGGAGGCCAGGGTCTAAGTCAGGGATAAGCTGACTGACAGGGTGGCAGGGAGCCTCTGAGGGTGTATCTGGCTGGGAGAGTCAGCGGAGACCGTGAGGGTGAGATGGGGCTGCCTGGAGATGAAGGGTTTAGATCAAAGCCCTGCTGCTGACCTTGGGAAAGTTTCTTAACCTCTCCGAACTTTAGATTTCTCATCTATAAAATGGAGACACTAATATTTCTTTTTCAAATTTTTATTTTCTTTTTTCCTTTTTTGTTTTCTGTAGACCTCCACTGTGGACATGATATTTATTTATTGAAACTCTGGCATTCAATAAACATTAGTTCCCTCTTCCACATTCTCCTCTCAGATGGTTCTGAGCTCCTTGGAGAGGCTGATGATGAATAGAATCATCTCTTTATAAGGAGGTTGTGACTATGGGCTGAGCAAAATGGTGGCCAATCCATTTATTCAACAGACACTTAGGGAACACCACCTCTGTTCCATAATATAGGTCTGAATGAGATAGGCAAGATGCCTGGCAACACAGAACTTACAGCCTGGTCTGGAGCCAACCAATAAACAGGTAAACACAAGGAAAAAATGTCTCATAATAATAAGTGCTATAAAGGGTGGACAGATATTTAAACTGGGGAGTCAGTGATGATGGCTGAATTTTATGTGGAAGCGCCTGGAGGGGCATTTAGTTGGAAAGTGGGACCAGAGGATTTGTCTCAAAGAGGTTTTTGCTTAAGTTGGCAGTTTATTGGGAAGTGGCTTTGGGGGCGAGCTATGGGTTTTTATGGAGAGCAGAAGCTAAGGTGCACTCCTCCAAAGCCCATCCCCTGGCGCCAGCGCTGTTCAGGGGATGAAGTATGAGCCAAGTTTTGCAATATGAGAAGGGAGAGGCACGTGAGGTTCTTAGGGAAGAGTTTGTACCCAAGGGCCAGACGGTTGCCCCCTTGAGGGGGAGTGGGCAGCATGTGGCCGGAGAGGCCAGGTCTGTGGGCCTGTGGGCCTGTGAGCTAGGGCACAGGCTGTTATGATTTAATTTTCAGTGCAGGGGAGTCACTGGAGGAAATGAAGCAGGGCTGAGATTTGATCGATTTGTGGTTTGAATAGTTACACATTGTAGTTGAAACTGATCGGAAGAAACTTGTGTATAAACTGGAAGAAGTAACAGGTTTGTGCAGCAGAGCCTGTTGTGGTCAGACATATCAGAGAATGTTGTGTAGGTTGTGTTTTACTGGTTGTAATAGGCAGTGTTGAATTGAGAGATGAACCCCTGGTAGAGCATGGCACCATGTTAGGACCAATGAGAGACTTGGAGACATGATTAAGAAGTAAGAAGAGATGCTATAATCATGACATTTCTGTGACCATCAGAGAAAGAGAGGAAGTGGGGAGAAGTTTGGGGGAAGCCTGGGTGACGGGCAGGAATGCTGAGCTGTGGGCTGGAGGCTGCTTGGGGCATCAGACACCTCTCTCCTTTCTCCCTGATGCGGCACTTTCCTTAATGTGCCTCTGAAACCATCAAGAGCCATGAACAAAGACAGTGAGGTTGGGGCAGGGTGAGATGGGGGTCTCTCTGGAGTTGGAACTACACTACTAAGGCATCTGGAGCTCGAGTCTAATTCTGGTGATCAGGAGCTCCGTTCACCCTCCACATGCCTCATTTCCTGATCTTAAAATGAACAGGATAGCACTAGAATAAGCTCTTGGACCTTGGCTTTCTCTAAAACTCTTTGAGATCATCTGTGAGATGGGGTTAACCATTCTTGCCCCGCTTCTGTCAAAGGAGGATCCCTCCTCAAACCATCAAGAACAACCCAAAGCAAGAGTTTTACCACTATAGTTGTTAATAATTAGATTTTAAAGGGCTCTCAGTGGCCTGAGCTAGCCAGGGAATTGCTGAATTCCCCGTTTTCATTCTGGAACTACTTTCTCCTTCCCCTACTTCCCGACCCCTTCCTCACTCTATTCTCAGAATGGTGGTTGGGAAGTTGGTAAAAAGTGGGTGATAGGAAGAACAGAGAAGCAGAAACTCATTAATTGACTGAATAATTGTTGGGCCCTGACTGGGTGCAGGGTGTCTGTTCCATGCGATGCTGGGGTTACCATGGAGACCAGGATGCAGGACTGGCCCTGAGGGCTCCTGGCTGCTGAAGCACAGCAGAGCTACCCCTGGAGCCTTGAAAAATCCAAATTCCAGATCCAAATTTGAGTTTGGCTCGGCCTGCCGAACTCAAATCTCCAAAGAGGCAGCCCTGGCACAGGTCTGCTTAAAAAGCTGCTAGAAGATTTTGTTGCATGTGGAAAAGTAAGAACCACTGAATGGAAATAGAGAAGCAGTCTCTTAAGATAGAGTGGTAAGCATTGGAAGAAAGTGGAAGGTAAAAGCTTGGACAGAGCTAAAGGAAACCTAGAGCAGGAGCACCTAAGATTCCAGGATGGTGGGAGCATAGGCACAGCCACAGAAGACTTCCTGGAGGGAGTGTTGCTCACACTGAGTTTTGAAGGATGCAGGAAAAGGGAACAGCATGTGCAAAGGCAGGGAGGCTTTCAGTGAATGGTCATGTGCAACCTTAAAGTTATCTGCATTTAATGTGCACAGTCTGGGGTGGGGGTATGACCCTGAGAAAGTCCTGCTGGAGGCCCCTCTCTTTTGACAAGAACTTGGACCGGCTGTCATCATGAGGCTGAATATATTAGGTGGAAAACAAGTTCCAGTTAATAATGGATTCATGCAGACAAGAGAGGCAACCGTACTGAAGAGTATCAGGCTGGGAGTGGGTTTTTCTCAGATTTCACAAGGATCAGGCAATAATGAATCGATTAATAAAGACAGCAGTCATTTATCAAGCCTTTATTATGGGCAGGCCTACACCTGCATTGTTACAAAGCAGGTACAATTTCCTCCATTTTACTCAGCAGCTCAGAGAGGTGTAGTGACTTGCTTAAGGTCACACAGCAAATAAGCTGCAGAGCTAGGACTCAAGTGTAAGTCTCCCCAGGCACAACAGTGTCTACAAGTGTGGTTGTTGAATGCCTGATCCATGTTTTTGAATGATCTTGGGCAAATTCCTTAGACGCTCTTTGCCTCAGCTTCCTCATCTTTAAAGAGGAGAGGCGAATACAGCCTTCTTGGTAGTGTTGTTTTGAGGTCTCAGTGAGTAGTAGCTGGATGTGGTGAGTGCCACTTAGTGGTAGTAAGAAGGCCACTGCTGTGAATGGAGGTCATGGTCACTCCCCAGCCCATGCCACCCACAGGTAACAGGTACGAGGAGCTCGGATTTGACTGTGTCAGGACTGACCACCCAGCTCTGAAATTTTGGAATGGATTTTGAGTCTTGATTTCTGGAAACACTGGCTGATGTCCTAGGATGAACTGCCTGGAGGAAGGGGCATTATCCCTTTGACCTTCCTGAGCCCCCAGTTTGCTGAGCCCTGTGGCCAAGGCAGGTGGCCAGATATTGGGTTTTCTCTCTTGTCTGGGATGATGTTAACCTCCGTCAGAAGGGCAAACTGGCTTGTAAGGCTATAAGGGACACTGTGGCTGGAAAAACAAACTGGGCTATTGTGGGGAGGGCAGTGGCCAAGGGTTACCTGCACTAGCAGCAGACAGAAGAGCAAGGTAAAACTCCAGAAGTGGAAAATTCTCCACAAGTATTCAGCTGTAAAGCTGCTTTGATGGCATTTCTAAAGGCCTGTGTGTAGGGGCAGGCACTGTGCAGGGTGCAAGGGAGGCTGCCAGGATGTGGCTGGGGGCTGAGCCTGGGAGGCTGAGAAGTGCCATGGAAATGAGCTTGACCAAGGCAGGTGGGGTGTTTGTGTTGGGGCAGGAGTGCAACACGCTGGCAGCCTGTTCCTGGAAGCCAGGAGACAAAGAGCTGGAAGAAACAGCGCCAGCGTCCATGAGCAAGGTTCCATGCTGAGACCATGGCCTGCCACCGTGGAGACCACACACCTCTGGGCCTGCCAGAGGTGGGAGGGAGCTGTGGGTGTGGGGCAGGTCTGGGTGCTGGCTGGGTTGCAAAGCCTCTTCTGGTAGGGGTTCCTCAATGCTGTGGGATAAACAAAAGGAAACCGCTGTCTGCTTCTCTCATGTCCGTCGACTCAGGTGGACGGTTGTGGGGTTATCCAGAAAAATGTCATTTTAACCCACTGTGAAAGACAGAGGGCTTCTAAATTTGGCCCAAGTCATCCAGTCTGGGCCGTGTGGCCACAATGATGATTTTCACTCAGCCAATTCAAAATAGTAAGTGTTTCCTGCCAGACCCTCTGGGGATCTGTGTATCCTCAGTACCTGCTGACCTGTAGGAGGTGCTCAGTGAATGAATACTGAAGAAATGAGAAGTCGGAGTCACTGAGCATCCACTGTGGCTGAGGAACATTGCAGGTGTCATAGGGGACACCAAGCAACATAGATGAGGGCTGCAACCACCAGAGAATGAGAGCGCACACAGCCAACATGATCGATAACAAAGAGAGCCAAAGCCAGCATTTGTGAGCATTTAGAATGTGCAAGACACTGGTCGAGGTCATTTAACTCATGTGCAAATGTGATGTAAGTGGAATAATTAGCTCTGTTCTACTGACGAGGAAACTGAGGCACGAGGAGGTCAAATCCTGTGCTTAAGGTCCCACTACTAGTGCAAATCCCACAGGAAGGGTACTATGAGCCCCATTTACAGCCATGGAAAATGAAATTTACAGAGGCCAAGGTAACCACCGTTACTTGTATAGATGCAGAAATGCACACTTTGCTGATCAGTATGTAGGTTACATTCAGGTCTGGGGACATCAAGGGTAGGCTCTTGACTGTATTCATGCTGTGTGGGCTTCAAGCTTTTTGCCCTGAAGCACAGGCATTTTCTTCTGGTTCTTAGTGCCTGAGGACCCTAGACCCCCCAGACCCTCTGGGCCCCGAAGGTTGGCATCCTGGGGTGAGCTCTGCCTGCCAGGAGCAGTTTTCCCTGGCCATTCAGCAATCTCAGAATTACTCCGAAGCCAAGGATGAAGAAATATGGGGTCTGCAGTCAGCACAGCACAGGCCTCCAACCCTGAAGTGACTCTACCCTCCAACATCCTCTTGCCAGGTCTTTTGAGGGGCTAAGACTTCATCAGTAGCTTTGAAACCTTTTAGGCCTTTGTTTAAATAGCATCCTATTCAAAAGCTCAACAAGACAGCAGGGGCCCTGGTCTGGCTGAGGATGGAGAGCCCCCTGCAGCCTGGTTGTCGGCCTTGTCAGGGCACTATGCTAGCCACACCTCAGGCCCCTTGGGTCCCTTGGAGCATGTTTGAACTCCCTTGGACACAAAATGCTCTTGGAGGTCCTGTGCGGCCCCAGCGTTGTGTGATTTGGTGCCCATCAGAGGGGCATTTGCCCTGTAGAGAAGCTTGAGCATCTAGAGGGCCCATGCCTGGGGGGTCCAGGCCCACAGTGGCTGATGTTTTGGGTAATAGAGAAGCTGGAGGCAGAGTGGAAGGGGGAAGTCATTTGCATCCTTCTGGTCTTGTCCCAAGCAGCAAGGCTGTTTTCTTTCCCTGTTAGGGGAATCGGATTTAAGTAAAATAATGCCTACAGAGTCCTCAGCCTAGTTTTTGACACATTGCAGGCATGCAGCAATTATGCTTGCGTTTAGCACAGCTCTGTAAGGGGTGTGTGGGGCCAGTCAGCTCTGGCATGCATACTGCAGCAAAGCCGGACCCAGGCTTTACTTCTGGTGAAATGGGAGGTGAACTAAGTCAGGGTGTTCTGGGTATCTCCTTCCTTTGGGCTGTCCCTCTCCTCCCTGTTCCTCTTTTGACACCTCTTCCATCCAATTTGCCCCCTTCACGGGCAAACAGCCTTACTGCCGTGAAATCTCCTACCCCATAGCTCCTCTTCTCAAGCTCAGACCCACTTTGGGGCTCCCAAGGTAAAAATCAAAAAGTCTGTCGCTGAGCTCTTCTCCCAGGCGGCTCCAGCGCACACTGCACTGTCCACCAGAGCCCTGCCACGCCCTCGGTCTGCCCCGCATGGGGCAGCTCCGTCTATCTGGCTGACACTCTGACCTGCTCACCTCTCTGTCCCTGGAACCCAGCCCCAGCCAGCCCAGGGCATTTAAAATAGTTGCAATTTTGATGGAGCATTTGGATGTCATAAACAAATCGAGTTCTAATCCAAAGGAGTGATTCTGAAGGTAGAAATGTTAGCTCAGAGGGGGTGTGGGGGTTAGGTTTTGCAAAGACCCCCGACATTCATCAGCCACTGTGGGCTTGAGGTCAGAGGAAAGGTTTTGCTGCTTTGATGGGACAGGGGTTTTTGGTGCCAGAAAATGTCATTTTATGCTGTGGGTAGGGGCGGGAAGGGAAAGGGGCTTCCTACGCCCAGACCAGGACCTTCTTTGAGAGGCTAGAGAGGAATCCTTTGACTAAAACAAGCCATTCTTAAGGCCAGGGAAGGAGTTCTTTGTCTCCGTGGTAGTAGGCTGGAAGCCAGGAAGAAACAGAAATTTCCCAGGGGAGGATACGGACTGTCTGAGGAAATCAGCATTTGCCCAAAGACCATGAGGGTGATGCTTAAGTTCAGCATGGTTGTCCGCCGTTGGCCAGGTCCTTTGGAGCCCGTTACCACCCCCCTGTGCTCCCAAATCTGCATTGCTTATATTCCCTCGTTAATTGAAAACAAAAGTGGGTGTCTTTCTACATGATTATAAGTATTTTGCCTGGGTGATCTTCCAAAATATGCAGCGTAGATATAAACAGCAACTCCAGAGGCAGAGCACTGGGTCCATTGATGATCTATGGGTAAGGGGGAGTTTTGAAGATTGGGACAGGGAAGGCTGAAGTTAAGTGCTGTATGCAGTGACCCAGATTCCTATCTGCTTCCTGCCTGAAGCCTTGTGCTCCAAAGGCCAGAGAGTGTTGGGTTTGAACTCTGTATGCTCACACAGTTGGAGGTGGTGGTGGAGGCTTGCACAAAAGGCAGAGATGAGAGCCTGTGGCTCAGGGGAGGCACGGCTCTTGTGCAAGGGGGAAGCCTTTCATACCTGCTTCCAGCAGCAGTGCCTAGTAGCAGAGTGAGCAGCAAGATCCTGGGCTCAGGGGCATCCTGGAAGTGCGGGAAGGATTCAAAGAAGGAGTGGACGGCAGAGCTGACCAGGAGCTCACACAGCTTCCAGTCAAACTGGTTCATCCCACGGGCCAGGAATCCAAGGCACGAAGCTGTTGAATTCCTGGCAATCTGAATTTCCGTAGTCCTATTAAACACCTCTGATTCTTTAGAACAGTATTGGCATCCCCACACACAATTGTTTATTAAGTAACTGATGGCCTGGGACAGGATTGACAGGTTGTAAGAGAGGCCACCCAGGGAAAAACAAAAACCATAAACTAAATGAAATGGCAAACTGGGAAAAATGTTTGCAACTCATTACACCAGGAAAGAGCTAGATTCTTTAATATCTGAAGAGCCATTATGAATTAATAAGAAAAGATCCAATAACCGAACAGAAAAATTGACAAAGGCTATGTGTTATTCACTGGGTAGGACATTCAAATGACTCTCAGGCATTTGCAAAGTTGCTTGACCTCACTGAAAATCAGAGAAATACAAATTTAGAAGATGAGATAATGTTTTTTACTAATCCATTTGGCAAAAATCAAAAAGTTCCGTATCATCAAGTATTGCCCAGGGTGTGGGGAAACAGGCACTTTTACACAACGTTAGTGGAAGTATGATTTGATGGAGAGTAATTTGGTAACAACTATCAAAATGAAAAACACATATTCCCTTTGACCAGGTATTTTACCACTAGACATTTTTTTCTGATAAGTATGTTAGCACAAATAGTTGCAGTTTTAGTGGAGCGTTTGGATGTCATAGACAAATCTATTTCTAATCCAAAGGAATGAGTCTGAAGGTAGAAATGTCAGCCCAGACATTTCTGAGGGTGTGGAGGTTATGTTTTGCAAAGACCCCTGACATCCATCAGCCAGAATGACCCATACAAAGATATTCACTAAAGCACTGGGAGCAGCAAGGGAATGAAGAGTCAAGTAACTAAGGACTTAATAGAAGTCTTATTAATAATAATAAGTCTAATTATTAATACTTAATACTTAATAAAAATTAAGACTAATAAGTCTACTTAAATAGAAGACTTATTAGATAAATTATGATGCATTTGTATAATAAAATATTACCTAGCCATTAAAAAGAATGACACAGCTATATGTATAAATATGGAATATTCCCTAATATATATTAAGTGATAGAAGTACAGAACAAATGCTGCCATTTGTATAAACAACAAATAGACATGTATGTATGTGTGTACATATATATATGCATATATATTTATATATTAAATTACTATATGTGCACTGGTTATCTTTGGAAGGATATAACAAAAATTAGTGGCAATGGTTGCCTCTGGGAAGGAGAACTGGGTGGGTGAGTTACAGTGGGTGGAGGAGACTTCACTGTATGTTCTTTTGCCCCTTTTGAATTTTGTATCATGTGCATATATTCTTGGTTAAATATGATTAAATTTAATAAAGCTATCTGAGATTCAGCAAGGAGGGTCTCCCAGCCAATCTCACCCTTGAGAAGTAATGTTGGCCTTGGTTCCTGGTGGCAGTGGCCAGGATGAGGCGGAGGCCTGAGAATGAGGCTGTGTGTGAGGCAGGCTCAGCAGTGGGCCAGAGAATGCCTGGGGGCAAGCGTGAGTCAGGCCACTTAGAAGGCCTGGGGACCCCCAAGTACACTCTAAGTAAAACAGAGCACTTGAAGCACCAATGACTCTGGAAACCAACGGCTAATTGGGTCAAACCACAAGCCCATCCCGAGTATCTGTGTGTCTGACTTTCCTGCTCCCCACTGCTAATGTAAGGTCTGTGAGGACAGGGTCAGGCTTGCAGCCTTTTGCCAAGTCTGGGCTGACCTGTCCACGCCGTGCTGTGTGAGTGTCTGCACATACTTATGGCGGTGGGGTGGAGTCAGCTGGCTGTGGGGTTGATTCAGTGGGCATTACCAACATCATGGTGCTCTCTGAGGTCAGGTCTACACTGGGAGCAGGTGGTTTAGCATTTGGAGTCACGCCGACCTGTGTGTGAGTGTGGGCTCTACACATAGGAGGGGCAGTGTGTCACTTTCTGATCAGCACAGTGGGGACTATTATATCTACCTTGCAGGGCTGTCCCTAGGCCTGATGAGGCCGAAGTGTGCAGACTTCTCAGCCCCTCCTCCCTGCTCTTGCTGCCTGGTGCACCAAGGTGACATGGTTAGACTACAGCAGATGGGTAAATTAATTAATGGGCTCTAGGCAGGCAGCCTGGATTTTAATCCCAACCGAGCAAATTATAGGCTGTGGGATTTAGGGTAATTTACTTAACCTCTCTGTGTTACATCATCTGTAAAATTAGGTTAATAATAGTTCCTGCCTCATCTAGGGCTGTTGTGAGGATAAAAATGAGATATATGCTATAAAGCACTTAGCATTGAGCCTGACATGGAGTAAATCATCAATAATATTAGTTATCATTCTTATCATTGTTATTATTTTGAAATAACTGGATATGTCTAGCTACTCAATTACTGTTTGGCATTTCCAGTGTGGGTAGCCTACACTTTCTGGAGACACAGATCAGGCAAATGGGCAAAACACACCCAATTAGACTCACCACTGTCTCCCAGGAAACTGCGGCCCATCTGGCAGTGCCCATGTGAAACCAGGTTGGGGAGGAGTCAGGAAGGGCTTATTTCAAAGAAATAAGAAATTCTGTGCAGTCCAGTGAGGAACACAGAGCATTTGAAGAGGTCTTAGAAGAAAGGAAACATGAAATGCAGAGACCTCCATCGAGGGTAAAGGCAGTGTGTGTATCATGGGGGAAACATATTTTCCTGAGATTTTGAGTACAAAGGAAAGAGGAGGCTGTACCTGGGAAATGGCATCATTCTGGTCCTCTTTCCAGGAGAGAAACATTATGGAAATAGGAAAAATAAAAATAAAAATAAAATTAAGAAAAGGGTGGGGGCAGAAAAACCTCCAGATGGAGCAACTTGAAGGGTGTAGACAATTGCAGAGGTTACAGAAACTGGGTTTGAGGGGGCTTAGCTGAGGCAAAAGAATGCCAAGGCCAGGTGCGGTGGCTCACGCCTGTAATCCTAGCACTTTTGGAGGCCGAGGCGGGTGGACCACCTGAGGTTAGGAGTTCGAGACCAGCCTGGCCAACATAGTGAAACCCCGTCTCTACTAAAAATACAAAAAAAAAAAAAAAATACAAAACAACAACAACAACAAAAAAATACAAAAAAAAAAAAAAAAATTAGCAGGGCATGGTGGCGGTACCTGTAATCCCAGGTACTTGGGAGGCTGGGGCAGGAGAATCGCTTGAACCAGGGAGGCAGAGGTTGCAGTGAGCCGAGATCCTGCCTTTGCACTCCAACTCCGGGCAACAGGACAAGACTGTCTCAAAAAAAAAAAAAAAAAAAAAAAAAAAAAAAAAGAATTCCAAAGGGCGGTAAGAACACCGTGGAGCCCATGATTGAAATAACGTCAGGTTGGAGATTTGCTAGAGGAATTTAATAACAACAGTAACTAACCCAGCCTATCCTCCCAAATTAGGGAATATACCTCTACGGCACCGGTAATGAGGAGAAGTGTTCTAGGAGGTGAGGGGGGTGGCAGGTGATAACCATCACAGGGTACCTATGTCAATTTAAAAAAAATAAGCAAAAACAACACATTCCGAAAAAAACCAAAAGATGCCCAGGCTTCACCCGAGCCTCCTGCCTCTGTGACATTTTATCAGAACTTGATGTCATTGATTGCTGTCTGATTTGGAGGTTTCCTAAAACGTGATTCCGTTCTATGGTTGGACTAGGCTAAGACTGAAGGGAGAAAGCTGCCCCTCCCCAGGCCTGTCCTCACTTTTGAATGTTTTAAAGACAAAAGCATGGAGGGCTTTTCCCTGCATGTTCCTGGCCTCTGCAGGCTGCTCTTATGCGGTAACCTCAATCCTGATGTGTTTGCTAGGGCGGCATATGGATTTCCAAAATCGGCTTCACCCAGAATCTGGAGGCTCGCTGGTGCATTCGAGATCAGCGGAGAGCCACTTTTTTGCAGAGCAGAGCGACGCTGGGCCAGACCTCTGGAGGGGCATGGTCCACCGGGGAGCCGAGGACCGCTCGGCAACACCCAGCCCGGGCCCTTTGCTGCGATTGGAGAACCCTCAACCCTGGATCCTTCCAGAAGCACAACTGAACCTCATCGCCCCTGGCACGATGAGAGAAGAAATCGAAACAGGATCTAGGTCCAAGCTGAGACTTAATTACATGATTATTTTTTTTTTATTTCACCACCATGAAATTTCAACCCTAGAATGGCCGAAAGCCGAAGGCCGCACACCCTGGAATCTGAAACCTATTTTGTAAGCATTTCCTCCCAGCCTCCCAAAGTTTAAATATTAATTTGCCTGTAATTGGCGGAGAAAACAAACAGGCAATTAAAAACGCTACAAAGCTGACTTTCTCCTTCCTCTGCTCTCCCCTCCCTTTTCATTTCGCTGCCGCCTAGAACTGGCTCTAAGACAATGGGACCCCGAGCGGTGTGGAATTCTAAGCCCAGGCTTGCCTTAAAGCTACAATATGGATTTAATTTATATGCAAATGCAAGCAATAAAAAGGCAGACACTGTAGAAATTATAGGGTCCCCCCCTCCTTTTCTTAGGAGATGCTCAACCCTTTCTCTCCTCTTCCAACTAAGACCTAATTATTATTGGTTCCTGCCACCTCCCCCCTCTCCCTCCTGCCCACTCTGGGTGTAAACTGGGCCATTTAAGAAAAAACACAGAATATTGGGAATAAGAGAAGAAGCATCAGGATAATTTCACAGTCCGACTCCTTCTCTCTCCTCCCTCCCTTTCCCCTTTCCCCCTCCCCCGCAGCCCGCTGGGCTCTCCTGTTGACCAGTAGAACGCAAAACTGATCAAAGCCAGCCGGAAGCCTTAAGTAGGCCAAAATGGGGGCTAAATTATGCTAATAGAGGAGCTAAATATACTTTAATCCTGTTATAATACAAGGTAACTTAGAGGCAAGGAAAGGGCTTGGTGGCTTTAGCAGGGGGCAGAGGGGGGCTAGGGACCCCTGTGAACCCTGAATAGAAGTCGCTTCCTATTCTTTCTCTGGCTGGGGGTGGGGTGGGGGCCTTCTTCCTCAGATGCTCACCCCAGCCCCGCCTGCCCCGTTTACTGAGTGTCAACAGTTGGGTGAGCAAGACTTCTCAGCCCTTAGATCAGTATCCTGTGACCTTCCACATTGAAGCACACACCATTCAGCCAAGCCTTCCAGCTGTTGCCTGAATGATGATTTTTTTTTTCTCAGAGTCGGGCACGGCTTAGGAAGACACTAGGCAACAGTTTTAAATTATGTCCTCGCCACCACCCAGCTCGCTGTGCAGATCCTGCGGGGGCCTGTGCACAGCCGGGCCTGGTCTAGCCTGGTGAGGAGCTACGTGAGCCAACAGATATATTTTGGGCGGAACTGAGCAGGCCTCGGAAGGAAAGCCAGCCTCTCTGCCCAGCTTCAGAGCCACGACTCTCAGCAGGCTAGCCCTCGTCTAGTTTTAGAGAGGACAGAGGGAACCTGCATTGGTTCCCTGACTCTTACTGCAGTAAGGGCCTGAGGTCCTCTGCCCCACGTTTCCCTCTGGGCTCCAGACCTTGAGGGCTCTGGGAGATTCCAGAATGTCAGGGAAGCAGTTCTGCGTGGATTCTCCTTTCTGGGCTGGTGTCTAGGCTCCAGCGACGGCAGAGGAGACTGATGAAATTTTACAGCCAGCCAACTGCTGCTGGTGTCAGAAGATTAAAAACAAAGGTCGCACCGAGGCCTGCCTCCCACCGTGCGTCTCCAAGTCTGAGGGGTGGAGTGGGGGAGGAGGCAAATGGCCCCAAATATTTCTCCGTTAAGTACAAATTACATACTGGATATATAAAGTTGTAATGGTGTATTTTGAGTCTGACTGGTTTCATGAGAACATCCATGTACCCTCCAAAATGCTGAGACGGTGACACAGGCAAACAAAAAGGAATTTAATCCTGACGGAATGTGTTTTGTTTGAATTCGGGCACAGCTTCCTTTTATTTTTTCCCCCTTCTCTTTTTTATTCTGAGTTCCTCTTCCTCTCTTCTTTCCTCCCTGTATCCATCCCATCAACCCCCACTTGAATGCTACAAGCAGCAGAATCCTCTGACATTGTATTTGTGGGTTATTTATCTTATGGAGTTGGCCAGAAAGTGTATAAACAATTAGCTCAATAAAACAATTAGCTCCTGAAAACCTAGCATTGAGCAAAGAGATCTTTTCTATCTCTACCTGCTCCCTGCTAACTGAACCTCGGTTTCCTGGTCTGTAAAGTGAAAGGTTCATGTAAGGTCGTCCCTAAGCTCCCCTTCTGAGGCCTCTGACAGTACAGGTGGCTGTCTGTCCAGCAATATCTGCCAACAGGTGTCCACATGGGGCATCCACATGGATCTAAAGGGGTGGCAACACAGCAGGCGGCCCAATTCGTGCCCGGTGTTGATGTGTGGAATCTGTCACACCAGTAGTGCAGAGAAGGTACCTTTGCAGGAGAAAGAGAACCCACAGGCTGCAACGGAAGAGACTCTAGAATTTAATTCCGGCTCTACCGCTTACTGGCATTGTGTTTGGGGGCAAATTCTTAACTTTTTCACACGTGAGTTATTTAAAATCTGCAAAATGGAGGCAAGACTATCTGTCTCTTAGAGTCGTAAGGATCAGATGGGATGATACCTGGGAAGTTCTTGACATGGCACTCATGTCAGCCAGGGAAGTACCTACTGAGAGTAACCTCTTACTACTATTGGACTTAGTCCTAGTAAGACCATTGTTACTTTTATATTAGCAGATGAAAAGTCCCTTTTTATAGTTTTAATACTTATTGATTTCAGCAAGAAATAAAATGCAACTATCTGTCTGAAGCCAGTTCTGAGGGATCCTACTCCCCCATCATTTTTTCCTGCCAAAGGCAAGGGCATTGGCATTGTAAAACCTGGCTTCAGTATTGATGCTAAGTTTCCCAGTCCTGAAGGCAATCTAAGCCTCTCACATTCTCCTCATCTCTGGTTCTGCTTTTCCTTTAAAATATCTTCCTCAAGCTCTGGGGCAAGACCTTCCTAACTCTAAGGGGAAAATAAAAAACTGTAAATGTCCCATTGACCACCGATACTTTCTATTTCTCACTTGAGTGGAAAGCCTCCCCACCAAAGAGTCTTGAGGACTGAGTCATCTTTTTTGTTCTTTGCGACAAGTCATAAAATGGTTTTAATTATATGGTGTTTTTCCAAGTAAACAACCAGACTGAAAGAGAAAATATTTAATTTTTGTTGAATTAAGTTGGGAACAATCTCAGCACCATGACTGCCGACGAGGCCGGCAAATGGGGCTTCTGATACTGTCCTTGTTGTGGTGCATGTTTTCCCTTAGCGGTAGCAACAAGGAAATAGGAACCAGGCCAGAGAGATGCAAGAAAAACGTAAAACGCAACTTCAATACGGGATTCCAGATTCCAACTGAAACCCAGGAGTTATTTTGGTAACAGTTTTGCCAGGGGAAAAATATTCAAAGATCTTTGTTTCCACCATAAACAAACATAATATTATCCTGACTACAGTGTGACCTGTGAAACATCCTTCAGTTGACTTCCAAAACCCTGTAGCAAATATATGAATAGTAACAGCCGATTACTAAGCGATTCCTCTTCTTCTTTTATTTAAACTCTTTATGTTCCACACATTCATTAACATTTCCCTGCATGTCTCATTATTATCTCATCAAACATTTATTATTACTTCAAGATAGATAATTAAAATTTTATATAGTTATTTCTCTGTATGACAATCCAGTAGGTTTCAGATCCCCCACCCTCCCCAGTACTCACATGTACCCTCACAATTGGGCCATAAAACTCGTGAACTTCAATTCAATGTGCAGAAAGCATAGGAACAAAATCTAAAATTCATTTTGAATGGGAGTTTAGTTTCCTGAATAATGACTTAGTTATTGCCATTGTTAAAGAAACAGAGAAAAGACGTCTCATAGGACTATCCTTGCTCTTCATCAAATAAATAACTGGACTCTATGGATACCATTATGAGACAGACAAACAATGTACGCAAGTGATTTTAAGGCCTGAACTGGATTTGTTAGAATTGAGACAGCAGATGCAATAAACTCAAAAAGATTAGCAAAGAATTATT
This sequence comes from Homo sapiens, assembly GCF_000001405.40. Classification (NCBI taxonomy): domain Eukaryota; kingdom Metazoa; phylum Chordata; class Mammalia; order Primates; family Hominidae; genus Homo; species Homo sapiens. Next base: position 118,804,540 of record NC_000002.12, on the reverse strand, counting down.
CTCTTTCCAGGATGCATATTACATTTAGGACTAGAAACCCTGATATGGATTATATATCACACATATTGCACAGAGCACAGAAGTATCAAATTTATCGAAACTAGGATGAGATCTTTTTTCAGTGGAATTTAAGAATGTAGGTTGGTTTTTGGGTACTTACAGCTCGGAAGAGAATTTCCGGGTGGGAAGAACATCCAGCCTTAACAAGCCAGTGGCCTCTTGTTTTTCCTGCACTGTTACCCTGCCTAGACCCGAGCACGAGCAGAAAAATCATCTGAGACCAAACCCAGCCCTAAAGGGCTTGGCTTGCAATTTATTAAATTGCTTGAATTTGGTTTTGAAGCTACAAATCTTTTTGTTCTAGCACAAAATAATCAGTGTGCCAAGCTCAAGGAATTTTTTTCCACAAATGTGCAAAACAGAAAGATGTAGGTCTAGTCTGTCTAATTAATTATATAGATTAATGCCACTAACTTTGGGAAAATACCAGTGATGCCCTTCAGTCGCATTTGCCCTATCTAAAGAAGGTGAAGGCCAATTCACCTTTTCTAAACTTGTAGAACCTCGCTTGGCAAACAACCGTTTTTCCCTCTTTGGGGATTTTTACACATACTTGGTTCAGGTTTCAGCTTCTACACCCACCTTGGTGGGACAGTGTTTGGGCAGGTGGGGCGGCACAGCCCAGGGTTCTGAGCTGGGGAAGGAGCAGCGGGAGGGCCTGATGTGGATATTAAAAGGCACTCGGGCTGCTCAGAGACTGTGTGTGGATACCTGGATCTGTCCTGGGACAGATGGCCAATGCCACTTCTGGCCTCGGATGCTTACTTTCCAATATTAAACCTCCTTCTTTCAGGCAGTCCACATGTTCTTAGTGGCAACCACACAAGCCAGCCAGAAGAATGTATTAACATATAAAATGGGCTGGCTCCTCGGGAAAATCATGGTCATTGCCCTCACAGAGCTTTAATTCATTCATTTTCATAGTGCTGCTACTGTGTGCTGAGCAAAGGAGAGTGTACAATGCGGGCAGCGTATAATTCGTTCTTATATGCCGGTGAATAGACTATGATCGTAGGAGGTATGATCGTAGGAGGTCTGAAGGGATTGGAGGGGTGGCTTCAAGGATGGGGGGACTGGGTGGGAATGGAGCAAGGATGGAATGGTGAGTGGGCTTTGAAGAATATAGAGAATGCTCTATGTTAGTGTACCTAGGAGTTGAGTCACACCTTCATCGAGTTCTTATTGGGCATCTACACGGTAAGCAAAGCACAATGCTAACTGACGTGTGGGTAATCAGAGATATCACCAACATGGAATAAAGTACTCTGAGAGAGGGGCCAGGGTATGAGTCATCTTTATCACTTCCACCCTGACTGCGTGGGAGGCACCCTCTCAACAACTCGTTATGTAACTGAATTCAAGCATGTCCACCCTTCTGGGTGTCCTTTGCAAAAAGCCATAAGATCCCCTCACTCCTTTTTCTCCTTCACTGTGTTTAGTGTCTTCCCCTTTTGGTCTGAAGATTTTAGAGTTTTTCCTTCACGATGCTCAGATCTTGGGCATCAACCTTCCTTCCCTACCCTTCGGGGCTGCAGTCTATGTCAATCCATGAGTCCTTCTGAATGCTCTTGGGGTCTTCCAAGGCTCTAGGCCTCCTTGGTGTGAAATGGGGGTAACAAGGGGAGTGTCTGCCTTTAAAGTCTTTACTTCTGATTGTGGAGATACAAACTAAAGTTTGTTGGTGCCTCATGAGGTTTTTCTCACAATGAGTCCTTGAAGGAGGTATAATATTGCCATTTCAGAGAGAGAAAAAGTGAGTCCCAGAGTGATTGTTAAGCTGCCAAAATTACACAGCCAGTGCTTGAGTGACCCCACTCCCTCATTCAGGAGTCAAAGAATGGCTCTCCTGTTGTGATTGGGGCTAGGACAGCAGAAACTAGAGGGCCCTCCATTGCAGGAACAGACCACTGAGTGCCAGGATAATGTAGCACAAGACAGCACTTTTCAGTTCGCATGTTTCCTTAATTCTTTCTTCGCTGCAGCAGTATTGACCAGTCAGTGAGAAATGCACTACTTTGCACGCCCAGACACAGCCTAATGTTGAACAAATCTGAGCCCACCCTCACCCCTAGCCCCGTTAAATTGGTTTGATCAGCCTGGTGGCCTGGAATGTCTGAAGTCTTGCAAAAGACACAGGGATATTTGTTGGTGGGTCTCACATACACTCTCAAATTTGACAAGGCTCAACAGTTGCATGGTGATCTCTGTCTGCTTCCAGCACCAACTCTGTTCATGGCCCAGCTCCCTCCCTCCTTGCCACCAGCACAGGAGACCAAATGTATCTATTCGAGCCTTTTACATATCATTTAATTTAGAGCAAAACCCTGATTTTAATAGTGGAGCTCACATCCTGGAAAAGTCAGAAGAACAATACAAATGCAAGGTGGGGGCAATGGGAAGTGCACCTTAGGAAAGAGCAGGGCTCGGCTGGGCTCAAAATCCATCCCAAAGGTGTGACCCTGGACAAATCATTTAATCTCTCTTGAATTTTGTTTTTCTTTCATTTTTTGGAAATGAAGGTTAATAGGGTTTTTTTTTTTTTTTTCGGAGGGCAAAATGAAATGATTTTTGTAGAGCTTGGGATGGAATGGGTACTCCATAAAGGGCACATATTATTATATTTTATGTCTGGTCCCCACATAAATCTAATGTGCATTAATTATAGCCTGCTGGGCCAAGATCATTTCAGTGTCTGATTACTCATTGGATCCTGACATCCTCCTCTGGGGTCATGATGCAGGTCTGAAGAAGGAGTCAGGAGAACAAGGCCAGGCAGGTATTTTCAGTGAATGAAGGGGCTTGATCAGAAGGCAACAGAGAGTGCTGGGGTCTATGGCAAACTAGCGTGCACATGCCTTTTCTCATGGGGTGATTGTGACTCACCTCCAGCCAATGGTAGCTATAAGTGTGGGCCATAGTCTCTAAGTTTTCAAAGAAGCCAGACTTTTTTTTCCTTAAATGTGAAATTAGCTGGTAACTGATGAAAATCTTTTGAACAATTGGTACAGGCCAACTCTGTATGGGCCAACCCAAACGTATCTGTGGGCCAGATGCAGCCCTCCACTGTGTGACCTCTGGCCCAGAAATCCTGCCTTCTTCTGGACAGGCATGAAGCAGGGTGGAGCTGGGAAAGGCAGGAGCCTGGCAGAATCTTCCAGGCATTGCATCTTGCGTAAGGTGCTATGAAGGTCTATGCCAGGCCTCACTGGAATGTGGAAACAATGGGATGATGTTTAACACGGTGTCTGGCAGGCAACAGAAATTCAGTCAACGTTATTGGTGTTACATGTTCTAGAATGGTTATTTGCCCAAGATCACTTAGAAGAGTGATAGCTTTGGGGGCCACATCAACCCCATTTTCGGTCGCTGTTTCAGGGTTCATGTCATTTATATGTTCTTAGCAGTATCATTATGGTTTTAGGTATAGTCCACTTCTCTCAATATTTTTTGCATTGTTATTTGTTGTTGATATGATTACACTTGGGGAATTTTGGTACTGGAAAGGCCTTAAGAAATAACCACATCTCATCTCTGTGTTTCACAGAAAAAAAGACTTTACATTCCATAGAAGTTGAGTCACTGATTCAGGGTCCTACAACTAGGCTGCCTGAATTTCTGGTTTAGTTGTGGATGAATTTGAGGTCCCAGCTCTGTCCTTGCTTAGCCTAAGGTCAGGCTAAGAGTTCCTTCGACAAGGAGCAGATGGGAAACGTTGCATTGTCTGGGACAAGGGACAGGTGGGTGGCTTATGCTACTAATTGTTACCTGAGTGATAGATCCTGACACGTAGGTGAGATTAGAAATTGAGGACAAGAGTGGAGGGGAAGGGAGTGGGCTGGTAAGATGCAGGCTTAAGGCAGCTGTGGTCATGAGAAGGAATCTCTGACTCTCAGAAACTCTCTCCCCATCCCTGCTTTATTTTTTCTGCCTCCTAATGTCTTACATTGTTTGATAATGTATTATCTTCACTGTCTGTCTCCTCCCAGTAGAATGTAACGTCCACAATGTTTACTGCATAAATAACAGTAGTAATGTATGTCTGTGCAATAATAGTCATACTTGTCTCCATCCTTCACTCATGGGATAGAAAGGACCAGGCAAGTAACTTGTCCACAGTGAGATTACTAAGAAATTACTGGCAGACCAGACCTAGAAACTGGTCCCTTGATTCTAAGCACAAGGCATATTCCCCTCTTCACTTCAGATATATATTCAACTGTCTTGACACTATAACTCTGACTGTAGCTTCAGTGATTGTGGGTGGAAATGAAGCTTTGAGCTAAAAATTTGCAATTAAAAAAAATCAGAGATTCACAGATAGAGTATCACATGGCTTTAGTTTGGGGGTAATTATTGCCAAGGGAGAGCTTGTCATGTTGAAATAAAAATAATCCCATTTCTTTCCCTACAACTTTGAGGTCATGCTCCAAAGGAGAGCAAGAATTGTTCTGTGACTTTGGGAAATGAGGAGAGAGCCTCAATCCTAACCTGGCACTGAGACTTGGAAAGCTCCAAGATCAGAGTGATCACTCCATTGGTAGAATTATGGACTGGTGGAACTTAGTTTAATTGGACCTTAAAAATACCACCTGTACCCAGGTTTCCCAAAGAATGGTACATACACTCTTGGTAACAAGAATATGAACATTTTATATTTTCATAGTTACATATTCATTTTAACATGTAGTAGACAAAAAATAGCTATCTCATCAGTCTGTGATTTCAGGTGGTTATTGCATAGGATAAGGCTTGTGAAAGAACTGAGTTATTTAAGAAAGAGGTGTTAGGTTAATTAGAGGATAGAGGTTATGAGAAAATGGCAGAAAATCCTGTTGGTGCATAAATGCCTGAAGTTTGGGAAACTTAATTATGTAGCTAAAAAAAAAAAAAAAGCCAATGAGATCCTTACCAACACCGCTGAACAAACTGGTGGCAAAGCTAGCCTTGAGCATGGGTCTTCTTAGGCTGGGGGGATTCCGGGGAGGGGACAGCATCTTCCCAGCCTCCCCAGCAACTGTGTTTAGCCTTTCCCCACTTCCACTTCTGTGTCCTCTCCCCCTCTCAACACATGCTTCCTCTGCAGCAATGGCCAGGTGTCGGGTGGAGTAGAGAGGTTGTGGAGGAATTAAGCCAGTCTTCCTGCCTCCAAGGAGCTTTACTCTATTGATGAAGCAAGACACTTGCCTGCATCAGGAGTGATTGCTACACACTTTGGACCTTGCATTTCCATCAGTCCCCCATCTATAATCACTTAGTATAAATTATACACATCTATTTCTATACTAGTGAGATTTCCAGGATAAAATATACACAAAAGTAGAAATGAATGAAGGTGAGATAAAGGTAGAGTAAGCAGGGCTTTTAAATGTATGAATGAGACAAAAGAAGCTAAATATAAAAAGCAATGGAACACAAAGGAAACTACAGTGAAAACTAAAGAAGATGTCATAAAGGCGAATTAAGGAATATTTTTAATTAAAAATTATTTGTTAATAGTAAAAATGACATTTTGTTCTCAGTGAAAAGTATTAATTTTAGAGAAATGCATTTGAATGTGTTTTAATGCTGGATTCAAAGTTCTGGTTCTAAATTTCTTTTTTTTTAAAAAAAAATACTTAGTTTTAATGGTTGTCAGAGCTGAAAAAAAAATCTCTACAAAGGCACCAAATGGAAGAAATACAATGCTGGCTGTGCTTACTAAATCAAGATGCTTTTTTTTTTTTTTTAAAAAAAAACCACATCTAGCAATTATGGAAAGGTTTTGTTTTTTGTTTAATTGAAATTCATCTAGTCAGCCAGTCAGTTTCTATCTTCTTGATGTCAATTCTTGTAAACCAATCAAAAGTTATATTTTTAACAAGTGGGCTCAAGATCCACTGAAGATCTTCTTTTGGAAAATTTTTAAATAGGTTAGAAAATTGTTTCCAAGTTTTTAAAGTGTGCGTATATTAGATTTTTTTTTTTTTTTTTTTTTTTTTTTTGAGACGGAGTCTCACTGTTGCCCAGACTGGAGTGCAGTGGCGCGATCTCGGCTCACTGCAAGCTCTGCCTTCCAGGTTCACGCCATTCTCCTGCCTCAGACTCCCGAGTAGCTGGGACTACAGGCGCCCACCACCTCACCCGGCTAATTTTTTGTATTTTTAGTAGAGACGGGGTTTCACCGTGTTAGCCAGGATGGTCTCGATCTCCTGACCTCCTGGCCTCCCAAAGTGCTGGGATTACAGGTGTGAGCCACTGAGCCCGGCCAGATCTTTTTTTTTAAGTATTGCATATATTCACTTCACAGAACAAAATCACACAACGATGGAAACACTTCTAAAAATCTGTTTTCCAAATATTTTCACTATAGCACATATCCCTTTGGCAAAACAGTTATTTATCACTCACTGTTAAAATATCAATGAGTGATACAAAAAATTACCTGAAAGGGACAGATTTTAAAAAATGCCAGCTGTTATATTATGATTGCCAGTTATGTCACAGAGAAGTCTTGTTAGGGTGCAACAGAATTTCACAGTCACTTCACATCTCATTATATAAAGTATTGCAAGCATTCTACTATTTAAGATAATGCAACCCATAACTCCTACATAAACTGTACATGTCACAATATGTGGAAACCATCAGAGGTGTGAGGGAGCCATGGTCAGGAACAGAAACGGTGGGCCATAGGACCATGAAGACATTTCCTGCCATGCTTCATAAAAACCCAGGGCAGATCCTTCAAGGTTGGCCACTGAAGGGGCCTCTCTGGTGGGAGCCAGAATTGGCTGAGGGGCTCCAGCTCTCAGTATCCTCCTAAGTTCTCCTGCAGATTCCATCCCCACCACTTCCACTCTGGCCTTAAAAGGTGCTGCTGCTCTTTTCTTTATTGTTTGGCCTAAACCTTCCTTTCCAGATCCAAGCAAGGCTATAAGATTCAAGGGTCAAGGCTCTTTAACCTCCACTAAATCAACTCAAATCCATCCTCTTTCCAAATCTGGGGAATAAACCAGGCTAGTTAGAGGACCTAGATTCTAGGTAGAACCATCTTCATGGGCGGGCCCCTCCTTAGCACCCACCACCCAGAATGTATGTCTAGACTCCTTGATTCTTCAAAGTCCAAGTTCAAGACAACAAAGCCATGATGAAGAGAAAGACACCTTTCCCATCTTAGTTCCAGTTTTCTCTCTGGGGTTCTTCCTCTTTCTTGAAAGATCAATCCTGGGAATGGCCATCTGGGAAGACCTTGCTTATCTCCTTGAGCTCATGGACCATTAACTAATTAATTCAATTAATGAATATTTACTTTCCACCACGTGCCTGGCTCCATGCTAAATCTGACTATATAATGGTGAGCAGGACTGATGTGGTCTCCATGAGCTTCCAGTCCCAGTGTGGAAAGCTTATGTTAAACCAATGATCACACAGTTACATGTATGACACAAACAGGAGAAGTGTTACAAATCAACAGTCTGGGCTCTATGGTGGACAATAATCATGTTGAAGGAGTGAAGTTATCTCTGAGGAAGAAACCTTTGAGCTGAGGCCTGAAGAAGGGTAGTTGTTACTGAAGGAGACAATGGAGAAGGAAGAGCATGGTAGGCAGAGGTAGAGCTGCGGCTGTGCACAGGGCCTGAAGTCCAAAAGGAATTTGGCCCAGTCATAGAGCCAGAATTGGCCAGTGTGTCTGAGCCAGGAGTGGGTGCCTGGGAAGCTACAGGGCACGGAAGGGGCTAGACCACAAATAGAGAGTGGTCATGAGTTTGGACTTTACCCTAATAGAGGTGGCAAACCATTGAAAGCTTTAAACCCAGGGAGTGGCATGATCAGATTGTGTGTTAAGGTATCGTGGCTGGTGTGTGGTGAGTTGATCGAAGGGAACAAGAGAAGAAAGTGTAAGAGCAGACAGGGCTAGTGAAAGAGTTTATGTCATTGATTATGGTGGCTGAGAATAAGATGGTGCAGGTAGAGATGGGAGAAAGAGACATACGACAATAAGACCCAGGAAGCCAATATCATTATTTGAAATACCCACACACAAATAGTGGCAGGGGTCCGATGCCTGACACATAGCCATGTGTAGGAACTGGCTCTTACTCACTCACAAGAGCCTATTGTTAGTTTCCTCTCAACTCAGCAGTCAGTGATGTCATTTGCCATGTTGAAACCAGCCAAGGTGGTATTTACACCATAGAAATTAGCAAGGGCTGCGAACCAGGGCTTTCTTTTTTTGGAGAGCCAGTTGTTAAACACTTACCAGTATACCATGGCTTGCATATAACCTCATTTTACTAACACGTGTCTAAGCACTCTCTCCCAGGGGCATAATGCTGTGGCTGGGAAGCTGCTGGCTAGACAACCTTTCAGCTCCATTGGCAGCAAATTGTTCTTTGCGCTGCCATCAGCCTGGGATGCACCTGGGCTGGTAGTGAGTGCCCATTCTGAATACAATGCAACTTAAATTCAACAAACGGTAACAAGCTGCCTCTGTTTTCTGGGTACAGTGGGGGGCACAGGGGGACCACAGAGATGAACTTTGCCCCACCTTTTCTCCTTAAACTGGGAAAGATGAACCTGTTCACGAGAAAACTGAGTGCGAGGTCCCAGTGGAAAATTGGGAAGTGAAATGTGAATAGTGTTCAACCAAATAGATGGTGAGCATCAGATGGGTGTGTGTGTGTACACATATGTGCATGTGTGTGTGTATGTGTTGGGGGGGCAGGAGGGGGATTCAAATGTTGCGGCAAAGCATTTTGATGTTGCTTGCAGGCAGATGGGAAGCAGAGGAGGTTCTGAGCAGTGCCCCAGGAGGGCAGTGGTATAGACAAAGAGTGGACCCTACTCAGGGATAGAGTTCAGTGATGCCATTTGCTTCTGCATCCCTGTCTGCATGCTAGCATCTCACAGTGTCCTAGGGATGTTCTGTCGAGCCCTTCTCAACGCCATTCTGGCCTCCTTTAATGACCCTGGCACACACATAAAATGGCCAGGCACAACTTGGTGGCTTCAGTCAACACTATACAAATGGCAAACTCAAAAGTTACACTTCTGGCCTTGAGTGAGGATTCCTTCTGAGTCACAGCCTTGGGAACTCCAGAAGGTGGTGCTGGGCCTACCTGCTGGTACCTTGGACCACCAAGATGGCGTGCAATGACTTAGAGCCCTTCCCTAATGTCTATGTCTGAGTGTCCCCTCTTTGTTCCCAGGGAGGCAGAGGACTCAGGGCACCAGCCACACCCATGCAGAAGGAAGAGCACAGTCTTGTTCTGTCACATGTCAGCTTTGTGAATTTGGGGTGGCTATTTTATCACAACGAGCCTCTGTTTTGTCATCAAGAAAAAGTGGGGATAAAAATGTTAACTTGTAGAGCTGTTGTGAGAGCTGAGGGTTATGATATTTATAAAATGGGCTGAGAGTTTACAGTTGGACTGACCTGGGAGTGAATCCCAGTTGTATGACAGTGGTAGAAATCACTTTCTCTTAAGGTCGTTGTAGGGATCCAATGTGATAAGGTTTGCCAAGTGCCAGGCACAGAGTAAATGTTCAGTCCATGGTAGCTGCTATTGTTGTTATTTTTATTAAAGTGCCTAGTGGAGGGGCCTGGCATGGAGTGGATGCTCAGTAAGTGGGAGCTTTCAGCAAGCCTGGGCTCATCAGCACACCCTAATTCTAGCCTGCCTTTGTCTCTCACTGGCGGGACAAGTCACTGCCCCATTCTTGGCCGCTAATGCCTCATTTCAACATGATGAGGTTGGATTATCAGATTTCCAAGGACACTTTTGATGCATTTACACATCAGACTGCTAGGACTCAGATCCTTTATTGTCTTGTGTTTGACACCTGCCACTGCAGAGTGGACACCACGTATGTAGTGGCAGAAAACTAAAGGGAGAGGCTGGGGTGCTGATCCTGGTTCCCTCGGGAGTTCAGTGCATCTGAGGCATGGGGAAGATTTGAGAAGAGGTTATGCTAGCTGGGCTGGTTTGTCTGAAGCTGGACAGGACTGCTGGAGGCATTGGTACTCCATGCAGAATGGACCAAGGTGCCCACCCACTCAGTTAACATGTCCCAAGTGATTGCATGATCTGCATACCTTTCAAGCACTGACCCCACCTGTCATGTTCCTTCCTAGAGTGGGGACACCTCATGTTCCAGGCAGCCTGTGTCTCCCTCTGAAGGACCCCTGACTCCAGGGATCCCTGGACTGGATACACGTGTCAGGCAGATCCTCCTTCAGCTATGGAATCATCTCACCTCACGAAGCTTCCCTACAGTTGTGCAGGCACAGGGAGCAAACTTCAGGCTCACTCCTCCAGCATCCACTCCAGGTTTCCTTCCAGCTGGGATCCTCAGCAGTTGGCAGCTTTTTTCCTCTACGACCAGGGGCCAATTGTCCCCTTGCTCCTCTAGTTCTCACTGTCCTCACCAGGTTGAGGCCTCTAGAGACCCTTCCCACCCCTAACAAAATGCACAGGCTCCCTTTGCTAGTCGTGACTGCTTCTTTCCAGGTTGCCCTGTGCTCTGCCTCACTCCGTTCTTCGTGGGATCTTCATGCTAGGTTGCTCCAGCCTCCATTTCACTATAGTAATTCCTAGTCATTTTCACTCTTCCCGGCCCCTTCAAACTGCTAATGCATCAGGATGGTCCACCTGCCTTTTGATGTTCAACCAAGCTGAAGTTTCAGAAATCTTAAACCTCTTTGTCAACTGATGATACTGGTGATATCTGTGTGATTGAAAGGGATTTAGGCTTAAGGATCCTCACCAGAGCCCATCACCTCTGTTTGTATTCCCTCGATGATCTTGGAGTTCCAGTGGAAGCAGGCACGATTCTCGAAGCATGATACCATGGACCCCTGTGACCAGGCCCTGACGTCACTCGCCTACCAAAAGTGTTCACCAAAGAGTGCTCTTGGAGGGATCCTGGTCCTGTCTCATGAGGCCACTGTAACCCTGGCCATGGTTGTGCAAATTGGTTCAGGTGGTCCTGGCACAAGAAGCTTCTGGGTCCTCTTTTTGGAATCACTGCTGTTATGCCCAATTTCTACCTGCTGGGACTGTAGGCTAGTCTCCAGTGTTAATGAGCTAGTCTCCAGTGTTAATGCTCTGACCCCAGACCCTTGAAGATCTAGCCTCTGTCTGACGTTCATTATCCACCAAGCCCAACCCATACCCAGCCCTGTTGCCCATGCTGAATGGGGCTCCAGGGCCCTATGCTTCCTGTTTCTACCTGTTCCAGTTGCCTAAAGTGTTCTTCCTTCTCCTGGCCTGGCTAACTCCTACCTGTCCTTCAAACTTCAACCAGGAGATCACTTCTGTTAGGCCTTTCTCCTGACTCCCTTCTCTTCCTGTCCACCCCAGCTGGCATAGGTACTACCCTTGCAGCTTCCCAACACGTAGGCTACTTCTCCGGAGGCACTAATTTTGCTACACTGTATTCATCCTTACATGAACAACTTCCCAGAGGATACCATGAACCGCATCCAGGTGACCAGCACAGTTGAACGAATGAAAGTGTCCAGCCCTTTCCCCTGGCCCTGAAATCCTTTCTTTTTTTCCCCTTCTCTGTTGTCTTTCTGAATCCCAGACACCTGCCTATCTGTTGTGTTTCTGGAGCCCTGAGTCTACCCATGAACCCATCAAGCTGATTGGCTTAAACTCAGCAGGAAAGGAGAAGGCAGAGGCAGTGGACCAGGTCTAATTTCTTGTCTTCACGTTGGCTAATGTTCCTGCCACCCAGGCCTGTAGTCCTCTCATCTTATCTTCAGTAAGGAAAAAGGCATCCCCTTCCCTCCCCTGCAATAATCACCCTCAACCTAAATCCAAGCCACCCTTGCTCTTTTTTCCTAACATGCCCAGTGATTCTTTTGCTCTAACCTCAAGCTCCCTAACAAGCCTCACAGGAGTCTTCCTGTCTGGCTTCCTTTCTAACCCCTTCTCTCATCCACCATGTGCTCCACTCACATCTCTCTGTTTCTCAAACATGCTGTGGCTCCTTCACGCCACCTGTGACTTTGCTCATGCTGTTCCTTTTACAAGGCATGCCCTTCCCCTTCCTCTCTGACAAGTCATTGTCCTCAAGAGCTGGCTTCCTTGATACCTCCCCTAGTTCCCCTGGAATTAGCCACTCCCTCCTAAGGTTTCCATATAACTTTTAGTCATATTTTTACAATCCTTTGTTTACTGACTTTTGCTTTAGTTGTCTGTCTATACTTTACTCTTAAAGTGTAAGATGATGCCTAACTCTCTTGTTTTCCCTCTTTGCCTCTTTGGGCCTCTTTGCTCTTTGGAGGTGTGTCCGGCCCATGGTAGGTCTGAATGAACCTTCTTGTCCAGCTCTGTTTGTTTGAGCACCCCAGTGCCTTGCTCCATGGGTGTATCTTGTGGCCCAGCAGCATTGGTGTCACCCTCTCGGCAGAATCTGCATTTTAACAGACACCCTGGGGATTCACACACACACATATTAAAGTTTGAGAAACACTGGCCTAATATTCAGAGTTTCTTATATCAGACAAAAACCTTTGCTGCTTTGAGCTGACTGCTGGGACAAACCACCACTACAGTGGGCCTTTTTTTTTCCCCAGCGGCTTGAGAGTGTTGCATTGCACCTTTGCATGTCCTCAACCAGAATAAATGAGAACAGCATTCTTAATGTGCCCACCAGCAGGTTCCTCTCTTCTAATCAATTCCATATGCTTTTTGTGACTCTCTTTCTGGAATGTAAAAATAACCCTATTACCAACTCTTCCTCCTAGTAGCCTTTTCTCTGTAGCCAAGTTAATTCCAAATAGAACATCTGGAAATTCTATTTTGTTGCCTAATTTAAACCAGACTAAAACTAATCTGCATAAAAGTTTATGAACTTTCTGGAGCCTCACACTTTATATTTCCCCATCTGGAGAAGCTGGCAATTCAGAGGCCAGGAATAGGAAGGATTCAGCCATCTCTTTTTCTAGGGCTGGGGGTGAGTGTTTGTGGCTTTGTGGATTTGGACAGGGAGTTGGGGTGGTGATGCAGTTGTGGGGGGTAGGGAGTTTTGCAGGGAGAGGAAAATGTTTAGAGCTGACTTTCTTGTGCAAAAAAGAATAAAACTCTGTATGTGGATTTAAAGGTCCTTCAGCTTTAAGCTGAGGTGGTGGGTGGCTGAAGGGGCTATGAGGAGGTGGGGATGCCAGGTGAGGGAAGAAAAATGGAGTGTCAGGCAAAGGGAGAGGGGAATGGGGAATGAGGCATGAATCACCAAGAATAAGCTGGGAAGTGTATTTCAGTAGCTGTCCATTGGACCCAATGGCTCAGGACTTGGAAAGAGGCTACACCAGCTCTTGTCTTTGTTGTTAGTTTGACTTGTGACCCATAGACTAACTTAATTGAGAAGACAGCCTGGAAGTAAAGGGCAAGGAGGGTCCTTAGTTAGTCAGTGAGGGAGGGCATGAAATAAAAACCACTCAGGATATTTTCAGCAACATGCAACAAAATCGCAATCAAAATTCCAGCAAGCTTTCTGTATAACTCGACATACTGATTCTAAAATGTATGTGGAATAGCAAAGGATCTATGCTAGCCAAAACAATTTTTTAAAAGAAGAACAAAGTTAGCAGCTCAACAGAACCTTATTTCAAGATTTACTATAGTGTTATAGTGATGGAGACAGGGTGTTTTCAGCCAAAGGATAGATATATCAACGATTTGAGCAGAAGGAAATCTAATAGAGAGAATTCGAGTCTATCTCAGTCCTTCTGGGGTGCTGCAACAAATATTGTAGACTGGGTGGCTTATAAACAGCACACATCTATTTCTCACAGTTCTGGAGGCTGGAAAGTCTGAGATCGAAGTGCCGGCAGATTCCGTGTCTGATGAGGGTCATAGAGGCTGCCTTCTCACTGTGTCCTTGTGTGGACAAGACAGCTCTCTGAGGCCTGCTTAGAAGGACACTAATCTCCTTTGCGAGGGCTCTACCTTCATGACCTAACCAACTTCCAAAGGTCTTACCTCTGAACTCCATCATGTAGGAAGTTAGAACTTTAACATAAGAATTCTCTCTGGGAGACACACATATTCAGTCTATAGCAGACGTCTATAAAGACACTGGAAGGGCTGGAGGAATAGGCTCCAGTCTGGGCCTCCAGGAATGGGTCCTGAGTACAGCACTATAAAACACCCTCAGCAGGGAAGTGACTGCCTCTGGAGCTACCTAGAAGCTGCCATGGTCCAGGTATCAGGAAACTGGAATCAATAAGCTGCCTCCACCGCCTTATCTGTCCCTGGATACCCAAGAAGCTGAAAGAGGGACTCAAAAATGCTGCTGTAGACATTCCTTAATTTCCATGATTTTCTTTGTTAACCAGGGTTGGAGGCGGTTGGGATGAAAAGGGGAGAAGGAGGGAAGGAAGAAAATAAAAACACCTAAAGGGCCTTCGTTTCATTTCTGCCTTCTAAGTCTTATTGCCAGAACACAAAACCGTATCCAATACACCAGCTGAAAAGGACTCTGGCTCATGTGATTTTTCTGGCTTTCTGTCCTCTGCAGTATAGGAAGTTACCTGAGAATTAGAGAGCAAAGGTGGTTGAGCAAACCAATCCAAGGCATCCACCACTTTTCATGATTCTAGAGCTCCAGCTGCTTCTATTTATGTGTACAACCATTCAGCCATCATCTGTTAATGCTCAAGGCAGGCTGAATGCAGGGCTAGGTGCTGGAGCCACAGGGATATGTGAAATAAAGATCTCACATTTAATAAGCACTCACTATGCACCAGGCCCTCTGCTGAGTTTGCGTGGGTCATTTTCTCAATCCTTATGACACCCTGATGAGAGAAGGACTACGATTTCCCCATGTTATAGTTGGAGAAACTGAGGCTAGAGCAAGTGAATGACTTATTCAAGGTCACAGATTTGAACTCTGGTCATCTGACTCCGAAGCTCATTCCTTTCTCTTCTATGATGCTGCCTTGAAAATATGCATCCAAAACACATTACAAAAGGTGGAAGGCAAAGGAGAATGTGCAGCACCCAAGGGTGAGACCAGTCACAGCACCCCGAGTGCTGCAGGGGAGAGGCCACAGGAGTTACCCTGCATGTCCTGCCCTCCACTGGGAGGTCCCTGATCCCTTCTTAAACTGCTTCATACACCTGGTTGCTGTACAGTCACTTGGGATTCAAAATGGATTCAGTGACCCTTTCAACATGGCAGGTGTAGTGGGTTGAATTGTGTCCCCACAAAAAGATGTGTCCAAGTTTTTTTTTTTTTTTTTTTTTTTTTTGACAGTCTCATGCTGTTGCCCAGGCTGGAGTGCAGTGGCACGACCTCAGCTCACTGCAACCTCTGCCTGCCTCAGCCTTCCAAGCAGCTGGGATTACAGGTGTGCGCCAAAACACCCAGCTAATTTTTGTATTTTTAGTGGAGATGGGGTTTTGCCATGTTGGCCAGGCTGGTCTCGAACTCCTGGCCTGAAGTGATCAGCCCGCCTCGGCCTCCTAAAGTACTGGGATTACAGGCCTGATGTATCCAAGTATTAACTGCCAGTGCTTGTGAATGTGACCTTATCTGTAAACAGGGTCTTTGCAGGCATAATTAAGGTAAAGATCTCAAGACGAGATCATTCTGGGTTGGAGGTGGGAGAGTTAAATCCAATTACCAGTGCTCTTATAAGAGAAAAAAGAGGGCAGGCATGGTGGCTTATGCCTGTAATCCCAGCTTTGGGAGGCTCTGGTGGGTGGATCATGAGGTCAAGAGATCGAGACCATCCTGGCCAACATGGTGAAACTCCGTCTTTACTAAAAATACAAAAATTAGCTGGGTGTGGTGGCACGTGCCTGTAATCCCAGCTACTCGGGAGACTGAGGCAGGAGAATTGCTTGAACCCGGGAGGCAGAGGCCAAGATTGCGCCACTGCACTCCAGCCTGGCCACACAGCGAGACTACATCTCAAAAAAAAAAAAAAAGAGAGAGAGAGAGACAGATAAAAGAGAAAAAGACACAGAGTGACACTGGGAAGAAGATCATGTGGGGAGAGGGGCAGAGATGGGAGTGATGCTGCCAAAAACTCTGGAACAGCAGGAGGCACCAGGAGCTGGGAAAGACGAGGAAGGATCCTCCTTTAGAGCCTTCAGAGGGAGGATGGTCCAGTCACACCTTAATTTCAGCCTCTGGCCTCCAGAGCTATGAGGAGATACAATTCTATAGTTTTAACCACCCAGTTGTGGTCATTTGTCATGGCCGATCAAGGAAAATAATACAACAGGTAAAGTAAAGCTCTCCTTGATGGACAACATTTTCTTCAAGCTTCAATTGGGTCTTTCTAAAATTTACAGTTGGTTTGCAGACACCTCGACCTTGATGTTTAGAGATTGAGCATTCATCATTTTTTAGTCTATTTTATTTTTCCTCTCTGTCTGAGAACTTCCTAAATCTCTCCTGCTAATCCAAGCCCTACACTTTCCAGAAATCTTAAGGAAGAGTGGAAATGCATGGGCTTTGGAGCTGGACATTTGGGGTTTAAATGCTGACTCTGCTGTGGGACCGTGGGTAAGTTGCTTAACCTCTCTGGGTTTTAATTTCCCCATCTATAAAAACAGGGATAATTTCAATACTCATAGCATAGGGTGGGTGGATTACATAATGTATCTAACATGATGTTCAGCAAATGGTCATTCTCATTCCTTTCCTTTTTCCTTCAAGACCAGAGTCAAGACCCTCTTCCAGGGAGCTTTCTCTGAGAAACATTAGTCCCATAGTCAATTCCCTGCAGTGCGTTGCAGCCGCTCTTCCCAAATGTACCACTCAATCCAGCCCTTGGGTTTAGACTGTGTGTGCTGTTGCCTAATTGTTTGTTATGCATAAACCTCACCCACCCCATCCCATCCCTGGGAGGGCGGTGGTAGTGCCTCCACCTCTGTCTGCTTGTCACTTCCTTTTGTGGCTTCCCTCAGCACCTAGCACAGAGCTAGCCACACTGAAGGAGCCACATGGAGATGTGGCCACCCCTGAGTGGATGACGCCTTTGCCAGCCTTTGGGAATGTGTCTTTTCTTCCTGAACCTCATTTCCTGAGAGTGACCAGGTAAAAACTCAACTTGGAAATCATCAAATAGACATGGACTGCCTCTGTCAGCCTTTGGAAATGTGTCTTTTCTCCCTGAACCTCATTTCCTGAGAGTGGCCAGGTAAAAACTCAACTTGGAAATCATCAAATAGAAATGGGGTGCCCCTGGGAGATATGCACTATGGAAATGAGAAATATAGCCTCTAAATGGAATAGAGGCTCATTAGTCCTTCTCTCTCTTGCAAACACAATAATTGTTTAAATAAAAAAAAGAAAAAAGAAAAAATCTGTCACTTTTGCCCCATTTCTCAGTGGCTTCTGCACAGCCTCACTGAAGGGGAGCCTCATTACGAAGACTTTATTAAGCTTGCAAAACAGACTAGGAAGCGCAGTGAGGAGCATACAGAGCTAAACTTGCCAAAATAAATGAACAAAGTACATTCCTGATGCCTGGCCCCTTTGGGAATGGAAACCCAGGAGACCTTGGAAACTATTAGGATGCAACTTTATTAACTTCACTCAGGCACGCGGCAGTTAGCCCCAGGGCGGCTGCACGCAGCTCCTGGCCAGAGCATGGGGTCTGAGTTCACCTCCTCCCTGTCCTGGCTGGCCTTTTGGCTGCCCCTCCTTTAAAAGGGTCGGTGGCTGCAGCCCATTTGTTTCTCCTGTCTTGAGGCCCTGGGGTCAGAAGCTCTGTTCAGATCATCCTTTGCTAAGATAATCTTCTCAATTGCCTGTGCATCTCCAGCCAGGGCAATGCTGATGTGGAGGAGAGGGAGAGAGAAGCCCAGTGGGGACGGCTCACTCTGACCATTTGGAAAGGGCATCATTCTGTCATGCCAAATTGCTTGACCATTTCCTCCCACCCATATCATTCCCATCCTTCGACATAGGTGAATATATTGTATCACTCTAGGATTCCTTTGTCCTCTGGGGAGATGCTCAGGGAAGTCACTTTACCTCTGACCCCAGTCTTCTCTTCCATGAAATGGGGCTGGCAGTATCCAACTGGCTGGGTTGTCATGATTTTGATGATGTACATGAACTCCAGCACCTGGCATGCAGCAGGCACCTGCATGTCACTCTTCCTTGCCTTTTCCTCTTCTGTAAGGATGACAGAGTGCTCTTTCAGGAGCTGCTCTGGGTAGGGAAACTGTGGCAGATGGGGAGCTGTGGGAGGCCTATGGCACTGCCAGCCTTGACCCCTCACCGCAACACAGCCAGCCCTGGGATTGTCTACACCCTTTTCAAGCATCTGCTAACTGCAGCCCGTGCTTTTCCTGAGGGTCCTGTCTCCCTGAACTTGCTCCTTTTGCCTGGAAACATGCTTACTCAGGTGTTCAGGGAACCCCTCTGTGGAGACAGCACTGTAGAAACGAGACCTGAGAGGCAGCACCTTGGGCTGCGATGGTCAAAGGCAGGCTAGAGAAGAGCCCCACTCAATCCCCTTGGGGCATGCTGGGCAGGGAGGAAGTCTGGACTGGGAGTGGGGAGAAAGGAGGGAGGCCAAGCGTGTCCTCCACAGGAGAGGTTTGGGGGATTACCCACCAGGGTTGGAAAAGTGAGGATTTGGAGTCCTTCAGATGGGCTGTGGCGTGACAGCATGTGCTTGCTGTGTGGGTTCAGGCTTGCGTCTGTGGTCCTTTAGTCTTGAATTTCTATTCCATTAGGACCCCAAGAGTTAGCAGGGCTGGGTATGGGCTTTCCCAATGTCACCCTCAGGACTTAGGGAGAAGTCTCAAACATAACCTTCCAGAGGCTTCTGAGATCATTGACCTTAGCTCTCTGTCACTTTTCAGATGAGGAAGCCGATGTCTAGAGAGAGCGAGGAAATTGCCCAAGGTCCAGTGGGGGACAGAGAGAGGCTTCAACTTTATGGCAAGTTTGGGGCTACAATCCAGGACTCCGGATTCAAGAGCTTGTGTCTGTTTATAACACATTAGGTACCTTCAGTCATGTGATGTAGCTTTGTTACTCAGTATTTCATGAGAACAAATTAACCCCTGTTCATCTTTTTGGTGGGTATCATCTCAGACCACGTGAAATGACAGGGTGAGGTTATGACTGAGTGAAGTGTGTGCAGGGGATGGGAGCCAGTCAGGACAAGGCCTGTGAAGGCATTTCAGAGCAAGCAATTTGGAGGTGGGGGCAGTTAAAACTAGCAGAACCTACAGGTAGGTCTACATAAGGAAGGGGGTTGATTATTTTTTTGAGCTCTGATGAACTCTATAAAGGCTTCACAGACTCATGCCACTGGAATCCAATGCTGGGAGGCCCTGGACTGGTCCACTTCAAAGATGGTAAATCCACAGCATCGTGTCTACCGCTGCTATCTGCACCCATGGCAGGCATCATGAATCGATCACGGCACTCTTTCCTAGTGAGCTGGATGCAGCCTCAGGATCCCTTTCAATGTAATGCCTGAGCAGCCACTGTTTCTCAACTGGACAGACGTGGGAGGAGAGCGCTCTCTGCCCTCACTGATCTAGTGTAATCTCTCTTATTTGTAGCTGGGGAAACTGAAACCAAAGGAAGGCTTGCCTAGAGGTCTCCCAGTCTGTTTGTGGCAGGCCCCAGTTCTCCTATCTCCAAATCCTTTGCTTTGTGCACCAAACCATCTTGCTGTATCTACATCAATTTGAAAAAAGAAGTGCAAAAAGATCCAATAATTGCTCACCACCTGCCAGCTGCCACCTGGCAGTGAGCTCCAGCCTTGTATTTCTGCCCATGTGATGGTTCTGGTTCCACCTCAACAGACAGTGTATTTCCTGATGGCCCCCCAAACCCTTTTATGTCCAATTTTGGCAAATTCATTTTCACCCTTATGACTTTCTGCTACCAAGTCTGGGGGACCAGAAAGGCCGCATAGTGTTCTTAGGCAAGATTGTGGGAGAAGGAGATGGGTATTTTTCTAGGACTACTTCCACAAATTACTGATCTAAAACTCAAAAAGGCCCTGACGGGGGGCGTTTTCACAAACTATCATCATAATAATACGAATCAAGCAAAGCATCACAGTCTCCAGCACAGCTGCACATTCTCGTGAGGAAATGATTTTTTTGAGTTGCTGGAAAATTGGGTCATTAATGCTTCTCCTCATTATTTTCTCTGTTCAGATTCCATGCAGGTGTCATTTTCTTTGAAAAGTGATCAGCCAGTTGCTAACCAGGGCAGGATCTTTAAATGGACCTGTTGTCTAAAATCTGTGTGCTACTAAAGCTGAAAGAGAGCATGCTCTTGGCTCATGCACAAGGAGCTGATTGCATTTGTAAAACCAACGACTCACCCTGGCCTTCCCTTTAGCCAGGCCTAATGCCACTTTCAGTGACTGCCAGCAAGTTCAACCCAATCAGTGCCTTCTTATCTAACAGAGTACTCCTTCGGTGAAACCCACTTTTAACAGTAATGACCCCACACATTGTCTTGAGCTTTATTATTTTTCAGAACCATATCTGTTCCTAATTTACAACAGTCCTTTTTTACAGCCCATTTCATGGGTGGGAACACTGTGTCAGAGAAGCAAGGAGGCATCTCTGATGCCTCATAGCAGATTGGAATCAGACAAGACTAAGATCTGAGTCTCCTACCTGTAAGCACTCAATGTGTACTCACCACCGAAGACTGTGCCCCCATCGCCAGGCATGGCAGATTGAGCCTAGGTGGGACAGTTTCAGCTTGTTCCTGCACTACTTGCTAAATTGAATAGGCAATGGCCATCTCTATAGACAACTACAGAACACCATTGTGGTGATTGTTGAGCTTGGTTAATCTGAAGTTTGTTCCTAAAAGTGCTTATATTTTGATGGTGATGGTTATTGGTGATGCCAGACACACATTTACCTTCTAGGATAATTGCAGGGAGTAGTGTGCACCAAGGCATAGTATAATTTGCAAGTGTGTGATAGTTATCTCTTGAATAGTCCCACTTACAGAAGTATGTGTGTTTAGTAACTTATGATGAGGACACAAGGTTTCAACGGTCATATGGAGCATCCCTGTGCTTCAAGGCAGACTTCACCTAAGTTGTTTCAGACAGAAGTGTCTTTTTCATTCATTTTCCCTTTTAAAGAGTGTCAATGAAGGAAAGTGCCTACTGTCTGTGGGTCAACCACTTTAGCATTTAACAACCCTCATGGCTGGGAAATGAATCCTGACGTTGAACCTAAATTCTTTCTGTGGACCATTTACTTCGTGTTGGGACTAAATGGAGTGAGAGAACAGATCCCCACCATTTTCTGTCTACCTGCCCACAGATGAAAATTGCCACATCACCCTTTATTCTTTTCTCCAGCTCTGGGCTAACAATACAGATGAGGATTTTACCCTTCATCATAGATCCTGTTTGCAAATGTCTTCCAAATCCTTTCCACATTCTCACATTATTATTGACTTATGATAGTTCAAAGCAATTCCGATTATGTGAGTCTGTTTTATCTCAGATCATTCGTACTATGTACCTTTCTCTCCACTTCCCTGTCACCTCTTCTATTAAAAAAAGTCACACAAATCATCAACCACACCTTTGTATTATACTTGTAAATACTTGTGGTCCACTATGATCTTCTGCCTTTTTTTGTCCTTAGTTTGCATATTTTCTTTACCTATTATTCCTTTATTCTGAGCCTGATTATTTTTATTTATTTAAAGATTCCTGCTTAACACATTTCTTTGTTGGACAGAATTTTGAAGATTACAGCCATGTCTGCCATATGGTCCACTGATGTTAGATGTTACAAAGGATTTTCCTACATTTTCTTCTTATACTCATAGATACTTGCATGCATATGCTGCTATGTTTTCAAAACTGAAAAGCAAAATTAGAAAATAATAATATGAAGCATTTGGTCTATACTCAGGGGTACAGATCTAAGTTCTTTCTCTCAACAGTGAAGACTTTTTTTGTAATATAAGATGGTAAGACATGATATTTTGAGAGCATAATTAAAGAAGGAATATATTCAGGGGTGAGGTATGTGGTAATAATGACGATAGTAGGAGTAAACACCCACTGGGGCCAACTGTGTATCAAAGCATGTGCTAAACACATTATGAAAATCATTTGAAACAAGTTGTCAGCAAAATAAAAATTCCAAGAAAAGATAGATGGGTGCAGGATACAGAAGTCAGAACAACATTATGGAGGAGGTAGGGTTTGAGTAGGACTTGAGCTGGGCCTGGGCCTGGCTCAGGTTTCCTGGCTTCTAGTTCATTGCTTTTTCTATATGCACCAGTGTTTGCTGGATTTATGAAGGCTAGCATTTTTTGAGACAGGAAAATTGATGGAGATTCTTTGGTTGTGAAGTCTTATTCCTACTATAACGGTATGTTATTTAACTGAGACCTTTGTCTTCATTCAGGCCCAATTAGCACAGATGAATTTTGGGCAAGGGATGGTTTAACAAGGGTGTGGGCCAGTTGTTACAAAATGATTTGCCCCTGACAAGAAGGTAACAATCAAGTGGCTGTGGATAAATGCCTGTTCTTTCCAGACTCCACATACTTGCTTCCATGTCCATCCACACATGTACTCCTAGCCAAGTTACAAGTGAGAATGTCTGTATTTCTATTGCAACTTAGAAAATGATACCTGTAGGAATCAAATGTCAGGTCTCCAGATTTAGCCTCTGGCTCTGGGAGCAGAACTGGCACAAAAACCATCAAACCAAACTCAAGGGGAAAATGAAGACTTGTGTTGAGCTGGCATTGTTCCAGAAGTTATTCACCTGCTAAAAGGGAGAGACATTCTGATGCATTTCCTCCTGCAACCCAGACATGCTCTATCAGGTCTTGAACTCCTAACCTCAAGTGATCCACCTGCCTCAGCCTCCAAAAGTGCTGGGATTACAGGAGTGAGCCACCGCGCCTGGCACAAGAACCTTATTTTTAAATCATCCTATGTTCAAGTAACTTTTCTGTGGTAGGCACAGGAAGTCGGGTGAAGGACCCCAAAGATGAAGGGGTGATGCTGTTTCCAGTGTGTTGTGGGCCAGTATAGGAGTCACCAAGAAAGTACATGACAAGATGTGTAGCACAGATGTGTTAAAATCAGGGACCCCTGGCAGAATGAGGTGGCTCGTGCCAGTAATCCCAGCACTTTGGGAGGCTGAGGCTGGAGGCCTGCTTGAGCTCAGGAGTTCAAGACCAGCCTGGGCAACATAGCCAGATCCCCTTTCTACTAAAAATTTTAAAAATTAGTCAGATATAGTGATACACACCTGTAGTCCCAACTACTCAGGAGTCTGAGGTAGGAGGGTCTCTTGAGCCCAGGGCCAAGCACATGGAGGCTGCAGTAAGCTATGATCGTGCCACCAGACTCCAGCCTGGGTGACAGAGTGTGAGACCCTATCTCAAAAACAAACAAACAAAAAATCAGGGCCCCATATTTGGTAATGTTTCCTCCATCCCATCACTCCAGCTGAAGGCAACTTTTCTCTCATCTGAACAATGCCTGTGCAATATTGGTGCTCCCACCTGGCATTATTTTTGTTATATGTATACATATAGTTTATGTCTGGTGTCCTCTCATTGACTGTAAGCTCCTTGGGGGCAGATCTGTTTCCATGGCCTTTCTCACATTGCCACAATGCCTTGCACAATGGGAACATGATACTTATTGAGGGAAAGAGAGAATGAATGAATAGTGGTAGTATGAGTAGGTCTCAGAGGGGAGAAAGTTTAACTAATTAACTAATCAATTCATTTAACAGATATAAATTGACACCTTCTATGTACTAGGTAGTTTCCCAACTGGTGAGGATATAGCAGTAAACACAATAGACAAAAACCCTGTCCTCAGGGAGTTTTTATTAAGGTTGGAAACATCAAATTCTATTTGAAAATTTGAGTAGCATTCACAGCAGAGGTGGATGTAACTTTGGCCTTGGAGAATGGAAGGAATTTTGTTGGGTGGAAAAGAGTGAGGACAGGGGCTGTAATGGGTGCAGGGTGTGGGCAGAGAAATGATGTACATTTCTATCACATGAAAGTGTGAAATGTGCTGTCAAACCTGATCTCACTGCTGATTCTATTGTCTACTTTTAGATACACTTTGTTATAAGTAAGCAATACGGGAATCTACTGCACTTATACCAAAATTGAAGGGGAGGTGAAAAAAGAAGATAATGAACGGCCACTGAGATGGATTTTGTTTCATTTACCCTGCACAGTGACCCTGCAAGTTGGTTATTGTCACCTCTATGCCCTGGAGAAAACTAATGCTCTGAGAGGATGCTGTCTAGTTAGTTTGGGTTGCTAAAACATAATACAATACTGGGTAGTTTAAAGAACACATTTTTATTTTCTACTGTTCTGGGGGCTGGGAAGTCCAAGATCAAGGCACCAATAGATCCAATAACTAGTAAAGGAACTCTGCTAGATTTGTAGATGGCTGTCTTTTTGTTGTATCCTCACATGACCTAGATAAATCATCTCTCATTTTTCTTCTTATAAAGGTGTGAATTCCATTCCTGAGGTGTCTATCCTTATTAACTAATTACTTCTCAAAATTTTCACCTCCTACCATCACATTGAGGGGTAGGATTTCGACATATGAATTTTAGGGGGGCACATTCCTTCCTAACACATGCATAAGTTGCTCAAAGCCATAAAGGAGGATTTATTCCCAGCTCTATCTGACTCCTGAATCCACCAAACCCAGGTTCTTGACTGTTTACCAGGAAACCAATTAACAAACTGGGTCTCCTTTGATGAATCTCTCGGGTCCTGATGTCTACTTTATGGGGGTCCTTACAGGACTTCAGTTCTGGCTATGCTGTGCTAATTTTATTCTCTCTCAAGTTCTTTGAATCAGAGGCCTGGTGCTGTAAGCAGGATGATTCTTTCTGGAGCCTATGCCTTGGGGCAGAGTTGGGTTGAAATTTCCTTAGAACATCTGGATATAATAATAGGGCATTCCCATGAGTTTTCTAATAGCTAAACCTTGCAGGATGCTTGCCATCTTCCTAGGGCCCTTGCTTTGCCCTAGTTTTCTATTCTTTTTTTCAAAAGCCTTCACCTGATCCATCTCTTAAATTGCATTATCCTCAAGACTGGTGGAAGAGTTGGACACTGTTTCTCTAACTCCCTGGCTTTTGCATTCCTGGAAATAAGCTCTCTCACTGCCCCCTTTTCAAATAGCAGCTTTCATCATTGCAGAAGAATCACTAGCTCTCCTCCAGCTGCACCATATTGCATATGTCCCTATTGCAACTGAGTAGAGCCATATTACTAAGTTCTCTTCAAGAAAATGTGACCAGAAGTGATATAGCCATTTTTGGCCAGCTTATCAAACCTCTTCTGTTTTCTGTTCCCATGGACTAGAATGGTAGGACCAAGGCAGTCTTGGGAAACCACTGTTAAAGATGGCAAACCCTCTGTTAGCTTGGATGTCTAAATGACCGTGTGCAGTAGAGGTGCCCACCAATGGAACTTGGCCTTGGACTGTTACTGTAAACTTTGGTTGTGTTGGAGCCATTACACATCTTGGGTGTGTTGGTTACAGCTGTTCAGCATACCCTGACTGTCTAGGGCTGCTGTAACAAAAGATGACAAACTGAATGGCTTAAAATAACAATAATTTGTTCTGTCACAATTCTGGAGGCGAGAAGGCCAAAATCAAGATGTTGAT
Source organism: Homo sapiens (assembly GCF_000001405.40). Classification (NCBI taxonomy): domain Eukaryota; kingdom Metazoa; phylum Chordata; class Mammalia; order Primates; family Hominidae; genus Homo; species Homo sapiens. Next base: position 118,778,832 of record NC_000002.12, on the reverse strand, counting down.
AGGGTTTGCTCCTTCTGAGGTTGTAAGGGTAGTCTGTTGCATGCCACTCCTGTAGCTTCTGGTAGTTGCTGGTCATCTTTGGCATTCCTTGGCTCCTAGATGCATCACCCTGATCTCTGCCTTCATTGTCACATGGTGTTCTCCCCACGTGCCTGTCTCTGTGTTCAAATTTCTCATCTTTATAAGGACACCAATTCTACTGGATTAAGGGCCAGCCCTACTCCAGTATGACCTAATCTTAATTTAACTAATTGCATCTGCAGTGACCTTATTTTGAAATAAGGTCACATTCTGGCCTCATAAGGCCCAATGAAGAAAGAAACATGTTTTAACAACATATTCTTGGCCAGGCGCGGTGGCTCACGCCTGTAATCCCAGCACTTTGGGAGGCCGAGGCAGGCAGATCACGAGGTCAGGAGATCCAGACCATCCTGGCTAACACGGTGAAACCCTGTCTCTACTAAAAATACAAAAAAATCAGCCCGGCGTGGTGGCGGGTGCCTGTAGTCCCAGCTACTCAGGAGGCTGAGGCAGGAGAATGGCGTGAACCCGGGAGGCGGAGCTTGCAGTGAGCCGAGATCGCGCCACTGCACTCCAGCCTGGGCGACAGAGCGAGACTCCATCTCAAAAACAAAAACAAAAACAAAAACAAAAAAAATTCTCAGTGTGCGCGTACAAAGATTTTTTTCTGTCAAAGTCTTCAATTCACTGAAAAAACAGTTTATGATGCACTTTAAAGAATATATGCTGATGGACCAGGCGCAGTGGCTCACGCCTGTAATCCCAGCACTTTGGGAGGCCGAGGCGGGCGGATCATGAGGTCAGGAGATTCTGGCTAACAGGGTGAAACCCCGTCTCCATTAAAAACACAAAAAATTAGCCGGGCATGGTGGCGGGCGCCTGTAGTCCCAGCTACTCAGGAGGCTGAGGCAGGAGAATGGCGTGAACCCGGGAGGCGGAGCTTGCAGTGAGCCGAGATCGCGCCACTGCACTCCAGCCTGGGCGACAGAGTGAGACTCCGTCTCAAAAAAAAAACCAAAACAAACAAACAAAGAAAAGAATATATGCTGATGGCCAGGCATGGTGGCTCATGCCTGTAATCCCAGCACTTTGGGAGGCCAAGGCGGGTGAATTACGAGGTCAGGAGTTCAAGACCAGCCTGACCAACATGGTGAAACCCTGCTGTCTCTACTAAAAATACAAAAATTAGCCAGGCCTAGCGGCATGTGCCTATAATCCCAGGGACTCAGGAGGCTGAGGCAGGAGAATCACTTGAACTTGAGAGGCGGAGGTTGCAGTAAGCCGAGATGGTGCCATTGCACTCTAGCCTGGGCGACACAGCAAGACTCTGTCTCAAAAACAGACAAACAAACAAACAATATATATATGCTGATATTCACCTTTTATTGCTGGATTTCTCTATTTGGCTGCATGGGCCTCAATGGAAAAAGAAACATGTTTTAATAAAATATTCTCAATGTATGCTTACAAAAAAAAGAGAGAAAGAAATAAGATTATATTCTGAGGTACTGGGGACTCAAACATCTTTGTTGGGTGACACTGTTCAACTGATAATACCAATTAATACAAGCAAAACTTGCAGAGAAAGTCCCAAAGTCATGCCATATCCTCTCATACTCTTACAGCAGCTGACCTTTGGCCCCTAGAGGCTGACTCCCTATTAAGAGGTGATCTCTCAGAAGTTTCCTCCTTTGTTCTGCTGGACCCTGGATCAGGCAGTCGAGCCTGAATCCTCAGGTAGATTTAAATGGCCTCTTCAAATTAGACATCCTGGGTCTCATTTTTTTTATTAGTAAAATGGGAATAATGATGCTTATCCTGCTTATCTTACAAGGCTTCAAATAAGGATCAAATAAATACTCCATAGTAACAACTGATGCTCATAAAATGCTTTCTACTTAACCACAATTGCATCTTTTCCTGGTAAGTTTTGTAATTGTTTTTTTTATTTGGCATTCAGGTGCACAAAATTGGGTTGAGTGATTCATGGCAAACCACGGCAAACACAGTATTTTTCCATGCAGATTTCCTCTCATTTTATGTATTTGCTTCATTTTTTTTATGATCATTTCTCATTTTCTATCACCTATTAGTGGCTCCAGAGACTTCTGACGCTACAGACAATCTTTCTGTTTTTGGAATGAGACTCAACTACTTTCTGTCTCTTCATGGAGTTCCCACTGTTTCCGATGGATTCTGGGATCTTCTGCCTCTCTCTTTTGGGTTAGGTTCAGGGAGGGGCTTGTAGCTCAAGCCAGTTCAACATGTGGTCCAACACACAAAAAACTGTATATTACTAATACTAAATTAACTAAATATTACTAACATTTCTTCCTTATTTCTCAGATCCCAATAAATGAGGAAATTAGAGTGAAGAGAAAATAGGAGTAGGATTGTAAGGGGTAAAATTGGTGTGTAGAAGTATCTACTATAAATCCCGTGCCGTTTTTAGAGATCCTCTTGAGCTTCCTGGTAGCTAAAGCAAAAAGTAACCAAAACAAGCAATTAATTATGAAAATGAGCAGGTTGTTCCTTAAGCGAAGCCCACTTTCTTGGCCAAGAGGCCCAAGCCTTATAATCCCCAGTGATATTTGTCCACTAAACACAGCAACGATGGCATAGCATACATTTTAAAGCAGGCAAATTCCATTTTTACTTATTTCTTTTTATTTCATTATTTAAATGATGAATGTGATATTCAATATTACATGTCATTAGGGAATTGCAAATTAAAACAAAAATGGGATACCATTATACACCTATTTGGATGACTAGAATCCAAAACTCTGACACCACTAAATGATGACAAGAATGTGGAACAATAGGAATTCTATAGGAATTCTTATTCATTGCTAGTGGAAATGGCTGCAAAATGGTACAGCCTCTTTGAAAGGCAGTCTAGCCTTTTTTTTTTCTTTTTTAAACAAAACTAAACATACTCTTACCATATGACCCAGCAATTGCACTCTTTGGTATTTTCCCAAAAGAGTTGAAAGATTCCATCTATAGAAAAATCTGCACATGAATGTTTAGATTAATTTTATTCATAATTGCCAAAACCTGGAAGCAACTAAGATGTCCTTCAGCAGGTGAGTGGATAAATTAATGTGCTACCTGCAATAACAGAGTATTATTCAGCCATAAAAAGAAATGAGCAATCAGGCCACAAATAGACATGGAGGAACTTATTAATAAAATGCATATTGCTAAGTGAAAGAAGCCAATCTAAAAAAGCTACTTACTGTATGATTCCAGCTACAGTATATGACATTCTGGAAAAAGTAAAACTATGGAGATACTACAAAGATCAGTGGTTGCCAGGGGCTTGAGGGGAAAGAGGGAGGACTACGTGGAGCATTGGGGATTTTTAGGGCAGTGAAACTGTTCTGTATAGTTACTGTGATGATGGACACATGACATTACGCATTTGTCAAAACCCACAGATTGTACAACACAAAGAGTGAATGCTAATGTAAAGTATGGATTTTAGCTAATAATAATATATCAACGTTGGCTCATCAATCATAACAAATCGACTACACTCATAGAAGATGTCAGAAGAGAAAAGGAGTATATGAGAACTCTTTGTATTTTCCACTCAATTTTTTTTGTAAACCTTTTTAAAACTGCTCAAAAAACTACATTAATTAGATAAAAATAAGATGCATGTATCGGTGCTCCTGGAACTGCAAGACACGAGGGCATGGACTCAGCACCTTCAGGCAGGGCCGGTTTCCCTTTCTTGCCTTCGTTTCACAGAACCAAGGACCCTGTAAGGCTTGCAGGAAGGGCTTCCCGACCCAGCTGCAGTGCGGGAGCGAGGTTTCACGAGGACAGCAAGCCGGGGGTGGGGGACGCCAGCACAGAAAAAAGGCGCCCCCAGCACCCTATGCTCGGCGCCGCACACCGGTTTGCTTCCATGCAGGTCCCTTTAACAGCTTTTCATCTCGGGCTTAGTCACCCTCAGGTCAGTTTCTGTTACCTAAAAAATGGTAAAAGGTGCCACTTTCAGAGAAGTCACTCAAGGCAAACCTCTGCTTGTGTTGGCTAGTGTTCATTATAAGTTCCATTCCGTAAAATCGGTAAACGGAGACTCAGAGACCACATCCCACCGCAATAGGAGTCAGAGCGAGGATTCAGCCTGGCGCTAACCCGGCGTTCTCCGCTTCACGCTGCGCGCTCGGCTGGGTCCGGAGCCGGAGCCCTCGCCGCTCTCCGCCTTCCACCTCCCGGCCCTGGAAGCCCCGCCCCGCGACAGCTGTCGGCTCCGCCTTTCCCGGCCGGGTCCGCTACTGAGGCTTTCAGCCCCCTCCGCAAAGTCGAGTGGCTGGGAGCTGTGAGTTCACGTGTACTTTGCACCAGAACAATGAAAACGTAATAAAAAAAATTCTTTCTAGATGTTTCTTGAAAAAAAAAAAATCCTAAAGACCCATCTCCGAAAGTGTACAAGCAACAAGAACAGATGTTGTTTAACAGGCTTGTAGAACATTCCCATAAAGTTACAAACATATCTTTCAGAGGTTACTAAAGATAAACAGATACAAGTCACATTTTTTCAGTTCAAGAGACGACTTGCTGTTTGGAAGCCAAATAAAGATTCCGAATGTGAGATGCACCTGAAAAAGATTAGGAGATCAGATCGAGGATATTAAACTTAGGGCCAAGTCTAACATGCTCTCCTTGGATTGTGTATGTCTCAGCAAAACAAAACAAAAACGCAGCTTCCAGCTCCATGCAGGAGACTAGGGGCTGATGGGGACGTGGGGGACGTTTCTCCTCACCGCTTCTGTTTTCCCTTCTCTGGTGCAAGGTGGGCTAGAGTCAAGAGGACAGCTCTGCTCACTTCCACCCTCCTGGCTTCACTCAGCTAGCATTTGCTGAGCACTTCCTAAGTGCTGGACAATGACCAAGTGCCAGGTGCACAGATCTGAAAAGGAGAGCACAGTCCGATTAGAGGAGCAGATGCACAAACCCATACTTGAATATGTCAGCATCCTGCCTTGCTCAGTTGTACGGGCTCTAGATGCCCGACTGTTAGGGTTCAAATCTCAGCCCTGGCATTACTTGCTGTATGTCCTGGACAAGTTAATTTACTTCTCTGTGCCTTGTTTTATCCTCTATAAAATGGAGGTAAGAAAAGTACCTGCCTATATAATGTATTGCTCACCCCACCTTTTTTTTTTTTTTTTGAGACAGGGTCTGTCTCTGTTGCCCAGGCTGGAGTGCAGCAGCGTGATCATAGCTCACTGCAGCCTCGACCTCCTGGGCCCAAGCAATCCTGCCGCCTCAGCCACCTAAGTAGCTGGGACTACTGGCATATGCCTCCACACCTAGATAATTTACTTTTATTTCTTGTAGAAACAGGGTCTCACCATGTAGCCAGGCTGGTCTCAAACTCCTGGGCTCAAGCGATCTTCCCACCTTGGCCTCCCAAAGTGCTGGGATAAGAGGCATGAGCCACTGTGCTTGACCTGTATTGCCTGTTGTATAACAAATTACCCCAAACTTAGTGGTTGAGAATAACAAACATTTCTAAAGTCACAGTGTCCATGGGTCAAGGATATGGGTGTGGCTTATGGGTGATCTGTCAGGAAGATGCAATTAAAGTGCTGGAATTGCGGTCATCCCTGGGCTGGACTGGGGAAGGACCTGCTTTCAAGCTCACTCATGAGGCCATTGGTGGCCTCAGGTCCTTGCTGGCTATTGGCCAGAGACATCAGGTGCTCACCACGTAGGCCTATAGCGCTGCTCACAACTGACAGCCTCTCCCAGAGTGAGGCGCGCGCGCACGCGCGCGCGCGCGAGAGAGAGAGAGAGAGAGAGAGAGGGAAAGAGAGAGAGAGAAAGAGAGAGAGAGATTTAGGAGCCAGTTTTTTACTGTCTAATTTCAGATGTGACATCCCATCACTTCTGCCATTTTCTATTTGTTAGACCGAGTCACCAGGTGCAGCCTGCACTGAAGGGGAGGGGAACGCACAGGGGTGTGAACACTGGCAAGCAGGTCGCAGGGCCACCTAGACACCTGCCACTGTAGCTCATAGATTATCATGAGTGTCAAATGAGTTCACGTGCAAAAGAAGAACAGTTTCTCCTCATTCCCACTTCAAGGCTCTTATCACCACGTTGAGCTGCTCATATGATTAGAATGCTTCCTCCACCTCAAAACACACAGGCACATGTGCGCACACGGACACTGCCTGTCTTTCTATCCTTCTTTCTCTTGTTTCCTGTCTGTCTCCCTGCACTAGTTTGTAAGCTTCGGTGGTATGGATTTTTGTCTGTTGTCTCACACCTAGAAACAGTGCCTGGCACACAGCATTTTCTCTGATCAATAGTTACTAAATTGAACAATGGAGCTAACCTGTACCTCCACTGGGATAAGCAGTATTGGAATCATATGATCTCATGATTGCAACAGCGGTCCTATATTCCCATTTGCCTTTCCATTTCATCTCTGTAATGCACACTATCCTTTGTGTTGGACCATCTCCAGCATCTACAAGTGTTCCTGCATGTTGGTCAGAGCTCATGACCACACTTGGTTTCAGAACATTTCCTATTTTGTCTAGCTCAGTTCCTACCCTCTGCAGTAGAGCAGGGATATTTGGATGGCTTGGGGTCAGAAGGCTGATCTGATGTGGCACACAGGGACTGGCACTCATCATGTGAAAGGTGGCTGTATGCCTTCAGTCCTGGGACGCTGATCTGCTTAATTCTGCCTCATTAGAAAGGGGCCACCTGCTGGATTTGTTACTGAGCCTTTTGTGTTCTACCTTGGTGCTGTGGGAGAAGCTGAGTGGCCTGGAGAAGAGCTAGGGAGTGGGCTTATGGGTGAGTACCTGAGCCTGAGGCTGAACCTGGCTTTGACTTGCAATTCTTTCAGTAGGTGAGGGTTGCCAAAACTTTAATGTGATCCAGTTCACCTGGAAGATCTTATTAAAGTTCAGCTTTGGTTTTAATAGTGTGGGGTGGAGGTCTGGAATCTTGCCTTTCTGACAGCTGCCAGGCATTGTTAAGGTAGCTGGTTCTTGGACCACACTTTGAGTAGCAGCAAGGAATCAGGCAATGGGTTCTTCTTCAGTAGTTCTTCCATGCATAGATCTAAAAGAGTCAGGGTTTCCACACTTTTGTGTGGATCCCAGATGGGCAGGGAAGGAAAAGGAAGCCAAAAGATGCAGAATCCAATGCAACTGGAGGCAGGGAGTAGAAGTGTAGGAAGACAAGAAGGACCCTTAGATGAGGTATAATGAAAAGGAGCCCTTCGGGTGGGTCCACTCCAGAAGGCTGGAGAGCAGCAGTTTTAGGTTGACTGGAACAAGAGATTGGGGTCCAGGTAGCAAAGGGCTTTGAGTGCCAGGCCTTGGATTTGGTTATGCAGTCTGGGGTTTCCAAATTCAAATGCCTATAGGGGTCAATACGCGGCAATAAGGAGCAGTGGGGCCTGTGGCCAGCCATGTGTATTTGAAAGGTCAGTTCCTACTCAGCTCCAGCTGGTTCTTGGATTGTAGGTCATCTGTAACCAGATCTTCTAATTTCTGAAGCAAAGTCCCATATCTGGGATTTTATGTGATATATTCCAATTTTTAAAAGCTATCAAGCCAAACGTAACTTATTTGCAGCCATGTCTGGCTTGAGAACACCCAGTTATGACGTAGACTGAGGCAGAAAGCAACCAGTGAAGGTTTGGGACAGGAAGTTGTCTCCTGGAGGAAACCAGCTCATGGATGATGTTCATGGCTGTTGACAGCCTTGGTCAGGAGAAGCTGTGTTTCTGGATGCCATGCTTTTCTACCTGCGACCTCAAAGTCTTCTTAAGCAGCCATACATGTGGGGAAGAGGTGTTCTGAGGACCAAAGGAAGGTGTTCACCTGAAGTCCAGAGAAGCTTGGAGACAATCACCTGCTTTAAACACAAGAACTAAATGTGCTTCTGCCTCTTCTGTCTTGCCCCTGAGACTTGGCACCACGTCCTGGCCACGTCCAGAATTGTTAGAGGGCATGATACAACCTGGGGTTTTGTAGCAAAGTGAGGTCAGAGGAATGTTTGTTTAAATTTCAATGTCATCATTTTCTAGCTTGTTGACCATTAACAAGTCAGCTAATCTCTTTTGCTTCAGTTTTCCTTGTTTACAAAATAGCTGTTGGTAATTCTACCTATCCCAACTGAGATATCAAACGATACCTCATTTGATTACATTTGATTCTGAATCTATTACCTCAGTTGATAACAGTATGGATAATATAGATACTATATTATTCCTACATTTCTACTCCCTGCCTCCAATTACATTTATTGATAGTATCTATATTATCTCAGTTGAGAATCAACCCAGTTGAGAATCAACTGAGATAATATAGAGAAATATACCTTCCACCAAACAGGGCACATCAAGCCTTGTTTCTCTACTGAGATAATATAGAGAAACACCATAGGACCTTGTACAGACTAAATGCTCAGTTAATAATGTTTTTTATTATTATTATTACAGTTTGGAGGCAACAGAAGATGAGCTTTGGAATGGTTATTAGGGATCATTCAACCTCCATACCTTACAGAGAAGGAAACAGACTCAGAGCAGGTGGGCAACTTGCCCAAGGTCGCATGGTGAAGTCGAGTCAGCTGAAATCCACCACCTGCGCATCTGCTACGTCACATGCTTCTCCCTAGCGGTGACCGCATGGCCTGGCACATGGAATATTTGTAGAATGAATGAATGAACCAGCAATCATGGAAGAACCAGCTGTTCCTCTCATTTCTTCTTCATTGTTGTTAACATTGCACCCTTGATTCATTTAAAACACATGGGGACAAGGGGGGGTCATGTATATAGGATTCAGGGATTTTTGGATTTAGAAATGGTGAAGAATATACATAGTATTGGAGTTTATTATTGTTGTCTCTCCAGGAAACTTCCCCCCTTCCTCCCTTTTCTTCCTCCCTCTTTCCCTCCCTTCCTCCCTCTTTCCCCCTCTTCCCTCCTTCCCTCTCCTTCCTTTCCTCCCTCTCTCCCTTTCTTTTTTCCTCTCTCCCTCTTGTCTTCTCCCCAACCTTCCTTCCATTCCTACTTCTTCTTATCAACTTGCCAGTCATTCTTTGATTCAACCTGTTTTTTTTTAGGTATCTACTATACATCAGGTTCTCAGGCACTGTGCTAGACCCTGGGGATAAAAAGATTGAGCAAACCCATCTTGGCTAGTCCTTCCTGGAGCTTATTATCTAGCAAAGGAAACCCCTAATAATCACATAATCTCATTAATTCATCAACGTTTTGAAGGGCCCCATAGGGCTGCTATAGTGATGTAGGTGTGCGGCAGGGGTTGAGGGATAGTCAGGGGCTGTCAAGAAGGTTCTTCCTGAGGACATGGTGTTGGCGCTGACAGCTGATGGACAAGCAGGAGCTCACAGGGTAAAGTCCACGTGGAGGGGGACGTGCCTAAAACAAGGGAACAGGATATGCAAAGTCCCTGAGCAGATGCATGAAAGCAGCTGGGGCCCAGAGACAGGGGCTGGGATGAGGCAAGTGCTCCATCATACAGGGCCTAGAAAGTTTCAGTAAGGGCTTTTTCTTTTCTTTTTGTTTGAAGCAGAGTCTCACTGTGTTGCCCAGGCTGGAGTACAGTGGCATGATCTCAGCTCACTGCAACTTCCACCTCCAGGTTTCAAGCGATTCTTGTGCCTCAACCTCCCAAGTAGCTGGGGCTACAGGCATGCACCACCAGGCCCAGCTAAATTTTTTTGCATTTTTAGTAGAGATGGGATTTCACCGTGTTGGCTAGGCTGGTCTCAAACTCCTGATCTCAGGTGATCCACCCGCTTTGGCTTCCCAAAATGCTGGAATTACAGACATGAGCCACTGTGCCCTGCCTCAGTAAGGTTTTTGATTTTGATCCTGAATGCACTGGGAACCACCGCAGATTTTTAAGCAGAGCAGCATTGTAAAGAGGTGATTCTGGCTGTTTGTAGGGGAGGGACCTCCACAGGGCCAGGGCAGCAGCACGGAAGGGAGACTAATGCAGTGCATGGGTCAGGGGTGTGGGTGGGTTGGAGAGAAATTTGTGAGGTAAGTATCAGGATATAGGCAGCAGTTGTTAAATGGTTGTAAATACTTAGAGGATTTGCTCCCCCAAGTGAGAAATCCCCAGATGCAGGAGACAGCTGCTTGGCTCCCACCAAACAGGACACATCAAGCCCTAAGCACGGGCCTTGGGAAGCCACTATCTATGTGCAAACACAGATTTTCTATAAGTACTCCATCGCTAAGGATTTATTGAATGCTCACTGTGGGCCCAGTGCTGGCTAGGCCCTATGGGGCACTCTCTTTCTTATACTAACATAGGTATGGGATGAATTCTGAGTCTGTTTCTTTCTGCAGGAGTAGCTGGACACTGCATCTATCACACCAGATATTGGGAGATGCAGGGCAGATGCTTCATGCTTTCAGAGGTTTCCAAAGATGGCCAGGCTGCTGCAGCCATGAAGATATCCAGGGTGACTGGACAAAGGAGGTTATGTTGTTCTTCACAAGTTTGTAATCTATCCAGTCAATATTAAGGTGCAGTAAAACTGGATTTTTCATCTGAATGACATCAAACATCTATATGCAAATGGTGGGATCCTTAGATATTTTCAAATAGAAGAATTATTTGGAAATATTGGGGAATCATGCAGCTTACAAATAGAATTTTTCAGATTTTAGCCAGATGGCAGGGTTCTGAGACCTCTGATTTAGCTCTTATCTGCACAGGTATTCTGAAAACCTAGAGTAGGAGCTTCTCTTTAGGCATCCAGTTAGGATTGCTGAAATGATACAAAACACATTTTTTTTTTTGGCTTGCTTAACTGCAGGTGTTTTGGCTACATTAACTGCATCAAGCTGTCTGTCCTCACTATGTCCTGGGAGCCTAGCTCTTTGGAGAAAGAAGAGTTTGACCAGCTCCTCCAATTCTGGTTTTCATCCTGCCCTCATTATCCTCCATTGGAAAGAAGTGAAGGAAAGCCTCTGATGAGGGAAAGAAATGACAATTTCTAAGTATTTTAAGTAAAAGTGCTAGACACTGGGCTCTCTTCTTCTAAGGTTGTCAGATAAGAGGTGAAGTTGCCAATAATTTGTTGGTTTGGCATCACTTATTTTGAAAAGTACATTCCCTGCTTCCAACAGAAATTTTGAGCATTTCTTATCCCCCCTATATATTCCAGCAAATTCACAAAGCTGCAAATATCACTGCCTCAGATAACTGGGGAAGTAGTATATCTGTGGCAGAACAAATAGAAGAAGAAATGAATTGTCTGCAAAAAAAAAAAAAAGAATGGGTTTGTATGAAGATGCTTATGCACAGATTTATAAGTTCATAAAAATGCCACATTTAGAATATTCATCTTAATGCAGAGCTATTTCCTTTTATGGAAAATAATTCTTAATAAAAATTCCATCAACCTTAGTAAACCTTTCAATTTAAGTATTTCTTTTGTTTCTTGCATGAGAGGAGATTTTTTTCTCAGTTAGGACTTGCTGATATATTTGTTCCCCTGTTAGAGGAGAAAACTTTGCTGATGACACCTTTAATATGGGGAGAAAAACAGAAGAAGGACCCTCTCGCCTCTGGTTTGTTTTCTTGAGCTTGTAATTTTAAAATATCTTCTTACAGGAGCCCTACTACGTGAACTGTCAACGGAGTAGAAGTCAAGCAAAGGTGACTTGCTGCCTGCCACATCTGCCTCCCGCTGTGAAATCACAACAAGGCAACCACGAATAGCTGGTAAAAGTCCCAGTCTTCAACGCAGTGGTGTAATTTCCTATGATAAATAGCTTGGAAGAATGCTAATCAAAATTACTTTCTGGTTCTACCTTATTCAGCAAGACAAATGCATGACAAGGCCCCAGAGGCAGGGATTTGCTTTAATTTGAGGATGTCTTTGCTCAAATCTGTCTGACCATGTTGGCAGCCACCCCCCACCCAACTCTGTGCACCTGGGTGGGGCATGGGCCCATCTGTCTTGGCACCATGGCCTTTTCACCTGCAGACCTGCCTCTGTAGCCTGAGCACCATTTACCTCATCCATTGCCAGAAGTTACTCTCTCACATGCTTCAAATTTACTTTCCAGAAAGCAAAAGGGCTTCCAATGATTTGAAGAGAGTGATGCTGACAGTGTGCATTATTACCATTCTCATCTCTAGGAACTCCCACTTTTTTCAGCAGGCTGATGGGCATATGTGGTCTACATGGCCAAACGGGCAAGAAGATGTAAGGAAATCTTTTTTTTTTAACTTAGATAATTTGTTTTTTAAACTTGGATACTTGGATCACAAGAGAAAATTTCGAGAGACTTTGACTTGAGGCACCATTTCCACATGGGTTGAAGGATTTCAGGAAGAGTCCCAAGTAGGGCAACCAGATCTGCTAAGAGGATGTCACTGCAGTTTCTGGACTCAGCTAATGACATCAGGGAAAAGGGAAGGTCATTTTCCTTTGTATGAAATGGCAAACATGTGAGCAGGGATTTGTAAACTCAGACTACACCACAGGCAGGCTTCAGTGTTTGACGCCTTCTGTTTTTATTGCTTTGTGAGACTGACCAATTAAAACAACCCAAAGGCCACGTTTATGAATATCTCTCTGATGGGACCAACTTCCCTTGCTGTGAGCCTCGCACAGTGGCTATGTATGGACATCATCTGAGTAGGAAATATTGCCCTGGAGTGAGAGGGATTCCACAGAGTGGGTTTCTCTCCCCCTCCTAGGTCTTAACCTTTCATAGCAAGACAGACAACCAGGAAAGTAGGAAATCGAAACAAGCTATGTTTAGCTGAATTTTACATACCATAATCTCTTTACCATGGTCAAGCAAGGCAGGAATGCTCAGGCCAATCGGTTCTGGCTCAAATCCATTCCAGAGGGGAGTGATTTACAACTTAGCACCATCTTCGTCTCTTCCCTGAGAGTGAAGTTAAATGACCCAAGAATAACATTAGTCTGCACCAGACCTCGCGAGAATGATCTTCCTAAGGGTGGTCCTGGGCATGGGTTTTCACCTGCAGAAACTCAAGCCCAGACATCCCTCCAAAGCCCTGGTAAGGGTCAAGTAGCATTCCTATGTTAAGAACCGACAGTGTGGTGAGTTACGAGGTCTTAGGGAAGAGTGGAGTCTGGCCCAGAGGCCTTTTGTTGCTTCCTCACCAGTGAATCTTAAGTTGTCCCAGGCCAGGGATACACATGCATATGTATTTCAGCCTCCTCCCCACTTCATGCCCCAAGAAAAGGCCCTTCTGTCTCATGCTTGATATAAAAAGATTGCAAGGTGTTAGAAGGCAAGTTAATGGGTAACCCAGGGCAGAGAAAGAAACAGGGCAGAGGTTTGTCACTTCAATGGTTAAAATATCTTGATGTAAAAATGAGCCCCTTAAAATAGTCCGGGAGGGCCCAAAAAACCACCCGACGGGGCTTATAAATAGACGAGCGAGATGTTGAAATTATTTTAAGACAGATGCCTTTTAAAACTGTATTCAGAACATCTTTTGGGGCTCCTAGTTGCACAGTTCCTCAAGCAGGAGGTATTTCATCTTCGCAACATCTGGAACTGTCAAAGAGGTAGCGCTGCAGACCTCAACAGATGCAGACACTTCTACATAAAAGTGCACCAACAAATCATGGCCATAATTGCAGAACAACACGAATGTTTCACAGGCAGCTGTGGAGAAAACAATGCTCTGGCAGGGAGGAAAACTTACTGTAACCCCCAAACCCCTCCACTTTTATTGCTGAATCACTCCTTTAAGCAACTTTTCCACAGTTCTCCACCAAGAGGCTAACAATTGCAAGCAAGTTTATTTTCTCAGCTTGTAATCAGGAGATGATTGACAAGGAGGTCTTTTTTTCCCCTTTGGGGTAAAAATTTTTTTATCCCACAAATCGGTAGCCTTGACTTGGTTGGGTAAATTTGTGATGTTGCTCAAAGTAATCTCCATGCTTGGTTTGGTTTTTCAGGTGAGGGGCAAGTGACAGCCCTTTGATACATGAAGGGGGCCAGTGTGTCCCCACATTGCCTTCCTGTGATGGGCAAAGCCACGTGGCAAAGTCAGACCTGGCTGGGATGCCCTATACAACCGGGACCCTGAGAACTCAGCCTTCCATTAGAACTCAGAACAAAACTGATATTTTGATTTGTCATTTCAGAGGCAGAGGCTCAAAAATACTTTAGAAACCTGTGGCCCGATGCATCGCTTGAAATTTTTATGCAGCTGAGGGCTGGAGTGCGGTGGGAGAAATAAAAGTGGGAGGAACGCCACAAAGGACCATGTTAGAACTTAACACAACTGTTCTATAAATTATGGTGACAAAACAAATACTGCTAATACTGATGATAATGATAAATGCTTTTAATCAGTTTTACTAAAGCATTTTAAATCTTGTGGGACAGATGGGAAAATAAAACTTGCTGTTGGAACCTTGGGATTTATAAGAAACTCCTTGGTCAACATTATAAGGAGGACGGAATCTTCCAAGGTGAAGAAGAGAAGCTGGTGTGATAAAATTTCTATCATCATCACGTTTTCGCTTTGCTTTAATGGCAAATTAACACTCACCCTAGTTGTTAAACACATCCTTTCAATTAATCTCCCAGCCGGTGAAGTGCTGCTCCCTGGATCTTGAGCAATGTGGGTTGCCTGACCCACGTCAGGGCCAAGGAAACTGGCGGGCATGGTCAGGGGTGGAAGCGGGTGACAGTTATTTCAGGGGTCAAGTGTTTAAACATCTGGTGCCTCCCTGAAGCCAGCTTTGGCTCGGACACCTCTGCTCAGGCAGGAGAAGCAGGGAGTCGGGGCTGCGGATCTTTGCCTCTGAGCCCTCTGTTTTCCCTCTGCTTCCTGGGGAAGAATGCCCGAATGAGAACACGCAACCGCACAACTTCTACCACCCTGTGGTAACTTTATGCCATGACATACACTCCCTCTACTGGGACGTTCCTTCCATCCTTGTGAGAAACACCCCCACGACTCCTGGTTGCCCCCTTTAATCCCTCAGTTCCAGGGGCATCTTTGGAAGAGCTTTGAAGGCCAACTCAAATGTGTATTCTCAGGTTTTGAAAGATCTCAGAATCACCAGTGCTGGGACTCTTGTATTCACTGGGGGTGAACAATGATGAACATATTGAGTGGTAGAGTAATAACCACAAGACAAAACCAGCACAGTCTTCAGCCACAGCCAATGGTGATGCCGCAAGTCCAACTCTCGTAAGAGGTGGGGGGGCTCAGAAAGGGAAGTGGCCTGTCCACCGAAGCTGACAAAAACATTTGCAGTGTTTGCATTTTCTCCCAGCCTCTACATCTCCCAAATGGTTCCTTTTCCACAGCATGCCCCCACCCCCAATTTTATACATAGCAGATGGCCTTCAAACAAATCAAGGAGCAGAAGCTGCAAAAGGCTTAAAAAAAAAAAGACAGTGAAACTCATATATTTCTTCAAAAGATAAGATGAACTACAGATGTTTGCTGAAGGGTGATGGTGCTGCCTACAACTTAAGACTCGACTTAAGAGTCCACTTATGTTTAGCGTTGGACAAGCCCAGTAGATGTCATGGTGTGATTTATGGAGGTTGTTTGTGAGATTTTATGTTACTGGGGACATGGCAATGAAAACACTCTGCCATTCTGCCTGCAAGCATCTTTCTCTGTGGACCCAGGTGGGGAGTCCATGATGGAAACCGTGTGCCAGCCAGCAGCCAGGCATGTATCCTTGCCATCCACAGCTCAGCCCACGTGTCCTTGATCGCCCTGCATTCTGACCAATATGCCCCTTCGCTCCTGGGCCACTTTCTCTCCTCTTTTATGGAGTTCTTGGTCCTTGCCAATGTCCTATTCTTACCTGACACCTGCAGTCAGATTAGTCTCAAATCAAGCTTGACAAAGTTGCTAAAAGAGAAACAGTTGTCTCTTGCAGGATCCAGCTGTATATAGAAAACAGCTGCTTGCTAGGCACGTTTTTTGAAAAGGAAGAGAAGAATCACTGCAAAGGGCTTAAAAATGAACATAAAGCATATCTTGAATAAGACAACAGAGGCCTGTAATTAACGCAAGGGTTAAGTATCTGTGTTTCTATTAAATGCTTCTTTTTCAGGACTTGTTGTAACTTGGTCATAAATATTTATTACAAACTGAAACTGAGGATATAAGACCTTAGCTGAATGCTGTTTCCCCCTCTCACTTCTTTGCTTTCCAAAGCTAATTCTTAACAATGCAAAGAGTGTGATGTGTTTTGGACACACACACCTACTCCAAAATGCAAGCCAATGTATGCATCTGTGCAGAGGCAGACACCTACGCCCATCAGCACAGCACATGTGCACACCGCCCTTCCCTAGACGCTCAAGTGGTGAGTATAAGGCAGAGGCTGCTGAGTCTTGGGCAGAAGCAGCAGGAGGAGGCCCCAGCCATCCCCTGGCCTCTGGAGCAGAAACATGGGGAGCCTTTGAAGTTGCCACAACTCAGGTGGAAGCCCCTCAGAGCAGCCCTAAGAGGAAGTCATTCATTTTCAAACAAAGGGGAAAATTCCTCAGGACCCTGGTGTTTCCACTAAAACAATCCTCTGAAAAGTTATTCCCCAGAGGAGCAAGGACCAGCTGTGCTCCATCTCCACGAGGTTGTGAAGAGAGAAAATGGGCCGCCTGCACTACAGCATGAGAGCCATCAGTTAGACAAAAAGAAGCATGGTGAGACAGGCAAGGCCCTCCAGAGAAAGCCAGGAAGACAGTGAGTGGCTTTCAAAACCGATGTGGTGCATTCAGAGGCTGGAAGATGGACAATATTACTTTCCCAGAAAGTTTCGCAAAACTTTCTCTTTTGTTGGCATGTTGAAAATAGCAAGCCATTGCCTCTTCCCCCGGCCGCTGGGTCTGCTGGCAAGCATGTTAATTTCCAGAACTCACAGAATTAAAGCCAGAGAGGATCCTTGTAACTCATCTTCTCTCCCTCCCCAGCTTCCCACAGAACCATACCCAAAAGCTTCCGTGGACACAAGAATCTTGCTTATTTTTAAATAGTTTGAATTACCTGGTAGTGGATTTTGTTTTTTTTTAGCTTCTCTATCCCTTTTTAATTTAAATTAATTTTATTATTATTATTTTTGAGATGGAGTCTTGCTGTGTTGCCAGGCTAGAGTGCAGTGGCATGATCTCTGCTCACTGCAACCTCCAACTCCCTGGTTCAAGTGAGTCTCCTGCCTCAGCCTCCCGAGTAGCTGGGATTACAGGCACGTGCCACCACGCCCAGCTAATTTTTGTATTTTTAGTAGTGACGGAGTTTCACCATGTTGGCTAGGATGGTCTTGATCTCCTGACCTCGTGATCCGCCCGCTTCGGCCTCCCAAAGTGCTGGGATTACAGACGTGAGCCACGGCGCCCAGCCTCTATACCTTGAAAAAAAAAAAAGGTCTGTGAATACACAGTAGGTGTATGTAATTATGGGGTACATGAGGTATTTTGATACGGGCATACAATGCATAATAATCACATCAGGGTAAATGGGGTATCCATCAGCTCAAGCATTTGTAATTTCATTGTGTGACAAACATTCCAATTATACCTTTTCATTATTTAAAAATGTACAATAAATTATTGTTGACTGTAATTACCCTGTTGTGCTATCAAATACTGGATCTTATTCATTCTATCTAATTATATTTTTGTACACATTAACCATGTCTACTTCCCCCTGACTTTCCACTTCCAACTCCCCTCCCCAGCTTCTGGTAACCATCATTCTACTCTCTATCTCCATGAGTTCAATTGTTTTAATTTTTAGCTCCCACAAGTGAATGAGAACAAGTGAAGTTTATCTTTCTGTCCCTTGCTTATTTCACTTAACATAATGTCCTGTAGTTCCATCCATGTTGTTATTATTATTTTTATGCCAGTATCATGCTGCTTTGGTTACTATGACTCTGTAGTGTAACTTGAGGTCAGGTAGTTTGATCTCTCCAGTTTAGTCCTTTTTGCTCAGGATGGCTTTGGCTATTCTTAGTCTTTTGTAGTTTCATATAAATTTTAGGATTGCTCTATTTTTTTTTTCTTTGAAGAATGTCACTTGTATTTTGAGAGGGATTGCATGGAATCTGTAGGTTGCTTTCAGTAGCATAAACATTTTAGCAATATTGCTTCTTCCAATCCATGAACATCTTTCCATCTTTTTGGTGTCCTCTTCAATTTCTTGCATCAATTTTTCATAGTTTTCATTGTAGGGATCTTTCACTTATTTGGTTAATTCCTAGGTGTTTTATTTTATTTGTAGCTATTGTAAATTATATTACTTTCTTGATTTCTTTTTCAGATTGTTAACTGTTGGCATATAGTAATGATACTGATTTTTGTACGTTGATTTTATATCTTGCAACTTTACTGAATTTATCAGTTCTAATAGTTTTTTTGGTGGAGTTTTTAGGTTTTTCCAAATATAAGATGATACATCGTCTATAAACAAGGATAATTTGACTTATTCCTTCCTAACGTGGATGCCCTTTTTTTCTTTCCATTTTCTGATTGCTCTAGCAATCAGATTGCTCTCCCAGTACTATGTTGAATAGCAGTGGTGAAAGTAAGCATCCTTGTCTTGTTCCAGATCTTAGCGGAAAGGCATTAATTTTTTCCCATTCAGTATGATACTAATTGTGGATCTGTCATATGTGGCTTTTATTGCATTGAGGTGTGTTTCCTCTACACCAAGTTTTTTGAGGGTTTTTATCATGAGGGGATGTTGAACTTTATCAAATACTTTTTCAGCATCAATTGAAATGATTGTATGATTTTTGTCCTTCATTCCGTTGATAGGATGGAGCATATCAATTGATTTGTGTATGTTGAACCATCCTTGCTTCCCTGGGATAAATCCTATTTAGTCATGATGAATAATCTTTTTAATGTGTTGATGAATTCAGTTTGCTAGTATTTTGTTGAGAATTTTTGCATCAATGTTTATCAGGGATATTGACCCGTAGTTTTCTTTTTTTGATGTGTGTTTTTCTGGTTTTGGTATCAGGGTAATATTGGCCTCATAGAATCAGTTTGGAATTATTTCCCCCTGCTCCATTTTTCAGAATAGTTTGAGAAGAATTGGTATTAGTTCTTTAAATGTTTGGTAAAATTCAGCAGCGAGGCTATTGAGTACCAGGCTTTTCTTTGCCGAGAGATTTTTTTGTTATGGCTTCAGTCTCATTACATGTGATTGGTCTCTTCAGGTTTTGGATTTCTTCATGGTTCAATCTTGGTAGGCTGTATGTATTTGACTTCTCTATCTCTTAATCTCTTTCCTTTGTGTGAGAGTTCCCCATCCTGTAAATCAGAGTTGGAAGTAGAAAATTCCTCTCGTGGCTGAGGCTGAAAAGTCCAGTTCTTGCCTTTCCACCATCCATCCTCTCTGTGCGGGCTGGACCACTGAGCCCTCATGCCGTAGACAAAGCTTGTCTCCACTTTATTCTGGTGTCAGGCCTGTGGAAGGAGAGTTCGGGTGAAGGATGTGTATTGTGCAGTTTGCTCCAATCACACGATTTGGGGAGGTGATGATAGGACAGATAATACCAGAGTGTCAATGTGTTCTGTTGCATTAATATTGGGTTCAGGTTTGTGGGTGGGTGGATGCTGAGTAGTTTTCCCAATAATGAACTTGTAGACAGACCAGATAATAAAGGCCTGAGCAAAGCCAGCAATATTTTGTCTTGTGACACAAAATTGTTGGCTTTACAGTCAGAGGTAGGATTGGATCCTGGCTGAGTAATCTTGGGCAAGATTCTCATCTTCTCTAAGCTTCAGTTTCCTCATCTTCAAATGAAGACTGTGAGACCTCGCAGGATCATTGTGAGGATCAAATGAGGAGGGAGAGAGAGTGCACAGGCACGGTGCATGGCACATAATTGGTCCTCAATAAATATGATTATAAATGTCCTGCAATCTAGAAGGAAATCCATAGGAAGGAAAAGATGTGGACTAAGGTTTGTAAGGAACATGTGAGTATATTGGAGTGCTGCACCATAGCAATGACAACAGATCCTCAAATGGCAAATGTATGTATCTCAAAGAGCATATTTCTTCCCAGTTATCTCATTCATAGAACCTAATGCTGGATCTTGGGTAACAGGGGTGTGCTTGTTATTCTTCATTTGTGTATCCACCACTAGATCCATCCCCTGCCCTTTTCTGCCCATTATCCCAGGGGCACAATGTATGCTAACATGTATACACTGCCTCTCCCTGCTTTCTTGCTCTCTTGCTTCTGTCTGGGTTTGGCCAATTCCAGCCTGGATCCAGCTCTCATCAGGTTCTAAGAATACTATGCCCTTCAGGCCAAGAATGGCTATAGCTTCCTGCCATTGCTAATCCCTGGGGCCTCAATTTCCTGTGGTGGTTCCTTTAGCCCTAGCCACACTTCTGTGAATTGTCTCTTTATTAAAGTCTCTTTGGAATCCCATCTGAGTGTGCTTTCTTTTTCCTGCTAGAAGACTGAATGAGAGTATGAGTGAAAGCAGGTAGAGTGAATCGAGGAAGACTTCCAGAAGGACAGTGTCTCTTGCCCAAGGTTTTGGAGGAGGACTGCAATAGTTTGGTGGAGACATAACATGGAAAGCTGGTGTTCTTGTCTGGGAGACTGGAGTCAACAAATGCTTGGAAGTCAGCATCCGCATGAACTCTTCATGGGGTATGGTGAAAGTTTTCACCAGCAAGACATCACCACAGTCAAAAAGGGAGATAAAAATGATGCTAAACACAGAAAACACCTGTCATTTATTTATGGAGTGCCTACTATGTAACAAGCATTCACAACAGTGTGATAGGTATTATTATCACGATTTTACAGCTAAGAAATGGGGGCTGTGAAAGTGTAAGCAACTTGCCCAAGGTCACAGTATGTGGTAGAGTTGGGATTCGTAAGTTGTGCTTGGGACCAAAGAAAGGTTGCCCAACTGTTTGGATTTGCCCGAGACTTAGAGGTTTCCCAGGATACAGACCTTTCACTGCTGAGTTTGAGTTCATGGCAGGATCTATTGAGTGGTAGTAGAGAGTTAATGAAAGTGGGTGTTAATCGTCATCCTTGCAGTAAAGAAAGTTCATTTTCTTACTTCAAAAGACCCATTGAAAGAGATTGGTAAGAGTGGAAGTCCATGAGAGAGACAGAGAGAAGGAAAACAGGAACTATAGATTCTCAATCATTCTGTACAGTAGCAAAAGGGTGGCATAGTCAATCCAAAAAGCAAACACTTCAACAATATTCCCATTTGTCTTTGGAATGTGACATCACTCTTCCTTCTGACAGACTTACCTCTGTAATTCTTTTTTGGCTCTAACTAGTAATAAATGGAGAGTGCATTCTTCAAGCACATGGAACCATGCATACAGGAGAGCAGAGAAGACAAAAGATGGTGTCCAGATTCTCTGGACAGTGAAAGAGAGTGAGGCATCAAGACGGGCAGAGCCCAGCCTCAGCAGTCTTTAAAGTCTAAAAAGTATCTTTTTTATTTATGACTAATAACTCCCAGTTTCATTAACAGCACTGCCACCAAACAGACCCTGCTATGCACTCAAAGTCAACAGGCAAGGGTGCAATGGATGGTGTTGTCTGTGCAGCTCTAGGGCATTCCAGGCCCAGCAAATCCCCAGTAACCACAATAGCAGTGAAGCTGCTGCTTATGGAGCTCTTGCTGCCTTTGCTTCAGATATTTCATAGACATTTTAAATGCTTAGAACTGAACCACCTTTCGGAGCAGGTGATATTAATCTCATTTTCAAAATAAGAAAACTGAGGAAGAAAGAAGTTAAAAAAGTTCTCCAGGGACCTCTGGTGTAAAATGGTAGATCTGGGTTTCACAATGACCTTCCTCTGGTGTCTAAGCCTGGACCAGGCTACAGCTGCAAAGGCATCGAGTGCCCACCTCTGTGATGATGGTCAGTTGCATTCAGTAAACATGCATGGGGCCCTGGCATAGTCCATCACCAGGGGGTGAGTTCACGGAGTTGTTCTTGAAGAATGCAGGTGGGTTTTTAAATGTCCCTTCCACTCCCCTGATAACTGCTGAACATTTCTCCAACTTCTGTGTATTTGCACATGCTGTGCCCACTGCTGGAATGCCTTTCTGTCATTTGACCACTTGGGTAGCCTCTTCCTGTTGTTCAAGACCCGGCTTTAGCTGAGTGTGGTAGGCCCTCCTCAGCTGCAGTGGATTTTCCTGCACACACTCCTGTGAACCATTCCTGTGGACTCAGTGGGATGCTTTCTCTATTTTGGTGCAGTTTTTACCAGTCAGTGTTAAGACTAGGTGCTACTCTTGGCATGTTCCTCATTAAAGGTAGTGATATAGGAGAAAAGAGAGACAGAGGAACCACTGTAATTTGCACAGGCATGGCTGCATCTCATTTTATCATTCTCCTGAGGTTTCATTAAAGGGACCTTAGGGGCAAGGAGAGTTTAGATTCAAGCTCAGCTAGAGAAAGTATTTTACACAAGATTATCTTCTCTGAAGAAGGATTTGAGCTCTATGAATAAGAATAGTCAAATCTGCAGTGAACAGTAGATTCACAAATCGTTTCTGTTCAGCTCAAAGTGGGCCATTTGCTGGTTTAGGGTGGAGCTTCTCCCTCAGTGGGTGCAGTTGGCACTCTGGAGCAGGGTGGGAGGAGTTGGAAGGCAGGACACCTGCCATGTGCTGCCACTTACCAGCTGAGCTAGTCCCTGGGATTCAGCATCTCTAGGATGGTGATGGTGAGAAGTCCCTGCCAGCCTTCCCTGTAGGGCTGCTACACAGATTGAATGAGGCTCACACATACTTTTCAAGTGTAAATGAACACATTCTCACTTTAGTGGTTAAAATGGAAGCTGAAGAACGAACTTGGGCAAATCATTTTGCTTCAAATGCTTCTGTTTTGCAATATAAGTAAGGGCCAGTGGAAACACAATTCACAAAGCTGCTCATTGTTCTTTCTGGATCACAGAACCCCCTGGTGCTGAGTTCATATCTTTTGAGTTGTGTCCCTGGTAAGAACCAAGCCCCAGCCAGGGATTTTGTGAACCATGGAACCATTGAAGCTGTGTAATGAATCCTGTAAGTTTCGACTTCAATTACATGAGTTATGTTAGATGTTTGTTGGCCTTGGTATCTTGATCAGGAATATTCCCTTGTGAAAGTGCTGCCTGGGTTTGGCTTGCTGATGTCAGCAATGTAAATATGACTTAACTGATTAATAGGCATTAATGACTAGCAAGTATGGCATAACCTGTTAGCTGGAAATAACTCATGAAACAAGCACGTTGTTATTTAGCCTGTAAGTGGAGGGACAGCCTTGCTTCTGCTGATTGTTCTCCTGGCCTATGGGCACAGTCCCACTGGAGAGTCAGTTGCCTTTTGCAATGTGGGTTATAAATAAAATAAAGTAAAATAAAATACACATATTAATATATTACTTAGCATCCATTTACTGCCCTTTCCTCCACTGAGGAAACTGAGCTTTGTCAATATGAAATTAGCCCTTAATCTCTTATCTGAAGGTCATCTACAGAGGAGAAAGCCCTCTCCTGAGGTTGGTATGGGTAGTCTACTTCAGGAGGTTTCACTGTCTGTAAAATTCCGGGCTTCTATTGCATTCATCCTTCTTTGATTATCGAAAACTTTCCTCTGCAGCTAACACTCAGGAACAATGTAATAAGTAACTTCCAATTAAAGTTTTCCATATGTGGCAAAAATTGTAATGAATGAATAAGTAAAGACCGCATAATGAAAGCCTATTAGCCAAGTGAATATACTCTTTTAAGTCAAATTTCTATACCACTTTTGTATTATCTCCCATCAGAAGAGAACGTGCAATTACTAATTTTATCTTATCTCAGCTTATTATTAAAGAGTAGTAAAGGAAACTTCATTCCAGGAGCCATAATGTGATTTTTGATTAATAGGAGGTTCTTATGTGACAAGAATATTTCTCTTAGGCAAGGTATGCACATGGATTCCCGCCTGAGCTGGCTTGGAAGCTACATCTCCAGTGGAACGACTGTTCAACAATAGAACATGTGTTCCTACACGCGAGGTCAGATTCTTAACGTACTCCAAAGCACCGGAAGGGTAGGAAGAAGTTGACTCGGACTTGGTAGACACAAATTTTTATTTAGTTGGTTCCAATTATATCACATGTGACACTGATTTGCGTGTAATAGGTGAGATGAGCAGCCCAGAGCTTTAGGTTTTCCAGCCTCTGCTAGAAGGAAGCCTTAGACTTTCAGGTCCTCTCTTTGTCTGCTCCAGTCTCTGGTGGGAGTCTCAGCATATTCTGGACCCACAACGGATACCCGTGATTCAGCAGACCCAAACATCAGCACTCTCCCACCCCAGCTGCACACGGGGAATGGTTTGAATTTGCATTCCAATCCCTCAAGCCAACTTTTCTTGGAGAGCTGTTCTAAGGAATGTTACGTGTGATCTTGCCCCTTGGCTGTGGGTGACCTGCGTTAATGCCCGTAACCTGGGGAAGCGTTAGGTAGTGGACAAGGAAGGAGCTACTAAGGGTGACCTGTAGTTAGTGCTCTCTTCTCAGGGTGAGAAGATAGCACTTTGATGAGCTGCTAGGGTGGAATTTAGTTCCATAAGGAAAATCCACTTTCTAATATTTAGATCATTCAAATGCCTATGATAGCACATGCCCCTTGATCAGAAGTTTCCCTTCTAGAATTTTATCATACAGGAAGTAATTGGGCAAACATGAAAAGTATCTGTATAAGGATGTTCCCTGAAGCACTGTTTACAACAGCAAAAAATTGGAATGAACTAATAATAGTGGGGAAAGGAGGCTGCTGGTTAGATACTCCATGGTATATTTCAACTACGCATTCTGTCCAGCCCATCAAACACAATGCCACAGAAGATTATCTCATATCATAGAAAAATGGTTATGATAGAGTGAGTGGAAAATCAGGTTACAAAATAAAATATGCCATATGATTCTATTTTAGAAACAAAAAAGTCTTAGGGATATATACCAAAATAATAAACATCAATTATTATAGGATAGCCAGATTATGGGTTGTTTTAGGTTCTCTGCTGCTCTTTTGCTTGTTTCTATATTGTGATTTTTAAAAATAGTCAATATGGAGTACCTATGTAATTTTTAAAAAGCAATACAATGTTATTGTGAGAAGTCCTTTTAAATTGAACCTTTAGAACATCAAAGCCCCCGGTGGCAGGCCAGCCAGGCTTGCCTCCTGGCAGAGCTGGGGCTGGCTTGGGAGATGGGATTTTGGGGGTCCCAGGCCCTTTCTGAATCACTGCTCACTGCTTCCCGATGCTCTGCTCAGCACGCTTTTCCCGGCTGACAGTCAGGTGCCCTGTGGGGGAGAGAAATACCTCTCACTGCTGTTTTTAGTCGCTACCCCTGGTGGGACACAGGGCCTACGGGTCATCTGGCTGCCCGAGTCACCCCTGTGGTCAGGGTAATTCATGTCTGGGACAGGATGTGATGGGAAGCGCAGACAGACAATGTGAGAAGAAGGGTCTGTGAGGAGGCAGAGCAGGGCAAAGAGAGCCTTGGAGCCTGAGGGGCGGGCATCGGGACGGCTGGGCTTCTTCCCAGCTTTGCCACGCAATTTAGTGTCTTCCAGAAACAGAAGATGCCATGGCCGCAAAGGGGAAAAGGCCAGGCTCCTGCCCTGGGTGGCACCATCCACCGCCCACTGCAGACCAGGGCTTGGAGGAGGAGGGATAAATGCAGCTGGCTCTGAGGGGGCAGGGTAATTGGCTTCTTCCTCGGGAGCTTTCCTTTTTAAGGCAGCAGACTATAACTGGAAGGCCACAAATGCTGGCCGGAGAAGATAAAGCCACCAAAGAGAGAGTGGTTTTGGTCCCTGGTGCTGGCCACCTTTGTCATTAGCTCCCCCCGCCGCCAGGCTGTGGTTTGGCCAGACCTGGCTTCCTTAAACCTTGCTGGGCACAGTGCAGGACACTGCCTAGCACAGAACTACCTGTAGCTCCTCTTAGCCTGACCCCTGCCGCCTAAGATACCTTCTCCTGGCAACCGACCCCTGCTGGCCTCCCCAGCCTTGCCCACTCTCCCTGTCTCTCCTTGCCCCTACTCCCAGCTACTTGGAATTTAGCCTCATCCTCTGATATATTTTCTGCTAATGCTGAGGCTTTAGGCACATGCTGTTCCCCTTGGCTGGAAGCGCCTCCTCCTCCTCCACATGCTGGGCCCTTATTCATCCTTCAAGAACCAGACAGAATTTCCTATCAGAAAGGCATCCCCGGTTCACTTCATCTTGTGGAAATCATTCCTCTGTGTTTCTTTTCTTTCTTTCTTTTTTTTCTTTTTTTGAAACAGAGTTTCACTCTGTCGCCCAGGCTGGAGTACAGTGGTGCGATCTCTGGCCCACTGCAACCTCTGCCTCCTGGGTTCAAGCGATTCTCCTGCCTCGGCCTCCTCAGTAGCTGAGACTACAGGCACGAGCCACCACGCCCGGCTATTTTTTGCATTTTTAGTAGAGACAAGGTTTCACCATGTTGGCCAAGCTGGTCTTGAACTCCTGACCTCAGGTGATCCACCCACCTTGGCCTCCCAAAGTGCTGGGATTACAGGCATGAGCCACCATGCCTGGTCTCCTCTGTGTTTCTTAAAGGACCAGATAATTAGCCACAAGAAGGAGGAACTGAAGAGGTCAACATTTTGAGATATTTTTCCTTTGAGATTCCAGGCTGTGTATGAATCCCAAATAAAAACCTCAGCCTTATGAATTGTTATTTTACCTTTTTTGGGGTAATAAAGTTTTTATTTTACTTTTAAATGGGTACTATATTCACACAGTCCCAAAATATAATGTAAATATAAATTAATCAAAGGTAGTATTCAGCAGGAAGTCCACCTTCCACCATATACCCCAGAGCTGTTCCTCCTGTTCTCTTTCCCGCCTACAACCAAGGTTACCAGTTTCTTGTGAATGCTTCTGGGCACATGAAAGCCAGCATCACACCACATACAGATTTCTCCATCTTTTAGATAAGTTGGGCCATGCTGTTTGCCCTATACTGCACTTTGCTTCTTATACTCAACAAATTATTTTGCAGATTGCTCCACATCAGTCCATAAAGGTTTTTTTTCTTTATTTTTCTTATCACTTCCATGCTTCCTTTGAATTGGGGTATCATAGTTTCTTTAACCCATCATCTATTGGTGGGTATTTAGGTAGTTTCCAGTCTTTTGCTCCCGCAAACTGTACTGCAATAAATAACAATCTGTGCAGTTATTTCCCAGAACTATGTGCGTGTGAGTGGGTTTTAGGATAGATTCCTAGAAGTGGAATTCCTGGGTCAAAAGCACATGCATTTTAAATTTAGATAGCTATTGCCACACTGCCCTTCATGAGAGCTGTGATCATTTATCCTCCTTGCAGCACTATTGGACATGGTTAGTATCCATTTTTGACCACTGTGTGTAAGCCACACAGAGTGTTGGCAGGCCGAAGTTTGTCCAAAGGGTGCCAGCTAGTAAATTCTATTCCAGTTTCTGCTGAAACTTGTAGCAAACAAATGGTTTTGTTCTCAACATCCCTACCTTCAGGAAACTGCCTCAGACTTCTTGTTGGTGTACACCTCTCTTCCCACCAGAGGTGGGCACGAGGCCAGCCCTGACCACAGAGATGATTGATTTAGGGCTGGGCATGTGAGCTAAGCTAGACCAGTCAGAAACCTTCCTAGGACTTTTACTGAGTCCCTTGTGAGATTAATCACCCTTGCTCTACCATCACAAGCCATAGGGAAAATGCAGGTTTGGGGCTTCCAGAGGCAGATTGGGCCTTATAGGCAGAAAACTTCTCTGAAAGGGCTGCAAGCCAAGTGCAACAGGCCAAGTCCTAGTCCCATTCTTAGAGCCCCTGGATCCAGCATGGCCTGAAGCTAATTTACTCTGGGCTTTCAGATTATGTGATTTAATAAATTTCCTTTGGGGCTTAATTTGGGTCTTATGCAACTGAAAAAATCCTGACTAATAGAGTGCTTTACATGCATGATTTCTTTCAATTCTGATGACAACCTTATAAGACAGGATTTCGTTTTCATTTCAGAGATGAGGGAACACTCAATGAGTCTAAGAAATTTTCCAAAGCTCACAAAATCAGGAGCAGAGCTGGATTAGATTTAGGTTGCCTAGCTCTAACACCCGTGCTTTCATCATGTTTCTGCACTGCTTCCAATACCACCAACTTGTTTGGTCAAAAGCATTGTTTTTGCTCTCTTTATATTCTGACTTTTGCTCATGCTCATGTATTCAAGCCATACTTTCGTTGCTACAACAAGGTGCGCGTTCAAGAAGTCTGCCTGTTGGAGGGGATTGGGGGAGGAGTCCATGTTGCATATGGGAGTCCAGCTGGCAAGATGTGGGAGGAAAGGATGTTCCATGGCCTCCACTTGAGGGAGGGGCAGATAGAGATGCAACCTGAGAAGGTGGTGGGCACAGAACTATTGATAAGCCTGTCCGATTACTGCCAATTCTGGCTCAGGCCCTCCTCTTGTTACCTTGTTACTGCAGAGAAAGTCACCCCCAAACACACTGCACAACAACAGGCTTTCTGTCTGCAGGCTCCGTTCCAGTCACAAAGGAAATGGAGTTGGACAGACCTGTTCTGACCCCGTCATGTGTTTTAAAATATAGTGTGCTAATGGAAGAGTTCAGGTACGATAAAGCCAACAGATTAGGAGACTGCTGCCATTGAAAAGACAGCTTGTTACAGTTCCCAAGAGGAGGGGGCACGGGATGCCACACAGGGCCATGTGGGGGTTGGTCAGGAGGCTGAGGGGAAAGGGAGAGCCAAGGGTAAGAGCCTTTACTGTGGTTCCTGCAAGAAGGAGTGGGCAACACAGGGTAAGCAGGGTTGGCATGGGCTAGCTTGAATAACTTGACCAGCCGTGGAGCATAGGGGCCATCCCTGGATGCGTGGTAATGGGCCCTGGGGAGACTGGGGCAGGGAGATGATCACCTAGGGTGTGAGAGCTGATAGAGGGGGTTGCTGAGGTGTGGCTTTGGATTGGTTGGTGTGTATCTGAAAAGTATGCTTGAAGGCGCACTCTTTATGCTCTCTAGGAATCGACTAACCCTTGGAGGGGCTGTCCCTCCAGGATCAGCAAGTCCGCAGATATCAAAGCATCAGAATACAGAAAATAAGAGACGTGATTAACACACCATGTTACCTGGAATAGGGGCTGTGGATGGTGGCTTGGTCAGCTAAACAACAGTGTCCACCCCAGTATGTGTCATTTTGGTCCAACAATTCTAATTTTATGAGGAAATAATTCAGCAAATAATAAGTGATGTGTATATAAGGATCTTTATCAACATAGTGTTTATAATAAAAAAGGAAATAAAACCCCTACACATTCAACAGTGGACATGTGGTTAAATAATTGATCGTTTATTCCATACGATGAATCATCACACAGTAATTGAGAGTATTGATGTGGAGGCATATTGATTGATATGAATACATGGTCAGAATACATTATTGAATGAAAAAAGGGTTATAGTGAATAAATATGTATAACCCTGATTTTGTTTAAAAATATATGTATGTTATGTATCTAAATGTTCACATTTTCTTTACGGGAAGTATCTTTCTTTTTAATCTGTATTTTCTACTCTATTATACAATGAATTTTTATTGCTTGTATAATATGTAAGACATGTTTAATTACAAAGAAAATCTAAAATATATTCACTCTGTCTGCCTGAGGTTGGCGTTCCCGGTTTTCTTCCAGTGAGCCCCAGGGGCCACACCAGAGCCTGAGGGACATCTGGGCTTAAAGCAATGGGCAGGGCCTCCTACAACCCTCCTTATTCCACTTCTGTTGTCTTTTCACCTTTCCATCATCTATTTTTCATCTCTCTATATAGAGAGACAATCCCAGATTATGAAGCATTCACTTGCACAAATTCCACCTGATGAAAATAGTTCTATGCAGGAAAGAAATAACATCTACACAAATTCACACTTTTCCCCTGTTGATCTCTGGGACAGTGTGAATTCTCAGAGCATCTGCTCATGTTTCCTCCATCTAGCCTGTGTTTCACCTTTTTATCATGTTCTGGTCGTGACCGGAAAACCACTATCCAAGCCAGCACTGGAAGTTTGTTTATGTTCACGGAAGGAAGAGGACAGTGAATTCAGTGCAAACTTTGTGGTTCCTTGGATTTAAGAGATAAAAGTGGTGGTGTGACTGCTACTGCTGATATGAAATTGATAGAAATGTATTCTGAAGCACTTCTATTAGGTCCAACAGAATGAAATTGCCACCCTACTACCATTTTTGACCTACAAAATGATGACTTATATAAGCTAGGCAAGGCCTCTATGAACTGAATGATGAAATAAGTCAGAGAACATCTGTTTGGGGCTTTTGCACAATATTTTGTTTGAAGAAGGTTCTGAGGCTCAAAAATATATGAAACACAGTGGAATAGGAGAACTTTGTTGGTTTTTTTATATTTAAAATATTGTCCCCTCCTTCACCCCTGCACCTGACTCACACTCCCTGGTGGCCTATCCTCATTCATATCAGTACAGGAGAAGGTCATCAAGACCCATTCCTGGCCTTCTGGAACTGGCTGTGGGTCCTCCCCACCTGCCAGATCCCAGAGCTCAACAACCAGCTCCGTGACTTCAACCTTGACCCTTGTTTCAGGCTCCCCAAATTAGTTGTTCATCTACCTTCTCTTGGACATCTGGACCAAACTCTGCCTTTTTATAAACTGTGGTCATGTCACTCCTTTGGCCCAGTGTATGTGAAATGAAGCCATCCTACAGATTCAATTCAAATATGGCCTCATGGAAAGCCAACCCAGTTTTGGTCACACAGCACTTCCCCACCTGCTTCCAGGGAGAAGGAGGCAGATACAAATAGATTCATGGTGCTGGGGCTCTGAGAACTGCTGCCCAGTCATGGGCCAGCTAGGGCTCAATGTGACTGTGCATAGGAGGTTTCCAGAGTCTGTGGGTTGGGGGGTGTTCTGTGCAAGGTGGGAGGGCTTAGCAATCTTTATCATCCTCACCATCAGCATCATCATGGTCTGTCTTGAAGGAGGCAGAAGAGGTGTGGGTATGAAGACTGTGTAAGGAAGAACTAGAAGAAAGGCCCCAGGTAGAAGCCCAAGGGTTATCCAAGGATGAAATCACCCACCAAGCAACATGTTGGTTTGTGAAGGAGCCTCCATACAAACCAACTCCAAAGCCTGTGGAAGCAGCACCTGCCACCAGCCTGGACACCTAGAACCACTGGAAGAGGAAGAGGTGGAGGGAAACACAGAGGTCGGGATGTCCAAGTGTTAGAATGAAAGAGGCTAAAACAGAGGTGCCAGGGGGGTGATGAAGAAAGAAAGTGAGTATCAAAGAGAATGGAGACTGTAAGAAAGAGAAGGGGAGTGATGATGCTAGCAAGGAAGGTGGAAACAGATTTGGGGAAGAGAGAGCTTTGTGCTGTGGGTTTTCCGAGGCGCCTGCAGAGGTAGATGACTCCCTCACTTGCATGCTTCACGAGACCTGCCCAGGCAGATCCTGCCTCCTCCTGGAAGGCTCTGCGGGAAAAGCTGTGCTGTGATTAAGATCTTTTAATTAAGAAAGCCGTTTGCACAGGATGCAACAAGAGGCTGATGGAGAGTTTGCTCAAATTGGATTTTTTTTTGGGTTAACTAGAAAAATAATAAGAGGAACTCTGCTTTGTGTAAGTAATAGGGATATGTCATTTTGAAGGGTGCCATGTGAGCTACCTGTGAATGAATTCATCTGCTCATTCATTCATTCACTCCCTGTTCATAGTTAATATCACTACTACTCTAACCCCTGAAAAATAAACATTTATTAAATGCTTACTATATGCTAGGCATTGTGCTCATTGCTTTACGTGAATTATCTCCTTCATCCCATACGATAACCCGACAAGGTACATGCTGTTACTCTTTCTTTTCTATAGATGAGAAAACCACAGACCTATGTGTATGGAAGGCATCTCTTTCTCCCTTGTAAAGAAAGCTAATCAGGAGAGGAGAAACAAGAAAATGAACCCCAATTTCCTTCCTTTTTAAACTATTTCTCTCTTTCTCCTTTGTTTTCTAAGGCCTCCAGCATGTTCTTTCTGACTGTGCACATCTGTCTCAAACTCCTTCTGCCTTAGTTGTCCCCAGGGACAAATTGTAGAATGTATGGAGGTCCCATAATGGCTGACTTCCAGGTCCTAAACCTGGACAGGTGAGAAGGTACTCACATCGGTCACTCCATCTCTTCTTTTCTTTAGTGTCTACGCAGCCCTGGATCTGCAGACACAAAAGACAGTCCCTGAGCACTGGGAATGACACTGAGTCAAAGTTCTGGCCTCTCCCACAAATGCCCTTGGCACCGACTTTGTTCCTGTAACTGAATTTTTGCTTTGTTCTCTCCACTGTGGTTCTGAGTAGCAAAGTGGCCTTGTTCCTTGTCCCAAGTCACCTAATACTATCCAAGATTGACACAAGGACAGGTTCTGAGCTGAATACTCTTTGGCTGGGAACCCATCTACCTGGCTCTACCCCAGAACAAGTCTTTGTCTTCCTCTGGTCTATAGTCAGAAGGCTGGACCTGGCAGCAAGACCCATTCCCTGTGTCCTGTGTGCAGTCCAGCATCTCTTGCTTTGGGGAAACACTTTGATATGGTTTGGCTGTGTCCCCACCCAAATCTCATCTTGAATTGTAGCTCCCATAATTCCCACGTGTCATGAGAGGGACACAGTGGGAGGTAATTGAATCATGGGGGTGGGTCTTTCCCATGTTGTTCTCATGATAGTGAATAAGTGTTATGAGATCTGATGGTTTTATAAGGGGGAGTTCCCTTGCACATACTCTTTTGCCCTCTGCCATGTAAGACATGACTTTACTCCTCATTCACCTTCCGCTGTGACTGTGAGGCCTCCCCAGCCATGTGGAACTGTGAGTCAATGAAATCTCTTTCCTTTATAAATTACCCAGTCTTGAGTATGTCTTTATTAGCAGCAGCATGAGAACAGACTAATACAGTAAATTGGTACTGGCAGAGGG
Source organism: Homo sapiens (assembly GCF_000001405.40). NCBI lineage: Eukaryota > Metazoa > Chordata > Mammalia > Primates > Hominidae > Homo > Homo sapiens. Next base: position 118,745,749 of record NC_000002.12, on the reverse strand, counting down.
GGTTGCTGCTGTAAAGATACCAAAAAATGTGGCAGTGACTTTGGAACTGGGTAACAGGCAGAGGTTGGAATAGTTTGGAGGGTTCAGAAGAAGATAGGGAAATGTAGGAAAGTTTGGAACTTCCTAGAGACTTGTTGAATGGCTTTGGCCAAAATGTTGATAGTGATATAGACAATAAAATCTGGGCTGATGTGGTCTCAGATGGCGATGAGGAACTTGGGAACTGGAGCAAAGGTGACTCTTGCTGTGCTTTAGCAAAAACACTGGTAGGTTTTTGCCCCTGCCCTAGAAATCTGTGGAACTTTGATCTTTAGAGAGATGATTAAGGGTATCTGGTGGAAGAAATTTCTAAGCAGCAAAACATTCAATAGGAAGCAGAGCATAAATGTTTGGAAAATTTGCATTCTGACCATGAGGTAGAAAAGAAAAGAAAAACACTGGTGGGTTTTTGACCCTGCCCTAGAGATCTGTGGAACTTTGATCTTTAGAGAGATGATTTGGGGTATCTGGTGGAAGAAATTTCTAAGCAAAGCATTCAATAGGAAGCAGGGCATAAATGTTTGGAAAATTTGCATTCTGATTATGAGGTAGAAAAGAAAAACCCATTTTTGGGGGAGAAATTTAAGCCAGCTGCAGAAATTTGCATAAGTAACAAGGAACAGAACGTTAATCACCAAGACAATGGGAAAAATGTCTCCAGGGCATGTCAGAGACCTTCATGGCAGCCTCTCCTATCACAGGCCTGCAGGTCTAGGAGGAACAAATGGTTTCATGGGCTAGGCCCCCCGCTGTGTGCAACTTAGGGATTTGGTACCCTGCGTGTCCCAGCTGCTACAGCTGTGGCTAAAAGGGGCTAAGGTACAGCTCAGACCATGGCTTCAGAGGGTGCAAGCCCCAAACCTTGGCAGCTTTCACATGGTGTTGAGCCTGTAGGTGCACAGAAGTCAAGAATTGAGGTTTGGAAATTTCTAGATTTCAGAAGATGTATGGAAATGCTTGGATGTCCAGGCAGAAGTTTGCTGCAGGAGCAGGGCCCTCATGGAGAGCTTCTGCTAAGGTAGTGCAGTGGGGAAATGTTGGGTGCAAGATCCCACAGAGAGTCCCTGCTGGGGCACCACCTAATGGAGCTGTGAGAAGAGTGCCACTGTCCTCTAGACTCCAGACTGGTAGATCCACTGACAGCTTGGACTATGCACCTGGAAAAGCTGAAGACACTCAATGCCAACCCATGAAAGCAGCTGGGAGGGGGGCTATACCCTAAGCCACAGGGGCAGAGTTGCCCAAGGCTGTGGGAGACCACCTCTTGCATCAGAGTGCCCTGGATGTGAGAGATGGAGTCAAAGGAGACCATTTTGGAGCTTTAACATTTGACTGCCCCATTGAATTTCAGACTTGCACGGGGCCTGTAGCCCCTTCATTTTGGCCAGTTTCTCCCATTTGGAATGGTTGTATTTACCCAATGCTTCTACCCACATACTATCTAGGACGTAACTAACTTGCTTTTGATTTTACAGGCTCATAGGCAGAAGGGACTTGCCTTGTCTCAGATAAGACTTTGGACTGTGGACTTTTGAGTTAATGTTGAAATGAGTTAAGATTTTGGGGGATTGTTGGGAAGGCATGATTGGTTTTGAAATGTGAGGACATGAGATTTGGAAGGGGCCAAGGGCAGAATGATATGGTTTGGCTGTGTCCCCACCCAAATCTCATCTTGCATGGTAGCTCCCATAATTCCCATGTGTCATGGGAGGGACCTGGTGGGAGGTAATTGAATCATGGGGGTTGGTCTTTCCCATGTTGTTCTTGTGATTGTGATTAAGTCTCATGAGATCTGATTGTTTTATAAGGGGGGAGTTCCCCTGCACACACTGTCTTGCCCTCTGCCATGTAAGACATGACTTTTCTCCTCATTCACCTTCCACCATGATTGTTAGGCCCCCCAGCCATGTGGAACTGTGAGTCAATTAAACCTCTTTCCTTCATAAATTACCGAGGCTTGGGTATGTCTTTATTAGCAGCAACATGATAACAGACTAATACACCCTTCTTCCTGTGGTGTATCACAATATTCCTGTTCTGTTGGTGGGTTTTGGGTTGGGCAGGCTCTGGCTGCCACTCCCTTACTTTCTATTCCCTGACCATGGCCCAGGCTGACCCAAGGACTGCATCTTTTTGGCCTAGTGATGGGTTTGGAAGGAGCACATGACCCAAGCTAGGCCAGAGTCCTCCTGGGGCTTTATGACAGTCCTGGTAGGAATGGGAATGGTTCTCTCTAGTACCATGAGAGCTGCAACAGCACAGAGAGCCTGTCTGAGAGTAAAGCCAGGCCAGCCCAGTCACTCTGAGAGAGGCCAAGTCCTGAATACAGCGTTTTGACCTCTAGATACCACTGTACCTGAAGGGAATGTGCCCCTTGGACTTTTCAGTTTTGTTTTACTTTGCTTAAATAAGTCTGAATTTAGTCTTTGACATTTGCAGTTGAAAGAGCCTTCTTGCCTGTTCCACTGTTTTGTTTTGTTTTTTGTGAGACACTCTTAATTTCTTATACCCAGCTCCAAGTTTTGGCAAAAGATACAGAAGAGTAGTTGTAGGCCATAAGTCTGTAATTTGTCCTCTGTCTACCTATGGCTTTTGTTTGTTTTTTGTTTGAAATATATATATATATTTTTGAGATGGAGTCTCACTCTATCGCCAAGCTGGAGTGCAGTGGCACGATGTCGGCTCACTGCAACCTCCACCTCCCGGGTTCAAGCAATTCTCCTGCCTTGGTCTCCTGAGTAGCTGGGACTACAGGCACATGCCACCACACCCAGCTAATTTTTGTATTTTTAGTAGAGACGGAGTTTGACCATGTTGGCCAGGATGGTCTCAATCTCTTGACCTCGTGATCTGCCCACCTCAGCTTCCCAAAGTGTTAGGATTACAGGTGTGAGCTCGGCTGTTTGAAATATTTTTATTTTGCTTTTACAACCGAATGGTAGTTTACACCTGGCTGTGTGCAGATTTTTTTAAATGAAAAATTTTGAAAATGTATAAAAATAGAATAATATAGTAAAATCTCATGTCCCTAAGTATTTTTAAAGGTTTCTATTGGCATAGAATTTTTCAATGCATTTGAGAAATATTTGTTGGGCTCTTGCCATGTGGTAGGCACTACTCCAGGTGCTAGAGATATAGCAGGGATGGGACCAAGTGCTTCATCTGCTGAGTGCACATTCTAGTGGGGGAAGACAGATTTGAGCAAGTTTATACATGCACAGGCAACATAATTTCAGATAATGATAAATGGGAGAAAATAAATTATGACACTGAGAGAATGGTGAGGAAAACTTCTTTTAGGAGAGGGCATCTGCGCTGAGAGCTGAAGGATAAGTCCCTGCTGTTTGAAGACCTGGTAGGAGGGTTCCTCACAGTCCAAGAAGTGTGTGCAAAGTCCCCCATGAAAAAGAAGGCATATGGTTTAAGCCCAGGTAAGATGTGCACAATGTGGAAACCAAACGAGCCAGGACCAAGGTCTTGGGCCAAGGCAGCCATGTTTGGTGGCATAGATTGTGCACTGCACAATTCTAGGGAGAGCCATTCACACAGATCAGGTGGCAGTAAAGTTTTTTTTGTAAAGGGCCAGATTGTAAATATTTTAGGCTTTGTGGAGCAGGTGATCTCTGTCACAACTACTCAATTCGTTAAGCAGCTGCAAATGATATGTAAATAAATGAGTGTGGCTATGTTCCAATAAAATTGTATTTTATGGGGCTGATGTAGTTACTCAAGCCTGTAATCCCAGTATTTTGGGAGGTAAAGATGGAACAGTTGCTTGAGCCCAGGAGTTCAAGGCTGCAGCAAGCCATGATCATGCCCTTGCACCAGAACCTGAGCAAAAGAGTGAAACCTTGTCTCAAAACAACTACAGCAATAAAACAAACTGTGGACATCAAACTTGAATTTCATAAATTAAAATTAGAAGTAGTTGCGATAAATTTTCTTTTGTTTTTAAAAAATCATTTAAAAATTCTAAGACCCTTTCTTAGCTTGTGGGCAGTACAAAAGGCAGTAGGCTGGATTCGATCCTTGTGGGTCATAGCCACTGCCATTCATTTACATATCACCTTCAGGAGCTCCATGCATTGAGCTGTGGCTGCAAGCCAGGCACTGAGCCACAAAGCTGAGCAAGATGCCTCCCTTGCTTAAAGGAAGCTTCCAGATGGTTCATTCCTCAAGGACCAGGCAAAGCCTGCTCTGGCAGTGAGGTATCCCAGATCCCATTGCCTAACAGTGCTTTCCATGTTTACCCCCATAATATGTCTTTGCTTGAGCTATGTAGCCAGTCGTGAGTGTATGCCTCGGGAACCCCACTTTTGATTCTCCAGCTGTGCCTTGCTGAGTGTGCCACTATTCTGTACCTGTTGAACTGTTTTTGAAGGAGTTCAATCTTGAAAAATGCCGATCTCACTTGATAGGTGGAGTTTAGGGAGGAAGAGGAAAGGAGTGGGGAGTTGAGAGAGGGGTGTGCCCAGGTACTCAGAATTAACTTAATTGGGATTAATTGCTGGTAATTCCACTGTCTTGTTTGTCTGAATTGGGCCACCTCATAAATGGCTTTTTACATGTTTTTACAATGAAAGGATTGCCATTTACAGAAAGAAGTACCTAGCTACTCAGCTACAATCACTGCCTCCTTCCCTGGCTATACTCTGCAGTCACCTCTCAATTATCTCTGCAGGCATTAATCCCTTGGTGATTTCTCATACTTGGTCTTGTTCTCTCGTTTCATAGTGTATATTTGATTTGGGAGAAGTAAAAATATCACCTTAGTCAAAGCCACTGTCATCTCTTGCTTGGATTATTGCAGTAGCTTGCTAACTGGTCTTCTTGCCTTTGACCAAAATCTACTCTCAACTCAGAAGTTATTGTGATCCTATCGGCAGGCCTAAGTCAGCTTGAAAGATGCCTCTGCTCACCTCCCCAACACTTCATTTCCCAATCTGAATAAAAGTCTATGTTCTTGGAATGACTCAAAAGATTCCATAAGGAGGGATTCTTAAACTTGGTGTGCCCTGGAGCCCTCTGGTAGTCTGATGAAGGTCATTTATTCCCTTCTCAGGATGTTTTAAAATGCACAAAAACACAAAGAATTTCCAAGGAAACCAACCATCTTAGTCTGCTTGAAACACTTCAACAAAATATCACAGACTGAGTGACAAACAAAATAAATGTATTTCTCGCAGTTCTGGAGGCTGGAAGTCTGAGATCAGGCTGCCAGTATAGTCAAGTTCTGGTTTGGGCTCTCTTCCTGGCTTGCAGACAGCCGCCTTGCTGTATTCTTTCATGGCCTCTGCTCTCTCCCTCCTCTTCAAAGGGCATTAATCCTAGGAATAGAGCCCCACCTTCATGTCTTAATTACGTCCCAAAAGCCCCATCTCCGAATACCACAACATTGTGGGTTAGGGCTGCAACATATAAATTTTGGGAGACACAAACATTCTGTCCATAACGCTAATTATATTGGAACGTAGTTATTAAGCTATTAAAAAACAAAATTTGGATATAGTAATGTATGCATTTTGTTATTAATGTAGTATGCAACTAAAATGCTTAAAAATCAGTGTGTTAAAGTATATTTTAAAAGACTGATTAGGGTGAAAGTTATAGTTGCTTGTTTGAATAAAAACTTTCAACTATGGGGTGGTTTTGGGCAAGGCAACATGCATGTCATACTGGATATGAAAATACAGTTGTGATTCTTTTCTCAGCCCAGTCCATGGGCCCCCTGCATGCTCTCCAGGGACCCTTCCCAGCATGGTGTAACCTTCCCTCTTACCTCTTACACCTCATCTTCTAGTCTCCTCCAGACACACTGCCCTTGTTGCTGTGTCTCCATTAATCCAGGCACATTTCTGCCCCACGACTTTTGAGCCTGTGCTTGTCTCTACCTAAACTACTCTTCTTGCCAGCGTCTGTGTGGCTCCCTCCCTCACTTCTTTCAGATCTTTCCTCAAATCTCACCTTCTCAGTGAGGCCATCTTTGAATGTCTCCCACCAACATAGGGCTCCCATTCTCCCTCCCTGCTTTATCTTTTTTGTATTGCTAACTAACCTTTTCTAATATCTTCCTTAACTATTGCCTCTATTTT